>NC_000008.11:42284345-43484345 GCF_000001405.40 Homo sapiens | reverse complement strand
CATTGCTGAAGTTGCCTATCAGCTTAAGGAGATTTTGGGCTGAGACAATGGGGTTTTCTAGATATACAATCATGTCATCTGCAAACAGGGACAATTTGGCTTCCTCTTTCCAAATTGAATACCCTTTATTTCCTTCTCCTGCCTGATTGCCCCGGCCAGAACTTCCAACACTATGTTGAATAGGAGTGGTGAGAGAGGGCATCCCTGTCTTGTGCCAGTTTTCAAAGGGAATGCCTCCAGTTTTTGCCCATTCAGTATGATATTGGCTGTGGGTTTGTCATAGATAGCTCTTATTATTTTGAGATATGTCCCATCAATACCTACTAATTTATTGAGAGTTTTTAGCATGAAGAGTTATTGAATTTTGTCAAATGCCTTTTCTGCATCTATTGAGATAATCATATGGTTTTTGTCATTGGTTCTGTTTATATGCTGGATTATGTTTATTGATTTCTGTATGTTGAACCAGCCTTGCATCGCAGGGATGAAGCCCACTTGATCATGGTGGATAAGCTTTTTGATGTGCTGCTGGATTCGGTTTCCTGTATTTTATTGAGGATTTTTGCATCGATGTTCATCAGGGATATTGGTCTAAAATTCTCTTTTTTTGTTGTGTCTCTATCAGGCTTTGGTATCAGGATGATGCTGACCTCATAAAATGAGTTAGGGAGGATACCCTCTTTTTCTAATGATTGGAATAGTTTCAGAAGGAATGCTACCATCTCCTCGTTGTACCTCTGGTAGAATTCAGCTGTGAATCCATCTAGTCCTGGACTTTTTCTGGTTGGTAAGCTACTAATTTTTGCCTCAATTTGAGAGCCTGTTATTGGTCTATTCAGGGATTCAACTTCTTGCTGGTTTAGACTTGGGAGGGTGTATGTGTTGAGGAATTTATCCATTTCTTCTAGATTTTCTAGTTTATTTGCATAGAGGTGTTTATGTTATTCTCCGATGGTAGTTTGTATTTCTGTGGGATTGGTGGTGATATCCCCTTTATCATTTTTTAATGCATCTATTTGATTCTTCTCTCTTTTTTTCTTTATTAGTCTTGCTAGTGGTCTATCAATTTTTTTGATCTTTTCAAAAAACCAGCTCTGGGATTCCCTGATTTTTTGAAGGGTTTTTTGCATCTCTATTTCTTTCAGTTCTGCTCTGATCTTAGTTATTTCTTGCCTTCTGCTAGCTTTTGAATGTGTTTGCTCTTGCTTCTCTAGTTCGTTTAATGATGTTGTTAGGGTGTCAATTTTAGATCTTTCCTGCTTTCTCTTTTGGACATTTAGTGCTATAAATTTCCCTCTACACACTGCTTTGAATGTGTCCCAGAGATTCTGGTATGTTGTGTCTTTGTTCTTGTTGGTTTCAAAGAACATCTTTATTTCTGCCTTCATTTCGTTATGTACCCAGTAGTCATTCAGGAGCAGGTTGTTCAGTTTCCATGTAGTTGAGTGGTTTTGAGTGAGTTTCTTAATCCTGAGTTCTAATTTGATTGCACTGTGGTCTGAGAGACAGTTTTTTATAATTTCTGTTCTTTTACATTTGCTGAGGGGTGCTTTACTTCCAACTATGTGGTCAATTTTGGAATAAGTGTGAGGTGGTGCTGAGATGAATGTATATTCTGTTGATTTGGGGTGCAGAGTTCTGTAGATGTCTATTAGGTCCACTTGGTGGAGAGCTGAGTTCAATTACTGGATATCATTGTTAACTTTCTGTCTCATTGATCTGTCTAATGTTGACAGTGAGTGTTAAAGTCTCCCATTATTATTGTGTGGGAGTCTAAGTCTCTAAGGACTTGCTTTATGAATCTGAGTGCTCCTGTATTGGGTGCATATATATTTAGGATAGTTAGGTCTTCTTGTTGAATTGATCCCTTTACCATTATGTAATGGCCTTCTTTGTCTCTTTTGATCTTTGTTGGTTTAAAGTCTGTTTTATGAGAGACTAGGATTGCAACCCCTGCCATTTTTTGTATTCCACTTGCTTGGTAGATCTTCTTCCATCCCTTTATTTTGAGCCTATGTGTTATCTCTGCATGTGAGTTGCATTTCCTGAATACAGCACACTGATGGGTCTTGACTCTTTATCCAATTTGTCAGTCTGTGCCTTTTCATTGGAGCATTTAGCCCATTTACATTTAAGGTTAATATTGTTATGTGTGAATTTGATCCAATAAAATAACCATTATGATGTTAGCTGGTTATTTTGCTCATTAGTTCATGCAGTTTCTTCCTGGCCTTGATGGTCTTTACAATTTGGCATGTTTTTGCAGTGGCTGCTACCAGTTGTTCATTTGCATGTTTAGTGCTTCCTTCACGAGCTCTTTTAGGGCAGGCCTGGTGGTGACAAAATCTCTCAGCGTTTGCTTGTCTGTAAAGGGTTTTATTTCTCCTTCACTTATGAAGCTTAGTTTGGCTGGATATGAAATTCTGGGTTGAAAATTCTTTTCTTTAAGAATGTTGAATATTGGCCCCCACTATCTTCTGGCTTGTAGAGTTTCTGCTGAGAGATCAGCTGTTAGTCTGATGGTCTTCCCTTTGTGGGTAACCTGACCTTTCTCTCTGTCTGCCGTTAACATTTTTTCCTTCATTTCAACTTTGGTGAATCTGACAATTATGTGTCTTGGAGTTGTCTTTCTCGAGGAGTATCTTTGTGGCATTCTCTGTATTTCCTGAATGTGAATGTTGGCCTGCCTTGCTAGATTGGGGAAGTTCTCCTGGATAATATCCTGCAGAGTGTTTTCCAACTTGGTTCTATTCTTCCCGTCACTTTCAGGTACACCAATCAGATGTAGATTTGGTCTTTTGACATAGTCCCATATTTCTTGGAGGCTTTGTTCATTTCTTTTTATTCTTTTTTCTCTAAACTTCTCTTCTTGTTTCATTTCATTCATTTGATCTTTCATCACTGATACCCTTTCTTCCAGTTGATCGAATTGGCTACTGAGGCTTGTGCATTCTTCACGTAGTTCTCTTGCCTTGGTTTTCAGCTCCATCAGGTCATTTAAGGACGTCTCTGCCTTGGTTATTCTAGTTAGCCATTTGTCTAATTTTTTTTCAAGGTTTTTAACTTCTTCCTGGTGGGTTTGAACTTCCTCCTTTTGCTCAAAGTAGTTTGATCATCTGAAGCCTTCTTCTCTCAATTCGTCAAAGTCATTCTCCATCCAACTTTGTTCCATTGCTGGTGAGGAGCTGTGTTCCTTTGGAGGAGGAGAGGCACTCGATTTTTAGAGTTTCCAGTTTTTCTCCTCTGTTTTTTCCCCATCTTTGTGCTTTTATCTACCTTTGGTCTTTGATGATGGTGATGTACAGATGGGGTTTTGGTGTGGATGTCTTTTCTGTTTGTTAGTTTTCATTCTAACATTCAGGACCCTCAGCTGCAGGTCTCTTGGAGTTTGCTGGACGTCCACTCCAGACTCTGTTTGCCTGGATATCAGTAGCAGAGGCTGCAGAACAGCGGATATTGGTGAACAGCAAATGTTGCTGCCTGATCATTCCTCTGGAAGTTTTGTCTCAGAGGAGTAACCGGCTGTGTGAAGTGTCAGTCTGCCCCTACTGGGGGGTGCCTCCCAGTTAGGTTACTTGGGGGTCAGGGACCCACTTGAGGAGGCAGTCTGTCCATTCTCTGATTTCCAGCTGCATGCTGAGAGAACCACTACTCTCTTCAAAACTGTCAGACAGGGACATTTAAGTTGCAGAGGATTCTGCTGCCTTTTGTTTGGCAATGCCCTGCCCCCAGAGGTGGAGGCTACAGAGGCAGGCTGGCCTCCTTGAGCTGTGATGGGCTCCACCCAATTCGAGTTTCCTGGCCCTTTGTTTACCTACTCAAGCCTCAGCAATTGTGGGCACCCCTCCCCCAGTGTCGCTGCCACCTTGTAGTTTGATCTCAGACTGCTGTGCTCTCAATGAATGAGGCTCCATGGGCGTAGGACCCTCTGAGCCAGGCACAGGATATAATCTCCTGGTGTGCCATTTGATAAGACTGCTGGAAAAGTGTAATATTGGGATGGGAGTGACCCAATTTTCCAGGTGCCATCTGTCACCCCTTTCTTTGAATAGGAATGGGAATTCCCTGACCCCTTGCACTTCCTGGCTGAGGCAATGCCTTTGGCTCATGCTCAGTGCACTCCACCCAATATCCTGCACCCACTTTCCAACACTCCCCAGTGAGATGAACCTAGTACCTCAATTGGAAATGCAGAAATCACCCGTCTTCTGTGTCACTCATGCTGGGAGTTATAGACTAGAGTTGTTCCTATTCAGCCATCTTGGCTCCACCTCTCATGCGTAAGTTTCTTAAGGAGAAATCCTAATTATTATTCCAATTGGATAGACTTCAATTGAATTCACAGTCTTAAAGATTTAAAATATGTCTATGAGAAGAATCAAATATTCTGGATAATATAGAATAATATTTTTAAGGAGATAATAAAAGCATGGCTGACTGGAAGTAAATCTGTTGTGTACATTAAATAATTAATAATTGAGTGAGGTGACTATTTGAAGGTCTTTTCCAAATGCCCACTAAGTATTAAAACATCTTCAGAAAGTGGAAGCAATATATAACAAAATCTTTGAAGGTCCTTCCAAATCAGTATTTTATATTCAGCTATCTCAGTAACTCATGTACACTGGTCTTGAAAGAGCTTATTGTCTAGTGCAAGCAAACACATTTTGTGATGGCATCTTTCAGAATTTTTTTACAAAAAGTAAAATCATAGGTATTTACATAATGGCCTAAAAATCAAGTTTTAAATGACATGTAAGGAATTTTGATTAGAACATTTTTTTGAATATCTGGTTAGTCTAGAGTCTTTCTGCATAGTTTGTAGAAGTTTTGCAGCAGGCTGTCGCTGAAAAACTTTTCAGGGACCCCAATATGAGCTGGCCTTTGAATATGGTACTAAAACTGCCACACTGATTCACCTAGGTCAGTGCATCTTAAACTGATGGTCAAATAAATCATGTGGGGATCTTGTTAAAATGCAGTCTCTGATTTAGCAAATCTAGCATAGAGCCTGAGATTCTGCATTTCTAAAAGACTCTACAGTATCCATTTGGAGTAGCGAGAGTTAACTGTGAAGAAATTAGGCATGTGTAAGGAGGTGAGAGACACTGGAGATATGACACATGTTGCTTGGAGTGCTAGTTGGGGAAAGCTATATTCATTATGGATAGAACAGAATGCCAAAACTAAGAGTTGTTCTGAATGGAAGCCATTTCAATTGAAGAGGATATTTCTTGTGAGAGTCGCTGTTAATAGGACTACTGCTAAAACAAGCTGTCACCATTGAGGGAACCATCTACAAGGAATATAGGAGATACAATTAATGGGAGCTGACAGTGAATCCCACAAACAGCACACCTGCGAAGGGAACCTGATTGCATGAAGATAACATTCTGCATCACTGAGGCACCTTGAGTTCCTTTTCTCGTCTTTGTCAGGGTAGTGTGGTGCTTTTTCCATGTGCTATAAGATGAGAAGAAAAAGTAACATTTTCCGATTGGAAAACATTTAGATTAAATAATCAAAATATAGGTTTGAGGTCTGATTCAATTATAGATGTCTAATTTTAATATACAAATATGGGCCAAATAAAAGTATCACCTATTATTTTATTAAATACTAAGGAATAATCATAATAATTGACAATCTTTTCTCCAAACATGTAACTAAATTGAATACAAATTATATACTCCAAACTTTAGCATCTGACAATTAGCTTTAAAGTTCAGCAAGAAGACAGCACCTTGCTAGTCTACCTTTGGAAACACTACACATATTTGTCTGTGTTGATCTAATAAACAAACTCAACTTTTTCAGATTTAGAATGCCTTTCTTGGTTCCTCAGTGTTCCCCAGTTGGTGATTCACAATTCACAATTGGTCTTTAGATGTGTTTATTGTTGTTATGCTCATCTTTCCATGCTCTGAAGAGCTATTCACATTCTTGACCCTTTCCCACTGCCAATGCTTCAAGTAATTTTGGACCACCACAAAACCTCTCACTGCATTTCCACTGACACCCAGTGAAAACTGCTCTCCGGTTCATATGAAATTTCTATGTAGTTTGAGGTATTGGAATTTATAAATGCCTTCAGTTATTGAGTGCCTTCATCATTCTAAACATTGTGTGAATGTTTTAGGACAATGGCTTTTGAATTCAGGCTTTTGGATTTTAAATCACGGATGGACAACTGTTTCAGCTTGGGCAGTTTGCATTCCCTTTTCTTTGCTCAACTTTTGAATCTCCAAAATGTAAAAAGCACCTCATTCTTCTTATTATTATTATTTTGAAATAATATTATGTTTACAGAAAAGTTGCAAAGTTAATAAGGAGAATTCATGTGTACCCCTCACCTCACTGCTCCTCATGGTAGCAACTTACATAACAAAGATACATTTAGGAAAATTAAATTGGTTCAGCAGTATTGACCAAGTAACATGTTGGAACAGGAATTAAAACAAATTAAAGAATGTAAGCAAAAACTCAGTTGTATGTAAGAAAACCCAATTCCCCCTGAAGAAGAGAAAGAGCTGGAGTCCTTTAAAATTAACTGCCTGCTTTTCTGTGGCTAGTGAGCCTTATCTCTCCCCTTCCCAGGCATTGTGAAGACCTTGTTTCTCTAGCTGTGCAGCTGCAAGGTCACTAGGCAGATAAACTCAAGTCGTAAAACATGCTATTCCTTGAAAAGTAAGAAATGATGTAATGCATGTCTTAATTGAATAACTGTCTTTGTTTCTCACTTCTGTAATATGCTTCCCCCTGCACAGATCTCCCACCACCACCACCCCAAAATGCTTAAAAGGTAACCGGACTCTTTGTTTGGGGCTCAGTCCTTTGGATGTTAATCCAACTGAGTTGTTGCACATAAATAATTAAATAATTCCTCCTCAACCCCTCGGTCTCTCTGATTCCTTAATTATCCCACTGCAATGTCTTATTTGAATTTTACCACTTTTTCCACTAAGATCTTCTCATGTTTCAGGATATAAATCAATACCCCATGTTGTGTTTAGTAGTGTCTCCTTAGTCTTATCCAATTTCTGACACAATCTCCAGGTTTTTTCTTGTCTTTTTATGACTTGACTCATTTTATGTGTACTCCTCAGTTATTTTGTAAAATGTCTCTCAGTTTGGGTTTCTCTGATGTTTTCTCATGATTATATTGAGGTTATGCTTCTTGCTTTTATTTATTTACTTGTGGTTGGGATGATGATATGAGAATACAACAGAGGTGTTCCCTTTTCAGTGTACCATATTAGGATTTGTGAAATATAGATGTTTTGTTACTGGTGATGTTAAGCATCATTACTTGCTTATAAGTTTTGTTTGCTGTATTTCTCTACTATAAAGTTACTTTGTTTTTTGAGATGGAGTCTCACTGTGTCACCCAGGCTGGGGTGCAGTGGCATGATCTCAGCTCACTGCAGCCTTCACCTCCTGGGTTTGAGTGATTCGCCTACCTCAACCTCTCAAGTACCTGGGATTACAGGTTTGCACAACCATGCCCTGCTAATTTTCATTTTTTTAGTAGAGACGGGGTTTCACCATCTTTGCCAGGCTGGTCTCAAACTCCTGGCCTCAGGTGATCTGTCCACCTTGGCCTCCCAAAGTGCTGGGATTACAGGCATGAGCCACCATGCCCAGCCTAAAGTTACTATTTTTCCCCTTGTGTAACTAATACATATCTTGAGATAGGTACTTTGAGACTATTCAAATATTTTGCTTTTCCTCATACTTCTGTTTACTCACATTAGCATTCAGCAGTGGATCTTGCCTGCATTAATGATTACTTAATGATGATTTCTGTATCTCCCTTGTGCCTTCTATATGTATTAGTTAGAATTCTTTTGTAGGATGAATTATTCATTTATTCCATTATTTAGTTAAGTTATGACCAATTCATGGACCTCTATTTTATGAGTTATAATCCAACACTGTCAGTACTTATTTTGTTGCTCAGATTGTGCCTGGTTTGGCCAATGGGATCTCTGTCAGGTTTTGACATTTCCTTATTCTTTATGAACAATTAATTTCCAGGCTCATCTCATACTTTCCTAGTGCTAGGTCTAGATCAACCACTTCTCCACAAATCTCTGGTTTATTGTTGTTGTTTCTTCATTTTGAAGTGGAGAATGATACTTAGAAACAAAGAGCTCTCTGTTTGGTGTCCTCATTGCTACCAGGACATCATTTTCCTAGGCCCTTTTAGCATATAGACCTAGGAAATAGATAGATTATATGTAGATAGATAGAAAGATAGATATAGAGATAGAGAAATAGATTCAGTAGATAGAAACAGAGATATAAATACTAATCCACACATTGTTATACAGCTATATTTATTTCTATATCTACCTATGTATGTGTATATTATAAACCAAGAGTTCATACTGACAACTATAATGCCATTCCACCAAAATAGTGTTTTTTCTAACCTTCCCTTTCTTTTAATTCTTTCTTCAATATTGAGACACTTAGCTCTAATTACTTCCAATACATTTATTCTTTGATTAATCCTAGTCTACACATGGTTTCAGAATCACCTACACATAACCCTCTGAGAAACAACTTTACTAACTAGAGCTCAATATTTATTTATAATTATTTTCATCTTTAGCATTAGAATATCCAGTCAAAAACTATTGCTTCCTGAAATTATTTAGGTTAGTTCACTTTTTCCCAAATTTTTGTGTGCTTATGTTTTTCGTTTGTAATACAGCTAGTTTCATTTTTAATATTTGTATTTGATTTTGTACTTCCCACATATTGTGGTTGATTTTATTTATTCTTTTATTTTTCAAGTATGTGAACAACTACTATAGTTCTACAAGTCAAAAATATACAAACATATTGTACTAGTCTATTACCGTATTGCTATAAAGAAATGCCTGAGACTGAGTAAATTATAAGAAAAGAGGTTTGATTGACTCATGGTTCTACAAGCCCCACTGGATGCATAGCGGCTTCTGCTTCTGGGAGGCCTCAGGGGGCTTACAATCATGGCAGAAGGCAAAGCGGGAACAGGCATGTCACATGGAAAGAGCAGGAGCAAGAGCAAGAGAGAGAGAGAGTGTGGTAGGGAAGGCAGTGCCACACACTTTTGAACCACTAGATCCCATGAGAACTCAGTCACTATCATGAAGACAGCATCACGCCATGAGGGCTCCACCTCCATGATCCAAACACCTCCCACCAGGTCCTACCTCCAGCATTAGGGGTGAAAATTCAACATGAAATTTGGATGAAGACAAAGATCCAAACTATATCCCATATCCCATGTATATTCAGAAGTGTGATAGTTTCTTTTCATTCCTAATATTCTATATTTATTTCTCCCTTTGTTTTCACTCTTCTCCTATATTTCCATCCCCTCAATAGGTAATCAATCTCTTTAAAGTGTGATTTTTCCTCCCTATATTTTTTGGCACAAAAAATCTGATACATATATGTTTTCTTAAATCCTCTGTTTTTTCTAAATTTTAGAACATTTATTAGTACTATATAATCTACATGTCATGAACTTTACTTCTGCAAAGTCTATACAATTCAGTGGATTTTGGTGTATTAGCAGAGTTGTCTAAGCATCCCTATGATCTAATTAGAACATGTTCATCTTCCCCCAAAATGGCCTTGTAGCCATTTAACATCCACTCCCCATCCCCTCCACTCCAGCTCTAGGTAACTACAAATCTACTTATTCTGTCAGTGTGACTAATTTGAACACTTCACATAAATGGAACCATATAAATATATAAACTCCTTTTTTTTACATGAGAGGTAGCATACTGCAAACATTCTTTTGCATTTTACTTTTTTCACTTAATAACATATCCTATACATGGACCCGGCTCAGTGCGTAGAGCTTGCCCTCATGCCAAAAACTCTTTTGTGTAGATGTGCCATAATTTATTCAACCACTCTCCTAAGTATGGTCATTTAGGTTGTCTTTAATATTTTGTGATTGTGAATAAAACACAAATGATCTTAGGCTTATGTATTTCCGTATTACTGGGGTATGTCTTTAAGGTAGATTCCTAGAAGTGGGATTCCTGGTCAGAAAGCAAGAATATAGATCTATCATTCATCTATCTGTCTATCTATCTATCTCTCTATCTATCTATCATTGAGAGAAAGAGAGAAGAGAGAAATACATGTATGTGTGTGTATTCAAATGTCCCTTTTACACTTTTAGACTGATGATCATTTCTACCAGCAATATGTGAGAGTACCTGTTTCTCCAGACTCACCAACAGGACACTTTAAATTTTCACCTATATAATAAATAGAAAATAGTATCTTAGTTTGTTTTAAATAACATTTTCCTTACTATGATTTAGTTTTTACTTTTTACCTTTTTGAAGGTTATTTTAAAATATTTATTTATCATTTGTCTGATAATATTTGGTTTTCCATTTTTCTAAGTTTTACTACTCTGTCCCTTAACATTTAGGAATTCCTTATATAATGGTGATGTTAGCCCTTCAACCATGGTGTATGTTACATATACTTTCTGTTTTTCAGTTATCTTTTGACTGTTCTTGCGGTCTTTGGGGCATGCATTTTAAATAGTTTTATGTAGTAAAATACATTAATCTTTTATTTGATTGCTTCTGATTTTGAGTTATCCTTAGGAACATTTTCCCTATACCAAGTTCAGAGACAAATCCACCCATCTTTTTTTCCTCACACTTTTATGATTTTAATTTACATTTTATTCCTCATCCATTTGGAGCTTATTGTTGTCTATGATGTTAGATGTACATCTAACCTTATCATTTTCTAAATGGCTACCCAGTTGCTCCAGCACCCTTTATTAAATGCTCATCTTTATGTTAGTGATTTGAAATGCCACTTATCCCTTATAAAAAAAGTGACATATGCACATAAGCCTATTTACAGACTTCCTATTCTATTCCACTGGTCTGTTTATTTCTGCTCTGATACCACACTGGCTTTATTATACAGATTTTGTATTGGTTTGTTTTTACCTTTTAGGGCAAATCCCCCTTCACAGATTTCTCTTACAGTGTTTTCTGAGCTCTTCTTATCTGTTTTTACATATGAACTTTACTATCCACTTTTTAAAATCCCTAATATAGATTATTGGTATTTTACTGGTATTGGTACTTTAATCCATTAAATGAATTAAATATTCACTCCCATCTAATGGATGAGAAGAGGCACAATTAAGAAATGACTCTAAAGTATTTTCAGTGAAGATTTTTTCCTGAAATACACACATTTTCTCAGAAATATTTAACCTCAGCAGGATTAATGTAGCACATTTCCTATGTTGGCTTCATTACAATAATGAAATCTTCCAAGTTTCTAATGTCTGGATTAATTTTCCTTTTATATCCTCCACTACCCAAAATGAGATTCTCCTACTAGTAAAGCAGACCTGTCATCCTTTCTTACCCTACATATTAGAAATCCCATTCCCATACCTTGGCTATTATTATGGGACATAGAATATCTGAGGGTGCATTAAGGCCAGCCAGCATTTAAGGAAATGGCCATTCCCCAAATCTTTACTGCAGACGTCACCCTAGATAGCAAGTGGAAGGTCAATATCCTTTTGGAGTAATGTCTTTTCACAAAGATTGAATTAAAACAAGTATTTTTTTGTGTCAATGTCATTAATATGTAAACAACCAAGTACAATATAAAAATATTCCTGATGTAATTTATGTTAAGTTAAATCATTCTGACACTCAGAATGTCAAATCGAAAGAACATAATGCAAGGAGATAGTATAAAGTTATGTGTATTTAAGATTTACTCTTGTTAACGACTGACAGGATTTTTGGAAATCATTTAGAAACAATTGCAAAGTAGATTTTTGAATAAAAGGAGTTTTGTAACATTTTTGAGTATTGTTAAAGATTAGATCATTGTCACTTTTGTTCAAACAGAAAATCTATAGGGATTAGCATGCTGCGTAAATTCTGAATTTTTGACTAAGAACATAAAGCAGTTAATATTTTCAGTTTATCTCCCAAGATTATTTCTTCTGTTACCACCTTCAATCACTTTCTTACTAGGAGAAGATTGACAATTTAATTCCACCAGCTACTTATTCTGTTGCCCAGGCTGGAGTGTTGTGACACGATCTCGACTCACTGCGACCCCCGCCTCCCGGGTTCAAATGATTCTCCTCCCTCAGCATCCTGAATAGCTGGGATTACAGGCATGTGCCACCATGCCTGGCTAATTTTTGTATTTTTAGTAGAGAAGGGTTTTTGCCATGTTGGCTAGGCTGCTCTTAAACTCCTCACCTCAAGTGATCGGCCTGCTTCAGACTCTCAGAGTGTTGGGATTACAGGCGTGAACCACTGCACTCTGCAGGAATTGTTTCTTTTTATGCTAGGGAGTTTGAGAGTTATTTACACATGCTATAAACTAGCCCATTTGTTAGATATGTGTTTTTTAAGTATTTCTACGCATCTCTGGCTTGTATTTTCATCCTCTTGCCAGGATTTTTCACATTAAATTTGTTTAATTTTGATAAGGTCAAATTATAATCAGTTTTCCTTTATGAATCCTGTTTTTGTTGTCAAATTAAAAAACTCATCACCTGATCTCATATCATGAAGATGAATTTTTATCTAAAATGTTATAGTGTTACATTTTACATTTAAGTCTATGATACATTTTGTTTTAATTCTGTATAAAATGTGAGGCAAAATTTCTAAAAATTAATTCTTTTATTTATTTCATCATGGATGTCCAGTCACCCCTACACTATTTGTTTAAAATGTTATCTTTTTTCCTTTGAATTCCTTTTCACTTTTGCAAAAAAAAAAAAATCACTTGAGCAGAATTTGCATAAGTCTATTTCTGGTTTTCTATCCTTTCTCTTGATCTGTGTGTCTCTCTCTTCAAAAATTTCATGCAGCCTTGGATACTACAACTATCTAATCAGTCTTAAAACCAGATAGACTGATTCCTCCCACTTTATTTTTACACACCAAAATTGTTTCAGCTGTTCTAATATTTTGTCTTATACAGATATATTTTACAATAATATTACCTATATGTCAAAAAGTATTGCTGGGATTTTGATGAGAACTGTGCTAAATCAGTATGTTAACTTGAGGGAGAATTTACATCTTCAATATGTTGATTCCTTCAATCTCTAAACACACATATCTTTCCATTTATGTAGTTCTTCCTTGCTTGCTTCATCAGTATTTTGTATTTATCTGCATACAAGCCCTGTACATGGTTTGTTAGATTTAGAGTTATTTCAAATTTTGTTTAGTGATTGTAAGTAATATCACATTTTAAATACTGATGTCATGTATTTATTGCTAATATATTTAAATATGATGTCTAAATGTTTATCTTATATCTGGTGACTTTACTGAAGGTTGCAGGAGATAAGATATTAGTTCTATAATTTATATTTGTATATTCCTTGAGATTTTCTTCCTAGAAACGCATGCCATCTGAAATTGAGAACAGTTTTGTTTCTTTTTTTCCCATCTGTAGGACTTTTATTTCCTTATCTTTTGTATTGATTGTCCAACACTATTATGAATAAGAATTTCACAGTAGACATCCTTGCTACATTCCATATCTTAGGGGAAAAACAGTGTTATATCATCAAGCATAACATAAGCTCCAGGCTTTCTGTAGATACTGTTCATCGTGTTAAGGTAGCTCCCCTCAATTTCTATTTTCTGAGAGTTATCACAAATTTGTGTTAAATTTGTCAATTTTTTCTACGTTATTTCTTACGGTAATGTAATTTCTCTTTTTTGGTTTATACTATGGATTATATTGATTGATTTTCAAATATGGAACTAAGCTTACATTCATGGAAAAATCCCTGCTTGTTCATGGTGAATGTCTTTTTATATATTACTAATTCCATTTACTAATATTTTGTGAGAGACTGTTGAGTCCATTCTTATAAGGCATATTGATATGTGTTTTCTATCTTTGTACTGTCTTTGTCTGATGTTGGTATCAGAGTAATATTAAATTCCTAAAATTGTGGAGTGTTTAGTCTTCTATTTTCTAGTAGAAATTGTGTAACATTGTTAATTCTTTAAATGTTTGATAGAATTTTCCAGCAAATCCAATTTGGCCTGGATACTTCTTTAAAAATTGAAAATTATAAATTCAATTTTCTTAATAATCATAGCCCTGTTGAAATAATCTACATCATATAGGTGTAATGTAGGTATCTATTTTGACTAAGTTTTTGTATTTATGTGTTCATTACTATCCTTAGTATTATTCTTTTGATGCCTATAGAGCCAGTAGTGATATCCTCTCTTTAATTTCTGATATTGTGTCTTCTCTCTTTTTTATTATGTTTTTCTAGAGGTTTGGAAGTTTTAGTGATATTTGTATCAGATTTTTTCATCATGTTTCTTTATTGTTTTAGTATTTATGTTTTCTTAATTTTCTCTCTTAACTTTTTTATTTTTGTTCTGTGTCATGTGGTTTATTTTTCCCTAGGATCTTGAGATGGGAGCTTGGATAATTGATTGAATACATTTTCTCTTTCATTAAAGATGTACTCAATGCTATAAATTTCTCTCTCAACACTGTTTTAGCTCTATCTCACAATTTATAATTTGTATTTTCATTTTCATTCAGTTCAGTGTGATTTTAGATTTCCTTGGAAGCTTCCTTTTAAACCCATGGATTATTTAGGATGTGCTGTTCTGCTTCCAAGTGCTTCAGATTTTTCTGTAATCTTCTATTATTCATTTCTAGTTAGATTCCACTGTTGTTACGATATACATTATTCTGCAAGATTTCAATTCCTTAAATGTATTAAAGTTTGTGCTATGATAAGAATATGGCTCAATTGGGTATCTATTACATGGGCACTTGAAAATAATATGGGACTTCTGCTGTCCAATTCTACATTGAAAAAGCTTGGAAGCCACCACTCTGTTGTAAAAACAAAGTAAAATACTGAACAAACAAAAAAATAAGTAAATAACAACTCTTCTTAGATCCACAGAGCAAACCACTGTGCCCAGAATAGAAGACACAAGCAGGCAAATACAGAGAATCACCACATATTAAAACAGAGGCCTTAATGGGAACCAGTGTCAAGGTAGGAAACCCTGAACTATGATTGATAACTCGCTGGAGACTAGGTGTGAACATGTCTCTGTTAATACATCCAGGGTGACCTAGTCAGAACAGACACCGCCCTTTTCTAAGTTTTACCTCCAGGAGCTTAGCCACAGTAAATATAGGAGAAAAATTTCCTCATGCTTCCAGCAGGGGAAGAAAAAAAAGAGACCACTTTGAAATATACTAGAACACTCTGTTGTTGTTGTTGTTGTTGTTTTAATCTCTTGTCAGGATAAATTAGTTAACCAGATACTAACCTACTGCAGTTTGAGCAAAGGCTAACTAAACTGGGGGAATAAAATACTCAACTCCAGCCTGCTCTACCTTGTCATGAGGGAGAATGGAAATACCAAACTTCAGCCCACTCTAACCATCTTGCCTCACCTAAGATGGGAGAAAAAAAAATGGAAAAAGAGTTGTAAGGCTTACAGTCCAGAAGCACAGGCTCACTATAAGACTGAGATCTAACTGTAGAACTACAGAAAATGTTTCATCTCCTAAAACCTTACTGTCACAATACTAAAGAACTATTTACTGTGGTTTACTTAATACACTACTTCATGTCCAGCTCTCAGGAAAAATTATAAGGCATACTCCCAGACACAAAACACTTTAAAGAGAAAGAGCTAACACCAGAACTAGATGGCCTGGATTTTAGAGTTATCAGATAGGAAATCTAAAAGAACTATGTTTAATATATTAAGGGATATGATGGATAAAGCAGATAGTATGCAAGAACAGATGGGAAATATAAGCAGAGAGATTGAAATCCCAAGAAAGAACCAAAGAGAAATGCTAGAGATACAAACACTGTGAATGTCCCTGATGGGCTTATTACTAGACTGGACACAGTTGGGGAAAGACTCTCTGAGTTGAAGATTTGTCAATAGAAACCTCCAAAACTGAAAAGCAAAGGGAACAAAGGTTGAAAAAAAACAGAATATATTATCCAAAATCAGTGGGACAACTACAGAAAGTGTAAATATGCATAATGGGAATTCCAGACAGAGATGAGAGAAAAAAAAGCAGAAAAAAAATTTGAAATAATGATGACAGAATTTTCCTAAATTAATGTCAGACACCAAACTACAGATCTAAGAAGCTCAAAGAACACCAACCAGGATTAATGCTAAAAAAGTTCACCTCAGCATATCATTTTCAAATTAAGGAAAAATCAGAGATTTAGGACAATTCTGAAAGGACACAGAGGAATAAAACACATCTTAACTATAGTGATGTAAATATAATAACTGCATTTGACTTCTGCTCAGAAATCATGTGAGTAAGACTAGAGAGAAGGAAAATATTCAAAGTAAATGAATTTACTGAGAGGTAAAAGCAAACATCAACCTACAATTCCATACTCATGAAGTTATTCTTCAAAAGTGAAAGAGAAACACGAACTTTCCCAAATATCATCAGTGATATCACAATAGTTGATTTTGTTCTTTGTTATTTTAGTGATTGATAGTCTTAATAATATGATTCTTTTTACACTGACAAAATTTTTATTTTATATCAGAAGATATATAGAGAAAGCAAAACATCTCTTTCATTGCAACCCTAGAGACCTCTGTTCTTCCTCCACCACTCCTGCTGTCATGTTTCAGCAGGCCTATCCAAAAACTCAGTCTCCTATTCCAACCTCCAAGGACATTGTGAGCTTTGCTGATTCTCTAGTAAGACAGTAAGTAAGTTACCTTGCTTTCTACAATAATTTCAACCTTTTTTTTAAATTGAACTTCATCCCATGCTACAGGGATGCCTTCTATGAAAAACTCTATGATATGGTTTGGATATGTCTTCCTGCCCAAATCTCATGTTGAGTTGGAATCCCAATGCTGGAGGTGGGGCCTAGTGGTAGATGATTGGATCATGGGAGCAGTTTTCCTGAATGGTTTAGCACCATTCCCCCTTGGTACTCTATAGTGAGTCAGTTCTCACAAGATCTTTTTTTTTTTAAGTATGCGGCCCCTCCCCACTCTCTCTTTCTCCTGCTCCAGCCATGTGTAAATGCCTGCTTTAGCTTTGCCTTCTGCCATAAGTAAAAACTCCCTGAAGCCTCCCTAGAAACAGATGCTGCCATGCTTCCTGTATAACCTGTGGAACCATGCACCAATTAAACCTCTTTTATTTAAATTACCCCATTTCAGGTATTTTTTATACAGATTAATACAGAACATTAGTATCAGGAGTGGGTCATAATTATAAAGATATGTAAAAATGTGAAAGTGACTTTGGAACTGGTTATTGGGCAGAGGTTGATAGTGTGTGAAGGGCTCAGAAAAAGGCAGGAAGATGAGAGAAAGCTTGGGAATTCCTAGGACTTGTTCAATTGTTATGACAAAAATACTGATAGTGATATGAACAATGAAGTCCAGGCTGAGGGGGTCTCAGATGGAGATGAAGAACTTACTGGAAACTGGAGAAAACACTTTTGTTATTCTTTAGCAAAATCTTGGAAGTAATGTACCCTGCTCTAGAGATCTGTGAAACTTACAACTTGAGATTAATAATTTAGGATACCTGGCAGAAGATATTTCTAATTTACAGAGCAATCAAGATTTGCCTTAGCTGCCTTTAACAGCCTATGATCATATGCAGAAGTAAAGAAATGATCTGAAACTGGAACTTATATTTAAAAGAGAAGCAGAACATAAAAGTTTGAAAAATTTGCAACCTAGCCATATGGTAGCAAATAAAAGCCGATTTTTCAAGAAGGAATTCAAGCAGGCTGCAGAAATTGGCATAAGTAAAGAGGAACCCAATTATAGTAGCCAAGACAATGGGGGAAAAGTTTCAAAGGCATTTCAGAGACCTTTTGGCAGCCCCTTCCATCATAGGCCCAGAGGCCTAGGAGGAAAGAATGGTTTTGTGGGCCAGGCCCAGAGTCCCACCGCCCTGAAGATGCTGCCATGCTTCCTGTATAGCCTGCAGAACTGTGAACTAATTAAACCTATTTTCTTGATCAATTACCCAGTCTCAGGTATTTCTTTATAACAGTGTGAGCACAGACTAATATACTTTATTTCCATAAAAATTGCTTCTGCAATAGATATATGTCAAAAAGCCTAATATCCAAGACCCCACGTCACACACGACAAGAATCCAGCATACTATATGGCCTTCCACTTAGTTGCATATGCCAAATAACTAAGTAATCTATTTTCACATTAATTCTGAGTGTATATTTTTCTATGAAATTACTGATAAAAATATATTAATAAAATGTTTTATTTATATTCTTAATTTGTCATTCATCTATACTATTTACTATTCTGACTAGGTCAAATCTCTATAGAATAGGATCTATAAACTATTTTTGTAAAGGGCCAGATAGAACGTATTTTAGGCTTTGTGAGCCATTAGGCAAAATCAAATATATTATGCAGGTACCCATATAACCATTTAATGCAATTCTTAAAAATTTAATAAACCGTTCTTAGTTTGTGGTCTACATGAAAATGGTTTGTAGATGAGATTGTCTATGAGCTTTAGTTCACTGACCCCAGATAGAAAAACTTATAATAATATTTATTTCTTATTTATACATTTATTATACTTATTTTTAAATTTAAATAATGATGTTCTTTACAAGAATCAGTCTCTATAAACTCAGGAATTATATATAATCCAAACACTTAACACAGTGTTTTGTTTATAGTAAATGTTTAATAGATTTTAGTCTCTTTTCAATTTCACTACTCCTTTCCAGCTTTAGACCTTTGAGAGTGGAGGTGGGGCTTATTCATGTTTTGTTGCTAATACTCTTACAAATATTTACCCATATCAGAAGCATAGGAATGGGGTGTCTTGGAAAGATGAACAGTCACAATTAATTTTTCTTATTTTTAGAGGACACAGGCCTATGACTAGAAGCATCTTTGCATTAGTTTTGTTATCAGACATGGTGAAACTGGGATGAGGTCCATGTAAAACTACTGTCTACACAGTTTTTCCTCTATGAGAGAGCAGGAGAATTTAAATCACAATTCAACTCAAACTGCTATGCACTGATTTATATTACCTTCATTTTTTCTGGTAGGTTTCAAGTACTAAGCATTTTACTGAAGTAATATGTGTTTTACATATTTAAACTGAAAATATTATTCAATCACCATAAAACCCTGTCAACAAGGACAAGAAGACATTTCTTGTCACTTTCTCAAAAATCCCCACAGCTGCATTGTGTAGAGAGACAGGAAATTGGAAGGTGTTATATTTCAGAGGGATAGACTTTCCATCACCAAGGGAAATTAAAGTATTTCTTGAAGATTTTATATTTTAAACCAGTCTGTAATAATTAATATTAAATAATGTATTTAAGCATGTTGTCTGTGAGATGGAACATACCAATTAAGCTTGAGTGGTTGAAGGTATTCTACTGTGTTTATGACCTAATGACATTTGTATTTTAAATCATGAACTGTGAGAAGTAAATTTATGTTGTTTATAAGTCACCTAGTCCATGGTATTTTGGTATGGAAGTCCAAATGGACTAAGATGACAACCAAAATATTCTTTTTATTTATGCATTTTATTTTATTATTGGAGAATTTTTGCCGTACACTAAGTGGCCCATGACATTTACTAGAGGGGATTATTTTAGCAAGTGTAGTACCCATGAGGCCAATGTTGTGAGTTCTTTGTCAATTACTTACTTATTTTTCTTCATCTGTTTCTGAAAGTAATCCAAAAGCATTTTAAAGGCACAGAAATAATTTAAAAATTAGAAAAATTTAAAAACCTTATAGAAAATAGTGGAAATGGTTTCCATAAACCTGATGCAAGTTGGTTATTGATGTTATATTATGATTTAATTCTGAAGCTTCTGGTAGCAACAGCAAAAATAGGAAAAATAATGGGCTCTGTCATTTTATTGCCCAATAAAAATAGCTTTGGGGAAAAAAGTCCTTTTTCAGTTTTAAATTATGAGCATTTATCATTTGAATCTTTTTATGAGAGGAACTGAATAACATGATGAATATTGTTCTGCAAACACATAATCTAGTAGGTTGTTTTTATTTTTCACACCTCCAACCCCTTCTTTAAGAAAGTGCTTCTCCCTCAGCTCCAACCAAGAGGCTCCAGTGAAAGACACTGCATTCTTACTTGGTTGCAAGTCATTGGTCTAAGAGAAAAAAATCTGGTCACTTATTGTGAGTTTTTAAACTTGTTTATAAGTCACCTAGTCCGTGGTATTTTGGTATGGCAGTGCAAATGGACTAAGATGACAACCAAAATATTACTTTTATTTATGTATTTTATTATTGGAGAATTTTTGCGATACACTAAGTGGCCCATGACATTTACTAGAGGGGATTATTTTAGCAAGTGTAGTATCCATGAGGCCAATGAAGAAATCTATTTGGTTGTTCAAGTCATAGACTATAAAATTGTGAACAATAAATGTTTATATTTTCCACAATATAAATATACTGAGTGTGATAAAAATTGAGCTGGTATTCTGACAGAAACCAATCAAAGAGAGATACAGACAGCATTGTTGGCATTTGAGTCCACAGTTCAAATCCTTACAAAATTTCTTTCTTTCTTTTTTTTTTTTTTTGGAGTTGGAGTCTCGCTCAATCGCCCAGGCTAGAATGCAATGGCACGATCTCAGCTCACTGCAAGCTCTGCCTCTTGGGTTCATGCCATTCTCCTTCCTCAGCCTCCCAAGTACCTGGGACTACAGGCACCCACCACCACGCGTGGCTAATTTTTTTTGTAGTTTGTATTTTTGGTAGAGATGGGGTTTCACCATGATTGCCAGGATGATCTCGATCTCCTGACTTTGTGATCTGCCCATCTTGGCCTCCCAAAGTGCTGGGATTACAGGCATGAGCCACCACGCCTGGCCACAAAATTTCTTTTTATCATGGTTTCCCTGCTCATATTATTTAACCATTCCTGTGGGCTCTACAGACAAGTAAACTTTCCATTTGGTCTAAAGTAAATGTATTCAAAGGTTTGTCATTTGCAATGAAAAGAATCTTGGCTAATACAATGATTTATATATCAGTAAATTCTACGTGGACATTTTAATTCCTAACCTGCTATTTGTCTTTGCTTTCTAAAAAGCCATACCCTTCTTTCTTAGTTTTGGTTAGGCTTCTTTAAAAAATTGTACTGATTAAAATAAAAATTGAACATGAGAAAGTATAAATAAACTGAACAGAAAGGCCACTGTCAAACTACATTTCCTGGTTGTGGAGAGTGAATAATGCTAACCAGGGTGCAGCTAATATATCATGAACCTGAAATCAGTCACTGTCCCTTGGTGCCATATCTGTTTCTCCTAGGAAGATTTTTATAGTGCTTTGAGTATGGTAAGCCTTCACTAAATGCTTTCTGAGTAAACATGCAGGTGAGGGATGCACTGGTTTTTATTATGTTTGAGGCCACAAAATTAGCATTGTCATCATGCACTTCAGGTTAGATGTAGCAACCATGCTTCGGCTTCATCTTTCATTGCATCATCTATAATTGCAATCTTCTCATGATATACAGTTACACCCCAACATATCTCTCTGATTTCCATCATAACAAGCACAAATTCAGCTCTCCATTCTGCTTTAATTTTTTGTCTAAGTGACATCATAAAATAATAAAATGTGCCATCCATACATTAAAATTCATCAAGAGCTTCTCTTGTCAAGAGCGCTCACCAGTACTCATCTCCAGCCTATGTTAACTTTCCCTTTTATTCACTTTTGTGTGTTGTGTGACATTGGAGCATGCTTGTTTTATTTATCCAACAGAAAATCAAATCACCTAAAAGGTTATCTTCAAAATTCAGAATAGATACGTATTACTTTGTTAGATTAACTCCATAAGTAGAGTAGTTTTATTTAGTTTCTTTTAGCCCTTCTGGGTCAAAATAGCAAATAGGTGTGAACGTTTTATGGGTTTAGAAGGAGAAGCTTTTTAGTACTAGACTCTTAAATTTCTTCCTTCTCCTGTTATGTAAATTTCCTTGTTGATTATTTAAAATTCTAAACCTCTTCCTGCCTGAAATTTCTGTGCTCGGTGATATGACATTCTTCCTAAGGGATGAAGCATTGCCATTAATGAAAGGTTTTTGAGAAGAGAAGAAAGAAAACAAGCAAAAAGAAAAGTTATGCAAGATATGGAGAGTCCCTGAAAGCAGAGAACTGGAAAGAACCCATCCTTCATGAGAAAGCCTGGGTGGCTAACTGGGCATAACTTTAAAAAGAAGCCAATGGCCATTTGCTAAATAGAGGTCACACATTACTCTGAGTTACCAGAAAATCCACACACTTGCCTAACTTTGAGAATTTTATACCTGACTATTCCTGTTTACATCACCTAAACCAACAGATAGGCTGTGGCGTGCATCCTCCAATCAGAACCCAACTGTGCTGAACAACCAGAATTAAGTAAATCTGGACCCTTTATTTGCTTAAAAGGACCTAATTTGGAATCTGAGTGGGAACTTTCTCTATAAAAGCCAAACCCTTCATTTGTCCTCTGGAACACACCTTTATTTTACACAGAAGGTTGCATCTTCCCAGTTTGCAAAATGTTCATTGGAATAGTCTCTTTCCTCCAAATTGCTTTTTAGATAACTTCTTTTCACAATGTTTTAGGATATTCACATACTGTTTCTGTATTTAGAAGACAATGATTTACATAAATTGTATGCTCTTGAAATTTTTCCTTGAAGTTCTTTGAAATTCTCTTCATTAACTGATATTAATATTTGTGTTACTTCTTTTTGAATGTTTTAATTATTTCTACAAACTTGAAATATTTTTGCAATATTCAGATCTGCCGAGAAGAAAAACTAAAATTTCTGTTTGCTTTGAAGTTGCAACATTTTAACACATATTTTTCTCTTTATTAATTTCTAGTTATTTCCAACTTTTAAATGATCCAAATTTTCACATATATTAAGTCTGTTTTCTAAAAAAGAACTTGATTTTTTCCAGAAAAATCTGACCAAATATATGTTTCTTTATTCTTAAGTAGAATAAAATGTAAGTATTAAATGAGCTTAAAAATATGTAATGGAGAAATTTTTGGATCATTTTAACACAAGGTCTAGAGAAAAAAATTGTTTATAAATGGGAAACAAGATTGTGTTCCCATGAAAAATGGAGTCTGACTTAAGTATTAAAGGAAGATTGTGGACACTCTGATTGAAGATGTTAGTGGGAAATGACTGGTACATTTCATACTATACTTAATGTACTTTGCTCATCTGTTGGTGTAAATGTTGAGTGCTTTAAAAAAGAGCAAAGATCTCCCATAATTCCCAAATAAGTCCTGCCTATTCACTCTTTTCTCCCCTGGAAAACATCCTCCTTTGCTCATTCTGTCTTATATCCTCTTGTATAATGCAGGGGAAGCATCATGTTGGAGTGGAAAGGACAGCTGGAGAAGGTCTGTAGCTGTGATTGTAGTGGTGGGTCTGTTACACCTGTCTGTGCAACACATCATTTAACTTTTGTTGACTCCCTTAAATAAGGGGAATGGCATAAATGATCTCTTAAACCTTCATGTACTCACTAATGACAAGTGCTATTCACTGGTGTATTCCAATGGTCAATACAGTCCCTGTCGCTGTGTAGAATACACTTATACCAGAAGATGGACATTGAAAAAATTGCAAAAATAAAAAATATAAAAATTCAGAGAGGTATTTTAACATACTGTTGTAACATCTACCCTGAGGAACTAGATAAGGTCTTCCAGAAAAAAATGATGTTTCAAGCCTAAAGTTGAAAATCTAGTTTAAAGTTAAATAAGGATAAAGTGGAGAGGTAAAATGGGAGGTGCAGAAATATGTATTTTTATGTAGAGTAAATAACATGGTTGAGAATCACAGACATGCCTTATCAAATTATTTCACACATGTATGTCCTCCATTCCTATATACTTTTAATTTCAGAATAAATAAGATTTTCTTTTGCACTTTTTTGGTGTGTGCCATGATGTCCATCATAGTGCTGGGCACCTGGCATTCATTAAAAAGCATTCTTATTGAATGCATTATGCCCTTTTAGTCTTATTGCATACTTACTCTTTCAGCACTGAGGTCAAGAATAATTCATGGGTGAAAAAAGTTGGTGCAAGGAACAACAGTAAACGTCTTTTCAAATTGTGGGGTCTTGTCATTATTCACCTGAATCCAGAAAATAAAAAAATTTCCTGGGGCTCTGTGTTCCAAGATGGCCGAATCGGAACAGCTCCAATCTACAGATCCCAGCATGAGCGACGCAGAAGATGAGTGATTTCTGCATTTCCAACTGAGGTACCGGGTACATCTCACTCGGGCTTGTCAGACAGCAGGACAGTGGGTGCAGCCCACTGAGCATGAGGCGAAGCAGGGTGAGGCATCACCTCATCCAGGAAGCACAAGGGGTCAGGGAATTCCCTTTCCTAGCCAAGGGAAGTGGTGATGGACAGCACCTGGAAAATCCGGTCACTCCCACCCGAATACTGCGCTTTTCCAACAGTCCTGGCAAGCGACACACCAGGAGATTATATCCCATGCCTGGCTCGGAGGGTCCTATGCCCACAGAGCCTGGCTCACTGCAAGCACAGCAGTCTGAGATCAAACTGCAAGGTGGCAGTGAGGCTGGGGGAGGGGTGCCCGCCATTGCCGAGGCTTGAGTAGGTTAACAAAGTGGCTGGGAAGCTCGAACTGGGTGGAGCCCACAGCAGCTCCAGGAGGCCTGCCTGCCTCTGTAGATTCCACCTCTGGGGACAGGGCATTGCCAAACAAAAGGCAGCAGAAACCTCTGCAGATATAAATGTCCCTCTCTGACAGCTTTGAAGAGAGTAGTGGTTCTCCCAACATGCAGCTGCAGATCTGAGAATGGACAGACTGCCTCCTCAAGTGGGTCCCTGACCCCCGAGTAGCCTAACTGGGAAGAACCCCCCAGTAGGAGCAGACTGACACCTCACACGGCCAGGTACTCCTCTGAGACAAAACTTCCAGAGGAAAGATCAGGCAGCAACATTTGCTGTTCACCAATATCCACTGTTCTGCAGCCTCCGTGCAAACAGGGTCTGGAGTGGACCTCCAGCAAACTCCAAGAGACCTGCAGCTGAGGGTCCTGACTGTTAGAAGGAAAACTAACAAACAGAAAGGACATCCACACCAAAACCCCATCTGTATGTCACCATCATCAAAGACCAAAGGTAGATAAAACCACAAAGATGGGGAAAAAACAGAGCAGAAAAATTGGAAATTAAAAATCAGAGTGCCTCTCCTCCTCCAAAGGAATGCAGCTCCTCGCCAGCAATGGAACAAAGCTGGATGGAGAATGACTTTGATGAGTTGAGAGAAGAAGGCTTCAGATGATCAAACTAATCTGAGCTAAAGGAGGAAGTTTGAACCCATGGCAAAGAAGTTAAAAACCTTGAAAAAAATAGACAAATGGCTAACTAGAGTAACCAATGCAGAGAACTCCTTGAAGGACCTGATGGAGGTGAAAACCAAGGCAAGAGAACTACGTGATGAAAGCACAAGCCTCAGTAGTTGATTCAATCAACTGGAAGAAAGGGTATCAGTGATGGAAGATCAAATGAATGAAATGAAGCAAGAAGAGAAGTTTAGAGAAAAAAGAATAAAAAGAAATGAACAAAGCCTCCAAGAAATATGGGACTATGTGAAAAGACCAAATCTACATCTGATTGGTGTACCTGAAAGTGACGGGAAGAATGGAACCAAGTTGGAAAACACTCTGCAGGATGTTATCCAGGAGAACTTCCCCAATCTAGCAAGGAAGGCCAATATTCAAATTCAGGAAATACAGAGAATGCCACAAAGATACTCCTTGAGAAGAGCAACTCCAAGACACATAATTGTCAGATTCACCAAAGTTGAAATGAAGGAAAAAATGTTAAGGGCAGCCAGAGAGAAAGGTCGGGTTACCCACAAAGGGAAGACCATCAGACTAACAGTGGATCTCTCAGCAGAAATTCTACAACCCAGAAGAGAGTGGGGGCCAATATTCAACATTCTTAAAGAAAAGAATTTTCAATCCAGAATTTCATATCCAGCCAAACTAAGCTTCATAAGTGAAGGAGAAATAAAATTCTTAACAGACAAGCAAATGCTGAGAGATTTTGTCACCACCAGGCCTGCCCTAAAAGAGCTCCTGAAGGAAGCGCTAAACATGGAAAGGAACAACGGGTACCAGCCGCTGCAAAATCATGCCAAAATGTAAAGACCATCGATGCTAGGAAGAAACTGCATGAATTAATGAGCAAAATAACCAGCTAACATCATAATGACAGGATCAAATTCACACAAAACAATATTAAAAATGTAAATGGGCTAAATGCTCCAATTAAAAGACACAGACTGGAAAATTGGATAAAGAGTCAAGACCCATCAGTGTGCTGTATTCAGGAAACCCATCTCACATGCAGAGACACACATAGGCTCAAAATAAAAGGATGGAGGAAGATCTACCAAGCAAATGGAAAACAAAAAAAGGCAGGGGTTGCAATGCTAGTCTCTGATAAAACAGACTATAAGCCAACAAAGATCAAAAGGGACAAAGAAGGCCATTACATAATGGTAAAGGGATCAATTCAACAAGAGGAACTAACTATCCTAGACATATATGTACCCAATACAGAAGCACCCAGATTCATAAAACAAGTCCTTAGAGACCTGCAAGAGACAGACTCCCATACAATAATAATGGGAGACTTTAACAACCCACTGTCAACATTAGACAGATCAACGAGACAGAAAGTTAACAAGGATATCCAGTAATTGAACTCAGCTCTGCACCAAGTGGACCTAATAGACATCTGCAGAGCTCTCCACCCCAAATCAACAGAATACACATTCTTCTGAGCACCACATCACTCTTATTCCAAAACTAACCACATAGTTGGAAGTAAAGCACTCCTCAGCAAATGTAAAAGAACAGAAATTAAAACAAACTGTCTCTCAGACCACAGTGCAGTCAAACTAGAACTCAGGATTAAGAAACTCACTCAAAACCGCTCAACTACATGGAAACTCAACAACCTGCTCCTGAATGACTACTGGGTACATAACGAAATGAAGGCAGAAATAAAGATGTTCTTTGAAACCAACGAGAACAAAGACACAACATACCAGAATCTCTGGGATGCATTTAAAGCAGTGTATAGAGGGAAATTTATAGCACTACATGCCCACAAGAGAAAGCAGGAAAGATCTAAAATTGACACCCTAACATCACCATTAAAAGAACTAGAGAAGCAGGAGCAAACATAGAGAACTAGAGAAGCAGGAGAAACAGGAGAAAAAGCTGGCAGAAGGCAAGAAATAACTAGATCACAGCAGAAAAGAAGGAGATAGAGACACAAAAAACCCTTCAAAAAATCAGGGAATCCCGGAGCTGGTTTTTTGAAAAGATCAACAAAATTGATAAACCACTAGCAAGACTAATAAGAAAAGAGAGAAGAATCAAATAGATGTAATAAAAAAATGATAAAGAGGATATCACCACCAATCCCACAGAAATACAAACTACCATCAGAGAATACTATAAACACCTCTACACAAATGAACTAGAAAATCTAGAAGAAAAGGATAAATTCCTGGACACATACACCCTCCCAAGATTAAACGAGGAAGAAGTTGAATCCCTGAATAGACCACTAACAGGCTCTGAAAGTGAGGCTATAATTAATAGCTTACCAACCAAAAAAAGTCCAGAACCAGACAGATTCAAAGCCAAATTCTACCAGAGGTACAAGAAGGAGCTGGTACCATTCCTTCTGAAACTACTCCAATCAATAGAAAAAGAGGGAATCCTCCCTAACTCATTTTATGAGGCCAGCATCATCCTGATACCAAAGCCTGACAGAGACACAACAAAAAAAGAGAATTTTAGACCAATATCCCTGATGAACATTGATGAGAATATCCTCAATACAATACTGGCAAACCGAATCCAGCAGCACATTAAAAAGCTTATCCACCATGATCAAGTGGGCTTCATCCTTAGGATACAAGGCTGGTTCAACATATGCAAATCAATAAACGTAATCCAGCATATAAACAGAAACAAAGAAAAAAATCACATGATTATATCAATAGATGCAGAAAAGGCCTTTGACAATATTCTACAGCCATTCATACTAAAAACTCTCAATAAATTAGGTATTCATGGGACGTGTCTCAAAATACTAAGAGCTATTTATGACAAACCCACAGCCAATATCATACTGAATGGGCAAAAACTGGAAGCATTCCCTTGAAAACTGGCACAAGACAGGGATGCCCTCTCTCACCACTCCTATTCAACATAGTGTTGGAAGTTCTGGCCAGGGAAATCAGGCAGGAGAAAGAAATAAAAGGTATTCAATTAGGAAAAGAGGAAGTCAAATTGTCCCTATTTGCAGATGACATGATTGCATATTTAGAAAACCCCATCGTCTCAACCCAAAATCTCCTTAAGCTGATAAGCAACTTCAGGAAAGGCTCAGGATACAAAATCAATGTGCAAAAATCACAAGCATTCTTATACACCAATAACAGACAAACAGAGCCAAATCATGAGTGAACTCCCATTCACTATTGCTTCAAAGAGAATAAAATACCTAGGAATACAACTTACAAGGGATGTGAAGGACCTCTTCAAGAAGAACTACAAACCACTGCTCAACAAAATAAAAGAGGACACAAACAAATGGAAGAATATTCCTCGCTCATGGTTAGGAAGAATCAATATCATGAAAATGGCCATACTGCCCAAGGCAATTCATAGATTAAATGCCACCCCCATCAAGCTACCAATGACTTTCTTCACAGAATTGGAAAAAACTACTTTAAAGCTCATATGGAAACAAAAAAGGGCCCGCATTGCCAAGACAATCCTAAGCCAAAAGAACAAAGCTGGAGGCATCATGCTTCCTGACTTCAAACTATACTACAAGGCTATAGTAACCAAAACAGCATGGTACTGGTACCAAAACAGCATGGTACTGGTACCAAAACAGAGATATAGACCAATGGAACAGAACAGAGCTCTCAGAAATAATACCACGTATCTACAACCATCTGATATTTGACAAACCTGACAAAAACAAGAAATGGGGAAAGGATTCCCTATTTAATAAATGGTGCTGGGAAAACTGGATAGCCATATGTAGAAGGCTGAAACTGGATCCCTTCCTTACACCTTATACGAAAATTAATTCAAGATGGATTGAAGACTTAAATGTTAGACCTAAAACCATAAAAATCCTAGAAGAAAACCTAGGCAATACCATTCAGGATAGAGGCATGGGCAAGGACTTCATGACTAAAACAACAAAAGCAATGGCAACAAAAGCCAAAATTGACAAATGGGATCTAATTAAACTAAAGAGCTTCTGCACAGCAAAAGAAACTACCATCAGAGTGAACAGGCAACCTACAAAATGGGAGAAAAGTTTTGCAATCTACTCATCTGACAAAGGGCTAATATCCAGAATCTACAATGAACTCAAACAAATTTATAAGAAAAAAACAAAGAACCCCATCAAAAAGTGGGCGAAGGATATGAACAGACACTTCCAAATGAAGACATTTATGCAGCCAAAAGACACATGAAAAAATGCTCATCATCACTGGCCATCAGAGAAATGCAAATCAAAACCACAATGAGATACCATCTCACACCAGTTAGAATGGTGATCATCAAAAAGTCCGGAAACAACAGGTGCTGGAGAGGATGTGGAGAAATAGGAACACTTTTACACTGTTGGTGGTACTGTAAACTAGTTCAACCATTTTGGGAGACAGTGTGGTGATTCCTCAAGGATCTAGAACTAGAAATACCCTTTGACCCAGCCATCCCATTACTGGGTATATACCCAAAGGATTATAAAAAATGCTGCTATAAAGACACATGCACACGTATGTTTATTGCAACACTATTCACAATAGCAAAGACTTGGAGCCAACCCAAATGTCCAACAATGATAGACTGGATTAAGAAAATGTGGCACATATGCACCAAGGAATACTATGCAGCCATAAAAAAGGATGAGTACATGTCCTTTGTAGGGACATGGATGAAGCTGGAAACCATCATTCTCAGCAAACTATCGCAAGGACAAAAAACCAAGCACCGCATGTGCTCACTCATAGGTGGGAATTGAACAATGAGAACACATGGACACAGGAAGAGGAACATCACACACTGGGGCATGTTGTGGGGTGGGGGGAGGGGGGAGTGATAGCATTAGGAAATATACCTAATGTTAAATAACAAGTTAATTGGTGCAGCACACCAGCATGGCACATGTATACATATGTAACTAACCTGCACATTGTGCACATGTACCCTAAAACTTAAAGCATAGTAAAAAAAAAAAAAAGAGAAAATATTTTATAATTTCCCCAATTGTTAGTGCAGAATAAAAATAAAACTGTTAGGATACAAGAGATTTATCTCAGTTTCTGATCAATGGGCTTTCCATAAGTAAGAATTTCTTAAAGCAATGAACATGTTGTATAACCAAGAAATAGTGTAAAATATGAAAGAATTAAGGCCAAGTATACCCAGATTCTAAGTAAGCCTCTGCCTTCCAACATCAATTGCTTGTGGTTACACACTAATATTAACTGTTGTTAAAAAAAATTATTTACTACTCTATCAATATCTCTTCTAAAAAGTTCTTTAATAATTTTTTATTTAATTAATTTAATCTTTACAACAACCATAAAAATTCGACATTATTTTTACTCATATTTTAGGGTTGAAAACAGTGATGTTCCTGGCCAAAGATAACACATTTAGGAATGGCTGATACAAGAAGTCATTTTCTGGAAGGTTGTATATCTGAAATTTCTGTCTACCCCCACCAACCAAATGATGCCAGTAGTTGTCAAACTGTTTCATACACACTAGAATTCTGATGTGTCTCAGGGACCAGTACAAGGAAGTAGAGAAAGAAAAAAACATACCTGCCCCTCTAGCTCTGGGTTTTCTACTTGAGTTTCAACCACAGCATTTCTATTATTATATGTATTAGGGTTACTCGTAATGTTTGTTTTGTTCAAAAAAAGCATCAAACCTTAGTACTATAGCATGCTGCCACTAACAACTTTAAAGCTGGAACCCAGTCTTATACATTTCTTATTGCCACTATATTGTTCATATACATTGACCTATTAGCAGATTTTCTAAGAAAGGATCAGAAGCCCTGGGCCCCAGTGACCCAGGTCAGAGGCTACTTTTACTTTAGCTGCTCTGGGCTTCAGGAACACTCTTGCCCCAGCATCTTCACAGACATGTGTCTGTTTCTCTTGAAAACCAACCTAATTATTCACAAAAACCAATCCAATTATTCACAATACCTGAGGCATTCTCCCCAGTGTCACATCTCACTGAAACCTCTCCCAAGAGAAAAGTGATTTTTTCTCCAAATATTATACAACAATTTTCAATCGGAAATTGTATAATCAGCAATACTGTACAAAAAAAGAACAAATGAAGTATTACTTTTCACATTAGGTTTATAAATCCCTTTTCATTTATGAATCCTAATTTTAACAGCAAAAAAAGCAAATGTACTCAAAAGAAATTATATCTGTTTAAAAGTACATGAAACACTTTCCCCAAAAAAATCTATGATACTCTCAAAGGTAGTTTGCGCATACAAATTTAATTAGTGGACTAAAGTTTTTACTTCTGGCCTTGGCTTAATGCTACAATTTTATACCAGTGACTCTGTCTTTAAAATTTGGATATAAGTGTTCTCCATAGGATGTTTGGGGTAAACAAATACACTGTGTTATTAATGTTTATAAAGCATCATTAGACAAAGGCTTATGAAAAGTATTCCTTATATAAAGGGCAGGTTGTCATAAACTTGGGAGGAGGGCTCATCTGTGGGTGCATCGTGAAAAAGAAAGACAGCTAGGAAAAAAACTTGTATTTTCCCTGTCTAGTCTCTACCCATGCATGCATTGGACTGACTGGTCTACCCCTGTGTAGCATTTCACTAGACTCCCTAACTAGTGGCACCTGGGGGAGAGGTCAGAGATTACTAGGGACATTGTGTGCCTCCACTGAGATGCACTGGAACCTTTCTGTAGTTTCTGTGCTCCAGGACTGGGGCCAAGGGGCAGGAGAAACGTTGAGAGCAAAGGCAACTGATATCTCCAAGCCCCTTATTAACTGTCAGGCACTGCAAAACTGTGATTTCAAGTAACTACTCTATTATCACCAACCCCATTTTTTTTTCAGATAACACTTTAGGTCAATGTAACGAATGATGCCCAAGATTGTACGCCTGGCAAGAAGTGGGACTGAGAATTGAATCTGGGCTGGCCTAACTCCAAAGTTCTCTTGTTTTTTGAATCTGAAAACTCATATCAACTGTTTTATCACTTTATGATTAATTTACTCTTAGTGTTTAGACTCCTTAAAGGGAAGAAAGAAGCAACCTGATTGTGATCACTTTTCTACTTAACAAATCACTTTCCTATAGTTTATCAGTAAAATCAAATTTATAAGAAGTATGTGTACTTAAGTTATGTAAGAAATCATCTTTCAGAATTGATACTCTGGATTTCAGTTTCAAAATGGGGGCTCAGTCCCCCAAGGCATAAAAGTGAAAAACTTTATTACCTTTCTTTTAAATTCATCTTTTAGTTCTTGGATGGAGGAGGTAGGAGACCAAATAATGCTTGAAGTGACACATACCACTAAATTATATGCATTCATGTGATTGATTGAGGATTGTTGCTCAATATTGTGTAATATACCAAAGAGATACCTTAGGCTAACAACATTGGCACTCAGAAGCTGGTCTCATAGCGTAAAGAAAGAAAAATGCACTCTTTAAGCAAGACATTGTATTTAAAAACTTGCAAAGGCATGCAATTTTCACTTTGCATGGGGAAGAGTGCAAATCAACAACATGGTTCATATATGCAGAAGTTTCAGTTAACATGATACCACACAAGTGAGGACTGTCTGGACAGAAAGAAAAAATAAGCACTGGGAATTTTTTTGTTTTTGTACACTGTCTTCACAACTCAAAAATGTAAAATAATGCAGAAAATGCCTCATAAAAATGATGCCTGAAATATTTCCCTGAAACTAGTACAATGCATTTAAACTTAGGTCAACCCTTTAACATTTCAGAATATTAACAACTAAAACCCACAAAAAGCTTTCTGATCAAATTAGACAGCAATGAAATTTAAAGTATACCTTTATTTCCAAGCAGTAACCCAGAAATGCTGTCTTGGAAAGAATCAAAACCTTAAGGTCAATTTTGTCCTAAATCTGTCTCATTGTACCATTTTCACATATGAGTTGCTTATAGTATTATATTTTCTACAGTTCTCATTTTGTAGTTGATAAGAGATTTTGAAATGGTCACTCACCAAAAATGATTACTACTATTTAAACATATATATGTATATGTGCTTGTGTGTGTGTGTATATATATATATATATATGCTTGTGTGTGTATGTGTGTGTGTGTGCATGCTGATATTGATGACTGTTCTTTTTTTCAATAAAAACCTGCAAGCTAGGGCAAACAAGGTAGTCTGAATAATGCTCCACAAATAGCAGGCAGGTCTTTTGCAATACAATGGACTAACAATGAATATAGTTTTTGTAAGGATAAATTATGAAAGACTTTTAAATAGAACAAAAAAATTACTGGGTGTATTCAATGGAAAATAAGACATCTAGCATAAGCGTCTGGGTTATCTGCTTCTACGGGGCCCCAAGCTTCTTCACAAGAAGAGTTATTTTGTAACTTTACAAGTTATAAATAACTGACAGCAGCCCATCTAACACTGGTCTAATGATGTGAAAAGTATGTCTGGTGGAGAGACAAGTGATTTAGCCGCATGTACCCCTGCCCTGGTAGAAAAGGCCAGTTTTGTTTGTATCAATTTGTAAATTTACTTTAGCATTTTTTGTTTGTTTGTTTGTTTGTTTGGGGAGTTTGTTTTTTTTTGTTTTTTTTTTTTTTGAGATGGAATTTCACTCTATCACCCAGGCTGGAGTGCAGTGGCATGATGTTGACTCACTGCAGCCTCCCGGGTCCAAGCAATTCTCTAACCTCAGCTTCCCAAGTAGCTGAGATTACAGGCAGGCACCGCCATGCCCAGCTAATTTTTGTATTTTTTGTAGAGATAGGGTTTCACCATGTAGGCCAGGCTAGTCTTGAACTCCTGACCTCAGGTGATCCGCCCACCTCAGCCTCCCAAAGTGCTGGGATTACAGGCGTGAGCCACCGTGCCTGGCCCCACATTTTAGCACTTCTGATTCAACTATATATATAATATTTCAACTTTGAAGTCTCCTTTGAACTGGTTGTAACATCTTACTGGTTCCCTCATAAATGACTTAAATAAAATCTTTCATGTGTTTATTTTACATTTGTATGAGAGTCATAATTTTACTTTAAAAAATCCTTTAACAGCTTATAGGATATATAAGGTTTTAGACAATTAGAAATAAAGTATAGAATTTGATGCTCACTATCTGAATGACTTACGCCAAACTATAATGTAAGTGAAGATAGTGTTTTGATAAATGCCCTTGGTTTCTGGTGTCCTCAGCAGCTGTACTATGTTCTCCTATTGGTGAAAGATGTAGATAATTCATATTTGAAAATTGCTCAAGAAAAAAAACACACAGTACTAAATAAGAACATGCAAGTGAAAAATATTGAGTTTTCATAGAACTAGAAGTATTGCTTTTTGTTAATGGATATTTCTTTCCTATTCTTTTATAATGCAGGAAATATTTAGGCATGGGGTCCTGAGTTCTACCAGCATTTTTGTTTTTTTGCATGAGTAGAGAGAGTAGCAATCCCCCTTTTCCTTGACACTTTTTAAGTAGCTAACTGCCTCTCTACCATGCTTCCACAGCACTCTCCAAATATCTCTTACAGCACTGATTATACTGCATCGTAATTGTAATTCTTGGTCATCTATCTACTTTACCAGAGTGTGAGTTCCCTGAGAAGAGAGAATAAGTCATAATCTCTATGACTTCACCTGGTGAATGAAATATATGATGAGTTGTCTGGTTAAATATTTACCAAAATTACAATCATAAACTGTAGATTGGGCCTACAGTATTAGCTAGCAGACTAATGAATATCAACTCCTATCAGATTCGGATATACAGAAGGTATACAATGCTTAAATATTTCATGTTAATAAGCTAAAGGAGAAAAACAATAACAATGATAAGCCAGCATAAATATATTGTAATCTGGTCCCCATGGATATGACTTTGATATTTGTCATTATTTTAATAAACAAGCTTATAAAATCTTTTTAATAGTATTTTTGAGACACGACCAAATTAGACTAATTACATTTGAACAGAATTTATTTTCTTTTCATCATTTCCCTCATCCATTACCCAGACCCAGTGATCACAGAGATCTGACAAAAAACACTTCCTGGAATACTTTGCAGAAAATCTTTACATTGATGGAAAAACAGGTATTTTAAATTATTATTCTCATGCCAAGTATGTGTTAGATAAATCAGAAAGTATTTTCTTGAAAAGTTCACTTAAGTACTCTCTTCAGGGAACTACACAGACCTCTGTGCCAACTCTCCACTGACTTGTGGAAACAGAAGTATTTTTTGTTTTTTTCTAAAAAAAATTATAGAAATAATTGAAGTCTGCATTATGATGGGAAAGGCAAAGAACAACCAATTTGGCTGAAACCTCCTGTTTGCATACATTTTAGCAAACTAGTCAAATCTGACAGGGTCTGGCAGTAAACTATACTAAATCATTTTTTTTCTCTTTCCTTAGATGGCTAGTTCATGGAAATGCACTAAGGTATCTATGAGGTTAATAATTTGGTGGTCATTCAGTCAATCATTCTATGTGCATTTATTCTTGTGTGCCAACCACTATTTGAGTCACTAGGGATAGAGTAGTAGATAAAACACAGTCCCTATTATCTTAGAACTTTATATCCAGCAGTATTCCATGATTGCATCATGAGGTATGTAAGCTTTTTCCCTATATTCCCCATAGAAAAGTTCTCTTACATTTGGAGAGAGAAAGCATTCCACGTGATGGCTGTATTTGGAAGCATGGGGGCAGCATTCTCACACTTGATGTACACTAAATAACATGTCCACAGTATATTCTTTTCTTAGAGATTCTATTATGCTGAGACCACTGGCAGGGCTGAGTGTGATGAAACCACACTATGACACAAAAGGATATGACCAATGGCATTTGTTGTTTGGCTTTTGTTTACAAAAAGCTTAAAAATAACTAAATTCAATTCTTGTCCTGATCCTAGAGAGTTGATTTTAGGCCAACTCTCTCTGTTGCTGTTGGCATGACATTACCAAGATCAAGCTTGCAGTCTGTTCTCCACCTCAGTAAACTTTAGGCAGAGTGAACTCAATATCATATTTAAGCACTGTACCCATGGTTGTTTACCTTCTTGCAATTTCCTGATTACAACATGGGGACAGGTAAAAGTCTTCAATTGGGCAATTTTAACTCTTGCTGGAAAACCAAATCAATAACTTTCTCTATATGTCTTATGAAAGGCAACACACCATGTTTTACTTAGATATCATGTTTCTAACACTAATATGGAAGCTGTGATAACTTATTGTTACAGTTGGCTGATTGTGTAGGCATCTTTCCCACTTGCTTATGAGCTCCTCCAGGGTAGGAGCAGACTCTTAACCTTCTTTTTACATGTCAATGTCAAGCACAGTCCCAGCCACAGTGGAGGTCATTAGTGAAGTGCTGTCATATGTCATATGGCCAAATATTAATGAGAGCCGAGAAAAAACCAATCAACTGGAACTGAGATTCTAAAACAATTTGAAGAACCTCTTTGTAGTGGTATCAATTTATTGCTATACCTTTTTTAGAAAGAAAGAAGACTGATTGATTCAAACTCTTCCTTTGTTCTATTATATCTTCCAGTAGTAGAAATGTACCTGAATATTTGTGATTCAGGGATATAATTACAAAAGTTACCTCTTTGGGGATACAGCTATTAAATTTTCATAATTCCAAACTAATTTTAGCTGCTGTATGCACATTAGAAGTCCAGTTTAGAAGCAGCAAAATCTGTTATTTCAAAACGGGATAGTGACAATAGCTTTCCTTTTAAATCTCAGTGAAAAATATACTTATGATCTGTCTTAAAGAAAAACACCACTAAATCTTAAACCTACACTTGAAAGAAAATAACTCATAACATCTCAATGAACTCTCCCACAGGTGAAATAACAAGTTTTGAAATTCAGCCACCATCACAGCTGAGAAGGATGTGAAAGCTGGTTCTGAATTGCAATCACCAACTCACAGCATGTAACTAAAAGTCTCCTCTCCTCCAAAACCAGAGCCCAGATCATCGGCAGAATTCCCAAACTCATGAGTTGAGATAGTGCAGGAGTAAATATGAACTTTTTCTCAAAATCTGATGGATCCAAGCTATAGTATCTCAAGCATTTTTGTCCAATTATAGTTTGAAAAGTCAAGGTGAGGCTTAAACTAAACTTATATCTAAGCATAACCAGTGCATAAGTGAAAAATTACAAGAAAACTTAAGTGCCACTTCAAAATAGACTTTAAAACAAGAAACAAAACAAAAACTCAAAAACTTTGGCAAAAATTATGTCCCTTCCTGCAACCACTTGGAAGAAAAGTGAGTAAAACCTACTTATATGATAAAATGTCATTTACTTGGAACCCATTTAAACAGACTCTTCAATCATGTGGATCATTTTTTGTCTTTTCATTATTTTTGGACAAATATTTCTCCAATTTGTAACACATTTAACCTTCAAGAATCATGCTTCTTTACAACAGCATCAATAGCACAAAATTTTAAGAAGTATGGTGCTATGAAAAATAGCATAGTAAGATAAATTTTTGCAGACATTTTTGGTTTTCAAAAAATTATTCCATGAAACACAGGCTTTACCTTTGTAAACTAAGAAGTAGAAGAAAACCTAATTATATGGAAAGAAAAAAGAAAAATTCATTATGCATAAAAATCCTTGGCATATATATCTGGGGCTAAATAAATCAAACATGTCTTTATTGGCCGGGCGTGGTGGCTCACGCCTGTAATCCCAGCACTTTGGGAGGCCGAGGTGGGTGGATCACGAGGTCAGGAGATCGAGACCACCCTGGCTAACACGGTGAAACCCGGTCTCTACTAAAAATACAAAAAAAAAAAAAAAATAGCCGGGCGTGGTGGCGGGAGCCTGTAGTCCCAGATGCTGCGGAGGCTGAGGCAGGAGAATGGCGTGAACGCGGGAGGCGGAGCTTGCAGTGAGCAGAGATCGCGCCAAGGCACTCCAGCCTGGGCGACAGAGACAGACTCCGTCTCAAAAAAAAAAAAAAAAAAAGGTCTTTATTGTTTTGCAGGATTGAAGAGTAATCACAAACCCTCTGCAAACAGGTTAAATGACCTTAGCTCAAGCCCTTCAGTTCTCTGGCCTAATATTTAATTGCAAAAGTCTACGGCTGGGTTTAAGAAAAGACATGGCTCGTTTATCAAAAAATGTCTGATTGTACATGAAGTCATGACATAAGATTTTATCGGCATCTAGCCACTCCGCTGAAGTAGGGGTATGCAAGAGTCTTCTTCACCATATTTTCCTTAATTTTGTTTTTATGCTGCAGGCCCTGAGATATGGGCTGGGGCCTTGTCTCTACTCCGGGCTCTGGTGCATTTCAGCCCTTTGGAAGGTGGGAGCCTGAGGCAGGTCTGCAGAAGATACTGTAGGGTCAAAATCTCTGCTTTAAGCTAGTTTTGACTTGAGGTTTTCCAAAAAGGTAGGGCATTTGCAAGAATGTGGGGCAGAAAAAAAATTAGAACTCTATCTCTGTAACTATATATGTGACTTTTGTAGCCATGGCTAAAGGGTAAGAACCACAAAGAATATCAAATGTGGTAAAGGTAAAAGGAACTCAGATGCTGAGATTGTTCCCACTCCACTTTTAGAGTAAAAGGCATTAGGGAACAAGGAAAAGAGTATTTTTGGGCGTAATGGTTATGTAAACAAAAATTTCAGTGATCTCAGCAATTTTTTTTGTTTCAGTTGTGAGGCAAATGTTTATTATGGCAAACCTCTGTAACTATTTTCAAACATGCAACAAAAGTTTAGTTTTGAAAACTGCCTTTATTATGAAGGTAGTGAGACAGAATTTTTTTTTTTTTTTTTTTTTTTTGAGACAGAGTCTTGCTCTGTCACCCAGGCTGGAGTACAGTGGTGTGACCTCGGCTCATTGTTACCTTCCTCTCCAAGAATCAAGCGATTCCCAGGCCTCAGACTCCCAAGTAGCTGGGATTACTGGCGTGAGCCACCATACCATGCAAATTTTTGTATATTTAGCAGAGATGGGGTTTCACCATTATTGGCCAGGCTGTTCTCAAACTCCTGACCTCAACTGATCTGCCCCTCCTCAGCCCCCTAAAGCGCTGGGATTACAGGTGTGAGCCACCATGCCTGGCCAAGACAGAAAATACTAATAGGCATGATGTTTGTTTTGGTAAATGTGTGTGTCTTTTTATTATTTTAACAAAGTTTTATTTTTTACATGGGGTTGCAGAAGTAAAGATGAGGTTAGTGTGGGAAAAAAAATTTTTAAACATATTTGATATGTCATATCACTGGTGGTAGTTTTTAAAGTCCAATGTTGACTTTATAAAAGTGTTTGTAACACTCTTTTAGTGTTAAAGTTATAAATTGATTATGGGTCTTTGCAAATATAAATAATGTTCATAAAAAAAATAAAAACACCTTTTTCTTGCTCCAGAGCTATACCATCAGGTAGATTAAAAGAAAATTTTTCTTACCTTCAATACAGAGGCTATCTCAAAAATAGATTCACAATCTAGGTTTACTTCACCTCCAGAATTTAATTTCTCATTTTCTGCAGGATTTTAAACTGGCTGCTTTCCTGAAGACACCTTTGGTGAGGGGTCCTTTTTGATTAAGAAAGAAAAGTACATCCAATAGGGAAACAAAGGAAATAAGCAAAATGGCATTTCACACATACAGACAAGGGAATACTTATCCTTTTTGGCACATACTTACCCCCTTTGGCTACCAGAGGCTATGGGGTTGTGCTAGGGTAAAAGTACTAAAAGATTGGGACTAAAAGAACAGCTAGAAAGATTCAAGTCAATTTTTTTGGGGAGCGCAATGGTGGTTACCAGGGGCTGGGGTGGTGGTGAGGTTGGGGAGATATTGGTCAAAGGATACAAAAGTTCAGTTAGATAGCAGAAGTAAGGTCAGGTGCTCTATTAAATAACATGATTACTATACTCAATAACAAGGTACTGCATTTCTAAAAATGGCTAAGAGAGTGGATTTTAAGTGTTCTCTAATTTTGCTTTCTTTGTATCAGTATGTCCTCTGCTTACAGTGCAGGAAGAGAATGGGTTTTGGAGACAAGCAATCTGTAGGATTTAAAACCTAGTTAGGCCACTTAGCTACTATGTATCCTTGAGTAAAGTACTGAGGCTTTTGAAAACACAGACCATGAAGTAGAGATGGTGACATAGTAAGAACCACCTCCTACGTTTGCTGTGAAGGATAAATAATAAGGTGGCTAGATGAGTGTCTGGCACTTATAGATGAACAATATAGCATTAAATGCCACACATCTAGTATAACACCTGAAGGATAATGAATACTCAATAAATGCTGCTTAGTAGTGATTCTTTAATATGTCAACTGGAAATAACTCAGTGGTTTTCATCTGACCCATTCTACAGACAAAAGATAAATGAATGCCAGGGAACGTACCTTTATGCTTAAGTACTTGACATATAAATAATAAAAGTTTTTAAAACTTAAGCATAACATTGAGTAGTCTCTGCTGCTACACTGATAAAAGAGGACTTTCATAACAATGTGGAGTTGAAGAAAGGATTTGTGTGAGAGAATGTGAATTCTCTGTCTAAAGAGAAAATTCTAATTTATCTGAGTAGGTTTATGTGGGTCTTTCCTGAAATCAGGAAACTATATGATCTCTCCCTATATGTCTTCCTTATGATTCTACAGTAGTTAAATCAGATTTTTAGCCAAAGACAGTGGCGTCTATAATTTTTCCATTTGGTGACATATTTACCTCTCAGAGCTCTCCTTTCCCAAACCCCCTTTCCCATTAGCTAACAGGTCAAGTGAGCCTTACCAGGACAGGTTTGAGCAGATTGTCATTCTCACACATATTTGGCAGAGAAACTCCAAAGAGCTGTCCAGGCATAGGTGATGTTGATGGTGCAGACACATTGTCCAGGCAAGTGCTAGAACCCCAGCAACAGCCCCAGTTTATGATAGATCCTCTTCTTTTAAATGTCTTCTGACCTGAGTCTAAGGAAGAAGTGAGCTTATTACAAAACCTAGTTTAATTCACTTAACCTTATTTCTATAACTTCCATTTTATGGCATGTTTGTTGCTATGGCTAAAAGAGGAAAAAGAATGCTTGTAGATGGCTTTTGTTATTGACAATTCAACATATAATATTTCACTAAAATATCTTACCAATGAAAGAAAAATCAATGAAGGAAGAATCAAATGTTTGGGTTCTTCTCCCATCAACTTTTGGAACATCACTGGTTTGTCTGAGTTTTGGCACTACAATTTCAAAGGTGAAGAAAAAAGACTCCCTTACTGATCTTTAACAATTTAAAGCAAAAAACATTTCATAATGACACATATATGTTTCCCCATTTTAAAGATGAGACTAAGCATACAAAAAAAGTTTAAATGAGACTATAATTAGTGAGAAAAAGAAAGTGAGAAGAGAGGAGGGACAAAGGAAGATAAAGGGGGAAGGGTAAGTAGGAGGAAGAGGACAAGATGAAAAAAGGAGGAAGAAAAAGGAAGAAGGAAGAGGAGGAAGAAGAAAGAGGAAAAATAACGAGGAGAAGGGAAAAGACAGTTTTCTCTGTCTAGATGTTCGCTAAAAATAAAGAATGCATTGTTAACTGATGTCCGATCCTACTATTGAGAACACAGACAGGAAACTAATGTCCTATTTTCTTTTCTTTCTGAGCAGCTGCAAAGATATTCTTTCTTTTTATTTTTTAGTTCCTGACTTTAGAAAGCATGTTTAAGGCAGCATGGATGGATGGAAATATGAGTGAGACTTGCCCTTACTGATGAAGTGTATGATCTAATAGGGACAAAGAACTGATTGTGGTGGGGAGAAAGCAAGTGTATTAATAAATCTAATGTCATAAGGTAAAAACAAAGTACCAAAGGCATTCAGATAAAAGTAAATCACGTCTGCTTAGGAGGAGGCAAGGGAGTGATCCTTGGAGGGTGTTTGCATTTGATTTGGATTTTGAATGAGCAATATTTCAACAGATGGAGAATCTATCATAGTGCTTTCCATCTGGTAAGTACTCAGTAACTCATTAGAAAACAAGAATTAAAACTGAGGAGGGATTTAAGTAAATAAATAGTAAGTATGAACAAAATAGGCAAAAGAAAGGTCAACAGTAAGGTATGGTTTTATACCATAGTGCTGAAATGTTTTTGGTATCATTCATGTCTAATTTTAACATGAATTCTAACAGGTTTGCACATGATATGACACAAAAAAAGCTCTTTAAGGTTCCACTTCTAAAAGTGACTGACCTCTCTGTCCCCTGTTCTCAACACATACACACAGGTAACAACTATAAACTCTGGACAAACCAACCAAAATAAACCTTCCTGAAGGCACTAAAGAGTAACCAAAAGAAAACAGATACTAAGGCAAATTGGTCCCTGGTGCCCTATTTAGTTCGTTTGATGAGGTAATGTTTTCCTAAATGATACTGATGCAAGTAGATATTAGTTTGTGTCTGGGCATTGAAGAGTTAGGTATCTATTGTAGTCTTCACTGTCTGGGCTTATTTGTAGCCATTTTACTTTGGAAGGCCTTCCAGATATTAGAAAGAACTTGGGTGTTGTGATCTAAGCTGTATCTGCTTTAGGGGACACCCCAAGCACAGTAACACTATGGTTCTTGTAGACTCAGAGAGGTACCACCTTGATGGTCTTAAACAAAATCTGTGGGAATTCTTTAGATTACCAGGCAGAGGCTTTTGTTAGCTTTTCTTACTTTCTGCTAATCAAACAATCTCTCTCTGTTCTGAGCCACCTAATGCTGAAGGTGGAGTGACACAAGCACCCCTATGGCCACCAACACTATGACTCTCCCTGCTGTTAGTGTGACTGTCCTGGGTCAGAACTGAAGCCCACAGAGCACTGGGTCTCACCTAAGGTCTGCTGTGACCACTTTCTGGCTACTACTTATGCTCACTCAAGGCCCTAGGGCTCTATAATCAGCTTATGGCAAGCCAGCCAGGCCAGTGTTCTTCCCTTCAGGACAGCCAGCTCCCCCAGGCCCCATGTGGGTCCAGAGTTGCCATGTGGGTGTCAGAGACTAAAGTAAAAAACCTTAGAGGTCTGCCTGGTGTTCTATTATACTGCAGCTGAGGTGGCACTCAAAGCACAAGATGCAGTTCTTCTCACTCTCCCTTCCCCTTTCCAAAGGAAGAAAAGTTTCACCTCATTGCCACCACCACACCAGGCCACGCGGAGTACTGACAGACTACCACCAGTGTTCCCTCAAGGCCCATGGGCTCTTCAGTCAGCTTGTGGTAAATGTTGCCTGGTCTGGGACTCACCCTTCAGGACAGTGGGCTCCCCTCTGGCCCAGGGCAGATCCAGAAATGTAATTCAAAAGTGAAGTCATGGAATAGGGTCCCCATGAGCCTTCTTGGTGCTCTACAACCCTGTGGCCATGCTAGTACCTAAGGTGCGAGCCAAAATCTCTTTTATTTTTTCTACTGCTTTTCTCAAGCAGGAGTTTTGCCTCGTAGTCAACACAGTTGGCAATGTGCTGGATCTCACCTGAAGCCAGTAAGTCTCAGAGAATCACCAAATGTCCTCAACAGAGTACCTGGGTATTACTGCTGATTATTCATGGCCCAAGAGCTCCTCAGTTACCAGGTGATGAATGCTGCCAAAACTTGATTCTTTCTTTCAAGGCATTGGGTTACCTTCTGGCTCAGGGTGTGTCTAGAAATGTCATCTGGAAGCTAGGGCCTGGAATTGGGGTCTTATGACTGACCAGTTCCTGTCCTGCTGTGGCTAAGCTGATATCCAAGATGTAAGACAAACTTCTCCGTGCTCTTCTCTCTTCCTTTCCTCAAAAGGAAGGGGTCTCTTTTGGAGCCATGAGCTGTGCAAACTAGCATTACGAGAGGAGTTGACACAGCATTGTTTAGGGTAATAACTGAGGTTCGTTGCCTCATGCCAAGAAAATCAAGGATGCAGACATGCAAGGAGTGGGTTAAAGAGCAGAAGTTCAATAGTTGAAAGAAAGAAGAGAGCTTCTTCATTCAGAGAAGGGGGTCCCAAACAGGTTTCTGGGTTGGTTTTATATATGAGCTTGAGGAAGTGTTGTCTGATTTATGTAGGGCACAGAGGATTCATTGGATCAAGTGTGCTATTTACATAGCAGATAAAGAGACTGGCCACCCCACTGTAATCTTTTATTATGCAAATGGGGTCTCTACTGGACTGGTACCATGTTGTCTGCTTTTTACTGCACATGTGGTGAAAAAGGGGAAAAGGAACCTCCATGCTGACTATAGCCGGCTTCCAGCTATCCCTTTTCTATTGGCAGAGCTGCCAGCGCAAGCTTCCAGCTTGCTTATGTATGCTTGCAGCTTGATTTTTCAGGCTGCTTTTTGTTAGAAATAATTTTGGGGCTGCTATTTGTTAAAAGGAAACCTTACTGAGGACTCTTTTGTCCTCACAATCTGCCTAAATAATTTATGTTTAGCTGCTGTATCATTTCCCCCTCAGGAGTGGTATCCCTAACTGCTGTTAGGGGGTGTTGGATGATGAGTCTTTCTGGTACTTACTGCTGAAAAGGAGTGTTGTGTAGGGAACAGCAGTTAGGGCTCCTCCTGGGGTCAATCTAAGGGTCCTCAGAAGAAAGGCGTGTCCATGGATGGTTCTGTCTGCAGCACCATTTGGAGTTTGATTACTTCTAGATGAAAAGAGATAAATTTTACAAGAAGATTTAGAATATAGGGTTTGAATATAAGTATTGAGATTACCATTATTAGTGGAGGTACTATAGGTGATAAGCATGGCAGTAGAGTTTGATATCTGTTAGCTATTCTAATGGATTGTAATACTAGTTTGCCTCCACCAAATGTGGCTGTACCTTAGCAGAAACGTTAATATAAAAGTAACATTCTTTGGCCAGGTGCAGTGGCTCACACCTGCAATCTCAGCACTTTGGGAGGCTTAGGCAGGCCAATCACCTGAGGTTAGAAGTTCAAGATCAGCCTGGCCAACATGGTGAAACCCTGTCTCTACAATAATACAAAAATTAGCTGGGCATGATGGCAGGTGCCTGTAATCCCAGCTAATTGGGAGGCTGAGGCAGGAGAATCTCTTGAACCTGGGAGGTGGAGGTTGCAGTGAGCCAAGATCATGCCATTGAACTCCAGGCTGGGCAACAGAGCAAAACTCTGTCTCAAAAAAAAAAAAAAAAAAAAAAAGGAACATTCTTTTTAGGATAAGTGGCATTGGATTTGGGTGGCTAGAGTAACTTTAGTGTTAACTTTGGCTAAATTTTCCAGCAACTATTAATACTTTCACAACCTCCACAGACTACCTATGACATGCTTAAACTTTCTGATTTGTGCTAAACATCCCTCTTTGAACTACCAGTTATTTCCTTTTAGGACAATAATTTACCATAGAAGATCCTTTCTTATATAAAATCACCTTTCTTTATAACCTTCTTTGAATAACTAGAGTGTGACATATTGACAAACCCAATAAAACATCCTAGCAGACTTAGTGATAGTAAAACTTTTATGTTTACTTCCTGTCAGGTAACTATTATGCCTGCTATAAGGATAATAATTCAGCAAAATATTACAGTAGTTGAGACTCTTTATCCAGCATTCCACTCTGGGCATTCTACAGTATATAGTCCTACTGCAAATAGAGTGAGTATACAGTCCTGCAAAGGTGGTGTAGTAGATAATTTCCATTGAAAATTTTTACTTGCCAAGACATAGAATTTCTGTCTGGGGGTCTATGAAGTTGTACATGTAATCCCAAGGATAATTAAAATCTTTCTGCAAATATGCATTAAAAAGAAGTTCTAATATCTGGTGGCAAATCTAAACAGAAAAGTAGAAATGACTGAAAGTATTTCATGAGATAAAGGTGGGACTGAGTAAGATGGGTAGCCCTCACTTACCTTTTATGGTTTGTAGCTTCAGATCTCCTATTTATTCACATTGATATTCAGGATGTTCCTCAGGGCTGTCAGGGGTTGCTCCCACAGCTTTCCAGGCTTCGACTCCAGTGTGATGTATCCAGGAGTTGATACCTGTAACTTTTACCGCTGAGGGGGTTGAAAGAAGAACAGTGTAGAGCCCTTCCCAGCTTGGGCTCAGGGAGAAAGAAAGAGAAGGGAGAGCCTTCACCAATACCAAATCTCCAGGGTTAAATAAAGGTGGTCCTATTTCTTGGGGTTGGGCTTTGGCTAACTGTGTTAATTCCTGTTGAAAGTGAGCCATAGAGGTTACATGCTTAACTAACTCAGATATTTCCTGATCTAACAGAAAATAATTGGTAAGAAAAGGGCATCCATACAGCATCTTAAAAGGGCTCAGACCTAACTTTGAAGGGGTATTTCTTGCCCACAGTAAGACCATGGGAAGAAGAGTAGTGCAAGGAAAATGAGTTTCTTGGGACAGTTTTCTGAGGTGTCTTTTGATAGTATCATTTGTCTTCTCTACCTTTCCTTAGGACTGGGGTCTCCAAGCACAACAGAGATGACACTGTATGCCTAGTGTGTTTGAGATCCACCCCACATCCCCGCCCATGACACCTGCCTTAAATGGGGGGCCATTGCCTCTTTGGAGGTACTTAAGTAGACCAAAGTGAGGACTTATTTCGTTAACAATTTTATTGCCTCAGAGGCCTTTTCTGTATGGCATGGAAAGATTTCTATGCAGTTAGTGAAAGTTTCTACACATGCCAGGAGGTATTGACTACACTTCATCTCTGGCATGTGGGTGAAGTCTGCCAGTCCTCCCCTGGAAAGCTTCCCATCCTTTGGGTTTGAGAAGAAAAAACCCACCTTCACAAGTGTTAACAACCAGTTTCACTGTTCTTAATAAATTCTCTCTTGAAAATAATTTCTGGACACACTGATAAATTTTATCCTTTCCTAAGTGAAATGCTTGGTGGATTTAAGGACTTTCCATTGGCTGGAGGCTGGCAGGTTGAGTTTGCCATCCTCTGAGTGTAGCCGCCCTGAAGGCTGGAAAGTATACCTTTGAGAAGTGATGCATTCTATTTCTGCAGGGGAGTACTGAGGTTTAATTTTTCTTATGGAGCCTTTCCAGATTAGAGGGGCTTGAAGTATATTGATGTGCTAAGGCTTCCTTGCCACTGACTTAGCTACCTGATCAGTAAACCTATTTTCTTCATCTACTTCATCTGCTCTCTTTTGATGTCCCTTTATAATGCATTACTGCTATTTCTCATGGAAGGAAAACTGAGGATAATAACCAGTTAATTTTGGGGTGGTATTTTATAGGCCATAAATTATCTGTAAGACAGTGTCTTTCCTTACAAATGACAGCATGAGCATGGAGAACTAAGAAAGCATACTTCAAATTAGTGTAAATGTTACCTATCTTTCAATTGCTTAATTCAAGTGGTCTTTTAAGATCTGTCAGTGCAGCTAATTGAGCACTTGTGCCTGGAGAGAGAGACACATTTTCAATGATGCCATTTAGAGTGACTACTGCATAATCCTGCCGTACTGATTACTTTCTCTACAAAGGAGCTCCCATCTTTGAAGAGGATCCAGTCTGGATTTTCTAGGGGATTTTCCCTGAGATCTTCCCTGGCTGCATAGGTCTGTATTATAACTTGTTCACAGTCATGTTCATTTTCCCCACTTTCCTTGGGGAGGAAAGTGGCTAGGTTTAGGTGAGAACAAGTTTTTAACTGGATTGTGGAACCCTCTAAGAGCAGAGCCTAATATTTAAGGAGCCGACTATTAGCCAAAGGCTCCCCCTAGAGGACAGTAATCCTTCCACATTATGTGAGGTGTAAACATTTAAGTCATTTCCGAGGTTAATTTGTGGCATCTAGGACCAGTAGGGTCACTGTGACAATGGCTTGGAGGTATTTGTAAATAATAGGTCCCTCTAGCTGCAACTAAGGGGTCGAGAAAAATATTAGAGTTTTTCCTGAGATGTCCCTTATGGTGGTGCTACAAGAAGTGGGAAGGCCTGGATTAGAGAGAGAGAGAGAGAGAGAGAGAGAGAGAGAGGCTGGCTCCAGTGTCCAGGAGGAGGTCTTCCTTCCTTTCTTCAATTTCCAGAATCACCTGGGGTTTCTGTGCTGTAATGGCAGTTTGAGCCACTGGAGCCACGGGTTTGAGCCCCAGAACCCATCAGTCCTGTTGGACCATCTGTGAGACTGGTTCTGAACACAGTGACCTCCATCACTGGGGGCAGTCTGATCTCTAGTGGTCTTTGCCACAAGCTGGATAAGACTGAGGTGGCATTTCCTTGCTGCCTGAGCACTCCTTCTTAAAGTGCCCTGACTTGCCACATTGATAGCCACTAGCAGATGTACCTTGGGGATCCTGAATTTTGCAAGCCTGCAAAGCAGGTAGATACTACAGCCTCTGTCATTTTCTTGTGCTTCCTCTCTTTCTGCTGCTGGGCCTCCTCCTGATATCTATTATAAAAGACTGAAGTGGCCACCCTCAGGAGGTTTTCCAAGGTGGTGTATCCTCCTATAGCCTCCTTTCACAGTTTCCTTCTAATATCAGGAGCAGCCTGTGTGATAAACTTGTCCTTTAGGATGAGCTGTCCCTCAACTGAATCAAGGGATAAGGAGGGGTGGTTTGTTAGTAGCTCTCTCAGCCTTTCCATAAAGGCTGTGTAATTCTTATCTGGCTATTGGTCTATCAAGGACAGCTTAGAGTAATTAACAGGTTTAGCCCTAGTTCTTTGTAAGCCCTCTCATAAGTACATTAAAAAATGTTGCCTTTAATACAAAAAATTAGCTGGGCGTCGTGGCGGGTGCCTGTAATCCCAGCTACTTGGGAGGCTGAGGCAGGAGAACGGTATGAACCTGGGAGGTGGAGCTTGCAGTGAGCCGAGATTGCACCACTGCACTCCAGCCTGGGTAACAGAGGGAGACTCCGTCTCAAAAAAAAAAAAAAGTGTTGCCTTTTCCATTCTTTTGCAGAGCTACCAGAGTTTCAATAGGGATTGTCAGGAGGGACTGTTTCCCTTCCTATTGGGAAAGGTGTTTCCATTATTTCTTTGTGTTTTGTATTAGTGTGTTTTCACACTGCTGATTAAGACATACCTGAGACAAGGGGGAAAAAATACGTTTGAATGGACTTATAGTTCCACATGGCTGGGGAGGCCTAAGAATCATGATGGAAGGTGAAAGGCACTTCTTACATGGCAGCGACAAGAGAAAATGAGGAAGATGCAAAAAGAGAAACCCCTAATAAAACCATCAGATCTCATGAGACTTATTCACTACCACTAGAACAGCATGGGGGAAACCGCACCCATGATTCAAATGATCTCCCACTGAGTCCCTCTCACAACACGCAGAAATTATTGGAGTACAATTCAAGATGAGATTTGGGTGGAGCCACAGAGCCAAACCATATCATTCTGCCCCTGGCCCCTCCAAATCTCATGTCCTCACATTTCAAAACCAGTCATGCCTTTCCAACAACAGTCCCCCAAAGTCTTAACTCATTTCTGCATTAACCCGAAAGTCCACAGTCCAAAATGTCATCTGAGACAAGGCAAGTCCCTTCTGCCTATGAGCCTGTAAAATCAAAAGTAAGTGAGTTACTTCCTAGATACAATGGGGTACAGGTATTGAGTAAATATAGCCATTCCAAATGGGAGAAATTGGCCAAAACAAAGGGGTTACAAGGCCCAGGCAAGTCTGAAATCTAGAGGGGCAGTCAAATTTTAAAGCTCCAAAATAATCTCCTTTGTCACCAGGTCTCACTTCCAGGTCATGCTGATGCAAGAGGTGGGTTCCCATGGTCATGGGCAGCTCTATCCTTGGGGCATTGCAGAGTACAGCCTACCTCCCAGATGCTTTAATGGGCTGGCATTGAGTGTCTGCGGCTTTTCCAGGCAAACAGTGCAAGCTGTCAGTGGATCTACCATTCTGGGGTCTGGAGGATGGTGGCCCTCTTCTCACAGCTCCAATAGGTGGTGCCCCAGTAGGGACTCTGTATGGGACCCCACATTTCCCTTCTGTACTGCCCTAGCAGAGGTTCTCCATGATCACCCTGCCCCTGCAGCAAACTTCTGCCTGAGCATCCAGGTGTTTCCATACATCTTCTGAAATCTAGGTGAAGGTCGCCCAGGCTGGAGTGCAGTGGCACGATCTCTGCTCACTGCAACCTCTGCCTCCCAGGTTCACGCCATTCTCCTGCCTCAGCCTCCCGAGTAGCTGGGACTACAGGCATCCGCCACCATGCCCAGCTAATTTTTTTGTATTTTTAGTAAAGATGGGGTTTCACTGTGTTAGCCAGGATGGTCTCGATCTCCTGACCTCATGATCTGCCTGCCTCGGCCTCCCAAAGTGCTGGGATTACAGGCATGAGCCACCATGCCCAGCCAATTCTTGACTTCTGTGCACTCACAGGCTCAACACCACGTGGAAGCTGCCAAGGCTTGGGGCTTGCACCCTCTGAATCCATGGCTGAAGCTCTATGTTGGCCCCTTTCAGCCACAGCTGGAGTGGCTGGGATGCAGGGCACCAAGTCCCTAGGCCTGGGCCCCAGGCCACAAAACCATTTTCTCCTAGGCCTCTGGGCCTGTGATGGGAGCGGCTGCCAGGAAGACCTCTGACATGACCTGGAGACATTTTCCCCATTGGCTTGGGGATTAACATTTGGCTCCTCATTACTTATGCAAATTTCTGCAGCTGGCTTGAATTTCTCCTGAGAAAGTGGGTTTTTCTTTTCTATCACATTGTCAGGCTGCAAATTTTCCAAACTTTTATGCTCTGTTTTCCTTATAAAACTGAATGCCTTTATCAGCACCCAAGTCACCTCTTGAATGCTTTGCTGCTTAGAAATTTCTTCTGCCAGATACCCTAGATCATCTCTCTCAAGTTCAAAGCTCCACAAATCTCTAAGGCAGGGGCCAAATGCCACCAGTCTCTTTGCTAAAACATAATGAGAGTCACCTTTGCTCCAGTTCCCAAGTTTCTCACCTCCATCTCAGACAACCTCAGCCTGGACCTTATTGTCCATATTGCTATCAGGCTTTTGGTCACAGCCATTTAGCAAGTCTTTGCAAAATTTCCAGACTTTCCCACATTTTCCTGTCTTCTTCTGAGCCCTGCAAACTGTTACCCAATTCCAAAGTCACTTCCACATTTTTGGGTATCTTTTCAGCAACGCCAACTCTACTGGTACCAATTTACATCTTGCTGATGTAGGATGTACCATGTTTTCATCCTGCTGATAAAGACATACCTAAGACTGGGAAGAAAAAGAGGTTTAATTGGACTTACAGTTTCACATGGCTGGGGAGGCCTCAGAATTATGACAGGAGGTGAAAGATACTTCTTACATGGTAGTGGCTAGAAAAAATGAGGAAGATGCTAAAGCAGAAACCCCTGATAGCACAATCAGATCTCATAAGACTCCTTCACTATTATGAGAACAGTATAGGGAAAACCACCCCCATGATTCAAATTATCTCCCACTGGGTCCCTCCCACAACACATGAAAATTATGGGAGTATAATTCAAGATGAGATTTGGGTGGGAACACAGAACCAAACCATATCACCTTCCCTATCTCCTTTTTTCCTTTTTGGCCTATTATAGGAGATATATTGTTCATCTCCAAAATGTTCTACTGCCTACAGAGCTGCCTGTTTTTGAGTAGCAGTGAGGGTTTGGCTTAGGAGCAGCATGGCCTAAGACCCCCTTAATCTGCCTAAGGTTCTGTAATGAGAAGGGAACTTAAAGGGGCCTCAGATAAGGGGAATTCTCAGATGGTTCCCTCAAAAGTTGCTTCTCTTACTGTGGGAAATCATTCTCTACAGACCTGCCTGATATGACTGCTAAAAAAGCTGGGTTGATTTTGCAATGCTTGCAAAGGTCTAGAAAGAATGCCATCCCCTTGTGCAAAGAAAAATGAGCTGCTTTTTTCTTCAAAGTTTTGGGGTTAAATGAGTCCCAGTGCTTTAGAATACACTTGAGAGGAGTACAGGCCAAAGATGGTCTGTTACCCATCTAGAAAGAGAACTGAGAATAAAAGGATCCTTTCCTTGGGATGGCCCAGGGTGGAGGGGAAGACAGTGGGGGCATTCCCCCTACTGTTTTCTCTCTTTGGTTCCTGGGCTCCTGGCACCTTGTTAAACATGCTACCCATGGTTGCAGGCATGATTCCCCAGCCATGGAACCAGAGGAATTAAGTGATGAGTTTAGTCATGTGTACCCATGCAGCCCTAGTTCTCTGTTTTTGATTACCCTGACTTCCTAGACTTGTATGATCTTCATGGCTCCCTGAAAAATGGATCTCAGGAAAGACTATGTAATAGTTGAATTTGGGCATGGCCCCTTTAATGGAGGGGGTGTACAAGATTGAACTCTATATCCTGCTATTGTGGGTCGTGCTAAAGGATTTACCCCTAGAGAATGGTAGTGGTTAACTTCTGGACTTAAAATTCCCTTACTATTTAAGTATTGTCTTAACTGCAAGCAGGATTGGTGTGTTAAAAGAACATAGGGATCAAATGGTGGTTTTCCTGCTGATGGGACAGTGTTCAGACTAAAACAGTTTCAGAGGACATTTTCCTCCTGATCTTTCATGGCATAGTTTTTCCCATTTACAGAAAGCCATAAACCCTGGAATCTGGTAGAGGGGCACAAAAAGGGAGAATTGGGAAGCTGGAGTGTCTCAGCAAAGGACCAACACTGAGACTCATGGTAAGGATACTCCACTAGTTGACGCTGCTGACCTAGAAATACCATATGCTTGCCAGAGGAAGGGTAGAAACACTCGCTGGGGGAGACCTCTGCTTCTAGAAAGTTACAAAAGTGGCATTCCCTTGAGCTATATTTGTAGTTACTATAGCATTTTTTGATCTTTCCTAACAGGACTATTTCTCTGAACTGTAAAAATTCCCATGATATTGCATACAGAGAGAGGAGACATGATGGTGGTGGATAGGAAAGGAGAACATTCTGCAATAGAAAAGCTGGAGATTCTGTTGCTGATCCAATTGAGCAGCTGGAGGCTGAGTTCAGTCCCAAAGCTTTTGAATTACATCAAGGTTTAGCCCTGGCCAGAAATTGTCAGTTGCCCTAGGACTTCTTCAAGCCCCATGAGATGGCTAGTTCCTCCATGAAGGAAAATTGGTTTGAAACATAACCAATAAGCCCAGCAACCTGAGGGCACTAGTGGATTCACTATCATGACAGCCCAACAAGCCTGTCATCTGAGCCTTGAGAAGCATGGCTCACACTAGAGGTATCTAGGTGGCCATCAGACACACAGTATATGGTTTGATTTGACTTTAAAATGGAGGTTAAGGGCCAGGTGTGGTGGCTCACACCTCATCCCAGAACTTTGGTGCCAGCCTGCCCAATATGGCAAAACCCCATCTCTACTAAAAATACAAAAATTAGCCAGGTGTGGTGGCATGTGTCATAATTCCAGCTACTTAGGAGGCTGAGAAATGAGAATCACCTAAACCTGGGAGGTGGTGGTTGCAGTGAACCAAGATAATGCCACTGCACTCCAGCCTGAGTGATACAGTGAGACTCTGTCTCAAAAAAATAAAATAATTAAATAATTAAAATGGAGGCTGAGAGCCCTGAAATAAAAGGACAGAGTTGAGGTCCACTCCTATACTCACCCTTTTGATAATCCTGGACAAGCCCCCACAATGAAGCTGCCTCATTTGTCTGGGGTAATACACAAGGTTCATTGCCTCACACCGAGGAAATCAAGGACACAGACACAGACAAAAGGAGTGGGTTTAAGAGCAGAAGTTTAATAAGTGAAACAAAGAAGAGAGCTTTCTGGTGCAGAGGAAGAGATCCCAAATGGTTTCCAGGTTCATAGCAAGATGCAGTTGGTTTATAGATGAGCTTGAGGAAGTCATGTCTGCCTTATATAGGGCACAGAGGATTGGTTAAACCAGGTGTGCCCTTTATATAGTACGTGAAGAGGCTGGCCACCCCACCCTGATCTTTTATTATGCAAATTGGGTCTCTAACAGGCTGTCACTATGTTGCCTTCTTTTATAAATATGTATAGATACATACACATACTTTTTTTTCTTTTTATTATACTTTAAGTTCTAGGGTACATGAGCACAACGTGCAGGTTTGCTACATATGTATACATGTGCCACATTGGTGTGCTGTACCCATTAACTCCTCATTTAAATTAGGTATATCTGCTAATGCTATCCCTCCCCCATTCCCCCACCCCAAAACAGGCACCAGTGTGTGATGTTCCCCTTCCTGTGTCCATGTGTTCTCATTGTTCATTTACCACCTAAGAGTAAGAACATGCAGTGTTTGGCTTTTTGTCCTTGTGAGAGTTTGCTGAGAATGATGGTTTCCAGCTTCATCCATGTCCCTACAAAGGACATTAACACATCCTTTTTTATGGCTGCATAGTATTCCACGGTGTATGTGTGCCACATTTTCTTAATCCAGTCTATCATTGTTGGACATTTGGGTTGGTTCCAAGTCTTTGCTATTGTGAATAGTGCTGCAATAAACATATGGGTGCATGTGTCTTTATAGCAGCATGATTTATATTCCTTTGGGTTTATACCAAGTAATGTGGTGGCTGGGTCAAATGGTATTTCTAGTTCTAGATCCCTGAGGAATCGCCACATTGTCTTCCACAATGGTTTAACTAGTTTATAGTCCCACCAACAGTGTAAAAGTGTTCCTATTTCTCCACATCCTCTCCAGCACCTGTTATTTCCTGACTTTTTAATGATTGCCATTCTAACTGGTGTGAGATGATATCACATTGTGGTTTTGATTTGCATTTCTCTGACGGCCAGTAACGATGAGCATTTTTTCATATGTCTGTTGGCTGCATAAATGTCTTCTTTTGAGAAGTGTCTGTTCATGTCCTTTACCCACTTTTTGATGGGGTTCTTTGTTTTTTTCTTGTAAATTTATTGGAGTTCATTGTAGATTCTGGATATTAGCCCTTTGTCAGATGAGTAGATTGCAAAACTTTTCTCCCATTCTGTAGGTTGCCTGTTCACTCTGATGGTAGTTTCTTTTGCTGTGCAAAAGCTCTTAGTTTAATTAGATCTCATTTGTCAATTTTGACTTTCATTGCCATTGCTTTTGTTGTTTTAGACATGAAGTCCTTGCCCATGCCTGTGTCCTGAATGGTAATGCCTAGGTTTTCTTCTAGGGTTTTTATGGTTTTAGGTCTAACATGTAAGTCTTCAATCCATCCTGAATTAATTTTTGTATAAGGTATAAGGAAGGGATCCAGTTTCAGCTTTCTACATATGGCTAGCCAGTTTTCCCAGCACCCTTTATTAAATAGGGACTCCTTTCCCCATTGCTTGTTTTTCTCAGGTTTGTCAAAGATCAGATATTTGTAGATATGCGGTGTTATTTCTGAGAGCTCTGTTCTGTTCCATTGATCTATATCTCTGTTTTACTACCAGTACCATGCTGTTTTGGTTACTGTAGCCTTGTAGTATAGTTTGAAGTCAGGTAGTGTGATGCCTCCAGCTTTGTTCTTTTGGCTTAGGATTGACTTGGTGATGTGGGCTCTTTTTTGGTTCCATATGAACTTTAAAGTAGTTTTTTCCAATTCTGTGAAGAAAGTCATTGGTAGCTTCATGGGGATGGCATTGAATCTGTAAATTACCTTGGGCAGTATGGCCATTTTCACGATATTGATTCTTCCTACCCATGAGCATGGAATGTTCTTCCATTTGTTTGTATCCTCTTTTATTTCCTTGAGCAGTGGTTTGTAGTTCTCCTTGAAGAGGTCCTTCACATCCCTTGTAAGTTGGATTCCTAGGTATTTTATTCTCTTTGAAGCAAATGTGAATGGGACTTCACTCATGATTTGGCTCTCTGTCTGTCTGTTATTGGTGTATAAGAATGCTTGTCATTTTTGCACATTGATTTTGTATCCTGAGACTTTGCTGAAGTTGCTTTTCAGATTAAGGAGATTTTGGGCTGAGATGATGGCGTTTTCTAGATATATAATCATGTCATCTGCAAACAGGGAAAACTTGACTTCCTCTTTTCCTAATTGAATACCCTTTATTTCTTTCTTCTGCCTGATTGCCCTGGCCAGAACTTCCAACACTATGTTGAATAGGAGTGGTGAGAGGGGCATCCCTGTCTTGTGACCGTTTTCAAAGGGAATGCTTCAAGTTTTTGCCCATTCAGTATGATATCGGCTATGGGTTTGTCATAAATAGCTCTTATTATTTTGAGTTATGTCCCATCAATACCTAATTTATTGAGAGGTTTTTAGCATGAGGCACTGTGAATTTTGTCAAAGGCCTTTTCTGCATCTATTGAGATAATCACGTGGTTTTCGTCTTTGGTTCTGTTTATATGCTGGATTACATTTATTCATTTGCATATACTGAACCAGCCTTGCATCCCAGGGATGAAGCCCACTTGATCATGGTGGATAAGCTTTTTGATATGTTGCTGGATTCAGTTTGCCAAAATTTTATTGAAGATTTTTGCATTGATGTTCATCAGGGACATTGGTCTAAAATTCTCTTTTTTGGTTGTCTCTACCAGGCTTTGGTATGAGGATGATGCTGGCCTCATAAAATGTGTTAGGGAGGATTCCCTCTTTTTCTATTGATTGGAATAGTTTCAGAAGGAATGGTATCAGCTCCCCCTTGTATCTGTGGTGGAATTTGGCTGTGATTCCATCTGGTCCTGGACTTTTTTTGGTTGCTAAGCTATTAATGATTGCTTCAATTTCATAGCCTGTTATTGGCCTATTTAGAGATTCAACTTCTTCCTGGTTTAGACTTGGGAGGGTGTATGTATCGAGGAATTTATCCATTTCTTCTAGATTTTCTAGTTTATTTATGTACAGGTGGTTATAGTATTCTCTGATGGTAGTTTGTATTTCTGTGGGATCGGTGGTGATATCCCCTTTATCATTTTTTATTGCATCTATTTGATTCTTCTCTCTTTTCTTCTTTATTAGTCTTGCTAGAGGTCTATCAATTTTTTTGATCTTTTCAAAAAACCAGCTCCTGGATTCCTTGATTTTTTGAAGGGATTTTTGTGTTTCTAACTCCTTCACTTCTGCTCTGATCTTAGTTATTTCTTGCCTTCTGCTAGCTTTTGAATATGTTTGCTCTTGCTTCTCTAGTTCGTTCAATGATGATGTTAGGGTGTCAATTTTAGATCTTTCCTGCTTTCTCTTTTGGGCATTTAGTGCTATAAATTTCCCTCTACACACTGCTTTAAATGTGTCCCAGAGATTCTGGTATGTTGTGTCTTTGTTCTCGTTGGTTTCAAAGAACATCTTTATTTCTGCCTTCATTTTGTTATGTACCCAGTAGTCATTCAGGAGTAGGTTGTTGAGTTTCCATGTAGTTGAGCGGTTTTGAGTGAGTTTCTTAATCCTGAGTTGTAGTTTGATTGCACTGTCATCTGAGAGACAGTTTGTTATAATTTCTGTTCTTTTACATTTGCTGAGGAGTGCTTTACTTCCAGCTATGTGGTCAATTTTGGAATAGGTGCAGTGTGATGCTGAAAAGAATGTATATTCTGTTGATTTGGGGTGGAGAGTTCTGTAGATGTCTATTAGGTCTGCTAGGTGCAGAGCTGAATTCAATTCCTGGACATCCTTGTTAACTTTCTGTCTTGTTGATCTGTCTAATGTTGACAATAGGGTGTTAAAGTCTCCCATTATTATTGTGTGGGAGTCTAAGTCTCTTTGTAGGTCACTAAGGACTTGCTTTTTGAATCTGGGTGCTCCTGTATTGGGTGCATATATATATTTAGGATAGTTAGCTCTTCTTGTTGAATTGATCCCTTTACCATTATGTAATGGCCTTGTCTCTTTTGATCTTTGTTGGTTAAAGTCTGTTTTATCTGAGACTAGGATTGCAACTCCTGCCTCTTTTTGTTTTCCATTTGCTTGGTAGATCTTCCTCCATCCCTTTGTTTTGAGCCTATGTGTGTCTCTGCACGTGAGATGGGTTTCCTGAATACAGCACACTGATGGGTCTTGACTCTTTATCCAATTTGCCAGTCTGTGTCTTTTAATTGGAGCATTTAGCCCATTTATGTTTAAGGTTAGTATTGTTATGTGTGAATTTGATCCTGTCATTATGTTAGCTGTTTATTTTGGTCATTAGTTGATGCAGTTTCTTCCTAGCCTTTGATGGTCTTTACAATTTGGCATGTTTTTGCAGTGGCTGGTACAGGTTGTTCTATTCCATGTTTGGTGCTTCCTTCAGGAGCTCTTTTGGGCAGGCCTGGTGGTGACAAAATCTCTCACCATTTGCTTGTCTGTAAAGTATTTTATTTCTCCTTCACTTATGAAGCTTAGTTTGGCTGGATATGAAATTCTGGGTTGAAAATTCTTTTCTTTAAGAATATTGGCCCCCACTCTCTTCTGGCTTGTAGAGTTTCTGCTGAGAGATCAGTAAAGCTGGAACTTCACTTCTGTTCTATTTCCTATCTTAAATTGTATCCAGCCATATTACCTAATATATCCTTTCAAAGCTTCTGCAATGATATTAAATAATGACCGTAAGATAGTCCAATAATCGTATGTCACCACATATTGATACTCCAAAATTAAATATAATTTCCCTCTCATTAATAGTTTCCCAGGAATTATAATTAAATTCAAATATTAAAAGCTTTAAAAAATTCAAATTCTTAACCTTAAAATCCATAAAAGCTAAAGTCTGAAAAATTCCTGCTGTCTTTGTTGTGCAGTATGAATCCAAAGAAATTAATGTCTCAAATCCCAACTTAAATTCTAAACTTATTCTCTCCAACTTCTCATTCTCTTCAGTTTCAGTTAGATGAATTTTCTCCATATCTGCATTCTTTCAGCAGCTACAGCCTGACTCTTTCTCAGGAGTGGCTGCAGTTTCTTCAGGACCTCAGAAATTGTGTTTGTTCACTCCTAAGTCAACTCAGAAGCCTCATTTTTAAGGATCAAATGCATTACTAGAACATACAAAACTGAACATCATGTTTTCCGCACCCACACGTTTTAGAAAATAAAGCAATCCCATTTGCTAGTAATGTTATCGCAAACATAATTATGTTCTAGAACCTAGTATATACTGTTGTAAAGGTCATTATAGAAACTCAAAAGTATCTGAAAAAGAAATATTAGTTTCAACTTTACTAAATAGCTGATCAACTCACCCCTTTATAATAAAAACCCTCAATGAACTAAGCATCATACCTCAAAATATTAAGAGCCATCTGTGACAGACCTGCAGCTGACATCATAATGAAAAGACAAATTTAGAAACATTCCCTCTTAGAACTGGAATAAACAAGAATGTCCACTTACACCACTCCTATTCAATGTAGTACTGGAAATCCTAACCACAGCAATCAGCCAAGAGAAAGAAATAAAAGGCATCCAAATAGAAAAAGAAGTCAAACTATCTCTCTTCACTGAACATATAATTCTGTACATAGAAAACCCAAAGGATTTCTCCAAAAGACTCCTAGGCTTGACAAATGATGTGGTGAAGTTTCAGGATACAAAATCTACATATAAAAATCAGTATTATTTCCATACACCATCAACATTCAAGCTGAGAACCAAATCAAGAATGCAATCCCACTTATAGCCAAAACAAACAATAAAACAAATAAAAACCTAGGAATACATCTGCCCAAGGAGGTAAAAGATCTCTACAGGAGATGCTTGTCTGGGGTATATGAGCATTACCCTAAAAATCCATTAGAGTTGTACAGAAAAGTTCACAGCAGCATTATGCATAATTGCTAAAAAACTGAAACAATGTAATGCCCATCAACTGATGCATAAATGAATAAAATGTGGTATATATCCAAAACATATTCAGCTATAAAAAGAAATGAATATTGCTATGTGATACAATATAGATGAATCTTGAAAACACTGTGCTAATGGAAAGAAGCCAGTCACAAAAGGCTACATATAACGTGATTCAATTGACATGAACTATCCAGACTATGTAAATTTGTAGATGCAAAAAGCAGATTTCTGGTCATTAGGAGATGAGAGAAGGGAAAAATTGGGACTCACTGCTAATTGGTACAGGGTTTTTTTTGGGGGGGTGGCAGAAATACTCTAGAGTGAGACAATAGTGATGGTTGCACTACATAGTTAATATGCTGGAAATCACTGAATTCTACACTTTTAAACAGTGAATTTTACGTTATATAGATTATATCACATTAAAAAAAAAACCCTTACATTGAGAGAAACCTGTCATAAGAGATTAAATTTGACCATATGGGATTTATCATAACTATGGCACCAGAGTGGGTTAAAGGCTTATTCGCTTATCTTCTTTCCCAATTATTGTCATCTGAGATACTCCTGGCTTTTTAATCTCTAAAATTTGCAATGAAATCACCCCCCACCCCACTCACTGGGCATCAGGTACTACTGAGAAGTTCTTCCCATTCAGTATTTTCTCAGCCTTTTAGTCTCAATCTCCCCACTGAGTACCCTTCTAATGCTATACTAAGAGTGGACTCCATCTGGCCAGGTAGCTAACACTGTATCCCAGGAACTGGTAGTTTTGGTCCTGAGCCACAGTGGCTGCTGTCACTCACTACAGAATTGTTTGGACCTGTGAAACCTGCCTCCCAGTGAAGATCCTCCTGTCCCTCAGTCCCTAGAAGTGTTCCAGCTAGAGAATCACCTTCAGCAACTTCCTTAAATAAAGCTGTTTCTGGTGAATTGCACCCCTAGCACCCTCACGGAAAAAATTTCCCTCATGATTACTCCCCAAGAAATGACATTTCCTCTGGTTTAGGATGCTACCAGCTCTGAATATTTCTGTATGCTATGTCTTTTATGCTATATGCCTCAAGTGTTTTCATTTTCCCCTCTAATAGTTTCAAGAAGACTTAGCTGATTAACCTACCTCAGAGGTTTCTTTTCTTCTGCCAAGTAGGATCACAATGTTTGTAAGATCCGAGTTCTTTCTTTTTACTTTGGCATTGCTCTCAGGCCCGGACATTTTACTAGTGTATTCTGTTAGATTGTGGTTATAGAGTTTTCCATGGTGAGATACATGAAAACATCAGGTTCTGGGTCTGCCAAAAATATCTGCTGTTTAAACATATTTTGTGTACATCCAGGCTCCTAGGAAGATTATCCATCCCAGAAGATACCCTTCCATCACTCAACATCTATAATGGGCTCAGTACATATTATAGTTCTTCTGTCTACATCCCTCCAATATAACTCATCTTTTCTGTGCTTTACCTTGAGTCCTAACCAAAAATTGCTTGGGGATGTTTCTTCAAGGAACAGCATATAATACTTTTAATACAGTACATAATAGTTAAGTCACCTCCTATGTTTTGAGTTTTTCTCTGTTCTGCCCCACCTTTCCCCCTCAAATTTGTCCTAACATTCTGGATCAAGTCATACTGTTGTCCCAATATATGCTTGGAGAATTGGTTTCTCCTAACACTTATGAGAGAGTCTGCAGCATTTGGGCACACCCTCTCAGGGATCACTCTACTTTATGAGATCCTGCCTTGCTTCCTCTCTAAATTTTGTCAGGCTCCGGTCTTTCTTTCTGATATAGCAACAATGAAAGCACAACGCATTTTCTAAAACCTTCTGAGAACAGGTAGACCATCTACATTTGTCTGTCCTTACAGTTCTTGCTTCCCCTTCACATCTGTTGATTTTAACCAATAAAACCTCAACCTTTCTCATAAGGAAATCCTTTGCTTCCTTCAGTTAAATATTCCTAAATGTCTTATTCTGTTATTCTCAATATTCTGTTGCACTTGTTCTTATAGAAGGGTTGAAGCATACTCTTCAAACTCATCTCTGGCTTCCTCAGCAAAGCTGATTCTTGAGATGTAGTCCTCCAGGCACCGGCTTTCTAGACTTTGGTGTGGTAATGGCTTCACTGAGGTGTTTTTCTACTTCAACCCAAAAAGGGACCATTTTTAATAATAAGTCTCATGTCTTTTTGCAAGATTGTTAATAAAATTCTACCACCCTTCTGTGGACAAGGGTGCATTGTATGTCTCAGAATGGTCTAGTACTAAGATCACAGTTGACTTTGATTAACAAATCCATGGCCAACTTGAAACTACAGAGTGGGGAGTGGCTTTTAAAAGCCTATGTGGAAGCCATGTATATCCATGAATTAGCCCATCTTTAGGCCCTTAATTCAGCCAAAAATAGTGCAAAAAGTGAGTGCCAGCCTACCTCTGCACACATAACATAAATCCCACTTACACACTAGTTCTTTATACATAAAATTTAGCTGTACTAAGTTCCCAGCCTGCAGCCCTGGTTGATAAAGCAGATTGTAAAAGCTGTGGTCAATAATTAACTTGACCCCTCCCAACATGATGCTCCTGTACTTATAAGTGAATCTTTTCCTCAGCTGCAGTCTTTATGGAGGCCCTAAATGCCCATCATCTACTGATGCTCTATGTTCTTCAAAATAAAACTGTAGCAATTCATATTCTAAATCCAGCCCACACTGCGTGCCATGACCTTCCCACCTTTAGCTTAAGACCAGCAGCTGTTTAACACTGGCTGCATAAAAACCTGCAGGAAAAGTGGCCATAAATTAAGGGACTGATCAATGTCAAATAGCACATTGCCTAATGCTGAAAGATGTTTTCCAGGGATAAGAGATAATAGGGAAAACAAAACAAAAAACAATCACCACAATTACACTGTCCTAGATAGGCCACTGCTAACTTCTAAGGACATGAACCCTTGTGGCACTGCCCTAGAAAAACTTCAGTCTCTGAATATTATTTTTCTTTTGATACATGAACAGAAACATTGTCTGTAACTTCCTACATAAACTCTGAAGCCTTTCAAACCTTAAGCAAATATAAAGCTCTCATGTAAAATAATCTTAACAGTTTCCATAATATACATGAGGCCAGGCACAATAAATCATGTCTTTAATCCTAGCAATTTGGGAGGCTGAGGTGGGAGGATAGCTTCAGCCCAGGAGTTCAAGACCAGCCTGGGCAATGTGGCAAAACCTCATCTCTATTTATTTAATCTACATTGTAAGTTAAAAATATATATACATGAAAATTTTAAACTCTAAAGTAAATTATACAAACATGGTAATAACAATTGCTTTTGAATGGTGGAGTAATTTTAATTTCTATTTTCAATCTCCAAAATTTTTCCATAAAATTACAATTATTTATGCAACCAAATAACTGCCTACCTGGCAACTGTATGTCAGGGAAAAGCCACACTTCCTGCCCTTGCCTCCAGAAGTCAAAATATGGCTATAATTATGACACACTTTCTAAACACTGCTGCAGCCTCCTTACACTGAAGTGACTCTGAATCTCACAGTGGCATCACCCCTAACCTAGGGGCCTCCATTTATCCCATAAATTTATGAAGCTTAATAAATTCCCTAAAATTGCTCTCCCTCTCCCTCTCCCTCTCCCTCTCCCCACAGTCTCCCTCTCCCTCTCTTTCCACGGTCTCCCTCTGATGCCGAGCTGAAGCTGGACTGTACTGCTGCCATCTCAGCTCACTGCAACCTCCTTGCCTGATTCTCCTGCCTCAGCCTGCCAAGTGCCTGCAATTGCAGGCGCCCACCACCACGCCTGACTGGTTTTCGTATTTTTTTGGTGGAGACGGGGATTCGCTGTGTTGGCCGGGCTGGTCGCCATCTCCTAACCACGAGTGATCCGCCAGCCTCGGCCTCCCGAGGTGCAGGGATTGCAGACGGAGTCTGGTTCACTCAGTGCTCAATGGTGCTCAGGCTGGAGTGCAGTGGCGTGGTCTCAGCTCGCTACAACCTCCACCTCCCAGCAGCCTGCCTTGGCCTCCCAAAGTGCTGAGAGTCCAGCCTCTGCCCGGCCGCCACCCCGTCCGGGAAGTGAGGAGTGTCTCTGCCTGGCTGCCCATCGTCTGGGATGTGAGGAGCCCCTCTGCCTGGCTGCCCAGTCTGGGAAGTGAGGAGCGTCTCTGCTTGGCCGCCATCCCATCTAGGAAGTGAGGAGCATCTCTGTCCGGCCGCCCATCGTCTGAGATGTGGGGAGCGCCTCTGCCCCGCCGCCCCATCTGGGATGTGAGGAGCGCCTCTGCCCGGCCGTGACCCCATCTGGGAGGTGAGGAGCATCTCTGCCCAGCTGCCCCGTCTGAGAAGTGAGGAGACCCACTGCCTGGCAACTGCCCCATCTAAGAAGTGAGGAGCCCCTCCGCCCGGCAGCCACCCCTTCTGGGAAGTGAGGAGCATCTCCACCCTGCAGCCACCCCGTCCGGGAGGGAGGTGGGGGTCAGCCCCCCACCCGGCCAGCCGCCCCGTCCGGGAGGGAGGTGGGGGGGTCAGCACCCTGCCCGGCAGCCGCCCAATCTGGGAGTGAGGTGGGGGGGTCAGCCCCCCGCCCAGCCAGCCGCCCTGTCCGGGAGGGAGGTGGGGGGGGTCAGCCCCACGCTCGGCCAGCCACCCCGTCCGGGAGGGAGGTGGGGGGTCAGCCCCCCCACCCAGCCAGCCGCCCCATCCGGGAGGGAGGTGGGGGGGTCAGCCCCCACCCGGCCAGCTGCCCCATCCGGGAGGCGAGGGTCGCCTCTGCCTGGCCGTCCCTACTGGGAAGTGAGGAGCCCCTCTGCCCGGCCAGCCACCCCGTCCGGGAGGGAGGTGGGGGGGTCAGCCCCCCGCCCGGCCAGCTGCCCCGTCCGGGAGGGAGGTGGGGGGGTCAGCCCCCCACCCGGCCAGCCGCCCCGTCTGGGAGGTGAGGGGCACCTCTGCCCGGCCGTCCCTCCTGGGAAGTGAGGAGCCCCTCTGCCTGGCCACCACCCCGTCTGGGAGGTGTACCCAACAGCTCATTGAGAATGGGCCATGATGACAATGGCGGTTTTGTGGAGTGGAAAGGGGGGAAAGGTGGGGAAAAGATTGAGAAATCGGATGGTTGCCGTGTCTGTGTAGAAAGAAGTAGACATGGGAGACTTTTCATTTTGTTCTGTACTAAGAAAAATTCTTCTGCCTTGGGATCCCGTTGATCTGTGACCTTACCCCCAACCCTGTGCTCTCTGAAACATGTGCTGTGTCCACTCAGGGTTAAATGGATTAAGGGCGGTGCAAGATGTGCTTTGTTAAACAGATGCTTGAAGGCAGCATGCTCGTTAAGAGTCATCACCACTCCCTAATCTCAAGTACCCAGGGACACAAACACTGCGGAAGGCCACAGGGTCCACTGCCTAGGAAAACCAGAGACCTTTGTTCACTTGTTTATCTGCTGACCTTCCCTCCACTATTGTCCTATGACCCTGCCAAATCCCCCTCTGGGAGAGACACCCAAGAATGATCAATAAAAAAATAAAAAATAATAATATTAATAATAATAATAATAATAATAAAATAAATCACTGCTATAACACACACTAAATAAATAAATAAATAAATAAATTCCCTAAAATTAACAACAGAACAAGAAACAACAACAAAGTGGCCAAACATTAGGTTTTTATCTTCATGTATCAGACAGCCCTTATGGGTCAGAAAAGCCTTTCCCATTTTCCAATGAGAGTTGTAGCTAACATGTCACAGCTGCAAAAAGCCCACCGTTAATGGCTCCATAAATTTCCAAGATGGGGATAAGCTTTTTCAATTAAACCTTTCTCATCCCTCTTTGCAGATGACATAAACTTATATTTAGAAAAACCAAAGAACTTCACCAAAAAGAACCCTCTAAGAGCTGAGAGCAAATTCAGTAAAGTTACAAGATACAGCAAAATTAACATACAAAAATACAAAAAATCAGTACCATTTCTATACACCAATAATGGTCAAACTGAAAACCAAGTCAATAACTCAATCCTCTTTACAATAGAAACAAAACATAAAATACCGAGGACTATATTTAATGAAGGACGTGAAAGATCTCTACAAGAAAACACTGTAAAACATTGATGAAAGAAATTATAGATGATACAAAGAAACCGAAAAGAAACAATCACAGCACAGCAAAAGAAACAATCAATAGATGGAAGAGACAGCCTGTTGAATGGAAGAAAATATTTTAAAACTATTCATCAAATAAGGCACTAATATCCAGAATATACAAGGAACTCAACAATTTTAAAAAATCCTATCTAAAAGTGGGCTAAGGACATTAATAAATAATTATCGACCTCTGGGGGCAGGGCACAGACAAACGAAAAGACAGCAGTAACCTCTGCAGAATTAAATGTCCCTATCTGACAGCTTTGAAGAGAGCAGTGGTCCTCGCAGCATGCAGCTGGAGATCTGAGAATGGGCAGACTGCCTCCTCAAGTGGGTCCCTGACCCCAGAACCCCGAGCAGCCTAACTGGGAGGCACCCCCCAGCAGGGGCAGACTGACACCTCACATGGCCGGATACTTCAACAGACCTGCAGCTGAGGGTCCTCTCTGTTAGAGGAAAACTAACAAACAGAAAGGACATCCACACCAAAAACCCATCTGTACATCACCATCATCAAAGACCAAAAGTAGATAAAACCACAAAGATGGAGAAAAAATAGAGCAGAAAAACTGGAAACTCTAAAAAGCAGAGCGCCTCTCCTCCTCCAAAGGAACGCAGTTCCTCACCAGCAACGGAACAAAGCTGGAAGCAGAATGACTTTGACGAGCTGAGAGAAGAAGGCTTCAGATGATCAAATTACTCTGAGCTACGGGAGGAAATTCAAACCAAAGGCAAAGAAGTTGAAAACTTTGAAAAAAGTTTAGAAGAATGTATAACTAGAATAACCAATACAGAGAAGGCCTTAAAGGAGCTGATGGAGCTGAAAACCAAGGCTTGAGAACTACGTGAAGAATGCAGAAGCCTCAGGAGCCGATGTGATCAACTGGAAGAAAGGATATCAGTAATGGAAGATGAAATGAATGAAATGAAGCGAGAAGGGAAGTTTAGAGAAAAAAGAATAAAAAGAAACGAGCAAAGCCTTCAAGAAATATGGGACTATGTGAAAAGACCAAATCTACGTCTGATTGGTGTACCTGAAAGTGACAGGGAGAATGGAACCAAGTTGGAAAACACTCTGAAGGATATTATCCAGGAGAACTTCCCCAATCTAGCAAGGAAGGCCAACATTCACATTCAGGAAATACAGAGATCACCACAAAGATACTCCTCGAGAAGAGCAACTCCAAGACACATAATTGTCAGATTCACCAAAGTTGAAATGAAGGAAAAAATGTTAAGGGCAGCCAAAGAGAAAGGTCGGGTTACCCACAAAGGGAAGCCCATCAGACTAACAGCGGATCTCTCGGCAGAAACTCTACAAGCCAGAAGAGAGTGGAGGCCAATATTCAACATTCTTAAAGAAAAGAATTTTCAACCCAGAATTTCATATCCAGCCAAACTAAGCTTCATAAGTGAAGGAGAAATAAAATACTTTACAGACAAGCAAATGCTGAGAGATTTTGTCACCACCAGGCCTGCCCTAAAAGAGCTCCTGAAGGAAGCACTAACATGGAAAGGAACAACCGGTACATGCCACTGCAAAATCATGCCAAAATGTAAAGACCATCGAGACTAGGAAGAAACTGCACCAAATAACGAGCAAAATAACCAGCTAACATCATAATGACAGGATCAAATTCACACATAACAATATTAATTTTAAATGTAAATGGACTAAATGCTCCAACTAAAAGACACAGACTGGAAAATTGGATAAGGAGTCAAGAACCATCAGTGTGCTGTATTCAGGAAACCCATCTCACGTGCGGAGACACACATAGGCTCAAAATAAAAGGATGGAGGTAGATCTACCAAGCAAACGGAAAACAAAAAAAGGCAGGGGTGGCAATCCTAGTCTCAGATAAAACAGACTTTAAACCAACAAAGATCAAAAGAGACAAAGAAGGCCATTACATAATGGTAAAGGGATCCATTCAACAAGAAGAGCTAACTATGCTAAATATATATGCACCCAATACTGGAGCACCCAGATTCGAAAAGCAAGTCCTGAGTGACATAGAAAGACACTTAGACTCCCACACATTAATAATGGGAGACTTTAACACCCCACTGTCAACATTAGACAGATCAATGAGACAGAAAGTCAACAAGGATACCCAGGAATTGAACTCAGCTCTGCACCAAGCGGACCTAATAGACATCTACAGAACTCCCCACCCCAAATCAACAGAATATACATTTTTTTCAGCACCACACCACACCTATTCCAAAATTGACCACATACTTGGAAGTAAAGCTCTCCTCAGCAAATGTAAAAGAACAGAAATTATAACAAACTATCTCTCAGACCACAGTGCAGTCAAACTAGAACTCAGGATTAAGAATCTCACTCAAAACCACTCAACTACATGGAAACTGAACAACCTGCTCCTGAATGACTGCTGGGTACATAACGAAATAAAGGCAGAAATAAAGATGTTCTTTGAAACCAACGAGAACAAAGACACAACATACCAGAATCTCCGGGACCCATTCAAAGCAGTGTATAGAGGGAAATTTAAAGCACTAAATGCCCACAAGAGAAAGCAGGAAAGATCCAAAATTGACACCCTAACATCACAATTAAAAGAACTAGAAAAGCAAGAGCAAACACTTTCAAAAGCTAGCAGAAGGCAAGAAATAACTAAAATCAGAGCAGAACTGAAGGAAATAGAGGCACAAAAAACCCTTCCAAAAATTAATGAATCCAGGAGCTGGTTTTTTGAAAGGATCAACAAAATTGATAGACCTCTAGCAAGACTAATAAAGAAGAAAACAGAGAAGAATCAAATAGACGCAATAAAAAATGATAAAGGGGATATCAACACCGATCCCACAGAAATACAAACTACCATCAGAGAATACTACAAACACCTCTACGCAAATAAACTAGAAAATCTAGAAGAAATGGATAAATTCCTCGACACATACACTCTCCCAAGACTAAACCAGGAAGAAGTCGAATCTCTGAATAGACCAATAACAGGAGCTGAAATTATGGCAATAATCAATAGCTTACCAACCAAAAAGAGTCCAGGACCAGATGGATTCACAGCCAAATTCTACCAGAGGTACACGGAGGAACTGGTACCATTCCTTCTGAAACTATTCCAATCAATAGAAAAAGAGGGAACCCTCCCTAACTCATTTCATGAGGCCAGCATCATCCTGATACCAAAGCCAGGTGGAGACACAACCAAAAAAGAGAATTTTAGACCAATATCCTTGATGAATATTGATGTAAAAAACCTCACTAAAATACTGGCAAACCAAATCCAGCAGCACATCCAAAAGCTTATCCACCATGATCAAGTGGGCTTCATCCCTGGGATGCAAGACTGGTTCAATACACGCAAATGAGTAAATGTAATCCAGCATATAAAGAGAACCAAAGACAAAAACCACATGATTATCTCAATAGATGCAGAAAAGGCCTTTGACAAAATTCAACAACACTTCATGCTAAAAACTCTCAATAAATTAGGTATTGATAGGACGTATCTCAAAATAATAAGAGCTGTCTATGACAAACCCACAGCCGATATCATACTGAATGTGCAAAAACTGGAAGCATTCCCTTTGAAAACTGGTAGAAGACACGAATGCCCTCTCTCACTACTCCTATTCAACATAGTGTTGGAAGTTCTGGCCAGGGCAATTAGGCAGGAAAAGGAAATAAAGGGTATTCAATTAGGAAAAGAGGAAGTCAAATTGTCCCTGTTTGCAGACGACATGATTGTATATCTAGAAAACCCCATTGTCTCAGCTCAAAATCTCCTTAAGCTGATAAGCAACTTCAGCAAAGTCTCAGGATACAAAATCAATGTACAGAAATCACAAGCATTCTTATACACCAACAACAGACAGACCGACAGCCAAATCATGAGTGAACTCCCATTCACAATTGCTTCAAAGAGAATAAAATACCTAGGAATCCAACTTACAAGGGATGTGAAGGACCTCTTCAGGGAGATCTACAAACCACTGCTCAAGGAAGTAAAAGAGGATACAAACAAATGGAAGAACATTCCATGCTCATGGGTAGGAAGAATCAATATCATGAAAATGGCCATACTGCCCAAGGTAATTTACAGATTCAATGCCATCCCCATCAAGCTACCAATGACTTTCTTCACAGAATTGGAAAAAAACTACTTTAAAGTTCATATGAAACCAAAAAAAAGCCCACATCTCCAAGTCAATCCTAAGCCAAAAGAACAAAGCTGGAGGCATCACACTACCTGACTTCAAACTATACTACAAGGCTACAGTAACCAAAACAGCATGGTACTGGTAGTAAAACAGAGATATAGATCAATGGAACAGAACAGAGCCCTCAGAAATAACACTGCATATCTACAACTATCTGATCTTTGACAAACCTGACAAAAACAAGCAATAGGGAAAGGATTCCCTATTTAATAAATGGTGCTGGGAAAACTGGCTAGTCATATGTAGAAAGCTGAAACTGGATCCCTTCCTTACACCTTATACAAAAATCAATTCAAGATGGATTAAAGACTTAAACGTTAGACCTAAAACCATAAAAACCCTAGAAGAAAACCTAGACATTACCATTCAGGACATAGGCATAGGCAAGGACTTCATGTCTAAAACACCAAAAGCAATGGCAACAAAAGCCAAAATTGACAAATGGGATCTAATTAAACTAAAGAGCTTCTGCACAGCAAAAGAAACTACCATCAGAGTGAACAGGCAACTTACAAAATGGGAGAAAATTGTCACAACCTACTCATCTGACAAAGGGCTAATATCCAGAATCTACAATGAACTCAAACAAGTTTACAAGAAAAAAAACAAACAACCCCATCAAAAAGTGGGTGAAGGACATGAACAGACACTTCTCAAAAGAAGACATTTATGCAGCCAAAAAACACATGAAAAAATGCTCACCATCACTGGCCTTCAGAGAAATGCAAATCAAAACCACAATGAGATACCATCTCACACCAGTTAGAATGGCAATCATTAAAAAGTCAGGAAACAACAGGTGCTGGAGAGGATGTGGAGAAATAGGAACACTTTTACACCGTTGGTGGGACTGTAAACTAGTTCAACCCTTATGGAAGCCAGTGTGGTGATTCCTTAGGTATCTAGAACTAGAAATACCATTTGACCCAGCCATCCCATTACTGGGTATGTACCCAAAGGACTATAAATCATGCTGCTATAAAGACACATGCACACGTATGTTTATTGCGGCATTATTCACAATAGCAAAGACTTGGAAGCAACCCAAATGTCCAACAATGATAGACTGGATTAGGAAAATGTGGCACAATACACCATGGAATACTATGCAGCCATAAAAAAGGATGAATTCATGTCCTTTGTAGGGACATGGATGAAATTGGAAAACATCATTCTCAGTAAACTATCGCAAGAACAAAAAACCAAACACCACATATTCTCACTCATAGGTGGGAATTGAACAATGAGAACACATGGACACAGGAAGGGGAACATCACACTCTGGGGACTGTTGTGGGGTGGGGGGAGTGGGGAGGGGAAGCATTGGGAGATATACCTAATGCTAGATGACGAGTTAGTGGGTGCAGTGCACCAGCATGACACATGTATGCATATGTAACTAACCTGCACATTGTGTACATGTACCCTAAAACTTAAAGTATAATAATAATAAATTTTTAAAGAATCAAGTTCCAGGAGGATTCATAATCAAAAGTAATAAATAAATAAATAAATAATTATCAAAAGAAAACATACTAATGACCAATAGTTACATAGAAAACGCTCAACATCACTAATCATCAGGGAAATGCAAATTGAAACCACAATGAGACATCATCTTACCCCAGCTAAAATGATTAGAAAGACAAAACAAGCAAAAACAACAACAAACAAAAACAGATACTGGCAAGGATGCGGATAAAGGGAATGCTTATTACACAGTTTGTGGGAATGTAAATTAGTACAACTACTATGAAAAACAGCGTAAACATTTATTTAAAAGCTATAAGTAGAACTATCATACAATCTAGCAATCCCACTATGGGGTATTTATCCATAAGAGAAGAAAACAGTATATCCAAGAGATACCAGCACTCAATTGTTTATAGCACTCTTCACAACAGCAAAGCTATGAAATCAACAGAAGTATCAATAAAACAGATAAAGAAAATGTGGTATATATGCATTATGGATTATTATTCAGTAATTGAAGAAATAAGATGTCATTTACAATGACATGGATGTACCTGGAGGTTACCATGCTAAGTGAAACATGCCAGGCAGAGAAAGACAAATCTTGTATGTTCTCACTCATTTGGAGGAGCTAAAAAAGTTGATCTCATGAAGACAGAGAATGATAACTACCTGAGGCTGGGAAGATGTGAGGGTAGAAGGGAGGATGAAGAGAGGCTGGTTAATGGATACAAACATACAGTTAGAAGAAATAAATTCTAATGTTTGATAGCAGAGTTGGGTGACTTCAGATAGCAGAGTATATTTCAAAGTAGCTAGAAGACTTGAAATGGTACCAACACAAAAATGACAAACACTCAAGTTGATGGATACCTCAAATACTCCTGGCTTGATAATACATTCTATGCATGTAACAATCACAAGTACCTGATAAATATGTAAAATGTTATGAATAAATAAAACAAAAAAGCATTATCAGTACAAGTAAATGAAATCTGAGCAGGTCAGACATTAAACAGGTGTTTACTGCATGGTGAGGTATGTACATTTTAAACTTCAATGAATATTTGCCTGAACCAAATCAACTCCTTGCATGATAAAAAGAAAAATGAAACATGCTGAGGTATATAAGTACACCTTCTCCATCCCTCAAACAAATGTATGCATTTAAACAAAACATGAAGGACTTCCATGTGCTGGGCTGCTGTAGCAAAGCACAATTTTGGTGCCCATCCCTGAAGGCTTTGCATCCTATTTTGAGGTGATGCTGCTGTTGCCTGTCAGGCCAGGGAATGAGTGGGGCCCAAGGCACTCTCTTGCTCCCTAAACAGGTTCCACCACCATTGTGTTGGGAATGAAGTACATTCAAGCCACACATCCCATGCCTGCCAGTTCATCCCAAGACTGCCTGCCTTCCCATTCTCACAGGAAGTTGAGATATGTGGCACAGTTGCTGTTGCCACACCTGAGTGTTCTTTTGGTGGCCTGGAAGCTGTTTACCCCTTCTGATCACAGCAGGTGCTACAGCCTGAGTGGCCAGGGGAAAAACCTACTGACCTTATCCCAGTTCCCCAGGACTCAACACAATCACTCAGGTGCATGAAGATGAGATTTGTTATGTGACCTCCAACAGGGGAGGAATTCCCACTGACAGAACACAGAGAAGACTGTTGTGTGAATGTATGCTGTGGCATAGGAGCTGGGCCCGCCTTTCATCACAAGACTAGTCCTGAGAGGGTGTGGCCTCATAGCTACAGTTTCTGGAACTGTTCAACAATCTGAATGTAGACTCTTTGGGACCAGTCTAAGCATTCTGGCATTCTGGCAGCAGCTAGCGCCTGGAGGGAGAACTTTCAGGTCAGGGGTGTGGGAATTAGGTGGATCCCACAGCCACCTACTATGCTGAACACTCTGGGCCATGCCCTTCTTCACCTCAGTAGGCTCTGTGGTGGACAGACACCTCTATTCCTCCCTTAAGAGTTGCTCCAGCAGCCTGGGAGCTGTGCCTAGACTGCTGCAAACGTTGGTACTTATGCCTGCCTTCAAGAGCCTGCTCACTGACATACCAACCCAGCCATGACCAGCATTGCCCACTCTAGTCACCTTGGTAGCAAAGAACCGGACAGGGATCCCCAGGAGCTCCACAGCCCTGCCCATCACTGAGATACCCTGGCACTTCTCCTGGTTTTAAATGGCCAAGTAAAAATCTCACTGCCACCACTGAAGCTGCCTCTTTCTTGCAAGTACAACCTACTGACTTTGATGCCAGTCTGCAAAAATGATTACAGCTTATGCTGACACATCTGTGCAGCATTCAGCTAGCTCTTACAAGTGCCACCTACTGGTCTATAGGATGGACGGCAGAATTTAAAATAATTCCTGCTGACAGAAGTTCACACTGCTGTAAAAAATGATGAGCCTCCTACCCATCTCTGCAGAAGACAGCAAGCCTACTCACATGCATAGTACACCACTACTACATGCTACAAACAACCGGCATTTGAGAACACCACTACACAAAGGCTATCTACTACCAAGGAATTCAAACAAAGCTTTGCCCCCTAATAGCATAAAGAAGCAAAGCCAAAAAAAATGCTACTCAACATATGAAATAAACCCTCGGGGGGTAAAATCCCCATCTGAACAGAAGTAAATTCAAAAAAAATCAGAATAAGAACTGTGGCATCACAAAAAACAGAGTGTTGCAGCACCCATAAGGATCACACTAGCGGTCTAGACATGGGTCCTAAACAAAATAAAAATTCTGAAAGGACAAATTCCACCAATTCCACAAATGGCAAACTATGGCTTGTAAGAAAGCCCAATGAGATACAAGAGAGTTGAAAACCACCACAAAGAAATCAGATTAACAATTTGGAAAGGGAGCCCCTCACCCCCAGCCAAGAAAAGCAGTGAGTCAATGTGCAACCCCAGGGAAACCACACTTCTCCCCCAGATCTTTGCAACCCTCCAATCAGCAGATTACCTTGTGAGCCCACACTACAGGGGCCTTGGGTCCAACACACAGCTGTGTGGAGTCTTGGCAGAGCAACTGCTCAGGCATGCACAGAAACCCAGGAGCTTTATAGACTCTGAGCCCAGGATCCCTGACAAAGGTGACTGCAACTCAGGCAAGGTCAAAGGTCCGTACATACCCATAGGAAGGGGGCAGAATTGAAGGAGCTGAGCAGCAGCAGTCTGCGGGCCCCACTTCCATGGCATGTCACAAGATAAGACCCATTGGCTTGGAATTCCAGCCAGCCACTAAAAACAGGGTGGAGCCTGCCTGAGATGGGATGGAACCCCCAAGACAAGGGGCACACTATCATCTTTGCTGTTTGGTCAACCCAGCTGTTCCAGCCAGCAGGATTTGGAGAGTCCAGATGGTACAAATGAGAAAAGGTCCTCACAGTGCAGCACAGCTGCTTTGCCAGAACGTGGCCAGACTGCTTAAGTGAAACCTCAATCCATTCTTCCTCACTGGGTGAGACCTCCCAACTTGGGTCTCCAGCCACCCCCTCCCACTCATATTCTATAGACAGAGTTCTGATCTCTCCTTGGGATGGGCTGCCACCTTGGTTGTTTGGACAACTCAGCCATTCCAGCCTTAGGCCTAGGGAGAGTCCAACACCAACAGGGCAAAGGTGGTTCCACAGCCTGTCATGACTGTTTTGTTGAGGCATGGCCAGACTGCTTCTTTAAATGGGTCCCTGATCTACTCCTTCTCACAAGGTCAGTCCTCCTAGCCAAGGCCTCTGGCCACCCTCACCTGTATACTATGGACAGCGTTCTGATATCTTTCTGCCAAAAAGTGCTTGTGGGGAGGGGTGGGTCATCATCTTTGCTGTTTGGATGACTCAGCCCTTCAAGCCTGTGGGCTTTGGAGAGTATAAGCAGACAAGGCAAAAAGCAATTCCACAGCATGATATAGCTGTTTTGTTGAGAAGTGGCCAGACTGCTTCTTTCAACAGGACTCAGATCCATTCCTCCTTGCTGGCTCTCCCAGCCAAAGCCTCTGGTCACCACTGCTCATGTTCTATTGCAAACAAAGTTCTAATTTATCCCTGGGATGGAGTGCCTGATGGGTGAAGCAGGCCACCACCTTTCCTATTTGGGCATCTGAGCTGGTCCAACCTGTGAACCTTAAAGGATCCAAACCAACTGGGAGGCTGAAGGGATCCCCAATACAGCACAGCTGCTCTACAAAATTCAGCCAGACTGCGTCTTCAAGTTTGTCTCCGATCCCTTTCCCTCTGACTGGGTGAGGTATTCCAACCCAGGTCTCCAGCCAACTCCTATAGGTGCATTCAGGCCCCCTGGAATGAAGCTACCAGAGGAAGGAGCAGGATGCCATCTTTGCTGTTTCACAGCCTTCTCTGGTGATACTTCCAGGTACTGGAAAAACTGAGGCAACAAGGGTCTAGAATGGAACCCCAACAAACTGCAGCACCCCTATGAAACAGTGGCCAGACTGCTGAAAGAAAAGCACCCAAGCAAATAAACATCCAAAAAAAAAAAAAAAAAACCTAAGATCAGGAACCTCAAAGATCAAAGGTAGATAAGTCCACAAAGATGAGAAAGAATCAGTGCAAAAATAATAAAAATTCAAAAACCCAGAGTGCCCCCTTTTCTCCAAATGGCCACAACACCACCTCTCCAGCAAGGATTCAGAACTGGACTGAGGCTAGAAATAGCTGAAATGACACAAGTAGGCTTCCAATGTGGGTAAAAATGAACTGCACTGAGCTAAAAAAGCCACTTGCAACCCCTTGTAAGGAAGCTAGGAATCTTGATAAAATAATGCAAGAGCTGATAGCCAGCATAGAGAGAAACATAACTGACCTGATAGAGCGGAAAAACACACTAACAAACTCCATAATGCAATCACAAGTACTAGTAGCAGAATACACCATACAAAGGGAAGAATCTCAGAGCTTGAAGACTGACCTTCTGAAATAAGACAGGCAGGCAAGAATAAAAACAAAGAACAAAGGAATGAACAAAACTTCACAGAAATATGGGGTTATGTAGAGACTGAATCTACAACTGACTGAGGTACATGAAAGAGATGAGGAGAGTAAAACCAATTTGGAAAACATTTCGGGATACCATCGAGGAGAACTTCCCTGATCTACCTAGACAGGCCAACATTCAAATTTCAAAAATGCAGAGAACCCCAGTAAGATAATCCACAAAAAAAAATCGTCCTCAAGACACATAATCAGCAGATTCTCCAAGGTCCACATGAAGGAAAAAATGCTCAGGGCAGCCAGAGAGAAAGGCCACATCGCCTACAGAGGGAAGCCCAGCAGACAAATAGTGGACCTCTCAGCAGAAACCTTAAAGGCCAGAATAGATTGAAGGCCACTATTCAGCACTCTTAAAAGAATTTCCAACCCAGAATTTCATATCTGGCCAAACTAAGCTTTATAAGCAAAGAAGATATAAGATCCTTTTCAAACAAACTAATGCTGAGGTAATTCGTTACCAGCAGACCTGACTTACAAGAGCTCCTGAAGAAAGCACTGAATATGGAAAGGAAAAACCATTACCAGCCACTATAAAAACACACTGAAGTACACAGACCAGTGTCACTATGAAGTGACACTGTAGACCACATAAACAGGTCTACAAAATAACCAGGCAGGATCATGATGACAGGATCAAATCCACAAATAATAATTCTAACCTTAAATGTAAATGGGCTAAATGCCCCAATTAAAAGACACAGAATAGCAAGCTGTATAAAAAACCAAGAACAAATGGTATGCTGCCTTCCAGAGACCCATCCCATGTGCAAAGACACACATAAGCTCAAAATAAAGGGATGGAGGAAAATTTACCAAACAAAAAGCAGGTGTTGCAATCCTAGTTTCTGAAAAAACAGACTTTAAACAAACAAAGATCCAAAAGGCAGAGAAGGGCATCACATAATGGTAAAGGGCTCAATTCAACAAGAAGAGCTAACTATCTGGAATATCTATGAACCCAGTACAAGAGCACCCAGATTCATAAAACAAGTTCTTAGAGACCTACAAACAGACTTAGACTCCCAGGCAATAATAGTGAGAGACTTTAACACCCCACTGACAATATTAGACAGATCATCAAGACAGAAAATTAAGAAACATATTCAGGGCCTGAACTCAGCTCTGAATCAAGTGAACCTGATAGGTACAGAACTCACCACACCCAAACAACAGAATATACATCCTTCTCATCACCACTTGGCACTTAGTATAAAATTGACCATATAATTGAAAGTAAAACACTCCTCAGCAAATGCAAAAGAACTGAAATAATAATAAACAGTCTCTCAGAGAACAGCACAATCAAATTAGAACTCAAGATTAAGAAATACATGCAAAACCATATAACTACATGGAAGTTGAACCACCTGCTTCTGAATGAGTAAATAATAAACTTAAGGCAGAAATCAAGAAGTTCTTTCAAACTAATGAGAATATACAACACATCTGGGAATCTCCTTGATGCAGCTAAAGCAGTGTTAAGAGGGAAAGTTGTAGCACTAAAATGCCCATATCAAACAGCTAGAAAGATCTCAAGTTAATAACATAAATAACAACTAAAATAACTAGAGAACCAAGAGCAAACAAACCCCTCAGCTAGCAGAAGGCAAGAAGTAGTCAAGATCAGGGCAGAACAGAAAGAGATAGAGACACGAAAAACCCTTAACAAAAATCAGCATATCCAGAAGTTGGCTTTTTGAAAAAAATTATTAAAATAGAGACTACTAGCTAGACTAATGAAGAAAAGAGAGAAAAATTCAAGTAGACAAAACCAGAAATAATAAGAAGTGTATCACCACTGACCCCAAAGAAATACAAATATCAGAGAATACTACAAAAACCTCTATGCACATAAACTAGAAAATTGAGAAGAAATGGATAAAATGCTGGACACATACATGCTCTGAAGACTGAAGCACGGAGAAACTGAATCCTGAATAGACCAATAATGAGTTATGAACTTGAGACAGTAAAAAATACTCTACAAACCAAAAACAAAGCCCAGGAACAGACGAATTCACAGCTTAATACTACCAGAGGTACAAAGAAGAGCTGGTACCATTCCTACTGAAACTATTCCAAAACATTAAAAAGGAGGGACTCCTCCATAACTCATTCTATGAGGCCAACATACCAAACCCTGGCAGAGATATAGCAAGAAAAGAAAACTTCAGTCCAATATTCTTGATGAACATCAATGCAAAAATCCCCAACAAAATACTGGCAAACTGAATCCATCAGCACAGCAAAAAGCTTATCCACCACAGCAAAAAGCCTATCCACCATAATTATTGGGCAAAATTCACCCCCAATATTTCATGTAGGTTCTATTCTATTTTCCCTAATTGTCAGCCAGTCTGAGAAATAAAGGGACAGAGTACAAAAGGAGAAATTTTAAAGCTGGGGGCCCAGGGAGACATCACATGTCGGTAGGTTCCATGATGCCCCTGAGCTGTAAAACCAGCAAGTTTTTATTAGGAATTTTCAAAGGGGAGGGAGTGCACAAATAGGGTGTGGGTCACAGAGATCACATGCTTCAAGGGCAACAAAAGATCACAAGGCAGAAGGTCAGGGTGAAACTAGAATCACTAATGAACTTCTATGTCCCACTGTGCACGCATTGTCAGGCTTCAAGAGCAGAGAACTGGTCTGACTAGAATTCACCAGGCTGGAATTTCCTAATCCTAGCAAGCCTGGGGGCACTGCAGGAGACGAGGGCATGTTTCATCCCTATCTACATCTGCATAAAGCAGACACCCCCAGAGCGGCCACTTCAGAGGCCTCCTCTGTGAATGCATTCTTTTCCCAGGGCTGTTAATTATTAATATTCCTTACTGGGGAAAGAGTTCAGTGACATTTATCTTACCCATTTTTGGTAGTAAGAGAAATATGGCTCTGTCCTTCCTGCCCACAGGCAGCCAGACTTTAAGGTCATCTCCCTTGTTCCCTGAAAATCGTGGTTATCCTGTTCTTAAGGTGCACAGATTTCATATCATTCAAATACACGTGCTCTACAAACAATTTGTGCAGTTAACGCAATCATCACAGGATCCTGAGGCATCATTCATACTCAGCTTACAAAGATGTCAGGATTAAGAGATTAAAGTAAAGACAGGCATAGGAAATCACAAGAGTATGGATTGGGGAAGGGATAAATGTCCATGAAATCTTCACAATTTATGTTCAGAGATTGCAGTAAAGACAGGTGTAAGAAATTATAAAAGTATTAATTTGAGGAACTAATCAATGTCCATGAAATATTCACAATTTATGTTCTTCTGCCATGGCTTCAGCCAGTCTCTCTGTTTGGGGTCCCTGACTTCCCGCAACACATAATCAGGCAGAAGTTATTCCCAGGATGCAAGGCTGGCTCAACACATGCAAATCAAATGTGATTCATCACATAAACAGAACTAGAGACAAAACCACATGATTATCTCAATAGGGGCATAAAATGCCATTGACAAAATTCAACATCCTTTCATTTTAAAAACTCTCAATAAACAGGTATTGAAAGAACAAACCTCAAAATAATAAAAGCCATATATGACAAACACACAGCAAATATCATGTTGAATAAGCAAAAGATAGAAGCTTATTCTATCTTGACGCCTTGAGGGCCAGGTGCAGTGGCTCGGGCCTGTAATCCCAGCATTTTGGGAGGCCGAGGTGGGTGGATCACCTGAGGTCAAGAGTTTGAGACCAGCCTGACCAACATGGAGAAACCCCATCTGTACTAAAAATACAAAATTAGCCAGGCATGGTGCCTCATGCCTGTAATCCCAGCTACCCAAAACACCAGGATGCTGAGGCAGGAGAATCTCCTGAACCCTGGAGGCAGAGGTTTCAGTGAGCTGAGATAGCACCATTGTACTCCAGCCTGGGCAACAAGAACAAATCTCTGTCTCAAAAAAAAGAAGAAGAAGAAGAAGAAGAAGAAGAAGAAGAAGAAGAAGAAGAAGAAGAAGAAGAAGAAGAAGAAGAAGAAGAAGAAAAAGAAGAAGCATTTCCCTTGAAAATTGGCATAAGAGAAAGTTTCCCTCTCTCACCACTCCTATTCAACACAGTATTGGAAGTTCTGGCCAGGGCAATCAAGCAAAAGAAAGAAATTAAGCATATTCAAATAAAAAGAGAAGAAGTCAAACTATCTTTGTTTGCAGATGACATGATTCTATTCCTATTTCAACAGAACCCCATCATATCAGCCCAATAACTTCACAGAAGAAACTGAAAAGCCACTTCAGCAGAGTCTCAGAACTCAAAATCAATGTACAAAAATCACCAGCATTCCTATACACCAAGAGGCAAGCCAAGAGCCAAATAGTAAATGAATTCTCCTTCACAACTGCCACACAAGAAAATACCTAAGAATACAGCTAACAAGAAAAGTGAAGAACCTCTTCAGGAACTACAAAACACTACTCAAGAAAACCAGAGAGGACACAAACGAGTGGAAAAACATTTCATGCTCATGGATAAAGAATCAATATCATCAAAATGGCCATACTACCTGATATGGTTTGGCTCTATGTTCATGCCCAAATCTCAAATCGAATTGTAATCCCTACATGGAGATTGGAACTTGGTGCAAGGTAATTTTATCATGGGAGCAACCCGCACCCCCGCATGCTGTTTGCATGATACTGAGTTCTCATGAGATCTGATGGACTAAACGTGTGTGGCAGTTCCCCCCTCACTCTCTTGCCACTGTGTAAAATGTGCCTTGCTTCTCTTCACCTTCTGCCACGATTGTACATTTCTTGAGGCTTCCCCAGATGTGTGTCACTGCGAGTCAACAAAACATCTTTTCTTTATGAATTACCCAGGCTCAGGTAGTTCTTTATAGCTGTGTGAAAGCAGACTAATACAAAAAAGTGATACTGGGAGTAAGGCACTGCTATAAAGGTACCTGAACATGTGGAAGCAACATAGAAACTGGGTAATGAGCAGAGGTTGGAGCAGTTTGGAAGGCTCAAAAGAAGACAGGAATATTGGGGAAAGTTTGGGACTTCCTACAAACTTTTGAATGGATTTGACCAAAATACTGATAGTGATATGGACAATGAAGTCCAGGCTGAGGTGAACTCAGATGGAAGTGAGGAGCTTATTGGGATGTAAAGTAAAGGTCACTCTTGCTATGCTTAAGCAAAGAGACTGGCAGCATTTTGCCCCTAAACTAGAGAACTGTGGAACTTTGAACTTCAGAGAGATGATTTAGGGTATCTTGCAGAACAAATTTTTTTTCTGAGAGAGTTCTGCTCTGTCACCCAGGCTAGAGTACAGTGGTGTGATCATGGCCCACTGCAACCTCTGCTTCCTGGATTCAAGCAATTCTCATGTCTCAGCCTCCTGAGTAGCTGGAAATACAGGCACATGAAACCACACCCAGCTAATTTTTGTATGATTTGTAAAGATGGGGTTTCACCATGTTGACCAGACTGTTCTCAAATTCCTGACCTCAAGTCATCCCCACCTTGGCCTCCCAAAGTGCTGAAATTACAGGCATGATCCATGGTGCCCATTGAAGAAGAAATTTCTAAGCAGCTCAGCAAATCATTCAAGACATTACCTGGCTGTTTCTGAATGTGTACAGTCATGTGTGTTCACAGGGATGGTCTGAAATTGGAACTTATGTTTTAAAGGAAAACAGCATAAAAGTTTGGAAAACTTGCAACCTGACCATGTGTTAGAAAACAAAAATGGATTTTCTGGGGAAATATTCAAGCTGCTGCCTGTAGAAATTTCCATAAGTAAAGAGAAGGTGAATGTTAATAACCAAGAAAATGGGGAAAATGTCTCCAGGGCATTTCAAAGATCTTTATGGCAGCCACTCCCATCAAAGGCCTGAAGGCTTAGGAGAGAAAAATACTTTTGTGGGCTGGGCCGAGGACCTTGCTGGTCTGTGCAGCTTTGGGATATGGTGCCCTGTGTCCCAGCTGCTCCAGCTCCAGCTGTGACTAAAAGAGGCCAAGGTACAGCTCAGACAGTAGTTTCAGAGGATGCAAGTCCCAAGTCTTGGTGGCTTCTACATGCTGTTGAGCCTGTGGGTGCACAGAAGGCAACAGTTTGGGAGCCTATGCCTAGATTTCAGAGGATGTATGGAAACGCCTGGATGTCCAGGCAGAAGTCTGCTGCAGGGGCAAAGCCGTCATGGAGAACCTCTACTAGGGCAGTGCAGAGGGGAAATGTGGGGTTGAAGGCCCCACACAGAGTGCCCACTGGGGCACTGCCTGGTGGAGCCATGAGAAGAGGGCCACCATGCTCCAGAACCTAGGATGATAGATCCACTGAGAGCTTGCACCATGCACCTGGAAAAGCCACAGGCACTCAATGCTAGCCCAAGAAAGCAGCCACAGGGGCTCTACCCTGTGGAATCACTGGGGAGGATCTGCCCAAGGCCTTAGAAGGCCATGCATTGTGTCAGTGTGGCCTGCATGTGAGACATGGAGTTGAAGGAGATTATTTTGGAGTTTTAAGATTTAATGACTGCCCTGCTGGGTTCTGGATTGCATGGGGCCTGTAACTTCTTTGTTTTGGCCAATTTCTTGCATTTGGAATGGGAGCATTTACCCAATGCTTGTACTCCCATTGTATCTAAGAAATCACTAAATTTTTTTTATTTTACAGGCTCATAGGTGATAGGAACTTGCATAGTGTCACATGAGACTTTGGGCTTGAACGTTTGAGTTAATGTTGGAATAAATTAAGAGGCTGGGGGACTGTTTGGAAGGTGTGATTGGTTTCAAAACATGAGAAGGACATGAGATTTAGGAGAATCCAGGAGTTAAATAATAAGGTTTGGCTCTATGTCCCCACCCAAATCTCATGTCCAGTTGTAATTCCCACATGCCAAGAAAGGGACCTAGTAGGAAGTAACTGGATCATGAGAGTGGTTTTTCCCATGCTGTTCTCATGATAGTGAGTTCTAACAAGGTCTAATGGTTTAAAAGTGTATGGCCAGTCTCCCCCTTGCTATCTACCTCCTGCCACTAGATAAGATGTGCCTCGCTTCCCCTTCAGCTTCTGCCATAATCATAAGTCTCCTAAGGCCTCCCCAGCCATGCATAACTGTGAATCAATTAAACCTCTTTTTTTATAAATTACTATGTCTCAGGTAGTTCTATATGGCAGTGTGTAAACAGACTAATATGCTGCCCAAAGCAATTTACAGATTCAATGCTATTCCCATTAAACTACTACTGACATTCTTCACAGAATTAGAAAAAACTATTTTAAAATTAATATGAAACCAAAAAAGAGCCTGAATAACCAAGGCAATCCCAAGTAAAAAGAAAAAAAAAAAAAAGAGCTCGAGGCATCAAACTACCTGAATGCAAACTGTACTACAGAGCTACAGTAACCAAAATAGCATGGTACTAGTACAAGAACAGACACATAGACCAAAAGAACAGAATAAAGAACCCAGAAATAAGACCACACACCTACCACCATCTGATCTTTGACAAACTTAACAAGAATGCGCAATGGGGAAAGAATTCCCTATTTAACAAATAGTGCTAGGAGAACTGGCTAGCCATATGCAGATAATTGAAACTGTAATATTTCCTTCCACCATATACAAATTCAACTCAATATTAAAGACTTAAATGAAAAACCAAACACTGTAAAAACTCCAGAAGAAAACCTAGGCAATATCATTCAGGAAATAGGCATGAGCAAAGACTTCAGGATGAAGACAAAAAAGCAATTGCAACAAAAGCAAAATTGAAAAATAGGATCTAATTAAACTAAAGAGCTTCTGCACAACAAAAGAAACTATCAACAGAGTAAACAGGAAACCTACAGAATGGGAAAAAAAATTTTGCAATCTACCCATCTGACAAAGGTCTAATATCCAGGATCTATAAGAAACTTAAACAAATTTATCAGAAAAAAACCATACAACCCCATTCAAAAGTGGGCAAAGACACTTCTCAAAAGAAAACATACGGCCGGGCGCGGTGGCTCACGCCTGTAATCCCAGCACTTTGGGAGGCCGAGGCGGGCGGATCACGAGGTCAGGAGATCGAGACCATCCCGGCTAAAACGGTGAAACCCCGTCTCTACTAAAAATACAAAAAATTAGCCGGGCGTAGTGGCGGGCGCCTGTAGTCCCAGCTACTTGGGAGGCTGAGGCAGGAGAATGGCGTGAACCTGGGAGGCGGAGCTTGCAGTGAGCCGAGATTGCGTCACTGCACTCCAGCCTGGGCGACAGAGCAAGACTCCGTCTCAAAAAAAAAAAAAAAAAAAAAAAGAAAACATACATGTGGCCAACAAACATATGAAAAAAAATCACTAATTATTAGAGAAATGCAAATCAAAACCACAGTGAGATACAATCTCACACCAGTCAGAATGGCTATGATTTAAAAGTCAAAAAAACAACAGATGCTGGTGAGGTTGTGAAGAAAAAGGCATGATTTTCCACTGATAGTGGGAGTATGAATTAGTTCAACCATTTTAAAAGACAGTGTGGGGATTCCTCAAAGGTCTAGAGGCAAAAATACCATTCAAACCAGCAATCCCATTACTGGGTATATACCCAAAGGAATATAAATTGTTCTATTATAAAAACACATGCACGCACACGTTCATTGAAGCACTATTCACAATAGCAAAGGTGTGGAAGAAACATATACGCCCATCAATGACAGATTAAATGAAGAAAATATGTTAAGTATGCACCATGGCATACTATGCAGCCATAAAAGGAAAGAGATCATGTCCTTTGCAGAGACATGGATGGAACTGGAGGTGAGTGTCCTTAGCAATCTAATGTGGGAACAGAAAACCAAATACTGCATGTTCTCACTTCTAAGTGGGAGATAGATTATGAGAACACATGGAAACACATTGGGCAGGGGGACACACTGGAACCTGTAGGAGGGCAGGGGGTGGAAAAAGGGAGAGGATTAGGAAAAATAGCTAATGGATTCTGGGCTTAATACCTGAGTGGTGGGATGATCTGTGCAGCAAACCAACATGGTATATGTTTATCTATATAACAAACCTGCACATCCTGCACATGTACCCCTGAATTTAAAATAAAAGTTAAAATTTTAAAAAAAATCAAAACACCAAAAACAGTTTAAAATGTAAAAGGAAAGACAAATTTGAAAAAGCAGAAATTCTGAAAATGAAAAGTTAAATACAGTCAAAGGTTTTCACACTGTCCTAGGATCAAGCACAAGAAACAATTTTAGAACATAAAGAGTGGTCTTTCAAATTCACCTACTCACATAAAAATAAGAGAAGAATTTTCAAAAATGAACAAAGCCTTTGGAAAATATGGGATTACGTAAAGTGACCAAACCCACCAGTTATAAGCATGCCTGAGGGAGAAAATGTTAAAGGCTTGGAAAACGTATTTGAGGAGACACTTTAGGAAAGTTTTCATGGTCTTGATAAAGATGTAGGCATGCAAATGCAAGATGCTCAGAGAATAACTAGAAGATACTTTACAAGGTGAACATCACCAAGGCATGCAGTCATCTGCCTATCCAAAGTCAACATGAAAAAAATCTTAAGAGCACGTAGAGAAAAGCATCAAATCATCTATAAAGTAAATCCCATTGGACTAACAGCAGATTTCTCAGCAGACAGTCTACAGACCAGTAAATTAAAGACCTATTTAAGCCTTCTTAAAGCAAAAATGCCAGCCCCAAATTTTATATCCTGCCAAATGAAGGAGAGATAAAGTATTTCAAAGTCAGGCAAATGTTAAGTGAATGTGTCACCACTACACCAACCCTACAAGAAATGCTCAAAAGAATTCTAAACATGGAAACAAAAGAATCATAACATCATAAAGCACATACAAGTGGCCAAAAATATATAAAAAACTGCTCAGCATCAGTAATCATAAGACAAATCCAAATCAAAACCACAATAAATACCATCACACACCAGTCAGTATGGCTATTACCAAAAACTCAAAAAACAACAGATGCTGGTGGGGCTGTGGAGAAAAGGGAATGTTTATGCACTGTTGGTGGGAAAGGCAGTTTTGAGACATCTCAAATAATTTAAAACAGAGAGACCATTAGACCCAGGAATCCCATTACTGGGAATATACCCAAAAGAAAATAAGTTATTATACCAAAACCTACTTGTGCTCATATGTTTATTACTGTGCTATTCACAATAGCAAAGCCATGGAAAATCAAACCAAGTACCCATCAACAGTAGATTGGATAAACAAAATGTGGATCCAAGGAGCCAAGATGGCCAAATAGGAACACCTCCGGTCTACAGCTCCCAGCATGAGCGACGCAGAAAACGGGTAATTTCTGCATTTCCATCTGAGATACCGGGTTCATCTCACTAGGGAGTGCCAGACAGTGGGCACAGGTCAGTGGGTGCACACACCATGCACGAGCCGAAGCAGGGTGAGGCATGGCCTCACTTGGGAAGCACAAGGGGTCAGGGAGTTCCCTTTCTGAGTCAAAGAAAGGGGTGATGGATGGCACCTGGAAAATCAGGTCACTCCCACCCGAATACTGTGCTTTTCCCATGGACTTAAAAAACGGCGCACCACGAGATTATATCCCGCACCTGGCTCAGAGGGTCCTACGCCCACAGAGTCTCGCTGATTGCTAGCACAGCAGTCTGAGATCAAACTGCAAGGTGGCAGTGAGGCTGGGGGAAGGGCACCCACCATTGCCCAGGCTTGCGTAGGTAAACAAAGCAGCCAGGAAGCTCGAACTGGGTGGAGCCCACCACAGCTCAAGGAGGCCTGCCTGCCTCTGTAGGCTCCATCTCTGGGGGCAGGGCACAGACAGACAAAAAGACAGCAGTAACCTCTGCAGACTTAAATGTCCCCGTCTGACAGCTTTGAAGAGAGCAGTGGTTCTCCCAGCATGCAGCTGGAGATGTGAGAACAGGCAGACTGCCTCCTCAAGTGGGTCCCTGACCCCTGACCCCCGAGCAGCCTAACTGAGAGCCACCCCCCAGCAGGGCACACTGACACCTCACATGGTAGGGTACTCCAACAGACCTGCAGCTGAGGGTCCTCTCTGTTAGAAGGAAAACTAACAAACAGAAAGGACATCCACACCAAAAACCCATCTGTACATCACCATCATCAAAGACCAAAAGTAGATAAAACCACAAAGACGGGGAAAAAACAGAACAGAAAAACTGGAAACTCTAAAAAGCAGAGCACCTCTCCTCCTCCAAAGGAACGCAGTTCCTCACCAGCAACGGAACAAAGCTGGATGGAGAATGACTTTGACGAGCTGAGAGAAGAAGGCTTCAGACGATCAAATTACTCTGAGCTACGGGAGGACATTCAAACCAAAGGCAAAGAAGTTGAAAACTTTGAAAAATTTTTAGAAGAATGTATAACTAGAATAACCAATACAGAGAAGTGCTTAAAGGAGGTGATGGAGCCGAAAACCTAAGCTCGAGAACTATGTGAAGAATGCAGAAGCCTCAGGAGCTGATGCAATCAACTGGAAGAAAGGGTATCAGCGATGGAAGATGAAATGAATGAAATGAAGTGAGAAGGGAAGTTTAGAGAAAAAAGAATAAAAAGAAATGAGCAAAGCCTCCAAGAAATATGGGACTATGTGAAAAGACCAAATCTACGTCTGATTGGTGTACCTGAAAGTGACGGGGAGAATGGAACCAAGTTGGAAAACACTCTGCAGGATATTATCCAGGAGAACTTCCCCAATCTAGCAAGGCAGGCCAACATTCACATTCAGGAAATACAGAGATCACCACAAAGATACTCCTCGAGAAGAGCAACTCCAAGACACATAATTGTCAGATTCACCAAAGTTGAAATGAAGGAAAAAATGTTAAGGGCAGCCAGAGAGAAAGGTCGGATTACCCTCAAAGGGAAGCCCATCAGACTAACAGCGGATCTCTCAGCAGACACTCTACAAGCCAGAAGAGAGTAAGGGCCAATATTCAACATTATTCAAGAAAAGAATTTTCAACCCAGAATTTCATATCTAGCCAAACTAAGCTTCATAAGTGAAGGAGAAATAAAATACTTTACAGACAAGCAAATGCTGAGAGATTTTGTCACCACCAGGCCTGCCCTAAAAGAGCTCCTGAAGGAAGCGCTAAACATGGAAAGGAACAACGGGTACCAGCCGCTGCAAAATCATGCCAAAATGTAAAGACCATCGAGACTAGGAAGAAACTGCATCAAATAATGAGCAAAATAACCAGCTAACATCATAATGACAGGATCAAATTCACACATAACAATATTAACTTTAAATGTAAATAGACTAAATGCTCCAATTAAAAGACACAGACTGGAAAATTGGATAAAGAGTCAAGACCCATCAGTGTTCTGTATTCAGGAAACCCATCTCATGTGCGGAGACACACATAGGCTCAAAATAAAAGGATGGAGGAAGATCTACCAAGCAAATGGAAAATAAAAAAAGGCAGGGGTTGCAATCCTAGTCTCTGATAAAACAGACTTTAAACCAACAAAGATCAAAAGAGACAAAGAAGGCCATTACATAATGGTAAAGGGATCAATTCAACAAGAAGAGCTAACTATCCTAAATATATATGCACCCAATACAGGAGCACCCAGATTCATAAAGCAAGTCCTGAGTGACCTACAAAGAGACTTAGACTCCCACACATTAATAATGGGAGACTTTAACACCCCACTGTCAACATTAGACCGATCAATGAGACAGAAAGTCAACAAGGATACCCAGGAATTGAACTCAGCTCTGCACCAAGCAGACCTAATAGACATCTACAGGACTCTCCACCCCAAATCAACAGAATATACATTTTCTTCGGCACCACACCACACCTATTCCAAAATTGACCACGTACTGGGAAGTAAAGCTCTCCTCAGCAAATGTAAAAGAACAGAAATTATAACAAACTATCTCTCAGACCACAGTGCAATCAAACTAGAACTCAGGATTAAGAATCTCACTCAAAACCGCTCAACTACATGGAAACTGAACAACCTGCTCCTGAATGACTGCTGGGTACATAACGAAATGAAGGCAGAAATAAAGATGTTCTTTGAAACCAACGAGAACAAAGACACAACATACCAGAATCTCTGGGATGCATCCAAAGCAGTGTGTAGAGGGAAATTTATAGCACTAAATGCCCACAAGAGAAAGCAGGAAAGATCCAAAATTGACACCCTAACATCACGATTAAAAGAACTAGAAAAGCAAGAGCAAACACATTCAAAAGCTAGCAGAAGGCAAGAAATAACTAAAATCAGAGCAGAACTGAAGGAAATAGAGACACAAAAAACCCTTCAAAAAATTAATGAATCCAGGAGCTGGTTTTTTGAAAGGATCAACAAAATTGATAGACCGCTAGCAAGACTAATAAAGAAAAAAACAGAGAAGAATCAAATAGACGCAATAAAAAATGATAAAGGGGATATCACCACCGATCCCACAGAAATACAAACTACCATCAGAGAATACTACAAACACCTCTACGCAAATAAACTAGAAAATCTAGAAGAAATGGATAAATTCCTCGACACATACACTCTCCCAAGACTAAACCAGGAAGAAGTAGAATCTCTGAATAGACCAATAACAGGAGCTGAAATTGTGGCAATAATCAATAGCTTACCAACCAAAAAGAGTCCAGGACCAGATGGATTCACAGCCGAATTCTACCAGAGGTACAAGGAGGAATTGGTACCATTCCTTCTGAAACTATTCCAATCAATAGAAAAAGAGGGAATCCTCCCTAACTCATTTTATGAGGCCAGCATCATTCTGATACCAAAGCCGGGCAGAGACACAACCAAAAAAGAGAATGTTAGACCAATATCCTTGATGAACATCGATGCAAAAATTATCAATAAAATACTGGCAAAACGAATTCAGCAGCACATCAAAAAGCTTATCCACCATGATCAAGTAGGCTTCATCCCTGGGATGCAAGGCTGGTTCAATATATGCAAATCAATAAATGTAATCCAGCATATAAACAGAGCCAAAGACAAAAACCACATGATTATCTCAATAGATGCAGAAAAAGCCTTTGACAAAATTCAACAACCCTTCATGCTAAAAACTCTCAATAAATTAGGTATTGATGGGATGTATTTCAAAATAATAAGAGCTATCTATGACAAACCCACAGCCGATATCATACTGAATGGGCAAAAACTGGAAGCTTTCCCTTTGAAAACTGGCACAAGACAGGGATGCCCTCTCTCACCACTCCTATTCAACATAGTGTTGGAAGTTCTGGCCAGGGCAATTAGGCAGGAGAAGGAAATAAAGGGTATTCAAATTGTCCCTGTTTGCAGATGACATGATTGTATATCTAGAAAACCCCATTGTCTCAGCCCAAAATCTCCTTAAGCTGATAAGCAACTTCAGCAAAGTCTCAGGATACAAAATCAATGTACAAAAATCACAAGCATTCTTATACACCAACAACACACAGATAGAGAGCCAAATCATGGTGAACTCCCATTCACAATTGCTTCAAAGAGAATAAAATACCTAGGAATCCAACTTACAAGGTATGTGAAGGACCTCTTCAAGGAGAACTACAAACCACTGCTCAAGGAAATAAAAGAGGATACAAACAAATGGAAGAACATTTCATGCTCATGGGTAGGAAGAATCAATATCGTGAAAATGGCCATACTGCCCAAGGTAATTTACAGATTCAATGCCACCCCCATCAAGTTACCAATGACTTTCTTCACAGAATTGGAAAAAACTGCTTTAAAGTTCATATGGAACCAAAAAAGAGCCCACATCGCCAAGTCAATCCTAAGCCAAAAGAACAAAGCTGGAGGCATCACACTACCTGACTTCAAACTATACTACAAGGCTACAGTAACCAAAACAGCATGGTACTGGTACCAAAACAGAGATATAGATCAGTGGAGCATAACAGAGCCCTCAGAAATAATGCCGCATATCTACAACTATCTGATCTTTGACAAACCTGACAAAAACAAGCAATGGGGAAAGGAGTCCCTATTTAATAAATGGTTCTGGGAAAACTGGCTAGCCATATGTAGAAAGCAGAAACTGGATCCCTTCCTTACACCTTATATGAAAATCAATTCAAGATGGATTAAAGACTTAAAGGTTAGACCTAAAACCATAAAAACCCTTGAAGAAAACCTAGGCATTACCATTCAGGACATAGGCATAGGCAAGGACTTCATGTCTAAAACACCAAAAGCAATGGCAACAAAAGCCAAAATTGACAAATGGGATCTAATTAAACTAAAGAGCTTCTGCACAGCAAAAGAAACTACCGTCAGAGTGAACAGGCAACCTACAAAATGGGAGAAAATTGTCACAACCTACTTATCTGAAAAAAGGCTAATATCCAGAATCTACAATGAACTCCAACAAATTTACAAGAAAAAAACAAACAACCCCATCAGAAAGTGGGCGAAGGACATGAACAGACACTTCTCAAAAGAAGACAGTTATGCAGCCAAAAAACACATGAAAAAATGCTCACCATCACTGGCCTTCAGAGAAATGCAAATCAAAACCACAATGAGATATCATCTCACACCAGTTAGAATGGCAATCATTAAAAAGTCAGGACACAACAGGTGCTGGAGAGGATGTGGAGTAATAGGAACACTTTTACACTGTTGGTGGGACTGTAAACTAGTTCAACCATTGTGGAAGTCAGTGTGGCGATTCCTCAGGGATCTAGAACTGGAAATACCATTTGACCCAGCCATCCCATTCCTGGGTATATACCCAAAGGACTATAAATCATGCTGCTATAAAGACACATGCACACGTATGTTTATTACGACATTATTCACAATAGCAAAGACTTGGAACCAACCCAAATGTCCAACAATGATAGACTGGATTAAGAAAATGTGGCACATATACACCATGGAATACTATGCAGCCATAAAAAATGATGAGTTCATGTCCTTTGTAGGGACATGGATGAAATTGGAAATCATCATTCTCAGTAAACTATTGCAAGAACAAAAAACCAAACACGGCATATTCTCACTCATAGGTGGGAATTGAACAATGAGATCACATGGACACAGGAAGGGGAATATCACACTCTGTGGACTGTTGTGGGGTGTGGGGAGGGAGGAGGGAAAGCATCGGGAGATGTACCTAATGCTAGATGACAAGTTAGTGGGTGCAGCGCACCAGCATGGCACATGTATACATATGTAACTAACCTGCACAATGTGCACATGTACCCTAAAACTTAAAGTATAATTAAACAAAAAAAAAGAAATTGTGGTCCATATACACCATGGAATACTACACAACCATAAAAGGAATAAAATCATGTTCTTATCAGCAACATGGATAAAACTGGAGGCTATAATCTTAAGCAAATTAACACAGAAACAGAAAATAAAATGCCACATGTTCTCACTTATGAGTGAAAGCTAAACATTCACCACACTGAGACATAAACATGGGAATAAAATATATATACTACTAGAGTGAGGAGGAAGAAAGAGGAATATGGATTGATAAACTACCTACTGAGTACTATTCTGACTAACTGGGTGCAATATACCCTTGCAATGATCAAGCACATGTACCTCTGCATCAAAAATCATTGTTAGCCAGGAGCAGTGGCCTGTAATCCCAGTGCTTTGGGAGGCTGGGGTGGGTGGATCATTTGAGGTCAGGGGTTTGAGCCCAGTCTGGCCAACATGATGAAACCACATCTCTACTAAAAATACAAAAAAAAATTAGCCAGGTGTGGTGGCACATGTCTGTAATCTTAGCTACTCAAGAGACTGAGGCAGGAGAATCGCTTGAACCCAGGAGGTGGAGGTTGCAGTGAGCCAAGATCATGCCACTGCACTCCAGCCTGGGTGACAGAGTGAGACAATGTCTCACACAAATATATAAATAAATAATTGTTAAAATTTTAAAAAACATATCAGTACAAACCTCACAAATCCTATGAAGTGGTTGAGACTCCAAAGAAACTAGGTAACAATATGATGACACAATTGAGACTCTGAAGAAACTAGGTAACAACACTATGACAGGAACAAAATCTCAAGTATCAATGAAAACCTTGAATGTACATGGCCTAAGTGCTCCACTTAAAAGATAGAGAATGGCAAATTGAATGTAAGACAACAAGATTCATCCATTTGCTGCCAAGAAGAGAATCACCTAGTGAATAAACACACTTAGACTGAAAGTCAAGGGGTGGATAAAGGTGTACCATGCAAACAGAAAATGAAAATGAGCAGAAGCAGTTGTACTTTTATCAGATAATACAGATGTTAAATTAAGAACAGTGGGAAAAAAAGGTGGTTATTACATAATGATAAAGGATTCAATTCAACAATTCAACAAAAAGATATAACTATTCTTAAAATATATACACCCCAAACTGGAAACCTAGGTTCATTAACCACATACAAATAGACTGAAGGAAAGACATAGACAGCAATACAGTAATAGCAGGGCACTTCAACACCCATTGACAGCAGTAGACAAATCATCGAGGATAAAAATCCACAAGGAAAGTCTTCACTTAAAATGAACTTTAAACCAAATTTAAAAAGACCAAAATCATATCAGATATCTTCTCAGACTACAGTAATCTTATTCTAATTTTGAATAAAATTAGAAATCAATACCAAGAGGAAACCTCAAAACTACACAAATATATGGAAACTAAACACCATTTCTGAATGATCTTTGGGTAAACAAAAAAAAAATTAACACAGAAATTAAAAAAAAAAGGGATGCAAGGATGGTTCAACATATGCAAATCAATAAATGTGATTCACCACACAGAGAACTAAGAAGAAAAACCATAAGATCATCCCAATAGATGCAGAAAAAGTATTGGATAAAATCCAATATCCCTTCATGATAAAAATTCTCAAAAAACAAGCCATTGAAGGAACATTTCTCAAAAAAATGTCACATATGCTGAACCCACACCCTACATCATATTTATGGGCAAAAGTTAAAAGCATTCTCCCTAAGAACTGGAACATGATATGGATACCAAATTTTACCACTCCTATTCAAGATACTACTGGAAGTCCTAGACTAAGCAAGTAAGCAAGGGAAAGAAATAAAAGGCATCCAAATTGGAAAAGAGAAAGTCAGATTATCTCTGTTTGCTTATTGATCTTATACCTGGTAAACCCTAAAGACTCCTACAAGAAACTCCTAGACTTGATAAATGACTTCAGTAATGTTTCAGGATACAAAATAAATGTGCAAAAAGAAGTATCATTTCTATACATCATTAATGTTCAAGCTGAAAACCAAATCAAGGACTCAATCTTATTTACAATAGCCACACAAACATGAAATACCTAGAAGTTCATTTTAGTCAAGGAGGTGGAAGATCTGTGTTAGGAGAACTACACTCCAGGCAAAGACAAAACACTGATGAAAGAAATCATAGATGAAACAAACATGTAAAAAATATCCTATAACCATGGATTTGAAAGAATCAATGTCATTAAAACGACCATACTGTCCAAGGCAATATACAAATTCAATGCATTCTGGTCAAACTATTACCATCATTTTTCAAAGAATTAGTAAAATAATTTAAGATTCACATGGAATGAAAAAAAAAGCCTAAGCAAAAATAACATAGATGAAGGCACCCTATTACCTGATTTCAAATTACACTACAAGACTGTAGTAACCAAAACAGCATGATGATGGTACAGAATTATACCCATAGGATAATGGAACAGACCAGGGCCCTCATATGTACATATGTATAGAAAAAACAATCTATATAACTTGTCCTAAAATAAATTAAACAGCCACGTGTAGAAGAATAAAACTGAATCCCTATACCCACCATATACAAAAATTAACAGAAAATGGATTAAAGACTTAAATTTAAGACTGGAAACTATAAAAATTCTAAAAGAAAACCTAAAAAACCTCTTCAGGACATTGGCCTATGCAAAGAATTTATAACTAAGTCAATGAAACAACAGTAAAAAATACACAAATGGGATTATATTAAACAAAGAGCTTCTGCACAGCAAAAGAAATAATTACCACAGCAAACAGACTACCTGAACAATGGGAGGAAATACTTGCAAATTATGCATTTGACAAAGAAGTAATATCTAATATCTATAGGGAACTTAACAACAACAACAAAAAACATTAAAAAGTAGGCAAAGGACATAATCAGATATTTATCAAAAGATGACATACAAGTGGGCAGCAAGCTTATGAAAAGATGCTCATCACTAATCTTCAGAGAAATGCAAATTTAAGCTGCAGTAAGATATCATCTTAACACCAGTTTGAATGGCTATTTTTAAAATTTAAAAAGAAAAAAAAAATGTTGGTGAGGATCCAGAAAAAAGTGAATGCATAAACAGTATTGTTTGCAATGTAAATTAGTATCACCTAGTTGGAATCAGCTTCAGTTAAGGGGGGAAGGTTGCAGAATCCAAGGTTCTTCTCTTGTAGATGAAGCCTCTAGATAGCAGGTTTCAGAGAGAATAGATATGAATATCTCTTATCAGAGGTGTCAGACTCTCTGGAGAGACCTAGTGAGGGAGGGAGATTCTTTAGAGAATGCAAATTTCCCCAAGAGACAGACATGCAGGGCCATTTCAAAATATGTCAAAGTAATATATTTTGGCTTACAATACTTTTTCTTTTAGGGCCTGTTATTTGTCATGTGAAGTTATACCACAGTCAGGTTGGAGCTGGTCTTATTGTTACAGAGTCTGTTATGTCAGTTATAATTGTAATGTTAATACTGTTTACTCGGGCCTCAAGTCCAAGGATAGAAGGGTACAATGAGGCATGTCTATCCTCACTTCCCATCATGGCCTGAGCTAGTGTTTCAGGTTTGTTTGGTCCTCCTTGGCTGAGAGGTCCACTTAGTCAGTTGGGGAACTTAGAATTTTATTTGTGGTTTACATCCTGCTCTTTCTGGCAAATATTTGCAAGGCAACATCAATAGTCAAACTTTGGCTGGGCTTAGTGGCTCACACCTGTAATCCCAACACTTTGGGAGGCTGAGGCAGGTGGATCTCTTGAGACCAGTAGTTCAAGACCAGCCTGGCCAACATGGCAAAACCCTGTCTCTACAAAAAACACAAGAATTAGTCAGGTGTGGTGGTGGGCATCTGTAATCACAGCTACTTGGGAGGCTGACGCAGGAGAAATGTTGGAACCCGGGAAGCAGAGGTTGTAGGGAGTTAAGATCATGCCACTGCACTCCAGCCTAAGCAACAGAGCAAGACTCTGTCCCAGAAAAACAAACAAACAAAAAAGTCAAAGTTTAATTTTGTCCCTGTTGTCAGGGTGGTGCAGCTCCCTGCCCTGGAATCATTCTGTTCCTTGGTGGGGCTGCTATGACCAACAGACTTAAAGCCAAAAGGCTTATAGCCAGTTTAAATGTTTGAGGGCTAAACTCTAATTTTATCTTGTCCAAATTCCTATCTAAAGGGTCTGGGTAGTCATGTCCTACAAAACGTAAATTCCCATCAGAAGGGTTTTATTTAAACTTGTATGTCATGACTTATTTTCCAACCTGACTCTGGCATAACATTATGAGACAAGGAAGAAAATCAAAATATTTTATCCCAAAACATATTTCTTTGCCATATCTTGAAATGGCCCTGCAAACCTGTTATTTGTAGGGGAGAATTTACATCTGTAAAGAATCTCTATTAATATAGCTGGATCATTTTCTTCCAGACCCCCCCAAATGTAAAGAGATTAACTAAATCTGAATAGAAAACATTTGTCATCTATTGTCTCTAAGGGCAGGGCAGCCACTATAAGACTTCAAAAGAAATTTGGTCTCCACAACCTTTATCTTAACCTGAATATTCCCTTTCTATGAATCCCAGGTCTTTAGACAAACTCCACCAATTCTCAACCAGAACATTTTAAATTCACCTATACCTATGGTTTTATAAAATAGAAAAAGTTAGGCCCCCCAGGCTATGGTGCAGTGAGCAGGGTTGCTAGGAACACTAAGGGAAAGGAAGCCCAGAAGCCTGACATGCCTCCAAAAGGGTATCCTCAGACTTCTGGCCTCTGTGTGTGTGTGTGTGTGTGTGTGAACTAGTTGTAGAAATGGTAAAAATCAGTCTCCTCTGCAAAGTTTTAAATAATGAAAACAAGGATATGTGTGACTAGTCTTAAACTATGGCAAACCTGGTGTACTTTGTGCTACCAATTGGTCTGTGGGGGTACCATTGGATAGAATGCAGGCCTAGGACCCCCAAAAGCTCGAAGTTCAAGCCAGCCCAGCAAACTGGTCATTTACAAACTTTGCTGCAGCTTCCTGAAACATTAAAAAAAAAGATAAATAAATAAATATATAAATAAAGATGAGGTTTCCCTCTCATCTAGTTTTATGTCCTTGGGAGCTTGACCTTGTTACCACATGGTAGTACTTTCCTTGGTCTCCACCATCTGGAGGGCAGGAATTTTAGAGTTCATGTCATAGTTCTAAAAATTATCTTGAGCAGTTAAAAGCCTCTGCAAGTTCAAAATCAGCTGCTCTAGGCTCCTTCTGGGAAGAACAATGGAAACTACCCAATACTGTGGCTTAGTGGCTAAGGTTTTGCCTTTTTACAACGGCAACCTGGTTTCAATTCTTGGCTCAGGGAATCAGTCCTTTCTGGTTTGATATCTGTGTGACCTTTGCCATTTATTGATTCTCTTTCTCTCCATAAACAACTTCTGACATCCATCTTGAATTTTTCTTTCTCTAAGCTATTTTTGGAGATTTTAGATTTTGTAAAAATTGCTTACTACCTCTTTGAAAATACCTCATCACTCGTGGTTAAGTCATAACCTTAGTTATGACTTATTGGTTTCACCTGGGAGATTAATTTTGTAAAAGTTCAAAAGCCAGAAATATTGGCTGTTTGGCCTAGGTAAAGTCAGGTAATAAGAGATTTAAAACGATTTTTTTAAAGAGCACTATAGTTAAAAGTCAGCTTAATTAAAATAGGATATCAAAGATATAGGTGTATTTAAAAGTCCTTCATGATTTTTTCTCTTCTTGGATCTCTTTTTTCTCTTCAGTCAACTCAATTGTTTTTCTCCATTTTGGCTTGCCAAACTTGATGCATGCATGAGAGGACATAAGATTAATTTCTAACAGCCTGGGACTCCTTGGGAAAAACAGAGGAGGCACCACAGACCCCATTTTGGGAAAAACCTGTTTTCCTCATGAAATCCCAGGAATTGAAAGCAGATAGATTCCTCACAAAGTCTAAGGCTAAATATATTTTTGGGGGATGGCAAATGGCAGTTATGGGGGGATATTCAGCTCTTTGCACATCTCAATCAGAGAAGCACATTCTCGATTACCTAGAAAGTATGACAATGTTCCCCCACCACTGAGAAATAAGGCTCCCATAGGGATGGGCTGATCACAAAATGAACTAATTGGCTTTCTATTGCTCTGCAACAAAATGCATGGTAAGGATCATTGAACTGTCCTGCTCCATAGCATTTCTCTTTGGGGATCCAGTATAAAATGGGACCCTAAATTTTTGGGGATCTGTTTTGCCTTTCAGTTGTGCCTGTTTATTAGGTCCTAGAAACTGCATATTTTCCTAGCCTTCTTCCTCAGGGGACTCCACCCTGAAGCTAGTAATCCAACTAAGAAACTTAAAAACTGGCAAATGAAAAGTCTTACAACTACTGGGTCTACTTCTGTGTATGTGTTGTGTGTGATGTTTATAAATAAAAAAGCTCTAATTGGCTTAAAAACAATGAGTGCTTAAATCAAATTTTTTTCAGAGAAATAAAAACTGTAATGCCTTTTAGTTCACATGACTTTAGTAAGCTTTGAAAATAAAGATAGCTTTAAAGTTTATTGGTAAAATAAAGACATTTGGTCTAAATTAGGCAGGTCAGATATTAGGTCTGTAAAATGCTTTAAAGTAATAAACTGCTTCCTTGAGTTTTAAAATCTGTTCAGTTTACCTGCTCTGGAGCCATTAGATTCTAGGTAATGCCTGGGGACATGTGGAGTTAGCCATGCCCCTGGCTATGCTTGAAAGGGTCAGACTTTATCTGCACTTCTGTCTGGTGTCCTAGGCTCCACACCTAGTACATAATTAAAGTCACTTACTTGCCAGATTTTTCACCAAAAATAAAAATTGCTAAGGGTTAACATTGTAACATGTAATTCAGACTACTGAAAAAAGTTATCTATGGAAGCTGTGTGAGGAAAGTGAAATGTGCTTTCAGTAAAAGATTATAAGAAGGCATTAAAATGTAAATTTTTGCCTAATTTAGAGAGTTAAAGGATTGTTTTAATTTAGATAAAATAAAGCTAAAAGTTTGAGCAAGTTGTGGAAGGTTTGTGAAAAAAATAATCTTGTAAGAGAAATACTGTGTGTGAACATATTGGTTAAATTTAAAGGAGTATTATTCAGCTTTTCCATAAATTGAACATTGGAATGAAATCAAAACAGGGTTTTCTTAGAGCACTCATCTGCTCTTTAATGCAAATTTGTAAAACATTATCAGAAGTTTTTGAGAATCTCACCTTATGGTCAAACTGATAAAGACTGGATAAATTTGTCTATAAGGTTTTACTAAAAATTGGAGTTGACTTTAATAGTACACTAATGCAAGGATGAAATTTGGCTTTCTCTTTTGAATAAGATTTTCATGTAATACTAAAGGATAATAAAAGATGTCTTTTTCCCCTCCAAATAAACTACAGGAAAAAGAGGGGAAAGACAGATTGCTTGAAAAGCTAAGTCATCTATCAATGAGTAAGGGTTTTTGCCTTTAAACATTTTTTGAGTTATCATTTTGGCTAAATGAATGACATTGTGATCTGGAATTCCACTTTATAATATCAAGTGTTTTAAACCTTTAATATATTTTATGGGCTTCCCAAAATCAAATTTCAGTTTCAAAATTAAGTCTTTTTGACTTCTAACTTTGGGATGCTACAGAGGGCCCTGAAGAATTCAAAACAGGGGTAAACAGGATTATTTGACACATTAAGTTACATGGGAAACACTGTCAAAATAAGAAATGTTTAACCTTATTCAGGTTATATTCTAATGAATGTTAATATATGTTCCAAAATTATATGGAATTTCTAAAATTCTAATATGTATAAACATATGCTATGAATTATAATTATGGTTATCATGATAAATTGTAGACCACAGAAATAACCAAATTTTCCTGTTAATTGGGTAACTATGACTATTTAACATCATTTCCACAGTTAATTGCTTAATACTGATGCAGTTTCTGAAAACTTCACAAGCCCAAAATGTCCCAGAATATGGTGTCTTTTGGGAGATTCCTGAAAGGATGGAAAGACCCTGAAAAGAGCTCTTGAATACAGATTTCTGGAAATTTTAGAATCATATCATTTGGACTGTGTCAGAGTACCTGGAACTTTAACGAAAAGACTTACTTGTTTTTAAAAGTAGAACGAAAATTAACTGAATACCAAGAAAACACATTGTCAGACTTTCACGCTAAATTAACCAATACTGAAATTGTTTAAATACACAGTTTGAATGAACGCCTTGGTCTAAGTCAAATTACCTATGACAACCCTTCAGTTGTTACTGCTATAAACCTAAATTGGAGAAACAACTGGAATTCAAGACTACATAAGTTCAATGTTAAGCATGGACTCATGGAGAACCAGGACAGCTGCCTTATCCTTCCTGAGTCCATCCTTAAAGCTTTCATTATTAAAAGTTCTGCATTCCATGACTTATCATAGAAAAGATAAAATGATCCAAGTTAAATATATATTGGTGTGGTGAATTCTAAATTGCTAAAATAGCTTATGACCAATGTTTGGTTTGTCAAACTCATATTCCTGGAAGGACAATGAAAGCTTCAGATACAATCCACTACCTGATGGGCCATTTAAACATTTATAAAGGGATTTCATTGAATTATCATTTTCAGTGCGTGTTTTCTGGTTGTATTAAAGCTTTCCCATGCAAGAGAGCTGATGTTATAACAGATTATTATGCCACAGTGTATTTTCACCAGGTAAAAAAAGCTTTTTTATGATTCACTGAGATCAACACCTCTTCATAATCTAGAGCCTATAGATTGGATCTTCTGAGAACATCAGAGAAAGACTGCCCTTGACATCCACACTACAGAAAAGCTTTGGAACCTTGAACTCTGGGTTCATAATCTTACAACTAAGAAGGGTCCCTCCACAGTCTTGAAACTGTACACCCACTATAACCCTTAAGGTAAAGCTAACCAGAAAAGTTTCTCCCCAGAAGATGGCAAACTTGATGTGAACAACGGATAAAGACTGCTCTGCTAACATTAGATTCTGAATATTTTTTTCCCTTGCTTATGCCTTTATGAACAATAGATGTGAAAGGGGGGGTCTGTTGTGCACACTCATGGGATATACTTTTGTGATAGATTTTGTAGCTAGTCTTATACATATACAACTTTATAACTTGAAAGCTTGTTTGGAAGTTCTACCAGGGGAGTGCAGCTACTCGTATACCCTTGACCAAAGAATGGTCCTCCTCTAACAGAGATGGTCATCCTCTTGGACTGAGCATGCAGCTTCAGGAGGGATGCACATGGAGTGGTGAGGGAGGAAGGGAAAGTGTGCCTGGCCAGCCAGATCAGCCAAATCAACCCTGGAGATCAACTGAGTGACAGATGTCACAGCCAGATTACCCTCACATCTGGATAACCTTATTCTTTGATGGAAGATAGAGGCCAAATGTGAGAAATTTTAATGGTACGTATGTTGCCTCATAATCAGTCAGAAACAGAATATTTGTTCACTCCTCTTAACCTACATCATGGGTTTAAGAGAGCATTGAGAGGAGGCCTTCACTCTTCTAGAAGGGCATCATTTGTTAAGCCCTATTTTCTCCATGGTTTGAAGTACAAGAGGGAATGATTACAAATGTATCCCTAATGATAGGTGTTATAGCAGATTCTACTGTAAAGGCTAAAGTTACACAACAGACTTTATCTTGGGAAAGTTATGCTCAATGATAGAATTGCTCTAGATTACTTACTGGCTAAACAGAGAAATTATCTGTGCAGCTGCTGGCATGTGTGGCCTACAGAGAAATACATCACACCAGGTATTATATGGATTTGTAGAGTTTTAATGAAGAGACTGCTTAGTTAATCAAGCAGACTCTTTAGCTCATTCTTTTGATTTTCAGTGGTTTGGTTTATGAGGACACTAAGTAAGGAACTACTCCAAAATCTTGTTATTATCTTTCTGATAGTAATAATAGTCTTCCTGGTACACTGTATTCTCTTTAAAATTTTGAATGTTTCCATGCAGCCATCTCTGGAATGTCAAATGATCTCTCTTCAACTGGAATGACAAGAGCTGAAACAAAATATGTGTGACCATGAGGACACTGTAACCTATAAATGGCATGCTGAGACCAGAAATCCAAAGTGATGGCAACTAAGAGTGGCACTCAGACCCTAAGTTTTGGTCACAGTCTAAATCACCTAAGTGAGAACCTGACCAAAAGGGGAGAATTTTTAAACAAAGTTATGAGAGGCCATTTTTTTGGACTCAGCTCATGCATCAGGCCTCAACAGACCAGACCAAACCAAACTGAGTCACTCATGACATAAACTAAGACTTTAAGGAAACACACAGATCCTAGAATGGATCAGGTTTTGTTTTTTTCTCATATAAAAAGATGTTCCAGCATAAGGAGGTACCCTCTACTATAACCCTTACAAAAATAAAAATAAAATAAAATAATCCCAAGTCCTTGTTCCCACCTTACAAAACCAACTGCTCCCACCTTACAAAACCCACTTCCCAGTGGGTTTCAAGACCAAGTAAGTACATACTAATAGTGACATCAATGACTAAATTTTTGTCAGTCTCTCAAAATTGAGAAGATGACCAAAGAGGGAAATTGTTAAGTTTAACCTAAAGCTGCCTCCCTACAAATGTTAAGTTTGGCCTAAATGTTTAGGCCAAAGATTTCCCTGTCCTTGAACTATAACAAGTAAACTTGTAAACAGACTGTAGCCTACATTTGTGCCAATCACTGAGATTTGGCTAATCAAATGTAGAAACCATGTTCAAATAAAGCAAACATTGAACTGTAACCAATCCAGGTGTTTCTGTACCTCATTTCAATTTTTTGTATATCACTTTCCTTTTTCTGTCCATAAACCTTCTTCCACCACACAGCTTCACTGAGTCTCTGAGTCTACTCTGGCTCAGGAGGCAGACCAATTTGCAAATTATTTATTGCTCAATATTCTTTGAAGTTTAATTTGGCTGAAGTTTTTCTTATAACAACTTCTGTGTGTTAAGCTAGCATAATTTTGGTTTTAGTTACAAACTATAGTAATTAGTTATGTGAAACACAAACATTTTATTAAAACCATTTAAGTTAAGGAATTTAGACACTTCTGTTATTCCACAAAGTTTTTTGGTGTGTAGTCTTTTTAGTAATTTGTACTAAGATCGCTGATTTAAAACAGCTTTCTATATGTATCTGTAAAAATTTCATAACTTGGAGCACTCTACCCAGGAGGCTTTGTCACTTAAGTATCTTAATATCCTGTAAGTAATTCTTTTTTAATTTTATGGAGAGTAGGTAATTCTTTATATTAGGATGAATGGAAAGAACCCAGGAGGCAAAGTTTCTTATTTTGTCAGCTGTTTAGGCATGTGTGCCTGTCCTTTATTTGAAGGGGCTAAACTAATTTTATCTCTCAAAACTGGCCCTTACAGTTCCACATGCTCAATTTTTCTACATGAGTGCCTGCACCTGTAAGAAAAGGTGTTTATATCGTTTTAGCAGTGGTACATTAGCAATAAAAATAGATTGGGCCCAGTGAGATTTAAAATAGTTTTAAATTTTGGAAATACCACATAGAAAGAGAAAGGTAAGTTTTGTTGTTTTACCCAATTTTATAAGCTACATATAGAATTGGCATTTTTTTGTACAGTCTTGCTCTGCCACCCAGGCTGGAATGCAGTGGCAGGATCTCAGCTGTCTGCAACTTCTGCCTCTCAGGTTCAAGTGATCCTCCTCTCTATGCCCCCCAAGTATCTGGAGTTACACGCGTGTGCCACTGCGCCTAGCTAATTTTTGTATTTTTAGTAGAGACAGGGTTTTACCACATTGGACAGGCTGGTTTCGAACACCTGGCCTCAATTAGTCCACCTGCCTTGGCCTCCCAAAGTGCTGGGATTACAAATGTGAGCCACCGCACCTGGCCCAGAATTAAAAATGTTTAAACACAAAGGACATAAGCCCTGCCTAGCTCTGACAATAACAGAAAAAAAAAACCCACAGGTAGCTAAACATTTAAATTATCTAGTTTTAAGGCATAGAACAAATTATATTAAAATAGAGGAAAATGATTTAGTATTTATGTCTTTGTATAGAGGCCTAGCACAGTATCACAAGAAAGTATATATATATATATATATATATATATATATATATATATATATATATAGAGAGAGAGAGAGAGAGAGAGAGAGAGAGAGAGAGAGAGAGACAGGGTCTCACTTTGTCACCCAAGCTGGAGTGCAGTGGCACCATCTCCACTCACTGCAGCCTCAACCTCCTGGGCTAAAGCAATCCTACCACCTTGGCCTCCCAAGTAGCTGGGACTACACGTATATTCCAACACACCCAGCTACTTTAAATTTTTTGTAGAGACGGGGTTTTGCCATGTTGCCCACAGGCTGATCTTGAACTCCTGAGCTCAAGTGATCCGCTTGCCTTGGTCTCCCAAAGTGCTGGGATTAAAGGTGTGAACCACCATGCCCAGCCTGGATTTTTTTTTAAATTTTTTTAATTTAAAAAACCACTCTGACTGCATCCACTCCCTCTTACACTCCTAGAGGAAGCGATGCATTGCCATCAATGGCAAATGGTAGTTGCATCAAAGCAATGCCAAAAGCTGGCTTCCCGTTCAGGAGAGAATGCTGCATCTCCTCGTGGTTTCTGGTGCTCAACACATTCAGAGAAACTTCTCTAATAACAAACTATAGAAATGACCCATGAAAGTATAGCATTAGCAAGTTGTTTTGACTCTCATCTTCTCCCAGGTTTGAAGGTGGGGCTTTCATTAACTAGAATTTGGTGCCAGATATCAGCATTGATGTTTAAGTTTCAGCAGGAGCCAGTGCTACCTTTTAGATGAGATAGAAGTACTCAGGAGTCAAAGCCCTGCAACTTAACAGCAAAAAGTTTAATTTACACTATTTGATAAAAACCCTTTTCAATGGCGCTGGAGGAGTCTCTCAGCTGATGCCCAATCATCAGCCTGGAGAGGGTGATACTGGAGTTCATGACTTAACTGGAAGCTGTAAGAAGATTTTATGACCTTGCAGTGGTTAATTTTTATAGTTTTGATAAGCCACCAGCTACAAGTCTAAGTCAGAGACTTTATTCAGTATTTGATATTTGAGGCTGTTTGTCAAAAGATATTAGAAAACTCAAAATGTTTGATTACAACAGAATCACGGGCCATTATAAAATAATAGTTCTTCATTTAACCAGAGTGAAATGAAAAGATCTTAACAGCAATATAGGAAGTTACATGGATGTAAGGCCCTTAACCCTGTTAAAGTTTAGTTTTGTAATAATTTTTAAAAACTAATTAAAACAACACAGGAATTATCTTAAAGTGTTTGTTGATTAGTTAACAATAAAAGAAAAAAGTAACCTTCTTCAGTGACTGTTTCTCCTTTATGGGAAGCCTATTTGGACAACCTGACAGTCAAACCTGATGAAAAGAAAACGTGAACTAGTCAGATACAGAAAGAGTATGCCCAGTGTAACATGCAAACACTATATCATAGAAGTCTTGAGCAGAATATGTGACTCTTAGCCACAGCATGGGAAGTTGCCTAATTATATTGAACACTTTGGACATATGTTGGACTGAAAAAAACAATACCCCAAAATGAAACCTTCAGAAGCACCCTCAGAAATAAAACTTTTTATTTGGCTTTCTCCTGTCCTTGTGTTCCTCAGTTCCAGTTTCCCTCAAGCCTGGCCACAGAAACTAGAATCTTCATTTTCCAGGTGGGCCCTAGAATCTGTAACTTTTTGTTCAGAGCCAGCCATAAAACTTTTAAAGTATTAATCTAATTTTTTCTTCAAATTTCTGTCTAAGAACTGGCCATAAAGAACTTATCTGACCTTCCTTGTTGTACTATAGGTTATAGGTGCCCCATAGCTAAAAAGAAGAAATGCTAACTCAGAAAGGTTTAGAAGAATCTAGAGAGACAGGCCTTCTTGGATATTCCCTCAAAGTCCACCAGAACTACATTATAAAGTTTTTTCAAGCATATTGTTTACAAGGCTTTCCATAATTTGTTGAAACTAAACAATGAAAAATAGACAATTTCTCCTATATATTGGGCCTCTATTTTGAAAACTTTCATGTATATATTCAGAAACAAATCTGCCTGTCCTCTCTTTAATCGATTGGTCTTTTCTGAGTTGATTTTTAAGCTAACCTTCAGAGGGCTCAAGGCCCATAAACATATTAAGAAAAGGCAACAGTGTAGAATTAACTTATACTGGAGGAAAACATTGCCTTTAAAAAAAAATACTTTTCAAGATAAAACATTTCATCATCAGGCCATAACAACAGATTTAGAATTGGAGGAAGAAAAAAAATGCTACTGGAGTCAAGAAAAGTTGAAGAAGAGAGTTACTATCCCAGGTTTCTCAAAGGGAGAATAAGCTGAGTAAGCTGGAAGCAATGGGGTTCAGCAAAAATTAAACTTTTGAGATATTCATCTGAGAAACCTTTTAGAAACAGATTATAGAATTAAACATTAAAAAATCTTACAATTTTATTAAATTAATGCTTAAAAGCATCTTGTGGTTCTAATCAATTTTTTTGTTTTCTTCTAGTGTATTTTAAAAATCAAAGCTTAATTTTTCAGAAAGGCTATTATGAATAATTTTCCTTCCATTCTAGCCAACTGAATCACACACAAAATTCTTAAAAGAATTTTCTTTTTAATGAAGCGTATTATTACACAGACCAATTATAACATGCTTAGACTTTCTGTTTTGTCCTAAATATCCTCTTTCTTAAATAACCAGCCATTTTGTTTTAGGATAAAAATCTACCATACAATTTTTTATACAAAATTATTTTCCTTGTAATAATTCCTTTTTTTTTTTTTTTTTTTTTTCAGATAGAGTCTTACACTGTCACCTGAGCTGGAGTGCAATGGTGCAATCTCGGCTCACTGAAACCTCCACCTTCTGGGTTCATGTGATTCTCCTGCCTCAGCCTCCCATGTTGCTGGGATTACAGGTGCACACCACCACACCCAGCTAATTTTTGTATTTTTAGTAGAGACGAGATTTCACTATGTTGGACAGACTGGTCTCAAACTCCTGATCTTGTCTGCCCACCTTGGCCTCCCAAAGTGCTGTGATAACAGGCATAAGCCACCGTGCCCAGCATCTTTGTGGTATTTCTTACTGAATGTATCTCTTTATAATCTCTTTATAACTTTCTTTAAATCTCTCTGTCACTTACTGGTTCCCTTTACATTGTTTCATAAGGAATCCTTCAATAATCTTTGAATTGGACAACAATTATTTTCATTCTGTTTCTTATCATTTCTTTATTTCATTTTTATTTCTCACAATTTTTCTTTTTTCATCAGAATAAAACTTATTTTGGCACACTTTATATGTAAAATCACATATTAACTAAAATTTTGATTTTTGGTAATAAATTTTTGGTGAAAACCTAAGAAGTAAGAAATCTTTATTGTCACATCAGCATTTTATAGATGAGGACTATCTTATAATTATTTTGAAAATGTTTCCAATAATATAGTTTAAAAATTGATAATGATCCAGACATCTAATATCTATTATTTGATTTAATATAATGTTAAGATTTAACTTATATGACAAGTTCATTTATAAGCTTTTATTCTATTACATTTACCTAACTTATTATTAATAGTTTTATTTACTGATAACTCTGGATTGAGCTGTTTTCATTAAATCAACAATATTAAATATTTATCAAAAATTACATGAACAAAAATTATTGTTTGGGTCTGGGTTTATAGTTTGTAACTTTGTGGCAAATTTTGACATGTTATAGTAGCTAGAAGATATAAAATAAAACCACTTGACCAGAAAATAAAAAAAAGAAAAAAGGAAAAAAACCACTGGACCAATACATCTAAACAATAATGTATGCTAACTATTGTGAAGACATCTTGAAGTTTCTTTTTAACCAAAACTTGAAAAAGTATTTGGGAATAAGTTTCTAATTTCTAATTTCTGATACAATATTTAAGAACTTTTTAAAAAGCCAATTAGAGCCTTTTCACATATTTTTGGTATTCAAACATTACATGCATAATTCATATAAATATTTAGACATATAGGCACACAGAAGTAGATCTTAGGGATTCAAAAGATTTTTCATTTGCCAGTTTTTCCTCTCCACTTTAGCACATTCGTCTTTTGAATACTTGTTCCCTACTGTAAACAGTTATTAGTGAGGCAATTCTAAATTTGCATTTTTAAAGAGATGACTCATGTGAAACAAGATGGAGGATTTATATTTTACTAAAGCCAAAAAAAAAAATGGTGTAAAAGTTCAGTTAAGATGGCCAAGGAAAGCAGACACACTTAAATGTGATTTCCTTGAAGATTTTTAAAAATTGGCTTACTGGCTTTAGGCTGGAGCCTTTTAAGAAACAGGGCCAAGGAAGCATGCAGCTTCTAGGGCCTAACATGAAGGCACAGCTGTAAGGCAGAACAGATATCCAAAAATCAAGTATTTGATTTTTACATAAAATCCTCAGGCCCTGAAAAGAGGAAAACATTATGGGATGAGACAATGCCATGTTTTTAACATGCATTTCACTACATTTCCCCTGAGGTTGGTAGCCAAGAAAAGCCAATTAGCCCATTCAATAATCAGCTCATATCCCATGGTAGTCTCACTATTCAGTGGAGCATTGGGATGTTTCCATACCTTCCAGGCAGCCAAAGGCATACAAATATCTCTTCTGATAGCCAGCCCTAAAAATATATCTCCTACCTAGCTATTACACACACCAAGGTCAAAAACCTTCTCATTATGCAAAGTGATTTTTGAAACCCTCAAAAGTCATTAAGATCCAGTAATGCAATTTAAAAAGTGAGCAGTTTAAGAGCTGCAAAAAAACTTGTCTGTTTACAACTCTTGGGATTTGATAAACAAAATCTGTGATTTCAGTGATTTGGAGAAAAAGAAGTCTGATGCCCTTTCTGTTTTAAGCAATCCCCAGTTATCAGAAATTATTTTACATCTTTTATGTGGGCATCAAGGGTGGCAAGAGAAAAAAGGGACAGGCATAAGTAAAATAAAGAGACAGAATTCAGTTGACTGAGAACAAAAACAAATATTCCTCAAAAAACAAGATCCGAAGAGAGAAAGGCCTTTTAGACACACACAAACACAAAAAAAATTATAGGTTAAAAATATAATGTGTAAACATATTTCTAACATATATATGTACATTTATGTTTATATATAAATATGTCATATATTTATATATTTCTGACATATATGTAATTATAAATATAAATTTACATATATATCAAAGTTGCTTTTAATTAAGCTTTTAATCATGGAGCTCTTAGAAAAAACTTTTGAATCTCTTACTAACACACCATAACTCAGACAAACTGCTGTTATTTTTAAAGTAACACAAATACCAAACCAGAAAGCACTAGACAGGAACAAAACTCAAGTTGCTGTAGTGAATACGGTAGAATCTTAGCATTGGGTAGCCACCACTGCTCCTTCAGTTTGCCCATGGCTAACAAAAGATGGCCTTGTTATGTAGACGAAAACTCTTAGGTTAAAAAAAAAAAAATGTTTTACAACATCATTTTTGCTAACTGGAACTTTTTTTTTTTTTTTTTTTTTTTTTGCAGCTACAAAAGATTTGGCCAATTCAGATGCCTTGTTCCCCACAATTTGGAACTTTCCTTTGGATTTGACCAAGTCAGGAAGAGACGACCATACTTGATGAGAGAAAAGTAAAACAACAACAATAAAACACCAAATGTAAACAAGAACATTTAAGCAAAACAAACAAATGCACAATCCATATGATTAGTGACTGTTCTAACGGTAAGGAGAAATAAAAACCAGCTGATTGGTAATCTTAACTTTTAGTCATTAAGGAAAATTTTTAAGACAAAATTCTAATTCAGCTACTTACTTGGAAATATGGCTCAGGCTGATGATGGCTCTCTACCATCTTACAAGAAGGAAAAATCTCACACTCACCCTCCCTGTCAGAAGCACGCTGAAACTCAAGAAAGGATGTGCCTGTTCTCCATCATCATGGAAGCAGGAAAACATGCCTTCTTATTGGAAATGAGTAAAACTTCAGAAAAAAAGTCGTAGAGCAAAATCAACCTTGGATCTCAACCAAATTTTGGAAGATTAAGGACTCTCTGGAGGGGAGAAACTCCCCAACCTCAGCAAATTATCCTATTGTTTCCAGCAATACAAATAGCTCAGGTTGGCTAGGCGCGGTGACTCATGCCTGTAATCCCAGCACTTTGGAAGGCCAAGGCGGGTGGTTGATTTGAGGTGAGAAGACCAGCCTGGCCAACATGGTGAAACCCAGTCTCTAACTGTAATTGTGTTCCTTTTGCCTCAGACAGCTCCTTTTGTAGTACACAAACCATATTGTCCATTTGTTCAATTTCTACTGTAAGTTGCTCATAGTGGCTATTTTCATCCACACATACACAAAACAAATATGCATTGAGTTCCTACCACGGGGAACACAGTCTACTGAGCTCTGCAGATAAAACAAACAGTAACTCTGCTCTTGTTTAGCTGTAAGTGTAGTGAAGAACAAATACAAAGAAGTGAAATTACAACTTCAGATAGATGCTGCAAGAAAACAGTTCTATGATCACACAGGATTTGATCTATACTGGGCTCAGGAAGATTTCCCTGGGGAAGAGATGGCTACACTGAGAAATGAAGGGTGAGAAGGAAGCTGTTAAGTAAAGGGGGTAGAAAAACATTCTAGCTAGTTTATGTCATGTGCTGAAGCTCTGCTGCAGTCTGCTTCTGGCCATGATGGAGCAGCAGATACTGACTTACCTTCTCACCTGAAACAAAAACAAAAAAGACAAAATACATAATACCACGATTTTCAAGAACAAGGATTTCAGGTAGTGAAGACAATGATCCTTGTAAGATAGGAAACAAGTGAAATAAGCCTTACAAACACCCTAGCTCCCTGACTTGACAAAGTTTCCAGGCCATGACAATGAAAGAAAAAAAAAACTGAGTTAGAGTCTACCAAAAACTGAGGTAGAGCCCACCAGATTCCCTGAGTTTGAACAATGAAGCCGAGAGTCTCAAAAAACCAAGGCAGACAGAAATCACAGAATACTTGAAAGGAGACAGCAGTAAAGGGAAAGAACACTGGAGATCTGCAAAAACACCCTCTTGGGTATTTATTTAGCAGAATAATGAACAGTACATTTGTCCTAAGAAACTACTTGAGACCAGGGGGAAAAAATCCATGGATGAAATTGGAAACCATCATTCTCAGTAAACTATCGCAAGAACAAAAAACCAAGCACCGCATATTCTCACTCATAGGTGGGAATTGAACAATGAGATCACATGGACACAGGAAGGGGAATATCACACTCTGGGGACTGTGGTGGGGTCGGGGGAGGGGGGAGGGATAGCATTGGGAGATATACCTAATGCTAGATGACACGTTAGTGGGTGCAGCGCACCAGCATGGCACATGTATACATATGTAACTAACCTGCACAATGTGCACATGTACCCTAAAACTTAGAGTATAATAAAAAAAAAAAAAACATTAAAAAAAAAATGCAAAAAAGAAAATACATGCAGATGAGTTAAACACAAAAAAAAAAAAAAAAATTGTAAGAAACAGTGCCTGTTGCTCACAACCTACCAGGAAGAGTGTCCATTCCTCTGAATGATACTGAAAAAACTCAAGACTTCACAGGGCAAAGAATAGAGTTATCAGAAACACCTTGATTCAGGAGTGGAAAATTAGACCAAATCATAAAGCAAGACCAGAAAGATCAAGTTGTTTATAAGTCAACTGTGTCCCCAAATAAATCTCAAGTAGAGGCATGGAAGATATTTTTTGAAAGAAAATTACACTAGTAGGAATTCAAATTAAAATGTCAGGACTGGGCCAGATATGGTGGCTCATGCCCGTAATCCCAGCATTTTGGGAGGCTGAGGCAGGTGAATCACTTGAGGTCAGGAGTTTAAGACCAGCCTGGCCAACACAGTGAAACCCCATCTCTACTAAAAATACAAAGAAATTAGCTGGGCATCATGGCAGGCACCTGTAACCCCAGCTACTCGGGAGGCCAAGGCAGGAGAAGGAATGGCTTGAACCTGGGAGGCAGAGGTTGCAGTGAGAGGTGATCGAGTCATTGCACTCCAGCCTGGGCAATGGAGTCAGACTTTGTTTCAAAAAACAAACAAACAAACAAAAACAAAGTCATGACTGAAAACGACACTGGGTGGAAGCAAATACTGACTAGATACCAAGAAAGAGAAGATTCATAAATTCGAGACATCAGAGAATTATGCGAAAACTTTAAGCAATAATATACGTGTCCCCAAAGAGGGAGGAAGAGACAATGACAAAACATAAAGAGAAAATGAACAGAAACTTTCTAAACTTAATGAAAACTATAATTCCACAAATCCAGGAAGAATCTGGCTGGGAGAGAGGAAATGAAAGTAGTAATGAATAGAAATTCTGATTTTCTTATGCCATATGTGATATGATATAATATTGTCTGAAAGTGAACTGTGATAAGTTAAAATCATACAGTACAAACTGTAATGCAACCACGAAGATAGCAAAAAAAAAAAATTAGAGCCAATAAGCCAAAAAATGAGAGATGAAACTAAACCATAAAAGTTACATAACTAATTGAAAGGAAACCAGAAAGAGAAGGGAACAAAGAATAGCTGGGACTAATGAAAATCAAACAGCATGATGACAGATAAACTTATCTATTAATATATCAATAATCACATTATAAATGAAACGGGCCTAACAACCTAAATTAAAACACAGATTGTCAAACTATGTAGAAAGCAAGATCCTACTCCATGCTACCTATAAGAAACACACTTTAAATGTAAAGACACAAATTAGTTAAAAGGAAGAAAAAATATATCCCATAATAACCAGCCCTAAAAATATATCTCCTACTTAGCTATTACACACTCCAAGGTCAAAAACTTTCTCACTGTGCAAAGTGATTCTTGAAACCCTCAAAAGCCATTAAGGGCCGGGTGCAGTGGCTCACACCTGTAATCCCAGCACTTTGGGAGCCCGAGGCGGGCAGATCACAAGGTCAGGAGATCGAGACCATCCTGGCTAACACGGCGAAACCCCGCCTCTACTAAAAATACAAAAAATTAGCCGGGCACGGTGGTGGGCACCTGTAGTCTCAGCTACTCGGGAGGCTAAGGCAGGAGAATGGCATAAACCCGGGAGGTGGAGCTTGCAGTGAGCCAAGATAGGCCACTGCAGTCTGCCTGAGTGAAAGAGCGAGACTCCGTCTCAAAAAAAAAAAAAAGAAAAAAGCCATTAAGATCCAATAATGCAATTTAAAAAGTGAGCAGTTTAAGAGCTGCAAAAAAACTTGTCTGTTTACAACTATTGGGATTTTAGAAACAAAAACAGTGATTCCTTGCAAAAAGAAGTCTGGTGCCCTTTCTGTTTTAAGCAATCCCCAGTTATCAGAAATTACTTTACGTCTTTTATGTGGGCATTAAGGGTAGCAAGAAAAAGAAAGGACAGACATACGTAAAATGGAGAGATAGAATTCAGTTGACTGAGAACAAAATCAAATGTTTCTCAAAAAAAAAAATCCAAAAAGAGAAAGGCCTTTTAGATTCACACAAATACAAAAAATATATATAACAAATTATAAACATATTTCTAACATAAATATGTGTATTTATATGTTTATATATAAATATGTCATATATTTATATATTTTTGACATATATGTAATTATATTTAAATATATTTTTACATATATATAATACCTGTTTTTAATGAAGCTTTTTATCATGGAGCTCTTAAAAAAAATCATTTGAATCTCTTACTACAGCCTCATAGCTAGGACAAACTGCTGGCATTTTAAAAGTAACACAAATACCAAACCAGAAAGAACTAGACTTAGGAAACAAACTCAGGTTGCTGTAGTAAACATTGTTTGGGCAGAATCTTAGCACTGGGTGGCCACCACTGCTTCTTCAATTTGCTCTTGGCTGGCAAAAGATGGCCTGGTTATGTACATGAAACCTCTTAAGAAAAAAAAATTTTTTTTAATTTTTTCTAAGTTTTATAAAAATTATTTCTAACTGGATTTTTTTTTTTTTTTTTTGCAGCTACAGGAGTTTTGGCCTATTCTGATGCCTTGTTCCTCACAATTTGGAACATTCCTTTGGATTTGACCAAGTCAGGAAGAGATGATCATACTTGATGGGAGAAAAGTAAAACAACAACAATAAACCCCAAACATATACAAACAAAAACCGTTAAGCAAAACAAACAAATGCACAATTCATATGATTACTGGCTGTTCTAAAGGCAAGGAGAAATTAAAACCAGTTGGTTGGTAATCTTAACTTTTAGTCATTAAGGAAAATTTTTAAGACAAATCTCTACTTCAGCTACTTACCTGGAAAAAGTCTCAGGCTGATGATCACTCTCTATCATCTTAGAAGCAGGAAAAAATTCACACTCACCTTCCCTGCAAGCTGAAACTTAAGAAAGGAGGTGCCTGCTCTCCATCATCATGGAAGCAGGAAAACTTGCATTCCTTGTTGGAAATAAGTAGAACTTCAGAAAAGGAGTTGTACAGTAAAATCAACCTTAGATCTCAACCTAATTTTGGAAGATCAGGGACTCTCTGGAGGGGAGAAACTTCTCAACCTCAGCAAATTATCCTATTGGTTTCAGCAATAAATATAGCTCAGATTGACCAGGCACAGTGGCCCGTGCCTGTAATCCCAGCACTTTGGATGGACAAGGTGGGCGGTTCACTTGAGGTCAGGAGTTCAAGACCAGTCTGCCCAACATGGTGAAACCCGGTCTCTATTAAAACTATAAAAATTAGCCGAGTGTGGTGGCATGCACCTATAATCCCAGCTACATGGGAGGCTGATGAAGGAGAATTGCTTGAGCCTGGGAGGTGGAGGTTGCAGTGAGCAGAGATCATGCCACCACACTCCAGCCTGGGCAACAGAGTGAGACTCCTTCTCAAAAGTAAAAACAAAAAACAACAACAAAAAAAGACAGCCCAGGTTGGTATCAACCAATAATGAGATTTATCAAAGGTCAGGGCCACCTTTGTAATGTCCTTCTCTGTCTTGATAAATCTTTATTGGTATAAAGTCTGTTTTGTCAGAAACTAGATTGCAACACCTGCTTTTTTCTGTTTTCCATTTGTTTGAAAGATTTTTCTGCATTCCTTTATTTTGAGCCTGTGTGTGGCACTGCAGGTGAGATGGGTCTCTTGAAGACAGCATACTCAAACGGGTCTTGGTTCTTTATCCACCTTGCCCCGCTGTGTCTTTCAGTTGTAGCATTTAGCCCATTTACATTTAAGTTTAGTAATAATATATGTGGATTTGATCCTGTCATCATGCTGTTAGCTGGTTATTTTGCAGATTTGTGTATGTGGTTGCTTTTTAGCATCACTGGTCTGTGCACTTCAGTGGGCTTTTGTAGTGGCTGGTAATGGTCTTTTCTTTCCATATTTAGTGCTTCCTTCAGGAGCTCTTGTAAGGCAGATTTGGTGGTAATTAACTCCCTCAGCATTTGCTTGTCTGAAAAGAATCTTATTTCTCCCTCACTTATGACACTTAGTTTAGCTGGACATGAAATTCTGGATTGGAATTTCTTTTCTTTAAGAAGTTGAATATCTCTTCTGGCTTGTAAGGTTTCAGCTGAGAGGTCCACTATTTGTCTGATGGGATTCCCTTTGTAGGTGACCTCACCTTTTTTCCTAGCTGCCTTTAACATTTTTTCTTTCATTTTGACCTTGGATGTCTTTCTCGTGGCATATCTAACTGAGGTTCTCTGGATTTCCTTAATTTGAATGTTGGCCTGTCTGGCTAGGTTGGGGACATTCTCATGAATGACATTCTGAAATATGTTTTCCAAGTTGGTTCCATTTTCCTCATCTCTTTCAGGTACACTAATCAGTCATAGATTTGGTCACTTTACATAATCCCATATTTCTCAGAGGTTTTGTTAATTCTTTTTCATTCTTTTTCCCCCGTTCTTGTCTCCCTGTTTTATTTCAGAAATCCAGTTTTCAAGCTCTGAGATTCTTTCCTCTGCTTGGTCTATTCTGCTAGGTGGTCTTGCACATGAGATGGGGCTGGTCTAACCTCAGCACTCCTTAGTCAGCTTGCCTCTCCCAGGGCCCCAGCCTGGCCACACCTGCTTACAGGGCACTCTCAGGTGCCCACACACACTACAAGAATTTTCATAATGCAATCACACATAATCACCATGTGATTTCATTATGAAAATTCTTCTAGTGTGCTTTTCAGCTCTATCAGGTCGGTTATGTTCTTCTTTATAATGGCTTTTTTTTTTTTTTTTTTTTTTTGAGACAGAGTCTTGCTCTGTCGCCCAGGCTGGAGTGCAGTGGCGCGATCTCGGCTCACTGCAAGCTCCGCCTCCCGGGTTCACGCCATTCTCCTGCCTCAGCCTCCCGAGTAGCTGGGACTACAGGCGCCCGCTACCACGCCCGGCTAATTTTTTGTATTTTTAGTAGAGACGGGGTTTCACCGTGTTAGCCAGGATGGTCTCGATCTCCTGACCTCGTGATCCGCCCGCCTCGGCCTCCCAAAGTGCTGGGATTACAGGCGTGAGCCACCGCGCCCGGCCTATAATGGCTATTTTGTCTGTTAGCTCCTGCAATGTTTTGCAGTGATTTTTAGCTTCCTTGCATTGGATTACAACATACTTCTCTCACTCAGTGAACTTTGTTCCTACTCATATTCTGAATTCTACTTGTATCATTTCAGACATCTTAGCCTCAGCCCAGTTCCAAACACTTGCTGGAGAGTTGATGCAGTCATTTGGAGGAAAGAAGACACGCTGACTTTTTGAGTTTTCAGTGTTCTTGCACAGATTCTTTCTCATCTTTATAGGCTTATCCACCTTCAACCATTGCGGTTGCTGACCTTTGGACAGAGTACTTTTCTTTTATCACATTTGATGACCTTGAGGGTTTGATTGTGGTGTCAGGTGGATTCAGCCAACTGGCTTTGTTTCTGGAGGATTTTAGGGAGCCAGTGTTCAGCTCCCAATTCCTGGACTGTGTGCTTTAACTCTGAGGAAATTGTACTGGGCCCCAACTTTGTTCTCTGGCTCCTCGAGGTTTGGGGTCCACTGCACTGAGGGGACCAAAGTGCGGCAACTGCAGCAGAGTGCTAGCGGATGCAAAAGTGCCTGCCTCCCTGTGGGCATTCACCCAGTGGTGGAGGCAAGACAGCTAGGGTGGGGACCAGGGGGCCCCTGCTGACTGTGTGTGCTGTTGCACTGGAGATAGTGTTGGTTTGGGGTGAGGTGCTGGCCAGCACGGGTCTAGGTGCCTTCTCTGTGCTCCCCAAGCAACAGTGGTCCCTCAGGATATAAGAGGGTCCCTTTTCCTCTCTGCAGCATTAGGTCAAGGGTGAGGTGCTGGTGGGGGTGGGGGATTTTTGGCTCTGTGCCTGCCAGGGCTCCATCTTCAATGGCAGTTGGTGTGGGTTGGGGTGTGTGATGCACTCCCGTGTGCTGGTAGGGCAAGTACAGCAAAACCCACCCATGTAAACACACACCAGCAAAGGGATGTAGGAAGTTTGCATATAAAGAGCTGCAGTATGTAGAGGCAATATGCAGGCTGGTCCATGGCTGTAGGGGCCACCTTGCTGCAACCCTCCATTGGTCAGACATGGTCCACTGGCACAGAAGCTATGGTGTGAGCACCTGAGAGTGCCCTGTAAGCAGGTGTGGCCAGGCTGGGGCCCTGGGAGAGGCAAACAGACTAAGGAGTGCTGAGGTCAGACCAGCCCCATCTCATATGCAAGACTTCCCAGCAAAGATCAGGTCTCAGAGGAGAACTCTCTCAAAACTAAAGCCCCAACACAGCACAGCTGCTCTACAAAAATGTGGCCAGACTTCTTTTTTAAGCAAGTCCCCTTTTTTTAAGAGGGGAACTCTCAGACCTGATCTCTGCTGGGCAATCTTGCACATAAGATGTGGCTGGTCTGACCTCAGCACTCCTAAAGTGCTGGGATAAAGTGTCTCATAAGAGCAAATGGTGCCTAGAGAGATAGCTGTCCCTGCCCTTTGGGCTCCGCATCAGCTGGCTTGCTGCTCTACCACTTGGCTTTTCTCCTAGGGGCTCCACCCCAGAGAGATGTGAGTTAGCAATCACTTAGTGCGATCAGCCCAGGATGGAGTGTCTGTGCTGTGGGCCCAAGCCAGCGTTCCCTGTCGGGTGATGAACAGTGGAGAGTGTGTGGGACCCATGGGAGATGGACTGGCTTGCTCACTGGGTCAACTGCAACTTGTTGGACATGTCAATACAGCACTTAAAGTCTTTGCTCCCTTGATATTCCAAGGGTAGCAAGGACAGTTCCACTGCAGAGGCAGTGGCATAGAGGATTTCAGTTGCTCCTGGAAGCTCTGTCCAGGGAATTGCTGAGTTGCTACTGGCTTGGTAGCTCCAGTGGGGTGCTGGCTAGAGACCCAGGATGGGAAGACCTGCCCATCAAGAAGATATGGAAACTGGCACCCACGTAACAGTCTGGCCACTTTTCCGTAGGGGGGCTGTGGTATGCTGGGGGTGCACTCCAGTCCCTAACTGCCTCATATTTTCCAGGGCCTGAAGGTATCACCAATGAAGGCTGTGAAAAGGCAAAGATGATAGCCTGCCCCTTCCTCTGGGAGTACTGTACCACTGAGGTACAAACTTGTTGCCAATCTGAACACACCTGTAGGAGGTGGCTGGAGGCAAGTGGAAAAAACTCTTGCCTAATCAGGAGGAACAAGAACAGGGACTTGCTTAAAATGTAGGTCTGGCCACTTTTTGGTAAAGCAGCTGTGCTATGCTGGGGGTTCACTTCAGCTCCTCATCACCTCAGACACTCTGAAGCCCTAAGGCTGAAATGGCTGAGTTGCCCAAACAGCAAAGATGACAATCTGGTCCTCCCCCTGGGAGCTCTGACTCAGGAAGGCCTGAAACCTCTGTCAGCCAGAGAACAGCACTGAAGGTAGCCAGAGACCCTGGTTGAAAGACTCCACTCAGTGATAACAAATGTGGTCAGGGACTGACTTAAAAAAGAGTCTGGTCACATTTTCATAGGGCAGCTGTGCTGTGCTGAGGTACCACTTCCACCCCTGGTCAGCTTGGGCTCTCCAAAGTCTGCAGGCCTGAATGGCTAGTCGCCCAAACAGCAAAGGTGGTGACCCACCCCTCTCTCTGGGTGCTCTGTCCCAGGGGGGATTTAAATCTCTGTTGGCCAGGGAACACTGGTGGGGGTAGCTGGAGGCCTCAGCTGGGAGGTCCTTTCCAGTGAGGAGAAACAGGATCAGGGGCCTGCTTACAGAAGCAGTCTGGCCATGATTTGATAAAGCAGCTGTGCTGTGCTGCAGGATGTCTTCTTCCCCTGGTCGGTTTGTACTCTCCAAAGCCTGCAGGCTGGAATGACTAAGTTGCCCAAAAAGGAAAAATGGTGGCCTGCCCCGTCTTTTCTCTCAGAGTTTATCTTGTGTGATGGACCTTAATTTTCAGGCTGTTAATTTTACTGTTAGCATTAGAGTTGCTCAGAAAGAATCTCACTGTTACCTTTTAGGTTAGATATATGAGAATTCATTGTCTCCTGTAAATAAACCTGTTCATGTCTTGTTCTCTGGAAAGAAGTCTCTTTCTGCTATCTGACTTCAGTCACAATCATGTAGAGCAGTAGCCAGTCTAAAATGACATGATTGAATTTCCATTTCCAGTGTTTCATTGTTGTGTCTTACATTCTGCAGTTCAAAACTGAGCATTTTATTCTCAGTTGTCAAAATGCTAAGCTGTCCACTGTACTGAACTACTGCTTTTGTTAGTGCTTCCTCATTCAATTGTATAGCCTTTAGAAGATTATCATTCTTTTCTTTCACACTTTTAATGTACTCCAGATATTTCTTTTCCCTTAGCTGGTTCTGATGTTTTATTGTGTCTAGTTCTATTCTTAGCATGGCAATTTCTTCCTGCATCATGCTATTTTCATGCAAGAGTTCTTTTTCTTCCTTATGGCTAAGAGAAATCTGAGTAAACAAAGGGAAATTTTAGTTAGCACTCAATAGAGGGACATATCATAATTTCTTCTGAAATTAAAAAGTAACCTGTATGTTTGTATAATGAAAGAATTCCCATAGTGGATATTTACCTAAAAACAAGTTGGACAAAACTTCAAACCTAATAGAGTGTAAACTCCACAAATCTAAATATTTATTTAAAGATTATGAAAATTAAATCACTGGAGGATTTTTAAGAAACTCAGAATTGTAAATGCATTTCTCTGAATTACAAAAAACCCAGAGGCATAAAATATAAGATTAATACATTTGACTATATTTTTTAAATTGGGTTTACACTCTGATATCTCACCTATAAACCATAACATTGTAGGAGCCTTAGCTATACATATGTTAGGGCAGAAGCAATTTCTCAAAATTCTTTAAGTTACTTTTTCTCAAGAATGTTTTATCAATATTCTACTTTTCTAATATGTTATAGTCAGTTATGAGAATTACACTTATTCATAACTGTTAAATCTAAACATTGTACCCTTCTACATTGTACACATCTGCATCTAAACATTGCACCTCTATGTACGACACTGAACTCATTTAAGATCACAATTCTTAAAAGAAGTTAAAAAAATATATATGCAGCTGATTGCAGTGGCTAACACCTATAATACCAGCACTTTGGGAGGCCAAGGCAGGCAGATCACAAGGTCAGGAGTTTGAGACCAGCCTGGCCAACATAGTGAAACCCTGTCTCTACTAAAAATACAAAAAATTAGCCAGGTATGGTGTTGTGCACCTGTAATCCAAGCTACTTGGGAGTCTGAGGCAGGAGAATCGAGTGAACCAGGGAGGCAAAGGTTGCAGTGAGTCAAGATCGTGCCATTGCACTCCAGCCCAGGCAACAGTGCGAGACTCCATCTCAAAAATATATACATATTTTTGAATATATACATATATATTCAAATATACACATATGTATATACACAAGATGCAGGATTTTCTCCAGGTCTTCTGATGCTACTTCTAGTGATCCTCCACAAAATCACAGTTACTTCTGTGGTGTAAATATATAAATACAAAAGAAGCCTTTTATTTCAAAATATGAATGGTAGCATACAACTTATAGAGCTTTTCTTAGAAATCATGAGATTATTTGCCATTGCAATAACTTATTTCTTCTTTATAATGTTTGAAACAGTAATAAGTGTGAAATAGAGGAAAATATACTGAACTCTTTCTCTGGGAACAAAATACTTATCAATAAATTATCACTCAATGTATATCATGCATGTCATTGTTTTCAAAGCTCTTTGCATTGAAATGAGAAACTACTTGGAGCAAACTGTTACTGTCCTCAAAAGTAAGGATAATGATATCCACAATATGGCCTCTGACCCAACTATACATTTCCTACTTTCTTAGCAGTGAAAATAATAAACTGACTTCTCTATTAATATTTTTAAAAGATGAACTAATGTCCAAAAACTGGAAAATCTGTTGTTAGCAAAACTTATTTTTGATATTGGAAAGATCATCAATTCTTATGGAAAATATCAAATGCTTCTTTGGATTTAGGCCATTGTGAATGTCACTACTCAACTGTTGCAGGCAAATGGAGTTGAATTAAGAACATGGCTTTATCCTATATGTACATATATAGACACATGATAAATGATATATACATATATACATATATATGTGATTTAAAAATCCTTTATACTTTCTGAAATATATAGTTGTTTTTTTAAATACATACATTTTATATAAAAGCATTTGAAAATGACTAAAGAAAATACCTCAAAATTCATTTTTTTTTCGGCCACTTCTATCTGCTTCTGTTTAGTAGTCAGAATCTCATCTTGTAATATTCTAGCATTCTGTTCCTTGGAAAGTTGCTTCCGGGTATCATTTTGTTCTTCACTAGAAGAAATTTTAATTTTCATGAGATACTGAAGGTATCCCTAAAATGATTTACAGGCCAAGGTGTCATCATCAGATATCATTCACACAATGTATATCTTGCAGATTAATCCAAGAAAAGGCAAAGGGGTCTCACATCTGTTAAGCCAGCTGTCCCCAACCATGTTGGCACCAGGGACTGGTTTTGTGGAAGGTAATTTTTCCACAGACCTGAGGTGGGGGGATGCTTCCAGGATTATTCAAGCACATTACATTTATTCTGCACTTTATTTCTACTATTATTAATAATGAAATAATTCTATAACTCACCATAATGTAGAAGAATCACTGGGGGCCCTGAGCTTGTTTTCCTGCTACTGTATGGTCTCATCTGGGGGTGACAGGAGATGGTGACAGATCATAAGGCATTAGATTCTCATAAGGAGTGAACAACCTAGATCCCCTGCATGAGCAACTTACAACAGGGTTCAGGTCACACTCCTATGACAATCTAGTGCCACCACTGATCTGACAGGAGGAGGAGCTCAGGCGGTAATGTGAGTGATGGAGAGGGACTGCAAACAGATGAAGCTTCACTTGCTCACCTGCCACTAACCTCCTGCTGTGTGGCCCAGTTTCTAACAGACCAGGGACTGGTACTGGTCCTTGGCCTGGGGATTGGGAACCCCTGTGTTAACCCATAATTTTCATGTTTATTTTTTGGAAACATTTTTAACTTATATTCTTAATTCCTATGTATTTTATAAGCAACTTAGACATTCTTTTGAACAAGACAGGGTCTAATATTTTGTTTTTAACATATATGTTTTTATTATACATATAATATATTACATGTTTTTATTATACATATAATATATGTATTTAACATATAACAAAATTAATTCAAGGTGAATTAATTTTATCTGTTTATGAGACAGAGATGTGAAATAAACTAATCGTGAATCATTTTCCATTTTACTTTTATTTCATGCATATTAAGAATAAAACTGGGAAGTCCCAGGCAGAGCAATTGGGCAAGAGAAATAAAGGGCATCCAAATTTAAAAGAGGAAGTCAAGCTATCTCTTCACCAATGATATGATCTTATACCTAGAAAACCCCAAAGACTCTTACAAAACACTCCTAGATTTGATAAATAAATTCAGTAAAGTCTCAGAGGTTACAAAATAAATGAATACCAATCAGTGGCACAACTATACACCAAATACAACCAAGCTGAGAGTCATATCAAGAACCCAATCTCTTTTACAATGGCTGCAAAAGTGTAAAATACCTAGGAATATACTTAATGAAGGAGGTGAGTGATCTATATAAGGATAACTGGAAAACACTACCGAAGAAAATAATAGATGACACAGACAAATGAAAATACATCCTATGTTCATGGACTGAAAGAACTGATATTGTGAAAAATGACCATAGTACCCAAAGCAGTCTACAGATTTGATACAATTCCTATGAAAGTACCAATGTCATTCTTCACAGAATTATAAAAAAAGTTGACATTTATGTAGAACCATAAAAGAGCCTGAATAACAACAGATGTACCAAGCAAAAGGAACAAACATGTTGGCGTCGCATTATCTGACTTCATATTATGCTCTAAAGCCACAGTAACAAAAACAGCACCATACTGGTATAAAAGTAGATACATAGATCAATGAAACAGAATAGACAATTCAGAAATAAAGCCACTTACAACCAAATGATCTCTGAGAAAGGATACAAAAACATACACTGGAGAAAGTACACATTATTCAATAAATGGCGCTAGGAAAAAAAGATAGCCACATGTAGAAGAATGAAACTGGATCTCTATCTCTTATCATATACAAAAATTAATTCAAGATGGATTAAAGGCCTAAAACTAAGACCTGAAAACATTGACCTAGGTGAAGAATTTATGATGAAGACCCTAAAAGCAAATGCAACAAAAATGAAAATAAATAAATAAGACCTAATTAAACTAAAAAGCTTCAGCTTCAGCACCGCAAATTGATAATCATAAGAGTAAACCAACAACCTATAGAATGGGAAAAATATTTGCAAATTATGAATCTGTCAAAGACTAATATCCATAACCTACAAGAATCTCAAACAGATCAGCAGGAAAAATACAAATGATTCCATTAAAAAGTGTGCACATGACATGAATAGACATTTCTCAAAAGAGGATGAGCAAATGCTGAACAAGCATATAAAAACATACTAAATATCACTAATCATCAGGGAAATGTAAACTAAAACAACAATGAGATATCACCTCACTGCAGCCATAATGGCCACTATTAAAAATCAAAAGACAACAGACGTTGGTGTGGATGTGGTGAAAAGAGAACAGTTATACACTGCTGATGGGAATGCAAGTTAGTACAAAATCTGTGGAGACTCTCAAAGAACTAAAAGTAGATCCTACCATTGTACCCAGCATTCTCATTTCTGGATATCTACAAAAGAAATCGTACTCTCAAAAAAACACCTTCATACATATGTTTGCTGCAGCACAATTACAACATGAAAATATATGGAATCAACCAGTGTCCATTGACTGATGAATGGCATAAAGAAAATGTGATATATATACACATATATGTGTGTGAGTCCATATATCTATGTGTGTATATATATACTTATATACATACATCTACATATACATACATGTATAGATACGTATATATACACACACACACACACACACACCACAGAATACTACTCAGCCATAAAGAAGAATGAAATAATGTTTTTTCCAGCAAATTGGATGGAGCTAGAGGCCATTATTCTAAGTGAAGTAACTCAGGAATGGAACGACAAATACCACATGTTCTCATTTATAAGTGGGAGCTATGCTAGGTTATGTAAAGGCAGGTAGAGTGGTATAATGACATTGGAGACTCAGAAGAAGGAAGGGGAGAAGAAAAGTGAGCAATAAAACTACCTACTGGGTGATGGGTACACTAAAATCCCAGACTTCACCACTATAAAATTGATCCATGTAACCAAAAACCACTTGTACCCCTAAAGCTATTGAAATAAAAATAAATCAATTTAAACAGAGAGTTAAAAAAAGAATAAAACTGTATAAAGTTTTTAAAAAGTATTCTGGTTTGAGACAAATGGCCATTTCATGCTCTGTTGGTTGAACTGTAAATTAATACAAATATTCTTTTTTTAATTTTAATTTTAATTTCCAGAGTACATGGGCAGAATGTGCAGGCTTGTTACATAGGTAAACATGTGCCACAGTGGTTTGCTGCACCTATCAACCCATCACCTAGGTATTAAGCTCAGCATGCATTCAATACAAATATTCTTGAGGACAATTTAGAAATATTGATCCAAGGCCTTTTTGAAAAAGTTTCTATATTTTAACCAAAAAATTCTATATTGAAGACTTTATACAAAGTAAATAATTAGAAATGCAGAAAATGATTTATATAAAAGATATTCTGGGCTGGGCGTGATGGCTCACTCCTGTAATCCCAATGCTTTGGGAGGCCAAGGCAGGAGGACTGTTGGAGGTCAGGAGTTGGAGATCAGACTGGGCAAGATAGTGAGACCTTGTCTCAATGAAAAATTTCAAAAGTTAGCCAGGCATGGGAGCATGTGCCTACAGTCTGAGCTGCTTAGGAATTTGAGGCAAGAGGATCCCTTGACCCCAAAAGTTCAAAGTTGTAGTAAGCTATGTTTGCACCAGTGCACTGCAGCCTCAGTGACAGAGCAAAATTCTAATAATAATAATCATAATAATAATGATAATAGTAATAATAAAAAGTATTTCTTGCAGCATTAATTCTAATACAAAAGAATCAAAAACCCCAAATTCTGTTTGTTAAATAATGAGATTTCTATATGGTAAACTTCTAAATAGCCATTAAAATCACAATTTAAAAGCATATGCAATAAATAAAAGAAGCACAGTTAAGAATTTGTTGTATTATTTCCAAGATTTTCAGACTCCATAAGACCAAGACGTTTTCTCCCATTAAGCCCCAGAAAGTCAGCAATCACAATTCTCACATATATATTTAGAATAAAGAGTTAAAATATTTCTCTAAAACTAGAATGTCATACCTCGAACTGTAGCGTTCTTGCTCACATTCACCTTTCTGAGGAGCTAACTGTAATTGTGTTTCTTTTGCCTCAGATAGCTATTTTTGTAGTACATGAACCATATTTTCCATTTGTTCAACTTCTACTGTAAGTTGCTCATAGTGGCTATTTTTGAGTTCTAGTAAGTGTTCTTCTGAAATAACTGCATCCTGGATTTTTGATAGGCTAGCAGAATCTGCATCGGGGGGAAACAAGGTGGAAATAAAATATAAGAGTAGTTTTTGGATATAAAGTCCCGTGCATTTTAACCTTCACCCATCCATACACCAAACAAATATGCACTGAGTTCCTACCATGGCGAACACAGTCTACTGAGCTCTGCAGATAAAACAAACAGTAACTCTGCTCTTGTTTAGCTTTAGGTGTAGTGAAGAAAAAATACAAAGAAGTGAAATTACAAATTCAGATAGATGCTGCAAGAAAACAGTTCTATGATCACACAGGATTTGATCTATACTGGGCTCAGGAAGATTCCCCTGGGGAAGAGCGGGCTACACTGAGAAATGAAGGGTGAGAAGGAAGCTGTTAAGTAAAGGGGGTAGAAAAGCATTCTAGCTAGTCTATGTCATGTACTGAAGCTCTGCTGCAGTCTGCTTCTGGCCACGATGGAGCAGCAGATACTGATTTACCTTCTCACTTAAAACAAAACCAAAAAAGACAAAATACATAATACCACGATTTTCAAGAACAAGGATTTCAGGTAATGAAGACAATGAACCCTGTAAGATAGGAAACAAGAGAAATAAGCCTTACAAACACCCCAGCCCCCTGACTTGGCAAAGTTTCCAGGCCATGACAATTGAAGGAAAAAAAACTGAGGTAGAGTCTACCAAAAACTGAGGTAGAGCCCCAGATTCTCTGAGTTCGAACAATGAAGCTGAGAATCTCATTGGGTATTTATTTAGCAGAATAATGAACAGTATATTTGTCCTAGGAAACTACTTGAGACCAGGGGGAAAAAATCCTTAAAAAATTGTAAGAAACAGTGCCTGTTGCTCACAGTGTACCAGGAAGAGTGTCCATTCGTCTGAATGATGCTGAAAAAACTCAAGACTTCACAGGGCAAAGAATAGAGTTATCAGAAACACCTTGATTCAGGAGTGGAAAATTAGACCAAATCAAAAAACAAGACCAGAAAGATCAAGTTGTTTATAAGTCAACTGTGTCCCCAAATAAATCTCAAGTAGAGACATGGAAGATATTTCTTGAAAGAAAATTACACTAGTAGGAATTCAAATTAAAATGTCAGGACTGGGCCAGTTATGGTGGCTCATGCCTGTAATCCCAGCATTTTGGGAGGCCAAGGCAGGTGGATCACTTGAGGTCAGGAGTTCGAGACCAGCCTGGCCAACATGGTGAAATCCCATCTCTACTAAAAGTACAAAGAAATTAGCTGGGCATCATGGCAGGCACCTGTAACCCCAGCTACTCGGGAGGCTGAGGCAGGAGAATGGCTTGAACCCAGGAGGCAGAGGATGCAGTGAGAGGTGATCGAGCCATTGCTCTCCGGCCTGGGCAATGGAGTCAGACTTTGTTTCAAAAAACAAACAAACAAACAAACAAAAACAAAGTCATGACGGAAAGGACACTGGTAGAAGTAAATACAGACTAGATACCACAAAAGAGAAGATTCATAAATTTGGGACATCAGAGAATTATGCAAAAACTTTAAGCAATAATATACCTGTCCCCAAAGAGGGAGGGAGAGACAATGACAAAACATAAAGAGAAAATGAACAGAAACTTTCTAAACTTAATGAAAACCATAATTCCACAAATCCAGGAAGAATCTGGCTGGGAGAGAGGAAATGAAAGCATACTATTCTGATTTTCTTATGCCATATGTGATATGATATAATATTGTCTGAAAGTGAACTGTGATAAGTTAAAATCATACAGTACAAATTGTAATGCAACCATTAAGATAGCAAAAAAAAAAATAGAGCCAATAAGCCAAAAAATGAGAGATAAAACTAAACCATAAAAGTTACATAACTAATTGAAAGGAAATTAGAAAAAGAAGGGAACAAAGAATAGCTGGGACTAATGAAAATCAAACAGCGCGATGACAGATAAACTTAAATATTAATATATCAATAATCACATTATAAATGAAATGGGTCTAATAACCTAAATTAAAAGACAAATTGTCAAACTGTATAAAAAGCAAGATCCTACTCCATGCTACCTATAAGAAACACACTTTAAATATAAAGACACAAATTGGTTAAAAGGAAGAAAAATATATCCCATGCAAACAGATGACAAAAGAAATCTAATCAGGAATCATTATATTAATACTAAAGTAGATTTCACAACAAAAAATATTACTAGTTATAAACAACATCATTTCAGAATGATAAAATATTTAGTTATTCAAGAACACATAATCTTAAATGTTTATGTACCTGGTAACATAACGGCTTCGAAATATGAGCTAAAAACTGATAGAAGAAATTGACAAATTCACAGGTATAGTGTGAGATTTCAATATTGCGTACTGAATACATGATAAAACAAGGAGGCAGAAAATCAGCAAGACAAGAGTAGACTTGAAGAACACTATGCTTCTCAAGTGCCCTTGGAACACTTAGCAAAACAGACCACATTCTAGGCCATACAATAAATCTTCATGAAAGTATTAAGTCAAAAGTATTTAAGTCATACAAAGTATGGTCCCTGACCACAAAAGAATAAAATTAGAAATCAGTAACAAAATAGCTCATCAAAATACTCAAAAATTTGGAAACAAAGTAACACATATCTAAATAATCCTAGGCAAAGTGGTGACACAAAGAGAAATTGGAAACTATTTTGAACTGAATAAAAATGAAAATACTACATGTTAGACTTTGTGGAATATAGCTACAACAGTTCCTAAATGAAAAGTTAGCACGGAATGTCTATACTGGAAGACATTCAGATCAATAGCCTTGACTTCTATCTTAAGAAAGTAAAAAAGGTCTGGACACAGTGGCTCATGCCTATAATCCCAGCACTTTCGGTGGCCTAGGTGGATGGGTCATGAAGTCAGGAGTTCGAGTCCACCCTGGCCAATATGGTGAAACCCCATCTCTACTAAAAATACAAAAATTAGCTGGGTGCAGTGGTGCACACCTGTAGTCCTAGCTACTTAGGAGGCTGAGGCATGAGAATTGCTTGAATCCAGAGGCAGAGGTTGCAGTGAGCTGAAATCACACCACTGCACTCCAGGCTAGATGACAGAATGAGACTCTGTCTCAAAAACAAGCAAACAAACGAAAAGTAAGTAAAAAAGAAGAAACTACAAAAAAAGAGAGCAAATTAAACCCAACAGAAGCAGAGAAAATAATAAACATCAGAACATAGTGTGAACATTTTTGTCCTCCCAAAACTCATATGCTGAAACTTAATCACAGAGGTGATGTTATTAGATACTGCAGCTTTGTGGAGGTGATAGCTCATGGAATCCAAGCCCTAATGAATGGGATTAGTGCCCTTCTTATATAAGAGACCCCAGAAAGCTCATTCACCCCTTCTGCCATATGAAGCACACAGGGGAAATAAAGGAATATAGAAATCAGGAATTTGTCCCTCACCAGACACTGAATCTTCTGGCACCTTGATCTTGGACTTTGCAGCCTTTAGGAATGTATGAAATCAGTTTCTGTTGTTTATAAGCTACCAAGTCTATGGTATTTTGTGAGAGCAGGCCAAACCGATGATGACATCAAAGATGAAACAGGAGAACAATAGGGAAAATCAATAAAACCAAATACTTTGAGGTCATCAGTGGAAGTGATAAACCTTGACCTAGCCAGGCTGATCATAAAAAAGAGAATAAATTACTAACTTCAGAGATAATTAATGTAACATTTTTATACATTCTACAGATATTAAAAGAATAGCAAGATAATAGTGCAAGCTTTATGTAACTAACCATTACCACTTAGATTAAGTGGGCACGTTCCTTAAAAAATAAAAATTACCAAAGCTCAATCAAGAAGAAATAGATAATCCAAATCACCCTATATCTATGAAAGAAAATAAAGTTGAGAAAACTCCAGGCCCAGATAGCTATGCTAGTGAATTCTATCAAACAGTTTAGGCAGATGTAATATAATTTTACACAACCTCTCTCCCAAATAATAAAGAGGAGAAATACAACACAACTCATTCTATAATGCTAGCATTACCCTGAACCAAACAATGATATTACAAAAAAGAAAACTCCCTCATGAACATTGACAAAATATTTCACAAATTTCTGAAGCAACCAAGATACCTTGCAATAGGTGAGTGAACAACCTCTGGTACAGTTACACAATGAACCATTATTCAGTTCTAAACAGAAACGAGCTATCAGGTCATGAGAAGACATGATGGAAACATAAACGCATATTACTAAGTGAAAGATGCCAATCTGAAGGCTATGCACTGTATGATTTCAGCTATATGACATTGTAGAAAGGGCAAAACTATGGATACAGTAAAAAGATCAGTGGTTACCTGTGGTTGAGGAGGGCATGAAAGGGCAGATAGGTGAAACATAAATAAATTTTAGAGCAGTAAAATTACTTTGTACAATACTATAATGATGAATATCAGTCCTTTCCAAACCTACAGAATGTACAACACCAAGAGTGCACACTAATATAAACTATGAAATCTGGATGATTATGACATGCAATTTTGGTTCATCAATCATATCAACTGTACCACTATAGTGAGAGATACTGATAATGGGGGAAGCTATGCATGTCTGTGGACAGGAAGCACAGACAATCTCTGTACCATACTTTCAATGTTGCTGTGAACCTAAAACTACATTTACATAGTCTTTTAAAATTTTCTAAACAGAATTTTGGCAAACTGAATACAAATAAATATAGGGTCTCATTTTTTTGCCCAGGTTGGTCTCGAACTCCAGCTTCAAGCAATCCTCCTGCCTTGACCTCCCAAAGTACTAAAATTACAAGCATGAGCCACCGTGTCCGGCCCCAATGATATACTTTTTAAAAGCCTACATCCTAAGAAAATAAGTTTTATTCTAAAATGAAAGGTTGGTTTAACATTAAAATATCAGTTATTCACCCCATTAAAACACTAAAAGAGAAGAACCTTATGATTATCTCAGTAAATAAAGACATTTGATAAAATTCAACTTCATTCTTGATTTAAAAAGAAAAAAAAACTCAGCAACCTAAGAATACAAATGAACTTCATCAGCATGATACAAAGCATCTATAATAAACCTACAGTTAATGTGTATCATGATGACAAACTGAATGCTTTCCCCGTATCAGGAATGACACAATAATGCCTGCTTTCAACACTTTAGTAAGCATTGTGCTGAAGATTCTAGCCAGTGCTGTCAGACAAGAAAAATAAATAAAAGTTATCCAGGTTGGAAAGAAGAAGTAAAACTGTCTTTATTCACAACCATGATCACATAATAGGGGCAGATAAACTACAGCCTCTGGGCCAGCTTCTGGCTTTTGTAAATAAAGTTTTATTGGAACACAGCTGAGTTTATTAATGTAGGTAACTTCCCTGACTGCTCTCATACTACAATGGCAGAGTTGACTAGCTGCAACAGAGACTGCTTTGCCACAAGTCTAAAAGACTTCCTATCCATAGTAAGAAAGTAGTTTGAGAATGAAAAGATTTGATAATCTTTGTTGTATGTATAAAATCTGATCAAATCTACCAAAAAAGCTACTAGAACTAATAAGTAAGTCTAAGTTTAGCAAGGAGGGAGGATACAAAAATCAACATACAAAAATCAGCTGTATTCCTATATCCTAGCAGTAAACAATCAACTTGAAATTTTTTTAAATGTCATTTATAACTTCATTAAAAAATGAGATACAGATGAATCTGATAAAATAAGGAAACACCAAGGCTGGGCACAGTGGCTCATGCCTGTAATCCCAGCATTTTGGGAAGCCAAGCCGGGAGGATTACTTGAGTTCAGGAATTTAAGACCACTCTGGACAAAATGGTGAAACCCCATCTCTACTAAAAATACAAAACTTAGCTGGGTGCAGTGGCTCATGCCTATAATCCCAGTTACTTAGGAGGCTGAGGCAGGAGAATCATTTGAACCCAGGAGGCAGAGGTTGCAGTAGGCCAAGATCGAGGCACCGCAATCCAGCCTGGAGTGAAACTGTCTCAAAAAGAAAGGAAAGCCATATTTTAAAATCTATAAAATATTACTGAGAAAATTAAATTTGACCTATATAAATAGAAACCATTTCACAGGAGTCAAAAAATGCATTCTCATTAAAATGTAAATCTTCCCCCAATTAATGTATAGATTCATCACTAACTCAGTGTAATTTCCAGCACAGCAGGTTTTTAAAAAATTAACTATCTGGGAGAGGGGTGGAGCCAAGATGGCCAAATAGGAACAGCTCCAGTATACAGCTCCCAACGTGAGACATGCAGAAGATGGGTGATTTCTGCATTTCCAACTGAGGTACTGGGTTCATCCCACAGAGGAGTGCTGGACAGTGGGTGCAGCACACCATGCATGAGGCAAAGCAGGGTGAGGCATCACCTCACCAGGAAGCACAAGGGGTCAGGGAATTCCCTTTCCTAGTGAAAGAAAGGGGTGACAGATGGCACCTGGAAAATCAGGTCACTCCCACCCTAATACTTTGCATTTCCAATGGGCTTAACAAATGGCACATCAGGAGATTATACCCCACACCTGGCTGAGAGGGTCCTATGCCCACGGAGCCTCACTCATTGCTAGCACAGCAGTCTGAGATCAAACTGCAAGGCAGCAGTGAGGCTGGGGGAGGGGCACCCACAATTGCTCAGGCTTCAGTAGGTAAACAAAGCTGCCAGGAAGTTCTAACTCGGAGGAGCCCACCACAGCTCAAGCAGGCCTGCCTGCCTCTGTAGGCTCCACCTCTGGGGGCAGGGCACAGACTAACAAGAGGCAGCAGTAACCTCTGCAGACTTAAAAGTCCGTGTCTGACAGCTTTGAAGAGAATAGTGGTTCTCCCAGCACACAGCTTGAGATCTGAGAATGGACAGACTGCCTCCTCAAGTGGGTCCCTGACTGCTGAGTAGCCTAACTGGGAGGCACCCAACAGTAGGGGCAGACTGACACCTCAAATGGCTGGGTACTCCTCTGAGACAAAACTTCCAGAGGAACGATCAGGCAGCAGCATTTGCTGTTCACCAATATCCGCTGTTCTGCAGCCACTGCTGCTGATACCCAGGCAAAGAGGGTCTGGAGTGGACCTCCAGTAAACTCCAACAGACCTGCAGCTGGGGGTCCTAACTGTTAGAAGGAAAACTAACAAACAGAAAGGACATCCACACCAAAACCCCATCTGTATGTCACCATCATCAAAGACCAAAGGTAGATAAAACCACAAAGATGGGGAAAAAACAGAGCAGAAAAACTGGAAACTCTAAAAATCAGAGGTCCTCTCCTCTTCCAGAGGAACACAGCTCCTCACTAGCTAATGGAACAAAGCTGGACGGAGAATGACTTTGATGAGTTGAGAGAAGAACGCTTCAGAAGATCAAACTATTCTGAGCTAAAGGAGGAAGTTGGAACCAATGGCAAAGAAGTTAAAAATCTTGAAAAACAATTAGATGAATGGCTAACTAGAATAACCAGTGAAGAGAAGTCCTTAAAGGACCTGACGGAGCTGAAACCCAAGGTATGAGAACTATGTGACAAATGCACAAGCCTCAGTAGCTGATGCGATCAACTGGCAGAAAGGGTATCAGCAATGGAAGACAAAATGAATGAAATGAGTGAGAAGAGAAGTTCAGAGAAAAAAGAATAAAAAGAAATGAACAAAGCCTTCAAGAAATATGGGACTATGTGAAAAGACCAAAACTACATCTGATTGGTGTACCTGAAAGTGATGGGAAGAATGGAACCAAGTTGGAAAACACTCTGCGGGATATTATCCAGGAGAACTTCCCCAATCTAGCATGGCAGGCCAACATTCAAATTCAGGAAATACAGAGAATGCCACAAAGATACTCCTGGAGAAGAGAAACTCCAAGACACATAATTGTCAGATTCACCAAAACTGAAATGAAGGAAAAAATGTTAAGAGCAGCCAGAGAGAAAGGTCGGATTAACAACAAAGGGAAGCCCATTAGACTAACAGCTGATCTCTCAGCAGAAACTCTACAAGCCACAAGACAGTGGGGGCCAATATTCAACATTCTTAAAGAAAGAATTTTCAACCCAGAATTTCATATCCAGCCAAACTAAGCTTCATAAGCAAAGGAGAAATAAAATACTTTACAGACAAGCAAATGCTGAGAGATTTTGTCACCACCAGGCCAGCCCTAAAAGAGCTCCTGATGGAAGCACTAAACATGGAAAGGAACAACCAGTACCAGACACTGCAAAAACATGCCAAATTGTAAAGACTATCAAGGCTAGAAAGAAACAGCATGAACTAATGAGCAAAATAACCAGCTAACATCATAATGACATGATCAAATTCACACATAACAATATTAACCTTAAATATAAATGGGCTAAATGTTCCAATTAAAAGACACAGACTGGCAAATTGGATAAAGAGTCAAGACCCATCAGTGTGCTGTATTCAGGAAACCCATCTCACGTGCAGAGACACACATAAGCTCAAAATAAAGGGATGGAGGAAGATCTAACAAACAAATGGAAAACAAAAAAAGGCAAGGGTTGCAATCCTAGTCTCAGATAAAACAGACTTTAAACCAACAAAGATCAAAAGAGACAAAGAAGGCCATTACATAATGGTAAAGGGATCAATTCAACAAGAAGAGCCAACTATCTTAAATATATATGCCACCAATACAAGAGCACCCAGATTCATGAAGCAGGTCCTTAGTGACCTACAAAGAGACTTAGACTCCCACACAATAATAATGGGAGACTTTAACACCCCACTGTCAACATTAGACAGATCAACGAGACAGAAAGTTAACAAGGATATCCAGGAATTGAACTCAGCTCTGCACCAAGCAGACCTAATAGACATCTACAGAACTCTCCACCCCAAATCAACAGAATATACATTTTTTTCATCACCACACCACACCTATTCCAAAATTGACCACACAGTTGGAAGTAAAGCACTCCTCAGCAAATGTAAAAGAACAGAAATTATAACAAACTGTCTCTCAGATGACAGGGCAATCAAAGTAGAACTCAGGATTAAGAAACTCACTCAAAACTGCTAAAATACATGGAAACTCAACAACCTGCTCCTGAATGACTACTGAGTACATAACGAAATGAAGGCAGAAATAAAGATGTTCTTTGAAACCAGAGAGAACAAAGGCACAACGTACAAGAATCTCTGGGACACATTCAAAGCAGTGTGTGGAGGGAAATTTACAGCACTACATGCCCACAAGAGAAAGCAGGAAAGATCTAAAATTGACACCCCAACATCACAATAAAAGAGAACTAGAGAAGCAAGAGCAAACACATTCAAAAGCTAACAGAAGGCAAGAAATAACTAAGATCAGAGCAGAAATGAAGGAAATAGAGACACAAAAAAACCCTTCAAAAAATCAACGAATCCAGGAGCTGGTTTTTTGAAAAGATCAAAAAAATTGATAGACCACTAGCAAGACTAATAAAGAAGAAAAGAGAGAAGAATCAAGTAGACACAATAAAAAATGACAAAGGGAATGTCACCACCGATCCCACAGAAATACAAACTACCATCAGAGAATACTATAAACACCTCCATGCAAATAAACTAGAAAATCTAGAAGAAACGGATAAATTCCTCAACACATACACCCTCCCAAGTCTAAACCAGCAAGAGTTGAATCTCTGAATAGACCAATAACAGGCTCTGAAATTGAGGCAATAATTAATAGTTTACCAACTAAAAAAAGTCCAGGACCAGATGGATTCACAGCCGAATTCTACCAGAGGTACAAGGAGGAGCTGGTACCATTCCTTCTGAAACTATTCCAATCAATAGAAAAAGAGGGAATCCTCCCTAACTCATTTTATGAGGCCAGCATCATCCTGATACCAAAGCCTGGCAGAGACACAACAAAAAAAAGAGAATTTTAGACCAATAACCTTGATAAACATTGATGCAAAAATCCTCAATAAAATACCGCCAACTGAATCCAGCAACACATTAAAAAGCTTATCCACCATGATCAAGTCGGCTTCATCCCTGGGATGCAAGGCTAGTTCAACATATGAAAATCAATAAATGTAATACAGCATATAAACAGAACCAAAGACAAAAACCACATGATTATCTCAATAGATGCAGAAAAGGCCTTTGACAAAATTCAATAACACTTCATGCTAAAGACTCTCAATAAATTAGGTATTGATGGGACATAACTCAAAATAATAAGAGCTATCTATGACAAACCCACAGCCAATATCATACTGAATGGGCAAAAACAGGAAGCATTCCCTCTGAAAACTGGCACAAGACAGGGATGCCCTCTGTCACCACTCCTATTCAACACAGTGTTGGAAGTTCTGGCCAGGGCAATCAGGCAGGAGAAGTTAATAAAGGGCATTCAATTAGGGAAAGAGGAAGTCAAACTGTCCCTCTTTACAGATGACATGATTGTATATCTAGAAAACCCCATCGTCTCAGCCCAAAATCTCCCTAAGCTGATAAGCAATTTCAGCAAACTCTCAGGATACAAAATCAATGTGCAAAAATCACAAGCATTCTTATACACCAATAACAGACAAACAGAGAACCAAATCATGAGTGAACTCCCATTCACAATTGCTTCAAAGAGAATAAAATACCTAGGAATACAACTTACAAGGGACGTGAAGTACCTCTTCAAGGAGAACTACAAACCACTGCACAATGAAATAAAAGAGGATACAAAGAAATGGAAGAACATTTCATGCCCATGGGTAGGAAGAATTAATATCGTGAAAATGGCCATACTGCCCAAGGCAATTCATAGATTCAATGCCATCCCCATCAAGCTACCAATGACTTTCTTCACAAAATTGGAAAAAAACTACTTTAAAATTCATATGGAACCAAAAAAGAGCCCACACTGCCAAGTCAATCCTAAGCCAAAAGAACAAAGCTGGAGGCATCACACTACCTGACTTCAAACTATACTACAAGGCTACAGTAAACAAAACAGCATGGTACTGGTACCAAAACACAGATATAGAACAATGGAACAGAACAGAGCCCTCAGAAATAACACTGCATTATCTACAACTATCTGATCTTTGACAAATCTGACAAAAAACAAGCAATGGGGAAAGGAGTCCCTATTTAATAAATGGTGCTGGGAAAACTGGCTAGCCATATGTAGAAAGCTGAAACTGGATCCCTTCCTTACACATTATACAAAAATTAATTCAAGATGGATTAGAGACTTACATGTTAGACCTAAAACCATAAAAACCCTAGAAGAAAACCTAGGCAATACCATTCAGGACATAGGCATGGGCAAGGACTTCATGTCTAAATCACCAAAAGCAATGGCAACAAAAGCCAAAATTGACAAATGGGATCTAATTAAACTAAAGAGCTTCTGCACAGCAAAAGAAACTACCATCAGACTTAACAGGCAACATACAGAATGGGAGAGAGTTTTTGCAACCTACTCATCTGACAAAGGGCTATCTACAATGAACTCAAACAAATTTACAAGAAAAAAACAAAGAACCCCATCAAAATGTGGGTGAAGGGTATGAACAGACACTTCTCAAAAGAAGACATTCATGCAGCCAAAAAACACATGAAGAAATGCTCACCATCACTGGCCATCAGAGAAACGCAAATCAAAACCACAATGAGATACCATCTCACACCAGTTAGAATGGTGATCATTAAAAAGTCAGGAAACAACAGGTGCTGGAGAGGATGTGGAGAAATAGGAACACTTTTACACTGTTGATGGGATTGTAAACTAGTTCAACCATTGTGGAAGTCAGTGTGGCGATTCCTTAGAGATCTAGAAGTGGAAATACCATTTGACCCAGCCATCCCATTACTGGGTATATACCCAAAGGATTATAAATCATGCTGCTATGAAGACACATGCACACGTATGTTTATTGCAGCACTATTCACAATATCAATGACTTGGAACCAACCGAAATGTCCATCAATGATAGACTGGATTAAGAAAATGTGGCACATATGCACCATGGAATACTATGCAGCCATAAAAAGGATGAGTTCATGTCCTTTGTAGGGACATGGATGAAGCTGGAAACCATCATTCTCAGCAAACTATTGCAAGGACAAAAAAAAAAACACCACATGTTCTCACTCATAGGTGGGAATTGAACAATGAGAACACTTGGTCACAGGGTGGGGAACATCACACACCGGGGAGTGTTGTGGGGTTGGGGGAGGGGGGAGGGATGGCATTAGGAGATATACCTAATGCTAAATGATGAGTTAATGGGTGCAGCACACCAACATGGCACATGTATACATATGTAACAAACGTGCACGTTGTGCACATGTACCCTAAAACTTAAAGTATAATAATGATAAAATTTTTTAAAAAGTTAAATTTGAACTACAAAAAAAAATTAACAATCTGATTCTAAAACTCAAGTGCAAATGCAAAAGATCCAACATAATCAAAATAACCCTTAAAAAAGAAGAAAACTGAAGGGCTGGTGTCAAGATTTAGTATAAATTTACAGTAATGAAACAGTGTGATATGGGTGGAATATCTCTACAAGTGCATGGTACCAAAAGTGTTTTGGGTTTTGGAATATTTGCACATATATAATGAGATATCTCAAAAATGGAATCGAACTCTAAACACAAAATACACTTATGTTACATGCACCTTATATGCAGGGCTTAAAGGTAATTTTATGGAACACTTTTAGTAAATTTGCAGATGAAAGTTTGTGTACCTGATGTCTAGTTTGAAATTTTCTACTTGTGGCATCATTTTGGCACTCAAAAAGTTTTGGATTTTGCAGCATTTCTGATTTTGGATTTTGGATTAGGGATGCTAGACCTACATGAAGAAAGCCAGATAGAGATAGTCTCCAGTTTAAGATGGTTCTACTTAGAATTTTTCAACTGTACAATGGGTTTATTGGGGTATTAAATTGATTTTCAAATTATGATTGGTTCATCAGTATAACTCTAGAAGAATACGCAGATTGATGGAATACAACAAATGGTCCAGAAATAGACACACACACATATGCCAGCTTACTTTTCACAAAGGGACAATAGCAATGTATGGAGAAAAGACAGCATTTTCAACATATGCTGCTGGAACAGATAGATATCCACATCCATACAATGAACTTACATCACACCTCACTCATATGCAAAAATGTACACAATGTGGATCACAGATCTAAATATAAAACCTAAAACTATAAAAATTCTTCAAGAAAGCAGAGGAGAAAAATCTCTGGGACCCTGTGCTGGACAAAGACTTTTTTTAGGCATGAGACAAAAAGCAAAGTCTGTAATTAAACGAACAGATATATCACATTTCATCAAAACGAAAAACTTCAGCTCTTTAAAATATATTATTAAGAAAACAAAAAGTCAAGCTACAAACTGGGAAAAAATCTTTCTGAAAAAGCATAATAATGGAATGATATCCAGAATTTATTTTAAAAAACTCTTAAAACTCAGCAAATAAGAATAAAAACTATCTAATTTTTAAATCTTTATAAGCTATCCAGATTGGAAAAGACAGTTCACTAAAGAAGATATACAGGTGGCAAATCAGCACACGGGAAGATGTTCAACATTCTTAGTCCTTAGGTCAATGCATATTCACACCACAGTGACACGCACAATATGCACCCATTGGAATGGCTAACAGTAAAAACTAATAAACAGCAATACTAAGAGCTCATGATGACATTGCACAATGAGAATTGTCATATACTGCTGATGGGAATGGAATACAGTATAAATACTTAAACATTTAGTAGTTTCTTAATAAGGAGAATACAAACGGACAGGAAGAGATTTTTATGGATGATGGGCATGTTACTGCTCTTGATTATGGTGATGGTTTCACATGTGCATACGTATGCCAAAACTTATCAAATCGTATATTTTACGTACATTCAGCCTATCATATATCAGTTATACCTCACTAAAGCTATAAATTGCAGGAATAAACATCTAAGACAATGGCTAGGGCAGGGAAAAAAGGGTATTAAATGATGCAAGAGAGAGCTAGAATATTCAGATCTTAACCTAATAGCAATGGCAAGTGGTATGCTGAGTTACAAGGAAGAGACAACATCAGATCTGAATTTTTTTAAATTAATAATTATAGTTTCAGAGTAGACCATGGTCTCAGGAAGTGGGGTAGCAGGAAAAATAGTTCTAAGGTTACTGCAGTATTCTGAGTGGGAGAGAATGGTAACCCGATCTGGGAGAAGCAGAGTCAATAAAAAGGCTGAGACTGCCCTTCACACTGAGAAAGGTACAGTGGAGTTATCATAGCTCTTTGGTATACAATATACATTATTTCTCAGTCTATTTTAATGTCAAACACGTTTCTGAGATGATCATCCCTATCACACGTCAGTGCTCTGTGGTGCAATACTAAGCAATGTGTGTGAATATTACTGTGGGATACATTAAAAGGCCTTCTACTTATGCAATGGTCCTACCGTTAAAATCCATTTTGAGTTGTTCAATGAGCAATGTAAAAGTCTCATAATTAGAGAAAAGCAAATCATAATCCTCTGACGCTATTTCTGATGGCCATGTTATGTCATCAAGGTTATCCACTGAATGTATTTGGCTTTTGACCTGTAAGATAAATAATACTGCCTCAAATGTCCTCAAAATATTCATAGAATATACCAGTTGTACAGAAGTGGTATTTATTCATATTTTTATATGAGCAAAACCACAGGTGCTTCTTAAAACAACAGATTTTTCTTAAAAGGGTACCGTTATCAATGGGTACTTGTTATTAAGCCCTTTTATTCTAACTAATTGTCTTTATTAAAAAAGGTTCTCACTTTACCTTTTATAATGTGTTTTTTTAACAATAATGTTTCAGATAATTTACTTATTACAATACCTTGTTCTTTTCATTAGATTTCTTTTCAGGCCTGAAAAAAGAAACAATTCTTCTTAGACAAACAAATACATAAAATACAAATAATGTCCAAATCTATTATTTTATTATATAAAATCTCGGCATTTATAAGTTATTTATTCTATCCATTAAGTGTTCAGGTCATTTTTTAACAGGTAATGTAAATATAACTATTTTCCACATGGGGAATTAAACTATAAACAGAAAGAGTAACATTAAGGGAGAAAGAAAATATGATAATAATAATATCATTACAAAGAATTGAATTTAGATCAAGCTTTCTGACAGTCAAGGCAAAAGGAAAAACATGTTACTGATATTATGTGATAGAAAGACATATACCAGGACTTCTCATTGCTGTCCTTTTCAATAAAAACAAGCTTTTACTGGCACTGAAACCTATTTGGAAAACATTATTTATGTTCTTATGTGAGGGGAACCCTTTTTTAAATGATAATATTAGCTTTTTCAGGACTTATTATGCAGACACTATGCATCATTCTAAGCACTGTGCATGTGTCAAGCTCATTTTAATCATCATAACAATTCTTTGAGGTAGGTAATATTAGGGCTTCTATAAAGAAAGAAACTAGGCCCAGAAAGGCCATATAAATTTTCCCAGCCCATAGAGCTGGTCAGTAATTGACACAGCATTGAAATCCAAGAATTCTCCCTCCAAAACATGTGTTTTGCAATATGCTGTGAAGGTAATATTTATATTCAAGTGTTTTTAAGAGATATGATAGCAGACAAATCCATATTATCATTCTGTTTTTGGCTATAACTAAAAATTTCTGATTATCATTCTGTTTTTGGCTATAACTAATAATTTCTGAATCCTGCACTTTTTTTTCACCTTTTGAAAATTGCAGTGTCTTTTTTTTATATATACATACTTTAAGTTTAGGGTACATGTGCATAACGTGCAGGTTTGTTACATATGTATACATGTGCCATGTTGGTGTGCTGCACCCATTAACTCATCATTTAGCATTAGGTATATCTCCTAATGCTATCCCTCCCCCCTCCCCCCACCCCACAACAGTCCCTGGTATGTGATATTCCCCTTCCTGTGTCCATGTGTTCTCATTGTTCAATTCCCACCTATGAGTGAGAACATGAATCCTGCACTTTTTTAAAAAATAAAGACTTTATACAGAGGCAAGTTTGGAAACCTACTACTTTCAAAAAACTAAAAATTAGTTTTTAAAAGAAATTTATCAATGTCATTCATTTATTTCTTCAACTGTTTATTCATGCATTCAACAAATACTCATTGAGCATACAATATATGCTGATAACATTGCTGGCCCAGGAAAATATGGCTTTGATGCTTTAGGAGTTTATAATCCTGAAGTAATAATCTGCAATAGATTGTCAATAGTTTGCTTTTCTCAACTTCATGAACAAAATCCTTCCCTACTCCCCAGAATCTAAACAATCATAAAGTTGATACACCTGATATTTTAGAGTAAGTACCTAAGCAAATCATGGCTATTCATGATGCTACTGTCAAAGGTAGTGCAAGATGTGCAATTATGAAGGAACATTTAAATTCTATTCAGCATGGCCTAAGTGTGTGAATGTTTATTATAATTCTTTTTAAAAATCTGTGTATGACAGTTTAAGTTTTAGGTCATCATCGGCATGTACAGTTACACTAACATGTTACACTTCTGAACCAATTCTGAAAAAACAACTCTAATCATAAAACTATACATGAATAGAAGTTCTAAGGGCAATTAGTTTGCTAAAAATCCATAAAAGATAATGAATCAAGCTGTCTAATGCTTAGACATGCAACCAAGCAAACAAAATTACCTTTCATAACCATGTTCTTCTCTTATGGATCATTCCCAACAGTAAAAAATAAACTCTAAAAATTTCTGTTTTGAAACACAAAGAGAGAAAACTCCCTCAAATCCCACACTCTTTTTTAATTATTGCCCATTTCTATATTGCCTTTCCCAGCAAATTTTCTCTCAAGAGTTGTCTACATTCATCCACTACAGATTTCCATGGCTATCATTTGTTGAAACTTCTCCTAGTCAAAGTCACTAATCCTTATTATAATCAATCTTTCAACAGCACTGATACAGTTGAGTATTTCCAGTTTGAGGAGACTATATTATTCTAGTTCCAGGAAAAGTAATTGGTGTTAACGTTCTTTCCTAGAGATTTATTTTCTTTTCTTTCTTTTTTGTTCTTTCTTTTTTTTTTTTTTTTTGACTTTAAAATTTTTTTAACCTTAAGTTCTGGGATACATGTGCAGAACGTGCAGGTTTGTTACAAAGGTATACATGTGCCATGGTCATTTGCTTCACCTATCAACCTGTCATCTAGGTTTTAAGTCCTGCATGCACTAGGTATTTGTCCTAATGCTCTCCCTCCCCTTGCTCCCTCACCCCCAGGCAGGCCCCAGTGTGTGATGTTCCCCTCCCTATGTCCATGTGCTCTTATTGTCCAACTCCCACTTGTGAGTGAGAATATGCAGTGTTTGGTTTTCTGTTCCCATGTTAGTTTGCTGAGAATGATAGTTTCTCACTTCATCCATGTCCCTGCAAAGGACATGAACTCATTCTTTTTTATGGCTGAACAGTATTCCATGGATTATATTTGTCACTTTTTTTATCCAGTCTATCATTGATGGATATTTGGGTTGGTTACAAGTCTTTGCTATTGTAAATAATACCGCAATAAACTTACGTGTGCATGTGTCTTTATAGTAGCATGATTTATAATCCTTTGGGTATATACCCACTAATGGGATTGCTGGGTCAAATGGTATTTCTGGTTCTAGATCCTTGAGGAATCACCACACTGTCTTCCACAATGGTTGAACCAATTTACACTCCCACCAACAGTGTAAAAGTGTTCCTGTTTCTCCACAGGCTCACCAGCATCTGTTGTTTCCTGACTTTTTAATGATCACCATTCTAACTGGCATGAGATGGTACCTCATTGTGGCTTTGATGTGCATTTTTCTAATGATCAGTGATGATGAGCTTTTCTTCATGTTTCTTGGCCACGTAAATGTCCTCTTTTGAGATGTGTCTGCACATATCCTTTGCCCACTTTTTGAGGGGGTGTTCCCAGATATTTCTTATAAAGGACTTATAAATTTTACCTTCTTTACCATCTATTTCACTTAAACTGCTATCATCATTTACTTGTTGCAGACCATGAGTTAGTAAATTGGCCTTCTCAAATATGGGTGTAATCACAGATTATTTTGAGGTCCGTTTTTTATTTTCATGTTTCTTTCTTCATATGCAAGGCAAAAGCTCTACTTTAAAAACTCTATAAAAAGCCAATGTTTCCTAATAACTCTATTGACAATGAACAAAAAAACCACAATTTTTGTAAAACTCCAACTGTTTTCCATCTCATTGCACTGATTAATTTTTTAAATGTTTAGAACTACAAACAACATAAAAGGAAATGTGCATCCCCTGCTTCAAAAACAAGGTAATATACAATTATAATACATTGTGTTCTGTAAGAGTTGATATATTAAAAAGTTATATTTTAGCACAAGGAAGGCTTTAGAGAAGAGGCAAAATATAAGAAGGGCCCACTAGGGAAAAACAGTGAGAGAAAATCCTTCCAGTTAGAGAACAGAATGTGAGCACAAAGATTAAGCACATGAAGTCTAGATGCTTACTAAGAACTTGAAAGGAAAAGTGTAAAATACTTGGAAGCTAAGAATAGGAGATGAATCTACACTACACTTGAATGCTATATTAAAAAGCTGGAGTCCACTGAATATGAGAAATGACTGTTAAACATGAAAATCACAATTAGATTTGGGCTATATTTCTGTTTCTATTATTCAATATAATAATGTTTACCTTTAAATACAATTTCAAAAGTAGCTGTGGCACATAAAACATGAAAGACGAAATCAGGAAAATGTCTTCAGGGAGGGTGTATTAGTCCATTTTCACACTGCTATAAAGAAATACTGAAGACTGGGTAATTCATAAAGGCTAAGTTTCTCCTTGGTCCCTTTTAGCCACAGTTGGACCTGTAGTGGCTGAATGCAGGGCAGCAAGTCCTGAGGCTGCACACAGTACCAGGGCCCTGGACCCAAACCTATGAAACCATTTTTTCCTTCCAGGACTCTGGGCCTGTGATGCGAGTGGCTGCCACGAAGATCTCTGTCATGCCCTAAAGACACTTTCTCCATTTCATGGCAATTAACATTCCGCTCCTCGTTATTTATGCAAATTTCTGCAGCCAACTTGCATTCGTCCATAGAAAATGTGTTGTTTCTCTTTTCTACCAAATGGTCAGGCTACAAATTTTCCAAATTTATGCTCTGCTTCCCTTTTAAACATAAGCCCCAGCTTAAAACCATCTCTTTGTGAATGCATAAAACTGAATGCTTTCAGAATCAACCAGGTCACCTCTTGAATGCCTTGCTGCTTAGAAATTTCTTCTACCAGATAGCCTAAATCATCTCTCTCAAGTTCAAAGTTTTACAGATTGCTAGTGCAGGGGCAAAATGCTGTCAGTCTCTTTGCTAAAGCATATCAAGAGTCACCTTTGTTCCAGTCCCCAACAAGTTCCTTATCTCCACCTAAGATCACCTCAGCCTGGACTTCATTGGCCATATCACTATCAGCATTTTGGTAAAAAAAACTATTCAACAAGTCTGTAGGAAGTTCCAAACTTTCCCACATCTTCCTGTCTTCTTTTGAGCCCTCCAAACTGTTAAAACCTCTGTTACTCAGTTCCAAAGTCACTTCCACCTTTTCACATTATCTTTTTAACAATACCCCACTATCCCTGGTACCAATTCTCTGTATTAGTCCATTTTCACACTGCTACAAAGAAATATCTGAGATGGGGTAATTCATAAAGGAAAGAAGCTTAATTGATTCACAGTTACACATGGCTGGGGAGGCCTCAGAAAACTTACAATCATGGTAAGGTGAAGGGGAAGCAGACACCTTCTTCATAAGGTGGCAGGAGAGAGAGAAGTGAAGGGGATAGAGCCCTTTAAGAAACCATCAGCTCTTGTGAAAACTCATTCACTATCATGAGAACAGCATGGGGGAAACCAACCCTATGATCTAATCACCTCCCACCAGGTCTTTCTCACAACACCTGGGAATCACAATTTGACATGAGATTTGGGTGGGGACACAAAGCCAACCTACATCGGGGGCTATCCTTACTTTTAAAATATCTAAATGTCATTATTTATATTTCAAAAATAGCAATTTTTGATTAGTTATGATTTTGTTTGAAAATAAAACAATCTGGTAAATGTTCTTCACTTTTAGCCTCCTATTTAGTCAAAATATAAAAAGCTGGATTTGCCAGCAGAAAATTGTAATTACTTTTTAATGAGGTAAACATGCACAAGAATATCACTATTATTGTACAAAGAAGAAAGTGAACAAGAAAAGGAATTTAAAAAGAGAGAATATCACTATCATACACATCCATGAACTGACAAAGAGATTAAAATCTCCCATTGGAGTTTATGTTAGGACTTGAGCAAAAGCTTCTAAAAACACTGAAAACAAAAACAAAACCATTATTTTTAAGAAATAAATTATACAGAGAACTCTTCTGGTTAAGACAAGACTATGTAGCAAAAAAAAAAAAAAAAAAAGGTCTTCCTGAGAGCTATTATTAACCAATTCATCTTGAAAAAACTTTAAAATTAAGTATGCAATTCTGGAATATAAAATAGTTTCATTTTGAAAATAGTTAATGGAAGGCAACCTTTAAACAGCACAAACTTAGAAAAGAACTGACCTGTAGCCATGATAACAAGAAGCCACCCAGGGCAAGTTCTAAATCTAGTCAATCGATCAATGACCGCTGCCCTTGCTTGCCCACCAATATCAATGTGAGCAGCTTGCTTCTGAAAGACAGCCAAGCAGCAGCAGCTGCTCCATCAGAGCAGACAGTGCCTGATCAGTACACCTCTTATACAGCAAGCAAAAAATTCCAACTCTGTTTTTTTATTTCAAATACTGAAGTTTCATAATCCGTTGGAAAGAATTTGTAAGTCCATTAAATTTACCACCCTAATATTTTTCAGATAAAATACCAGTAAAGTTTGCAATTCCTCTGATGCATTTTACCATAATTAAAATTATCATGATTACCAGTAAAATAATAAATGGTGAATAACCACAATATTGGGATTTTCTCCCTAAATGAAAAAATATTAAGAATGTAGCTTATTATAAAGAGCCAAAAGAATTTATGCATATAATTACCAGGCTAAGTTGTTAGAGTGAACCTTGTCAAACATTTTTTAAGTGAGAATCAATCAAATGTAATATACCCACGAGTATTTGTTAGGTAGATACATCCGATATGCTAGGCCTTTTTCTAGGCACTGAGGATATGGTAGTGAACAATAAAAATCCTATTCATGAGAATGAGATAAACACACAACAATAGACAGATAAGGCAAAATATACAGTATGTTAGAGGAGAAAAACTAAAGCAGGAAAATGAAATGATTATGTGTTTGAGGGGAAGGGTGGTGGAAAAGTTGGGATGGCCAGAAAGGTCCCTGCTGAGAAAGGGGATTTTTAAGTAAAGAACTGAAGAACACAAGGAACTGCCAAGTATAGAGGTGTACCTGGAGTCGTTCAGCAAGAGAGATAGATAAGGAATAGCGAGAAGTTCAGTGTGGCTGAAGCAGAGCAAAGGAGAGAAGTAATAGAAGTTTAAGCAGGAGAGAAAACATGCTAGATGGTGTACTGCCTTTTAGTTATTAGGAGGAATTTTGTCACATACTCAGAGTGAAATGGAAGGCAATCAGAAGGGTTGGGGCAGAGGAATGACACAATTCGACTTATGTTTTGCCACTGAGTTAAGAATAGATTTAAAGGAAATTTTTTAAAAACCAGGACTATCCATTACCAGTCTATGACACTCATCTAGACTACAGATGATGGTGGCTCAGATATAAAAGATATGACTGGCTTCTGGATATATTCTTCCAGTAGACCTGACAAGATTTACTGATAGATTGGATGTGAGGTATAAGAGAGAAAGAAAGATGAGTCAAGAATGACACCAAGGTTTTTGGTAGAGCAACTGGAAGAGTGGCCACTAACCAAATTAGGAAAGATTGCATGAGGTGTCGATTTCAGGAAGGGCACCAGTAGCCCAATTTTGGATCTGGCAAGTGTGTGATGCCCAATAGCCAACCAAAAAGAGATGTCAAGTAGGCAGGTTGATATAGAGATCTGGAATTAAGGTGAGAGGTCTGAGCTAGAGACATACATTTGGAAATCACTAGCATATACACATTAGAAAAAGTCATGAGGGGCTGGGGTGCTGGCTCATACCTTAATCCCAGCACTTTGGGAGGCTGAGGTGGGCAGATCATCTGAGATCCGGAGTTTGAGAACAGCCTGGCCAACATGGAGAAACCATGCTGCTACTAAAAAGACAAAAATTAGCCAGGCATGGTGGCAGGTGCCTGTAATTCCAGCTACTCAGGAGGTTTAAGCAGCAGAATTGCTTGAACCCACAAGACAGGTTGCAATGAGCTGAGGTTTCACCACTGCACTCTAGCATGGGTGACAGAGTGAGACTCCACCTCAAAAAAAAAAAAAAGTCATGAGAAAGAAGATTAGGGACTGAGCCCTGGGAAACAACAATGTGCAAAAGGTGAAAGATGAGGAGGAGCAACAAAAACAGACCATGATGAATGGACTACGAAGGCAGGAGAAAAAGCCTGAGGGAGTGAGGTCTTGAAAACCAAGTGAAGATGCTGTTATGAAGGAGATATCCTCCACTGGGTCAAATACTGCTGATAAATTAAATAAAATGAGATGTAAGAAAAAATGCCTAGATTTATTACACAATAAAAGTTGTGATAATCTTGAGAAAAACAACTTTGGAGGAGTGCTGAAATTGAAGACTACTGAAATAAGATCAAGAATGAATGGAAAGAAAATTTCAGTTTGTGAGTGCAGACAGTTCTTTTAAGGACATCATATTTAGGAGTCATGACAGTGAATGATGTAATTTTCTTCCACAGTCATGGACTAGTGATAGATAAGAAATAGTAGTTTATAATTTTATATAAATGGTGCAGTTTTCAAATTTTAAGTAACAATTGTATATTTTAAAGGTTATAAAAATTATACAAAATGGCATTTAAACATGCCAGACCAAGGTATTATATTCTTAAAATTATAGAACTAAAATATTACGTTCCAAGATGGCCAAATAGGAAGAGCTCCCATCTGCAGCTCCCAGCATGATTGACACAGAAGATGGGTGATTTCTGCATTTCCAACTGAGCCTCCACTGGTGATATGCAGGCAAACAAGCTCTGGAGTGGACCTCCAGCAAACTCCAACAGACCTGCAGCTGAGGGACCTGACTGTTAGAAGGAAAACTAACAAACAGAAAGGAATAACATCAACATCAACTAAAAGGACATCCACACCAAAACCCCATTTCTGGCCACCGACATCAAAGGCCAAAGGTATATAAAACTACAAAGATGGGGAGAAACCAGAGCAGAAAATCTGAAAATTCTAAAAACCAGAGCCCCTCTTCCCTCCAAAGGATCGCAGCTCTTCACCAGCAACGGAACAAAGCTGGCTGGAGAATGACTTTGATGAGCTGACAGAAGTAGGCTTCAGAAGGTCGGTAATAACAAACCTCCAAGCTAAAAGAAGATGTTCGAACCCATTGCAAGGAACCTTGAAAAAAGATTAGATGAATGGCTAACTAGAATAAACAATGTAGAAAAGACCTTAAATGACCTGATGGAGCTGAAAACCATGGCATGAGAACTACATGATGAAAGCACAAGCTTCAATAGCTGATTTGCTAAAGTGGAAGAAAGGGTATCAGTGATTGAAGATCAAATTAATGAAATAAAGAACGAAGACAAGTTTAGAGAAAAAAGAGTAAAAAGAAATGAACAAAGCCTCCAAGAAATATGGGACTATGTGAAAAGAACAAATCTACGTTTGATTGGTGTACCTGAAAGTGACAAGGAAGGATGGAACCAACTAGGAAAATACTCTTCAGGACATTATCCAGGGGAACTTCCCCAACCTAGCAAGGCAGGCCAACATTAAAATTTGGGAAATACAGAGAACACCACAAAGCTACTCCTCAAGAAGAGCAACCCCAAGACACATAATTGTGAAATTCACCAAGGTTAAAATGAAGGAAAAAATGTTAAGGGCAACCAGAGAGAAAGGTCAGGTTACCCACAAAGGGAAGCCCATCAGACTAACAGCAGATCTCTTGGGAGACTCTACAAGCCAGAAGAGAGTGGGGGCCAATATTCAACATTTTTTTTAAGTTCTAGGGCACATGTGCACAACGTGCACGTTTGTTATGTATGTATACATGTGCCATGTTGGTGTGCTGCACACATTAACTCATCACTTACATTAAGTATATCTCCTAATGCTATCCCCCCTCCCCCCACTCCACAAAACGCCCCAGTGTATGATGTTCCCCTTCCTGTGTCCAACTGTTCTCATTGTTCAATTCCCACCTATGAGTGAGAACATGCGGTGTCTGTTTTTTTGTCCTTGCGATAGTTTGCTGAGAATGAGGGTTTCCAGCTTCATCCATGTCCCTACAAAGGACATCAACTCATCATTTTTAATGGTTGCATAGTATTCCATGGCGCATATGTGCCACATTTTCTTAATCCAGTCTATCATTGATGGACATTTGGGTTGGTTCCAAGTCTTTGCTATTCTGAATAGAGCTACAATAAACATACGTGTGCATGTGTCTTTATAGCAGCATGATTTATAATCCTTTGGGTATATACCCAGTAATGGGATGGCTGGGTCCAATGGTATTTCTAGTTCTAGACCCTTGAGGAATTGCCACACTGTCTTTCACAATGGTTGAACTAGTTTACACTCCCAACAGTGTAAAAGTGTTCCTATTTCTCCACATCCTCTCCAGCACCTGTTGTTTCCTGACTTTTTAATGATCACCATTCTAACTGGTGTGAGGTGGTATCACATTATGCTTTTGATTTGCATTTCTCTGATGGCCAGTGATGATGAGCATTTTTTCATGAGTTTGTGGGCTGCATAAATGTCTTCTTTTGAGAAGTGTCTGTTCATATCCTTTGCCCATTTGTTGATGGGGTTGTTTTTTTCTTGTAAATTTGTTTGAGTTCTTTGTAGATTCTGAATATTAGCCCTTTGTCAAAAGAGTGGATTGCAAAAATTTTCTCCCATTCTGTAGGTTGCCTGTTAAGTCTCATGGTAGTTTCTTTTGCTGTGCAGAAGCTCTTTAGTTTAATTAGATCCCATTTGTCAATTTTGGTTTTTGTTGCCATTGCCTTTGGTGTTTAAACATGAAGTCCTTATCCATGCCTATGTCCTGAATGGTATTGCCTAGGTTTTCTTCTGGGGTTTTTAAAGTTTCAGATTTAACATGTAAGTCTTTAATCCATCTTGAAGTAATTTTAGTATAAGGTGTAAAGAAGGGATCCAGTTTCAGCTTTCTACATATGGATAGCCAGTTTTTCCAGCACCACTTATTAAACAGGGAATCCTTTCCCCATTTCTTGTTTTTACCAGGCTTGTCAAAGATCAGATGGTTGTAGATGTAAGGTATCAACATTCTTAAAGAAAAAAATTTTCAACCCAGAATTTCATATCCAGCCAAACTAAGCTTCATAAGTGAAGGAGAAATAAAACACTTTACAGGCAAGCAAATGCTGAGAGATTTTGTCACCACCAGGCCTGCCTTACAAGAGCTCCTGAATGAAGCACTAAACATGGAAAGTAACAACCAGTACCAGCCACTGCAAAAACATGCCAAATTGTAAAGATCATAGATGCCAGGAAGAAACTGCATCAACTAACGGGCAAAATAACCAGCTAACATCATAATGACAGAATCAAATTCACACAAAACAATACCAATCTTAAATGTAATGGGCTAAATGCTCCAATTAAAAGACACAGACTGGCAAATTGGATAAAGATTCAAGACCCATCAGTGTGCTCTATTCAGGAGACCCATCTCACATTCAGAGACACACATAGGCTCAAAATAAAGGGATGGAGGAAGATCTACCAAGCAAATGGAAAGGAAAAAAAAGCAGAGGTTGCAATTCTACTCTCTGATAAAACAGACTTTAAATCAACAAAGCTCAAAAGAGACAAAGAAGGCCATTACCTAATGGTAAAGGGATCAATTCAACAAGAAGAGCTAACTATCCTAAATATATATACACCCAATACAGGAGCACCCAGATTCATAAACCAAGTCCTCAAAGGCCTACAAAGAGACTTAGAATCCCACACAATAATAATGGGAGAATTTAACACCCCACTGTCAATATTAGAAAGCTCAACAAGACAGAAGTTTAAAAAGGATATCTAGGACTTGAACTCAGCTCTGCACCAAGCAGACCTAATAGACATCTACAGAACTCTCCACCCCAACTCAACAGAATATACATTCTCAGCACCACATTGCACTTTTTCCAAAATTGACCACATAGTTGTAAGTAAAGCACTCCTCAGCAAATGTAAAAGAACAGAAATCACAACAAACGGTCTCTCAGACCACAGTGCAATCAAATTAGGACTCGGGATAAAGAAACTCACTCAAAACCACTTAACTACATGGAAACTGAACAACCTGCTCCCAAATAACTACTGGATAAATAATGAAATGAAGGCTGAAATAAAGATATTCTTTGAAACCAATGAGAACAAAGACATGATGTACCAAAATATCTGGGACACATTTAAAGCAGTGTATAGAGGGAAATTTATAGCACTAAGTACCCACAAGAGAAAGCAGGAAAGATCTAAAACTGACACCCTAACACTACAATTAAAAGATCTAGAGAGGCAAGAGCAAACAAATTCAAAAGCTAACAGAAGGCAAGAAATAGCTAAGGTCAGAGCAGAACTGAAGGAGATAGAAACATAAAAAGCCCTTCAAAAAATCAAAGAATCCAGGAGCTGGTTTTTTGAAAAGATCAACAAAATTGATAGACTGCAAGCAAGAATAATACAGAAGAAAAGAGAGAAGAATCAAATAGATGCAATAAAAAATGATAAAGGGGATATCACCACCGATCCCACAGAAATACAAACTACCATCAGAGAATATTATAAACATCTCTATGCAAGTAAACTAGAAAATCTAGAAGAAATTGATAAATTCCTGGACACATATACCCTCCCAAGTCTAAACCAGGAAGAAGTTGAATCTCTGAATAGACCAATAATAGGCTCTGAAATTGAGGCAATAATTAATAGCTTTCAAACCAAAAAAAGTCAAAGACCAGATAGATTCACAGCCAAATTCTACTAGAGGTACAAGAAGGAGCTGGCACCATTCCTTCTGAAACTATTCCAAACAATAGAAAAAGAGGGAATCCTCCCTAACTCATTTTATGAGGTCAGCATCATCCTGATACCAAAGCCTGCCACAGACACAACAAAAACAGAGAATTTTAGACCAATATCCTTGATGAACATCGATGCAAAATCCTCAATAAAATACTGGCAAACCGAATGCAGCAACACATCAAAAAGCTTATCCACCATGCTCAAGTGGGCTTCATCCCTGGGATGCAAGGCTGGCTCAACATATGCAAATCAATAAATGTAATCCAGCATATAAACAGAACCAAAGACAAAAACCACATGATTAACTCAATAGATGCAGAAAGGGCCTTCGACAACATTCAACAGCCCTTCATGCTAAAAACTCTCAATAAATTAGGTATTGATAGGATGTATTTCAAAATAATAAGAGCTATTTATGACAAATCCACAGCCAATATCATACTGAATGGGCAAAAACTGGAAGCATTCCCTTTGAAAACTGGCACAAGACAGGGATGCCCTCTCTCACCACTCCTATTCAACGTAGTGTTGGAAGTTCTGGCCAGGGCAATCAGGCAGGAGAAGGAAATAAAAGGCATTCAATTAGGAAAAGAGAAAGTCAAATTGTCCCTGTTTGAAGATGACATGACTGTATGTCTAGAAAACCCCATCGTCTCAGCCCAAAATCTCCTTAAGCTGATAAGCAACTTCAGCAAAGTCTCAGGATACAAAATCAATGCGCAAAAATCACAAGCATTCTTATACACCAATAACAGGCAAACGGAGAACCAAATCATGAGTGAACTCCCATTCACAATTGCTTCAAAGAGAATAAAATACCTAGGAATCCAACTTACAAGGGACGTAAAGGAACTCTTCGAGGAGAACTACAAACCACTGCTCAATGAAATAAAAGAGGATACAAACAAATGGAAGAACATTCCATGCTCATGGATAGGAAGAATCAATATCGTGAAAATGGCCATACTGCCCAAGGTAATTTATAGATTCAATGCCATCCCCACCAAGCTACCAATGATTTTCTTCACAGAACTGGAAAAACTACTTTAAAGTTCATATGGAACCAAAAAAGAGCCTGCATTGCCAAGTCAATCCTCAGCCAAAAGAACAAAGCTGGAAGCATCATGCTACCTAACTTCAAACTATACTACAAGGCTACAGTAACCAAAACAGCATGGTACTGGTACCAAACAAAGATACAGACCAATGGAACAGAACAGAGCCCTCATAAATAATACCACACATCTACAACTATCTGATCTTTGACAAACCTGGCAAAAACAAGAAATGGGGGGCCAGGTGTGGTGGCTCTTGTCTGTAATCCCAGCACTTTCGGAGGCCAAGTTGCGCAGATCACGAGGTCAGGAGATTGAGACCATCCTGGCTAACATGGTGAAACCCCATCTCTACTAAAAAATACAAAAAATTAGCCGGGCGTAGTGGCAAGCGCCTGTAGTCCCAGCTACTTGGGAGGCTAAGGCAGGAGAGTCATGTGAACCCAGGAGGCAGAGGTTGCAGTGAGCCGAGATCACGCCACTGCACTCCAGCCTGGGTGATAGATCGAGACTCCCTCTCAAAAAAAAAAAAAAAAACACAAGAAACGGGGAAAGGATTCCCTATTTAATAAATGGTGCTGAGAAAACTGGCTAGCTTATGTAGAAAGCTGAAACTGGATCCCTTCCTTAGACTTTATACAAAAATTAATTCAAAATTGATTAAAGACTTAAATGTTAGACCTAAAACTATAAAAATCGTAGAAGAAAACCTAGGCAATACTACTCAGGATGTAGGCATAGGCAACAACTTCATGACTAAAACACCAAAAGCAATGGCAACAAAAGCCAAAATTGAAAAATGGGATCTAGTTAAACTGAAGAGCTTCTGCACAGTAAAAGAAACTACCATCAGAGTGAACAGGCAACCTACAGAATGGGAGAAAATTTTTGCAATCTACCCATCTGACAAAAGGCTAATATCAAGAATCTACAAAGAACTCAAACAAATTTACAAGAAAAAAACTAACAATCACATCAACAATTGGCTGAAGGATATGAACAGACACTTCTCAAAAGAAGACATTTATGCAGCCAACAGACACATGAAAAAATGCTATCACTGGTCATCAGAGAAATGCAAATTAAAACCACAATGAGATACCATCTCACACCAGTTAGAATGGTGATCATTTAAAAGTCAGGGAACAACAGGTGCTGGAGAGGATGTGGAGAAATAGGAACACTTTTATACTGTGGATGGGAGTGTAAACTAGTTCAACCACGTCGAAGACAGTGTGGTGATTCCTCAAGGATCTAAAACTAGAAATACCATTTGACTCAGTCATCCCATTACTGGGTATATATCCAAAGGATTATAAATCATGCTGCTATAAAGACACATGCACACATATGTTTATTGGGGCACTACTCACAATAGCAGAGACTTGGAACCAATCCAAATATCCATCAATGATAGACTGAATTAAGAAAATGTGGCACATGTACACCATGGAATACTATGCAACCATGAAAAAGGATGAGTTCATGTCCTTTGCAGGGACATGGATGAAGCTGGAAACCATCATTCTCAGTAAACTATCACAAGGACAAAAAACCAAACACCGCACGTTCTCACTCACAGGTGGGAATTGAACAATGAGAACATTTGGACACACCATGGGGAACATCACACCCTGGGGCCTGTCAGAGTGTGGGGCCCAGGGGGAGGGATAGCCTTAGGAGAAATGCCTAATGTAAATGATGAGTTAATGTGGGCAGCAAACCAACATGGCACATGTATAACCCATGTAACAAACCTGCATGTTGTGAACATGTACCCTAGAACTTAAAGTATAATAATAAAAAAATTATACAACTAAAAGACCCCGTGAACATTTCTGGATTATATAAGCTGATTATCATTTTGTTCATGCTTATAAATAAAGACCAAGGGGGTCCCAGGCCAAGATGGCCAAGTAGGAACAGCGCCGGTCTACAGCTCCCAGCATGAGTGACACAGAAGACGGGTGATTTCTGCATTTCCATCTGCGGTACCAGGTTCATCTAACTAGAGAGTGCCAGACACTGGGCGCAGGACAGTGGGTGCAGCACAACATGTGTGAGCCGAAGCAGGGTGAGGCATTGCCTCACTTGGGAAGCAAAAGGGGTCAAGGAGTTCCTTTTCCTAGTCAAAGAAAGGGGTGACAGACGACACCAAGAAAATCGGGTCACTCCCACCCGAATACTGCGCTTTTCCAAGGGGCTTAAAAAACGGTGCTCCAGGAGATTATCTCCCCCACCTGGCTCGGAGGGTCCTACACCCACAGAGTCTCGCTGATTGCTAGCACAGCAGTCTGAGATCAAACTGCAAGGTGGCAGTGAGGCTGGGGGAAGGGCACCCACCATTGCCCAGGCTTGCTTACATAAACAAAGCAGCCAGGAAGCTCGAACTGCGTGGAGCCCACCACAGCTCAAGGAGGCCTGCCTGCCTCTGTAGGCTCCACCTCTGGGGGCAGGGAACAGACAAACAAAAAGACAGCAGTAACCTCTGCAGACTTAAATGTACCTGTCTGACAGCTTTGAAGAGAGCATTGGTCCTCCCAGCATGCAGCTGGAGATTTGACAACGGGCAGACTGCCTCCTCAAGTGGGTCCCTGACCCCGACCCCTGAGCAGCCTAACTGGGAGGCACCCCCCAGTAGGGGCAGACTGACACCTCACACGGCCGGGTACTCCTCTGAGACAAAACTTCCAGAGGAACTATCAGACAGCAGCATTCGCAGTTCACAAAAATCTGCTGTTCTGCAGCCACCGCTGCTGATACACAAACAAATAGGGTCTGGAGTGGACCTCTAGCAAACTCCAACAGACCTGCAGCTGAGGGTCCTGTCTGTTAGAAGGAAAACTAACAAACAGAGAGGACATCCACACCAAAAACCCATCTGTACATCACCATCATCAAAGACCAAAAGGAGATAAAACCACAAACATGGGGAAAAAACAGAGCAGAAAAACTGGAAACTCTAAAAAGCAGAACACCTCTCCTCCTCTAAAGGAACACAGTTCCTTAACAGCAATGGAACAAAGCTGGATGGAGAATGACTTTGACGAGTTGAGAGAAGAAGTCTTCAGATGATCAAACTACTCCAAGCTATGGGAGGAAATTCAAACCAAAGGCAAAGAAGTTGAAAACTCTGAAAAAAATTTACATGAATGGATAACTAGAATAATCAATCCAGAGAAGTACTTAAAGGAGCTGATGGAGCTGAAAGCCAAGACTCGAGAACTACCTGAAGAATGCAGAAGCCTCAGGAGCCGATGCAGTCAACTGGAAGAAAGGGTATCAATGATGGAAAATGAAATGAATGAAATGAAGTGAGAAGGGAAGTTTAGAGAAAAAAGAATAAAAAGAAATGAACAAAGCCTCCAAGAAATATGGGACTATGTGAAAAGACCAAATCTATGTCTGATTGGTGTACCTGAAAGTGACGGGGAGAATGGAACCAAGTTGGAAAACACTCTGCAGGATATTATGCAGGAGAACTTCCCCCATCTAGCAAGGCAGGCCAACATTCACATTCAGGAAATACAGAAAACGCCACAAAGATACTCCTCGAGAAGAGCAACTCCAAGACACATAATTGTCAGATTCACCAAAGTTGAAATGAAGAAAAAAATGTTAAGGGCAGCCAGAGAGAAAGGTCGGGTTACCCTCAAAGGGAAGCCCATGAGACTCAGCAGAAACTCTACAAGCCAGAAGAGAGTGGGGGCCAATATTCAACATTCTTGAAGAAAAGAATTTTCAACCCAGAATTTCATATCCAGCCAAAATAAGCTTCATAAGCAAAGGAGAAATAAAATACTTTACAGACAAGCAAATGCTGAGAGATTTTGTCACCACCAGGCCTGCCCTAAAGGAGCTCCTGAAGGAAGCACTACACATGGAAAGGAACAACGGGTACCAGCCGCTGCAAAATCATGCCAAAATGTAAAGACCATCGAGACTAGGAAGAAACTGCATCAAATAATGAGCAAAATAACCAGCTAACATCATAATGACAGGATCAAATTCACACATAACAATATTAACTTTAAATGTAAATGGACTAAATGCTCCAATTAAAAGACACAGACTGGCAAATTGGATAAAGAGTCAAGACCCATCAGTGTGCTGTATTCGGGAAAACCATCTCATGTGCAGAGACACACATAAGCTCAAAATAAAGGGATGGAGGAAGATCTACCAAGCAAATGAAAAACAAAAAAAAGCAGGGGTTGCAATCCTAGTCTCAGATAAAACAGACTTTAAACCAACAAAGATCAAAAGAGACAAAGAAGGCCATTACTTAATGGTAAAGGGATCAATTCAACAGGAAGAGCTAACTATCCTAAATATATATGCACCCAATACAGGAGCACCCAGATTCATAAAGCAAGTCCTGAGTGACCTACAAAGAGACATAGACTCCCACACAATAATAATGGGAGACTTTAACACCCCACTGTCAATATTAGACAGATCAATGAGACAGAAAGTTAACAAGGATACCCAGGAATTGAACTCAGCTCTGCACCAAGCAGACCTAATAGACATCTACAGAACTCTCCACCCCAAATCAACAGAATATACATTTTTTTCAGCACCACACCACACCTATTCCAAAATTGACCACATACTTGGAAGTAAAGCTCTCCTCAGCAAATGTAAAAGATCAGAAATTATAACAAACTGTCTGTCAGACCACAGTGCAATCAAACCAGAACTCAGGATTAAGAAACTCACTCAAAACCGCTCAAGTACATGGAAACTGAACAACCTGCTTCTGAATGACTACTGGGTACATAAAGAAATGAAGGCAGAAATAAAGATGTTCTTTGAAACCAACGAGAACAAAGACACAACATACCAGAATCTCTGGGACGCATTCAAAGCAGTGTGTAGAGGGAAATTTATAGCACAAAATTTCCACAAGAGAAAGCAGGAAAGATCCAAAATTGACAACCTAACATCACAATTAAAAGAACTAGAAAAGCAAGAGCAAACACATTCAAAAGCTAGCAGAAGGCAAGAAATAACTAAAATCAGAGCAGAACTGAAGGAAATAGAGACACAAAAAACCCTTCAAAAAATTAATGAATCCAGGAGCTGGTTTTTGAAAGGATCAACAAAATTGATAGACCGCTAACAAGACTATTAAAGAAGAAAAGAGAGAAGAATCAAATAGATGCAATAAAAAATGATAAAGGGGATATCACCACTGATCCCCCAGAAATACAAACTACCATCAGAGAATACTACAAACACCTCTACGCAAATAAACTAGAAAATCTAGAAAAATGGATAAATTCCTTGACACATATACCTTCCCAACACTAAACCAGGAAGAAGTTGAATCTCTGAATAGACCAATAACAGTCTCTGAATTTGTGGCACTAATCAACAGCTTACCAACAAAAAAAAGTCCAGGACCAGATGGATTCACAGCCGAATTCTACCAGAGGTACAAGGAGGAACTGGTACCATTCCTTCTGAAATTATTCCAATCAATAGAAAAAGAGGGAATCCTCCATAACTCATTTTATGAGGCCAGCATCATCCTGATACCAAAGCCGGGCAGAGACACAACAAAAAAAGAGAATTTTAGACCAATATCCTTGATGAGCATTGATGCAAAAATCCTCAACAAAATACTGGCAAACCGAATCCAGCAGCATATCAAAAAGCTTATCCAACATGCTCAAGTGGGCTTCATCCCTGGGATGCAAGGCTGGTTCAATACACGCAAATCAATAAATGTAATCCAGCATATAAACAGAACCAAAGACAAAAACCACATCATTATCTCAATAGATGCAGAAAAGGCCTTTGACAAAATTCAACAACCCTTCATGCCAAAAACTCCCAATAAATTAGGTATTGATAGGATGTATCTCAAAATAATAAGAGCTATCTATGAAAAACCCACAGCAAATATCATATGAATGGGCAAAAACTGGAAGCATTCCCTCTGAAAACTGGCACGAGACAGGGATGCCCTCTCTCACCACTCCTATTCAACATAGTGTTGGAAGTTCTGGCCAGGGCAATTAGGCCGGAGAAGGAAATAAAGGGTACTCAATTAGGAAAAGAGGAAGTCAAATTGTCCCTGTTTGCAGATGACATGTTTGTATATCTAGAAAACCCCATTGTCTCAGCCCAAAATCTCCTTAAGCTGATAAGCAACTTCAGCAAAGTCTCAGGATACAAAATCAATGTACAAAAATCACAAGCATTCTCATACACCAATAACAGACAAACAGAGAGCCAAATCATGAGTGAACTCCCATTCACAATTGCTTCAAAGAGAATAAAATACCTAGGAATCCAACTTACAAGGGACGTAAAGGAACTCTTCGAGGAGAGCTACAAACCACTGCTCAATGAAATAGAAGAGGATACAAAGAAATGGAAGAACATTCCATGCTCATGGGTAGGAAGAATCAATATCATAAAAATGGCCATACAGCCCAAGGTAATTTTTAGATTCAATGCCATCCCCATCAAGCTACCAATGACTTTCTTCACAGAATTGGAAAAAACTACTTTAAAGTTCATATGGAACCAAAAAAGAGCCCGCATCGCCAAGTCAATCCTAAGCCTGCTACTGGTACCAAAACAGAGATATAGATCAATGGAACAGAACAGAGCCCTCAGAAATAATGCTGCATACCTACAACTGTCTGATCTTTGACAAACCTGACAAAAAAAAGAAATAGGGAAAGGATTCCCTATTTAATAAATGGTGCTGGGAAAACTGGCTAGCCACATGTAGAAAGCTGAAACTGGATCCCTTCCTTACACCTTATACAAAAATTAATTCAAGATGGATTAAAGACTTAAACGTTAGACCTAAAACCATAAAAACCCTAGAAGAAAACCTAGGCATTACCATTCAGGACATAGGCATGGGCAAGGACTTCATGTCTAAAACACCAAAAGCAATGGCAACAAAAGACAAAATTGACAAATGGGATCTAATTAAACTAAAGAGCTCCTGCACAGCAAAAGAAACTACCATCAGAGTGAACAGGCAACCTACAAAATGGGAGAAAATTTTCACAACCTACTCATCTGACAAAGGGCTAATATCCACAATCTACAATGAACTCAAACAAATTTACAAGAAAAAAACAAACAGCCCCATCAAAAAGTGGGCAAAAGACATGAACAGACACTTCTCAAAAGAAGACATTTATGCAGCCAAAAAACATGAAAAAATGTTCACCATCACTGGCCATCAGAGAAATGCAAATCAAAACCACAATGAGATACCATCTCACACCAGTTAGAATGGCAATCATTAAAAAGTCAGGAAACAACAGGTGCTGGAGAGGATGTGGAGAAATAGGAACACTTTTACACTGTTGGTGGGACTGTAAACTAGTTCAACCATTGTGGAAGTCAGTATGGTGATTCCTCAGGGATCTAGAACTAGAAATACCATTTGACCCAGCCATCCCATTACTGGGTATATACACAAAGGATTATAAATCATGCTGCTATAAAGACACATGCACACGTATGTTTATTGCGGCACTATTCACAATAGCAAAGACTTGAAACCAACCCAAATGTCCAACAATGATGGACTGGATTAAGAAAATGTGGCACATATACACCATGGAATACTATGCAGCCATAAAAAAGGATGATTTCATGTCCTTTGTAGGGACATGGATGAAATTGGAAATCATCATTCTCAGTAAACTATCGCAAGAACAAAAAGCCAAACACTGCATATTCTCACTCATAGGTGGGAATTGAACAATGAGAACACATGGACACAGGAAGGGGAACATCACACTCTGGGGACTGTTGTGGGGTGGGGGGAAGGGAGAGGGATAGCATTAGGAGATATACCTAATGCTAAATGATGAGTTAATGTGTGCAGCACACCAGCATGGCACATGTATACATATGTAACTAACCTGCACATTGTGCACATGTACCCTAAAACTTAAAGTATAATAATAATAAAATAAAATAAAAATAAATGAATAAAAATAAAGACCAAGGAATACTAAAAGTTTCAAGAGGAGTATTTCTTGCTTGATAAAAATCAGTGAAATCTAGGACAGTTGATACTCATCACATATACAAAGTAATTGATCACAGTAAAATACTGAGTCCTATTAACAGGAATAAAATAGGAGAAATGCAGAAAATAATCTTATTTTATAAATGAAATTTTAAAAATTTTATGAAGTATAATTACATGAATTACATCAATATAAAAATTATATGAAGTCACTTGAAAACTATGGTGAGGTGAATACTGAAATATATTCTTTTTTCAAAGGAAGGATAATGTCATGCATGCAGGACACTTACAAATAAGATTCACTGCATTAGCAACACCTTCCTTTTAGCACAAGGGTCAGCAAATTAACACTTGTGGGCCCACTCCAGCCCACTGCCTGTTTTTTTAAGTAAGGTATCTTGAAACACAGCCATGCTTATTTACTTTATAGTCCATAGAGTCAATCATCTGGGTGTGATATTGCACACCTGTGGTCCCAGCTAGTAGAGAGACTGAGGTGGGAGGATCACTAGAGCCCAGAAAGTTGAGGCTGCAGTGAGCCATGATCACGCAAATGCACTCCAGCCTGGGCAACAGAGTGAGAACCTGTCTCAAAAAAATAAGTACATATAGTCCACAAAGATTAAAATATTTACCAACTGGCTCTTTACAGAAAAAAGCTGGCCAATTCCTGTTTTAGTAGATCAAAGATCCTTTGATGTATTTAAACAAGTTTTATCCAATATACTGAAATATTTACATAAAATACAGATCCCCATGTGCAATCCTTTGGCAATGTTCAGTTGAGGGTCCAATTATTTCAGCACTCAGGCACTGACAACCATAATTTAATAACTAGCGATATTGTTGCTAACAAGGTACAGTGTCAACATAGCATGTAGCTTCCATTTGCAACACAGCAGATACTACAAGAATTCTAACAAAATTGTCTTAAGATGGGTCAGCAAACTAAATGCTTTAAATACATGTTAATTGTGAAATAATCAGTACACTCTAGATCTAACTTCATTTTAAAAAACTGATTGCATACTATATTATTTTCTGAGCTATTTCCTATTGATAAGGATTTGGACTAGCTCCAACTTTTTGATATAATTATGCTATAATAAATGTCCTTATACATAAGTATATATGTAATATATCTATACAAATATCCATAACATACATATATTTTATATCCTTACTGTTATATATGTGTGTGTGTGAATATGCTACTAAATTAACACTCAAAATGTATTTACCAACAGTGTATGAAAATATCCTTTTCAGTGAGTCCATTTCCTCTGCAGCAACACAGATGGAGCTGGAGGTCATTATCCTAAGCAAACTAATGCAGGAACAGAAAATCAAATGCCACATATTCTCACTCATTTGTCAGAACCAAACAATGAGAACTCATGGACACAAAGAGGAGAACAACAGACAACTGCGGCCTACTTGAGGGTGGAGCATGGCAGGAGGGAGAGGACCAAAAAACTACCTATTGGGTATCATTCTTATTATCTGACTGATGAAATAATCTGTAACCCCAATCTCCATGATACAGTTTACCTATGTAACAAACCTGCACGTGTACCCCTGAAGCTAAAATAAAAGTTCACTAAAAAGAAAAGAAAATGCTTTTTCCCTCACATTTGCCAACACTGGTTATTTTTCAAATAAATTAATGACTGGAAAAAATATAACTCATTGTTTGCTGATTTTCATTCTTCTGATTACCAGGCAAGGCTGAATATCCTAGGAAAAGTATAAAATTTTTTCATCATGAATATTAGTCCAAATTCGGATTAGTTTGATAGCACATAGTTATCTCCTGTTAAATGTTGCCATAGGCTTACCTGTGATACTCTTCAATCTCTGTGTTAGGAAATTGCTGATTTTCATGCTTTCTGCTCTTTCTTTGTGGAACTAATCCACCATCACCATTGCCAGCAGCAGCACCATCAGTCAGGTTTTCTGATAATCCCACATTATTACTTCCATGCTTCTGCATTTCTTCTTCAACCTTGAGTGGAAGTTTGATATTAAGGACAGTTATTGCTTTATTGAATAAAAAGTACCTTTTTGTTTTAATTGATTTTATCATTTGACTCAGTTTGTCATAATTTGTCATTAAAAATATTTCACACTTAAATTTGATCATATATACAGAACTGTTACCATATAATTTTAAGATGTAATTATTACATCATTAGTATATCATTAAAATTTTTGTAAAGTTTGCTTTATTTCTCTTTGAATGAATAGAACAATTTTCCAAAATTTCAAAATTTCCAAAATTTCAAAATTTCATTTTGTGCTTTTATTCCCAACCACTCTTCAGAATCTAATATAAATATTCACCCCATTTGACTTGTGGGAACACACAAATAAAAACACAAAGATGCAAAATGTGTCTTCTTCCATCTTTACAACCTGGATTTTCCATTAAGCAGTCAGATTTAGAGGATGAGACACTGTCGGGCTCCAGGAATAGAAAGGAAGATTTCCCTTTCCTGCACTAAAATATTCTTCTCCCCCACTGCCTGTGATCATTGCTTTTTCATATGGTTGCTGGGATATCAAAAACATGAAAGTGCTCACTGAAACATGGGAACCAAAGTTTCCCACAACACAAAAAGCAGAATAAAACTGCTGAGGTGCTAGCATGGAATTCCAGTAAATGAGACGCTCCCCAAATTTCACATTCAGTGGCCATAAAACTTTCTAGCTAGAGGATATACAGAATAACAAATTATCTTCTTTAGCCATATTATCTATTGATAATCAGACTAATACCAAGAAAGATAAAATGATTGATCCAAAGCTCCTAAAGTAGCATTACGTAGCATTTTTGGCACCATTCAGGATTATTCCATAATAATGAAGAATATTTCTAGGGTTTGTCTCTCTTTAAAACTTAATGTACACAACTCAGCTTTCTGAGTTACATACTAAATTTTTCACTGATGATTTATGCTACTTACATGATAGAATCATACATGCCTAAACTTATTATACTTTGTTAAACAACATAATGTAAAAATCTAATTCAACGGAAACATTTGAATATAAAGGTATACCTCTCTATCGCAATCCTTATTTATGTCTGGTTCTTGAGTCACTTTCTGCAGATGCAATTATAGAAGGTTAATTTGCTTGTTGTGTTTCTCAGATGTCTGCTCTTTTGGAGTACATGTTTTTAAAATAATTTTATTCTTAAGTAATCAAGTATGGACAATAAAAAATTAGAAAATAATTAAAATTAAAATTTACCTGTTAAAATAATTAAAGAAATAATAATTAAATAACTAAAATGAAGAATTAACATTTTATTCTATGTTTAGCTACTGCCACATCACTGGCTTCTGACTAAAACATAAAAAAATTCACCTTAGCCAAAGAAAGAAGAAAAACATGAACTGGAAAACTTAACTTTGTCACCTTTTGTTTGGATTAAACTTAATTCATTATGTGTTAAATCTACCAAAATGAATTAGCAGGTAATTTGTAGGGTTTTTCTCACTTGAAAAGATTTTACTTCACCATACCTTAAGTAGTGAGCCCCTACAGTGCATTTAGGTGGTTTTTTAAAAGATTACTAACTGGAGTGTAGGCACACTTTAAATTATTAGGAGCCAAAATCAACACCAAACAGAAAGAAATGCAAATTGTTACATTTTAATTGAAATTATGTACTATAATACGATCATGTTATGTATCTAGACTATCGGCTTAAGTCCAGTTCTAATATATTCTAATGTGTACTAATGACAGAGGATAAAAATTTTTAAATAATATGTACTGATGTTCTGCAACTGAAATGTTAAAATGTTACTGTGTTTGTACACTAACAACAAAGGTCTCATTCTGCAAGATATGATTATTGTAATAGGCAGTTGGGTTGCTTTTAAGACCTGGTTCTCTCCCTGAACAGAAACCCTGAGGTCAGTGAGAGACCACAGGTAGAATTCATCTTTAACCTTGGCATCACTGACTGGCAATATAAAACCGCAGATTTTCAATCACTGGCCATGATTACTCCTTTGCCATGAATCCAGCTCAGGGACCATCACTGCTACATTGTTCATAATTTCAATTGCTTGATAATATGATCCAATAATTGATGTTACTTTCTTTATCATGTAAGGATGTTGTAAAAATAAAAGAACAAATAAAGTTCTGGATTTGTTTTGCCTCTATTCCAAAGGGAAAGATTAGCTATAAGCCAATCAAGAAGGCAGATAAGAATATTTTAAATAAGAATATTTTAAATTTTATAGTGGGTTATAATCTTTAAGTTAAATATCAAATATTAAATTAGATTCTATTGATTCTTCTGTTAATAAGGTCACTAAATCTATTAAAATAAACTTTAAGAATCTATTAAAAAATTATTTTAAAAAATTTATTGATTATCAAAGCCTAGTCTGAAAGGTAATTTCATTTGGACTATCTACTATTATCAAAGCAAAGAAAAGAACATTAAACCAGAAATTTAAATTTAAAATTTTACATGCCTCATGCTGACTATTTTCACTTCCTTTAAGCCTTTGTGGCTCTTCCTCTGATGTCAGCTTTAAGTCTTGTTCTGAAGTGAAATCCATATATTTGGTTAAAATGAACCACTTAGAACAATTTAAAACTATTGTTTTTATAAAAATAGATTTAAGACATTTCATTTCATAAATTGAGCGCTTAAATGAAGCTTAATCTTTCATGAAATAGTTACTTAAGTAATAATTCTCCAAAACTTCAACAAACCACTTGGGGAGATACCAGAGTCCACCAGATTGAGGACATACAAACATGTCAAACATTCACTCACAAATTCATCCACCCAACGTAAATGAACAAAACCACCAGGAACACAATATTAAAATACGGCAGAAACATATAAGGTAACACAGTATACTGTTCTCCACTTCCTAATAGTGCCTTGTAAATGATTTCCAAAATCACTGCTGACACCTTTATTAGTGTACAATGTCTTCCTAATATTTAAATGTTTCCCTCCACTATTCTGACAATTTTTTTCATCTTTTAAAACAATGCTATGTGAAGTCTTCCTTGATTCTGCATGTCTTTCCCCAGATAAACAGGTACCTCCTTCCTTGAGGCTGCCTTAATACTTTACTTATTTTTCTACTGCATCTTTACCATCTCAAATGTACGTTATTGCTCCACATGTCTGTCCCCTCGGCTCCAAGACTGTAGGGGACAGTCTTGCATATCACCTTTGTATAAACATTCTTTATTTTACTCAGCAATTTTTTACTGAGTCCTGCTACATACATAGTAGGCATTAGGATTTAAAAAGAATGAAAATAAAGCATGTCAGGGATGGTTTTCTAGAAATCATGGCCAAGCAGAGACTTAAATATTGAGGCTAGCCAGATTACAAGGGGTAGAGGGCAGGAAAGGTTGGCAGTATGCCAGGAAGCAGCAAGAGAGGGAGTAAGGTGTGAAAGAGTGAATGTATTTGCCTACAAGAGAAGGATGAGTGAGTAGGGCATTGCAGGCAGTTCAGTAATGCCAGAGAAAGGGCACATGGGGAAAAGGGCTAAAGATGGAGAGTGAGGCAGAATTCTGATTATGAAAGCATTCTGTGTAATTTTAAGATGCTTGGACATTAATGTTCAAGAGTGGTCCCTGGTCCTATCTGCATTAAATACAGATCACTTTAAATGCCAAAACCAATATTCCTGGTGAACCATTATTCATTAACACAAGGTGATAGGTAGCTCATGTGGACACAGCTGAGATGATACTATGCAGCAAATGCTCAATAATTCTTATGAACAGTTGGAAATTCAATTCTATAATAAAGTCATCTAAATTATAAGAAATCACATAAAATTTGGTTTGGGAAGGTGCTTTCTAAAGTTATAGTGCATATAAATATAACTAATAGTTGTGAATTCAGAGCTGTGAAAATAAAGCAAAGAAACCACATTGTGTTTGAGTCAGCAATCTTTAGATTTCTATCCAGTTTTCCTATCTAGTCCCTAAATCCTAAATATAATACTGGCACTCACTCTCAAGTTTATGTTAAATACTAGCCTATACACACAAAAAAAAGTTCTTTCTCTTACTTCTTTTTGTTATTTATATGTTGCTTTGGTCAAAGAACACAAAAATGCCTTGCTAAAAAGGATTCTGTTTGGTTGCAGTTTGCAAGAGGGGAAGAAACACAAAGTATATTTTGCCAAAAAGTGATTTTTTAGAAGTCAGAACTATAACACGAAGCCAAGCAGAGGCACTCTAGGACTGAATTTGCTGTGCTTCTTTAATATGTTCCTTGGCCTCTTTGTTTTCTGGCAGCTGTGACTCACACAAGTCATGGAGAGTATCATTCTCTAAGAGAAACACAACTCCAATTCATCTTTATCTATTAAGTTCATCTCTCCCAATTCTGTGGATGCTGACTTTCAGTCATTGATGGTGATACACATGGAAATTTATCATCAACTTTCAGATTCTTGGATCTTTGACAAGTCTTATTACTGAGAGTCAAACTAGTAGGATGCCAGCTATAAATGCTGATATTCAATGATCTATTCAAAAATCCTATATGAATATCCCATTAAACATGCACAGAAAAATAATTAGTCATTCCTCTTGAGCTGCTCTTCTTTGCTCTTCTGTATTCACCAGAAAATTTCCTACTCCTTCCTCATGTTCAGGTTAAATAATACTGTACAACCTGGAAACCTGTGAATCATCTGGGATTTCTCTCTGTCCCCTAAATTTTCTCATTCAACAGTCACTAAATCATATTGACTATACCTCTCTTCTGCTTCCATTTTATATTCCCACTGCCACTGGGAACATAAACATTTACAAAGTGGCTTTTATTTTTTTAAAAAACCCAGCTGTTAATGTTATTTCTTACATGAAAAAAAATTAAAACAAAACAAATGAAAAAGGCATAACACCAAAAAAAGGCCAACATTTTAAAATGAATAACTGAGATTCCTAACTTTATTTATTTCACGATGGATGGGTGAAAACCTTATAATAAATTGATACTAGTCCAAGGACATGTGACAAGGAAACTGTAGCTGACTACAGCAAATCTTCCTTTGTCTCCTGGTTTCTTTACATGGTTACCTTCCATCAATCCTCTATGAGGGGTCAGAAAACTATAGGCCACAGGCCAAATCCAGTCTCCCTTATGGTTTTCTAAATAACATTTTATTGAACTCCGGTCTACAGCACCCAGCGTGAGCAACGCAGAAGATGGGTGATTTCTGCATTTCCATCTGAGGTACTGGGTTCATCTCACTTGGAAGTGCCAGACAGTGGGCGCAGGTCAGTGGGTGCGTGCACCGTGTGTGAGCCAAAGCGGGGTGAGGCATTGCCTCACTTGGGAAGCACAAGGGGTCAGGGAGTTCCTTTTCTGAGTCAAAGAAAGGGGTGACGGACGCACCTGGAAAATCGGGTCACTCCCACCCGAATACTGCGCTTTTCTGACCTGCTTAAAAAACGGCGCACCACGAGATTATATCCCGCACCTGGCTCAGAGGGTCCTACGCCCACAGAGTCTCGCTGATTGCTAGCACAGCAGTGTGAGATCAAACTGCAAGGCGGCAGCAAGGCTGGGCAACGGGCGCCCGCCATTGCCCAGGCTTGCTTAGCTAAACAAAGCAGCCAGGAAGCTTGAACTCGGTGGAGCCCACCACAGCTCAAGGAGGCCTGCCTGCCTCTATAGGCTCCACCTCTGGGGGCAGGGCACAGACAAACAAAAAGACAGCAGTAACCTCTGCAGACTTAAATGTCCCTGTCTGACAGCTTTGAAGAGAGCAGTGGTTCTCCCAGCACGTAGCTGGAGATCTGAGAACGGGCAGACTGCCTCCTCAAGTGGGTCCCTGACCCCTGACCCCGAGCAGCCTAACTAGGAGGCACCCCCCAGCAGGGGCACACTGACATCTCACACGGCAGGGTATTCCAACAGACCTGCAGCTGAGGGTCCTGTCTGTTAGAAGGAAAACTAACAAACAGAAAGGACATCCACACCAAAAACCCATCTGTACGTCACCATCATCAAAGACCAAAAGTAGATAAAACCACAAAGATGGGGAAAAAAACAGAACAGAAAAACTGGAAACTCTAAAAAGCAGAGCATCTCTCCTCCTCCAAAGGAACGCAGTTCCTCACCAGCAACGGAACAAAGCTGGATGGAGAATGACTTTGACAAGCTGAGAGAAGAAGGCTTCAGACGATCAAATTACTCTGAGCTGCAGGAGGACATTCAAACCAAAGGCAAAGAAGTTGAAAACTTCGAAAAAAATTTAGAAGAATGTATAATTAGAATAACCAATACAGAGAAGTGCTTAAAGGAGGTGATGGAGCTGAAAACCAAGGCTCGAGAACTACGTGAAGAATGCAGAAGCCTCAGGGGCCGATGTGATCAACTGGAAGAAAGGGTATCAATGATGGAAAATGAAATGAATGAAATGAAGCGAGAAGGGAAGTTTAGAGAAAAAAGAATAAAAAGAAATGAGCAAAGCCTCCAAGAAATATGGGACTATGTGAAAAGACCAAATCTACGTCTGATTGGTGTACCTGAAACTGACGGGGAGAATGGAACCAAGTTGGAAAACACTCTGCAGGATATTACCCAGGAGAACTTTCCCCATCTAGCAAGGCAGGCCAACTTTCAGATTCAGGAAATACAGAAAATGCCACAAAGATACTCCTCGAGAAGAGCAACTCCAAGACACATAATTGTGAGATTCACCAAAGTTGAAATGAAGGAAAAAATGTTAAGGGCAGCCAGAGAGAAAGGTCGGATTACCCTCAAAGGGAAGCCCATCAGACTAACAGCGGATCTCTCAGCAGAAACTCTACAAGCCAGAAGAGAGTGGGGGCCAATATTCAACATTCTTCAAGAAAAGAATTTTCAACCCAGAATTTCATATCCAGCCAAACTAAGCTTCATAAGCAAAGGAGAAATAAAATACTTTACAGACAAGCAAATGCTGAGAGATTTTGTCACCACCAGGCCTGCCCTAAAAGAGCTCCTGAAGGAAGTGCTAAACATGGAAAGGAACAACGGGTACCAGCCGCTGAAAAATCATGCCAAAATGTAAAGACCATCGAGACTAGGAAGAAATTGCATGAACTAACGAGCAAAATAACCAGCTAACATCATAATGACAGGATCAAATTCACACATAACAATATTAACTTTAAATGTAAATGGACTAAATGGTCCAATTAAAAGACACAGACTGGCAAATTGGATAAAGAGTCGAGTGTGTGCTGTATTCGGGAAAACCATCTCACATGCAGAGACACACATAGGCTCAAAATAAAAGGATGGAGGAAGATCTACCAAGCAAATGGAAAATAAAAAAAGGCAGGGGTTGTGATCCTAGTCTCTGATAAAACAGACTTTAAACCAACAAAGATCAAAAGAGACAAAGAAGGCCATTACATAATGGTAAAGGGATCAATTCAACAGGAAGAGCTAACTATCCTAAATATATATGCACCCAATACAGGAGCACCCAGATTCATAAAGCAAGTTCTGAGTGACCTACAAAGAAACTTAGACTCCCACACATTAATAATGGGAGACTTTAACACCCCACTGTCAACATTAGACAGATCAATGAGACAGAAAGTTAACAAGGATACCCAGGAATTGAACTCAGCTCTGCACCAAGCAGACCTAATAGACATCTACAGAACTCTCCACCCTAAATCAACAGAATATACATTTTCTTCAGCACCACACCACACCTATTCCAAAATTGACCACCTACTTGGAAGTAAAGCTCTCCTCAGCAAATGTAAAAGAACAGAAATTATAACAAACTATCTCTCAGACCACAGTGCAATCAAACTAGAACTCAGGATTAAGAATCTCACTCTAAACCGCTCAACTACATGGAAACTGAACAACCTGCTCCTGAATGACTACTGGGTACATAACTAAATGAAGGCAGAAATAAAGATGTTCTTTGAAACCAACGAGAACAAAGACACAACATACCAGAATCTCCGGGATGCATTCAAAGCAGTGTGTAGAGGGAAATTTATAGCACTAAATGCCCACAAGAGAAAGCAGGAAAGATTGAAAATTGACACCCTAACATCACAATTAAAAGAACTAGAAAAGCAAGAGCAAACACATTCAAAAACTAGCAGAAGGCAAGAAATAACTAAAATCAGAGCAGAACTGAAGGAAATAGAGACACAAAAAACCCTTCAAAAAATTAATGAACCCAGGAGCTGGTTTTTTTGAAAGGATCAACAAAATTGATAGACTGCTAGCAAGACTAATAAAGAAAAAAAGAGAGAAGAATCAAATAGATGCAATAAAAAATGATAAAGGGGATATCACCACCGGTCCCACAGAAATACAAACTACCATCAGAGAATACTACAAACACCTCTACGCAAATAAACTAGAAAATCTAGAAGAAATGGATAAATTCCTCGACACATACACTCTCCCAAGACTAAACCAGGAAGAAGTTGAATCTCTGAATAGACCAATAACAGGAGCTGAAATTGTGGCAATAATCAATAGCTTACCAACCAAAAAGAGTCCAGGACCAGATGGATTCACAGCCGAATTCTACCAGAGGTACAAGGAGGAACTGGTACCATTCCTTCTGAAACTATTCCAATCAACAGAAAAAGAGGGAATCCTCCATAACTCATTTTATGAGGCCAGCATCATTCTGATACCAAAGCCGGGCAGAGACACAACAAAAAAGGAGAATTTTAGACCAATATCCTTGATGAACACTGATGCAAAAATCCTCAATAAAATACTGGCAAAACGAATCCAGCAGAACATCAAAAAGCTTATCCACCATGATCAAGTGGGCTTCATCCCTGGGATGCAAGGCTGGTTCAATATACGCAAATGAATAAATGTAATCCAGCATATAAACAGAACCAAAGACAAAAACCACATCATTATCTCAATAGATGCAGAAAAAGCCTTTGACAAAGTTCAACAACCTTCATGCTAAAAACTCTCAATAAATTAGGTATTGATGGGATGTATTTCAAAATAATAAGAGCTATCTATGACAAACCCACAGCCAATATCATACTGAATGGGCAAAAACTGGAAGCATTCCCTTTGAAAACTGGCACAAGACAGGGATGCCCTCTTTCACCACTTCTATTCAACATAGTGTTGGAAGTTCTGGCCAGGGCAATTAGGCAGGAGAAGGAAATAAAGGGTATTCAATTAGGAAAAGAGGAAATCAAATTGTCCCTGTTTGCAGACGACATGATTGTATATCTAGAAAACCCCATCGTCTCAGCCCAAAATCTCCTTAAGCTGATAAGCAACTCCAGCAAAGTCTCAGGATGCAAAATCAATGTACAAAAACCACAAGCATTCTTATACACCAACAACAGACAAACAGAGAGCCAAATCATCAGTGAACTCCCATTCACAATTGCTTCAAAGAGAATAAAATACCTAGGAATCCAACTTACAAGGGATGTGAAGGACCTCTTCCAGGAGAACTACAAACCACTGCTCAAGGAAATAAAAGAGGATACAAACAAATGGAAGAACATTCCATGCTCATGGGTAGGAAGAATCAATATCGTGAAAATGGCCATACTGCCCAAGGTAATTTACAGATTCAATGCCATCCCCATCAAGCTGCCAATGACTTTCTTCACAGAATTGGAAAAAACTACTTTAAAGTTCATATGGAACCAAAAAAGAGCCCACATCGCCAAGTCAATCCTAAGCCAAAAGAACAAAGCTGGAGGCATCACACTACCTGACTTCAAACTATACTACAAGGCTACAGTAACCAAAACAGCATGGTACTGGTAGTAAAACAGAGATATAGATCAATGGAACAGAACAGAGCCCTCAGAAATAACACCGCATATCTACAACTATCTGATCTTTGACAAACCTGACAAAAACAAGCAATGGGGAAAGGATTCCCTATTTAATAAATGGTGCTGTGAAAACTGGCTAGCCATATGGAGAAAGCTGAAACTGGGTCCCTTCCTTACACATTATACAAAAATCAATTCAAGATGGATTAAAGACTTAAAGGTTAGACCTAAAACCATAAAAACCCTAGAAGAAAACCTAGGCATTACCATTCAGGACATAGGCATGGGCAAGGACTTCATGTCTAAAACACCAAAAGCAATGGCAACAAAAGACAAAATTGACAAATGGGATCTAATTAAACTAAAGAGCTTCTGCACAGCAAAAGAAACTACCATCAGATTGAACAGGCAACCTACAAAATGGGAGAAAATTTTCACAACCTACTCATCTGACAAAGGGCTAATATCCAGAATCTACAATGAACTCAAACAAATTTACAAGAAAAAAACAAACAACCTCATCAAAAAGTGGGCAAAGGAGATGAAAAGACGCTTCTCAGAAGAAAACATTTATGCAGCCAAAAAACACATGAAAAAGTGCTCATCATCACTGGCCATCAGAGAAATGCAAATCAAAACCACAATGAGATACCATCTCACACCAGTTAGAATGGCAATCATTAAAAAGTCAGGAAACAACAGGTGCTGGAGAGGATGTGGAGAAATAGGAACACTTTTACACTGTTGGTGGGACTGTAAACTAGTTCAACCATTGTGGAAGTCAGTGTGGCGATTCCTCAGGGATCTAGAACTAGAAATACCATTTGACCCAGCCATCCCATTACTGGGTATGTACCCAAAGGACTATAAATCATGCTGCTATAAAGACACATTCACACGTATGTTTATCGAGGCATTATTCACAATAGCAAAGACTTGGAACCAACCCAAATATCCAACAATGATAGACTGGATTAAGAAAATGTGGCACATATACACCATGGAATACTATGCAGCCATAAATAATGATGAGTTCATGTCCTTTGTAGGGACATGGATGAAATTGGAAATCATCATTCTCAGTAAACTATCACAAGAACAAAAAACCAAACACCACATATTCTCACTCATAGGTGGGAATTGAACAATGAGATCACATGGACACAGGAAGGGGAATATCACACTCTGGGAACTGTTGTGGGGTGGGAGGAGTGGGGAGTGATAGCATTGGGAGATATACATAATACTAGATGACGAGTTAGTGGGTGCAGCTCACCAGCATGGCACATGTATACATATGTAACTAACCTGCACAATGTGCACATGTACCCTAAAACTTAAAGTATAATAATAAAAAAAGACCAGAAACAGTTTCTGTGTGGTTATGTAAGATGTTATGCCTAAAAATCCTATTAAAAATGCCAAAAGTGAAAAAAAAAATAACATTTTATTGGAGCTCACTCATTCCTATTTGCTTACATATTATCCATAGTTGCTCTCACACAACAGCAGGGTTAAGTAGATATGACAGAGACCACATAGTCTAAAACATTCCCCACCTGGTCATTTACAGAAAAAGCTTGCCAACCCCTGTTTTACAACATTACCAAAAGGCCTTAATACTCTAATTTAATCTTGTGACTCCCCTGCTCAAATTTCTCCAATGAGTCCCTGCAGCAAACATTGCTGGCTCCCTTATTCTTTCTTATTCCTTATTCTTTCTTGCAGAAGAAACACAAGTCTTCTGAGACAGTATTCCAATCCCCCTCCTCAGCTTCAGAAAGAGAAATGATTATTCTAAGCTAATCACATACTTACATTTGCTCTTCCAGTGCCTGGTTTAGGGATAAGCATATGTTGTGACCTAGCCAATAATATGTTACAGGAAGTCCACTGCATGCTTCTAAGGTTTCTCCCTATTTAAAAGACATGTGTGAAGAAAAGCAGCCCTTGTGATGTTGTGTTGTGAGAACAAGATGTTTGGAACTGTTGTGGATTAGCCAACCATGAAAGGAGACATGAAGCACAGCTGAAAGAGGGACAAGGGGAACCTAGTATATCACTGAACAACCAAAACAACTCTGGTTCCTACTGTTTTAGCCACTGCTCATCTAGTATTTGCAGTCCAAAGCAAATACCTCACTGGAAGATATCGAAGGTAAATTTCCCGTGGTCCCCAGAATAAGACCTACTCATTTCAACAGTATTAAAAAGTCTATCATAAACTTGCCTTAGCTAAATATTCACCTCATTCCCAACCTCTCTTATCTCACACTAGTTGTACTAGCAAAAGTGAACTGCTCATAAACCCTACAAAGTTCGCTTAAGCATCTTGTCTTTTGCACTTGCTGCTCTTCCTCCCAACAGGCAATCTCATTACATGTTCCTTCTGCCAAACATCATTCTTCTACTTCTTTACGTAGAAAAATTCTACTCACTCTGCATGCTTACCTTAAATCCTACCTACTTTTTTTTAAAGCTTTCATTCCTCATCACGTATGTCTGGCACATAATCAATATAATATACAATAAATCATAATTATAAACTTCCAGTGGGCATCTAGCACACAGTAAGCACTGAATAAGGTAGGAACATAATAAAAATGACAATGATAATGACAAACTCCTGTCTGTATTTTTAATTGTTTCTGTTCTCTAGCATTAGAAAAATGCTTAGTACCTAAAAGACATTTTATAGTTATTTGTTAAGTGGACAAGTGAAAACATAAAAATATTTTCTTTGTAAATTCTGTTGAAAAGGCAGAGAAATGAAATAGAGGCAGCTGTATTCTATTATGAGCACCTTAAAGATCAGAACTACATCTATTCCATCTTTGTCTCTTGCAATGTACACAATCTAACTTACAGAAGCTCTTTGATAAACATAGGGCTAAATTAAAGATGTCCTTATAGAGTCTGGATTGTACGATGCGTTAGGTGTCCACATCCAGGTAGCATACTAGCATTTTTCTTACTGTGAAACATTTTTGTACTTTTATTATAATCTGCTGAGCCTAGAATTGGGCAATTTGTGTATTTATTATGACAATCTTTTGGCGACTGGCAGCAAAGCATCTTGTTCTAACAAAATTACTGTTTATCATGACAATTAACCAGCAGGTAGAAGAATACATCTTGTTCCAACAAAGTAAATCTATCTCTTTCAATTTCAAATTAGGAGGAATGAAGTCAGTAATAGTGAGACTTTGTTGGTACAAGCATATGAAACATAACCTGTGCTTCGCTCTTCTTTTGTGATCAAAACTTCCTTACTTTTACCTTTTTATCTGTGATAGGACCACCCAGATCAAGCATCCACAACTCCCAGGCCATGGACTGGTACCAGTCCATGGCTTGTTAGGAACCATGCCACAGAGTAGAAGGTGAGAAGCAAGCAAGCCAGGGAAGCTTCATCTCTATTTACAGCCACACCCCATGACTCATATTACTGCCTGCTCTCCACCTCCTGTCAGATCAGTGGTTGCATTAGATACTCATTGGAGCATGAACCCTGTTGTGAACTGCCCATGTGAGGGATCTAGGTTGTGTGCTTCTTATCAGAATGTAATGCCTGATGATCTGTCACTGTCTCCCTTTGCCCCCAGATGGGACATCTAGTTGCAGGAAAACAAGCTCAGAGTTTCCACTGATTCTACATTATGGTAAGTTGTATAATTATTTCATTATATATTATAAGGTAATAATAATATAAATAAAGTAGCATAATAAATGTAATGTGCTTGAATAATTCTGAAACCATCCACACCTTCACCTAGTCCATGCAAAAATTGTCTTCCACAAAACTGGTCCCTGCTGCCAAGAAGGCGAAAAGGTTGGGGACAACTGACCTAAAGTAATTCACTATCAGAAGTCTTACCTGGATTGCTATTTCCAGAAGAGTTGTTTGGCATCTGGTTTTCTTTGTAGTCAGAAAGTAATTGGCAAATTCTATGTATAAAAATGTAATAAATAAAATTACTATTTTAATACTGATATAAAAATGCTTACCAAATGCAAAAATTCTTTGAGTATTTCAAACAGTATCAGAATATCAGAACTTAACAATATTATCCCATACAGTTCTGTGTACATTCTACAAACCTCTCATTAAGCTTCTAATTAAAGAAGAAAAAAGTAAGGTGAAATACTCATAAATCAAGGGCATTATGACTCAATAAACTAACTTGCATTAGCTTGACACAATAGAAAGTGTCCCAACTCTGCATAAGGCCTAGCTCCATAATGAACAGCTGATCCATACCTATGCCTAAGTGCTCAACTTGTTCTTGGACAAGTTACTTCTCTTAGGCTCAATGTCTTCTTCTACAAAGTGAGGACTTTGCTGCTTTATTTCACTAGGTTGTTATTTCTACAAAGTGGGGACTTTGCTGCCTTATTTCACTAGGTTGTTATTTCACTAGGTTGTTACAAAGACTTAACAATATAACATTTTCTAAATGCTCAGAAAAATAGTAAAGCAATGAAATAATCTATTCCTAAACTTTATACTGAAATTATCTCAGAATCCCAAATAAAACCCAATGTATATTTTGTTCATAGGCCCTAATATGCAAATGTTGTAATTTTCAGGAAATGTTAAGTCCTAATTTTCCTTATTAGTTGTCCTACTCTTTATGGCTTATAATTCAAGGAATCTCAACTATTTCATAGTTTGTAACTAAATTTATTCATAAATATCTCATTAAAGTAGAAAACATGATTGCCCACTATTACGGAGTTTACCAATCACAACAAGGGCAGAAAATCCACTGGATGTCAACACCTGGCTTGGACCAATGATCCTTCTCTACAGACTCAAACTCTAAACCAGCAGATGTTTGTTAGGATGATGCTTCATCTCCCTGCTCATCTCCAGCTGACATGGGAGACTAAAACCCTACTTTTTTTTTTTTTTTTTTAGGTTCCATGAAGAAGTTGTAAGTTGACCTTCTTGAATTTTCAAGTCACATGCTGGCAATATATTTTTCACACAACACCCCACACATTATTCAGCTCTGGGGTCATCTCTTAGACCACCTTACATGAATATTTTTGTAGCAAAAAATCACAATTTCAATATTTAGGTGGCACCCATTTTGCTTTGATTCACACCATTTCCTTGGAGCTAGTCAGAAAATAGTCAAATGACCTTCCAGTGACTGCACAAAACTTGGAATCCTTCAAAAATTGGTTCAGCCTCCTTATGCAGGCACCATGCTAATTTTCTTTGTATTGTTCCAATTTTAGGATATGTGCTGCCTAAGCAAGCACAAAGCTCTACTTTTACACATGGACAGTGATGAGTCATTGACAAGGTTTGGCTCTAAGTCCAACTAACCTACTTGAGATCCTGAGAAATCTCTTCAATATCTTCCAGTGAGGTAGAATTTGAAAATATTTTTAAATCTTGAGGAAGAGATGCAAGTAGCTTGGGAGATTCTCATTATTATGGAAAATGGATCATTCAAGGGGTCAACTATAACTGGGTGCTCACTGCTCTGGGGAAGGTTAATATGGGACTTTCTACTGCCTAAGGTACTATACACAATATAAATGTGCCTCAGGGTACAGATATGGTAGCAAAGAAGAATAAACAAACACTGACCTCTTTCTGCCACATTATTTGAACCTCTCTGACAGTTTAGAACAAGCCCAGCTAATATCTGCTAGAGAAAAGACCAACATGGGACTCAAAGGATCTCTTACCATGACAGTCTCAGTTAAGTGTAGGATAACATGTGGGTTCCACATCAGGTTTTGAATGTGGGTGGAAGGGTCAATTTGCTCACTTTGTGTGTGGATAAAGCCAGGATGCTAAGCTGCCAGAGCAGGGTGCTGGTGCTTTGGGAACAATGGCTGAACACATAGGCATAGGTATGTGAATGTAAAAAATTTTATAACTTTGAAGTCCATGTATGGATCACCATGAAGACTTGAGGGATTTGAATCAGTAAGCGCATCTTGATGTCAAAGGCCAACCATTACCAGGCAGCAGGACCAGTTTCAGTGGCAACGATGCAGCAACAGAATCAACAGAAACAAAAGAATGATTAAAATGTCCTTTTTTTCTCCTCCTTATGACTTGAAAAAAAGGACTGTCTTCCTTGGACTTAGTGAATCCCTTTGGTTCTCAAAAAATTCAGGGAGTATATAGGAGACAGTCCCCAGAAGACAGTACAAGACTTTCTCCTAAACTGAACATTTCAAGACCCAAATAACTAACTAGAAAAATTAAAGATATGGCACTATTTTTTATCCCATGCATAGGTGTTATACATGGAATGAAATGAACAATGTTGGAATCTCTAAGGATAAAGGTCTTAAAAGTCCCGAGATAAAGAATCCTGCACCCATTGGTACTTCTAACTAGTCTAGTTTTTTGTTTCATTTCTAGCTGATGCAGTGGACTAAATCATAGCCACTCTAAAACTACCTGAATCAATCTATCACATCTCACCTGATATATAAGATGCAATCATTATAATTATTTTAAACCTCAATGTAGTTTTAACTAGACTTTTAATGTAAACACTTACATACTATGATGACTAGAAACTGCATAATCTTCAGCAGTTTGTCCAAATACATCTTGAGAAAATACATCAATATTTTGCTGAAGTAGAAGACTAACTATACTTGCTGATCCACAACGTACAGCAAGTATGAGGGCAGTTCTAAAATAATATAGAGATAATTTCTCCCTTAGGAACTTCAAGTGATTTTAAAAGCTAATTCAATATACTTTGCCAATTTAATATCTTGCCCGTCCATGCAGAATTAAACATTTACATGTACTAAAAGACATAAGCATCTTGGGTGCTCAAGGGTTCATCTTTATAAAGTACCATCAAGGTTAAAAGGAAGGGACAAAAAGGAAACCTCTTATCTCAGTGGGGTATTGCATAGTAGCAGCTACTAATTTAAAGGCCTTTGATGGGCAAGAAACTATGCTAGGGCTGCTTATCTGAAGTAGACAAAGATTTAAGTGAAGTTTTCTTCCCAGGTCCCTAGACTGATACACTGTAATAGAAAATCAGCTAGGGATCAGATAAATAAGAGCTATCTGCATGCTGAAAGCAGTAATAACAAATGGTAAGAATAGTGGTCATAGTGGTTTCAGTTAATGAATACCAATAAGCATGTGCTAGGCCCTGAATTAAATGCTATAAAAAGATATATATAAAGATATATATATATATATATCTTTCTTACTATGCACAGCTAACTTTGAAGGATATATTCTCCTCCTTTTCATACATGACAACATATTTGGTGGTAAATAACATTCACAATGTCACACACCTAGCAAGTAAGAAAGCTAGGAATTAAACCCAGTCTTGTGTGACTCTAAAGCCTAGCTCTTTTCTCTTTATCACCCACCTATGGCTTGCCTTCATGAAAGGAAAAGTGTATCCACTTAAGACTATCTTCGCTCCCTCTCTCCATACTAATTAAAAATAAAAACATCAAAATACACTGGAAATAAAAAGGGAAAAATCTGATGAACCCACAGTATGTGGGAATAGCAATTGATTGTCAAGTAGGGATAAGCTAACATTAATATTCTTTAAAGAAAGCAACTTAAAGCAGAGTTATTCAAAAGACAAAATGATTTGCAACTCCTATTTATGTTTAATATAGCATATTTAGTGGAAAACCATATAAGAAGCAGAGGTTAAAAACTACTAGAAAGGGTTAAGAAGTTCAAGACTGAGTCATAACTGAAAGTTAAAGTTCACACTTTCTAAAACTAATATGAAATCCCTTTAGCTAACATAAGAACATACAACCAATAACATCACATAACAAATAACATCAGTCAAAATAATAAAATGAGTCCTACTAAAACTGTTCTTTATGTTGCCCAGTCTAAATAACTGTTTTTTTCTACTTAACTGATTTGTGTTGCTACTGATAACTATGTCCCAATAAGTATAAGTTAGTATTATTAATTTAATATTTATGACTTGAGTGACTGCTATCAATCTAGAACAACACAGAGATTAAAAGAAATAACTATACCTTCCAAACCTATCAAGTGCATTTAAATTAGCTTTTTTCTTGATTAAAAATTTCACCATTCGCTGTTTTTGTCCATGTACAGCAAGCAAAAGTGGTGTGAGGCCACCCTGTAAAACAATAGAAACCAAAAATAATATGTAACTGAAAAAATTATATATTTCTCAACTGAATTGGAAACTTTATATAAAGATCCTATGGACTTATACTCATAGAAAGTAAATAAAATGTAGTTGTTTCCTTCTCACTCTTCCGTGCTTTCCCACACACTGCTCTTCCCTTGGAAACACCCCTCCTCTGCCTCACCACATTAACCCTGGTCATCTTGAAAACTCACTTTAAACATTTACTGGTTTCAAGAATCTTTGACTCTATCCCAGCATTTGTGACATGGTATTATTGGATGATAATAATTTTTCCTATCTAAACAAAAATCTTCTTGAGGGCAGGGTCTGTATCTTTTATCCCTATATCCTCAAACCCTGTGACAAATTGTTGTGTATAAAGCAAGAATTTGCATGTAAAATATTTCTTCAGTTTCAGATGTTTTACCCAAAAAATCAAGCTCCAATGTGCAGTAAAAAATTGCTATTAAGGCTCATACTGCCCATTTCAAGAATTTTTCCCATATTTATTCATTTGAAATCTATTTATATTTAATTTTCCTGATTGTTAACTAAATAATCAGTTCATAGGACTGCTGAAACTAAATTAACAGAATTCCCATGTGTATTCTTAATAACTGCATGGTTTTTAGTGTTTAATACTACCATCCTGATTATGCCAAAGTTCTACAAACTTAAGAGACATACTGGATAGTCCATAATATGGCTTTAATTGACAAAAATGGTTTGGAATTTGCTACAATTTTAATTGAGAAAACTCTGCTCTTAGTAATGACTTACTGACTTAAGCACTTGAATAACAAAGAGACACAAAATCCTGAGAGGGCCAGCCTCTACTTATTGAAAGAATACTCACTGCAAATTTCTAAAGACCTTCTGAATGGCAGTGAATAACTGATGGTAGGAAGGAAAAGGTATTATTCTGTAAGCTGATAGATACTACCAATAATATTCATTTTAATGTCCCAACCACAGAGAAGAAAGTCAGACTAGGCTAGGCATGGTGGCTCACAACTGTAATCCTAGCATTTTGGGACACTGAGGCAGCTGAATCGCTTGACCACAGGAATTCAAGACCAGCCTGGGAAACATGGCAAAAAACCCATCTCTACTAAAAAAATAAATAAATAAATAAAATACAAACTGGAGGTGGGAGGACCACCTGTACTTGGGGAGGTCAAGCCTGCAGTGAGCTGTGATTGCACCACTGTGCTCCAGCCTGGGAAACAATGTGAGACCCAGTCAGAAAGAAAGAAAGAAAGAAAGAAAGAAAGAAAGAAAGAAAGAAAGAAAGAAAGAAAGAAAGAAAGAAAGAAAGAGAGAAAGAGAAAGAGAGAGAGAAAGAAAAAAAGAAAGAAAGAAAGAAGAAAGAAAGAAGAAAGAAGAAAGAAAGAAAGAAAGAAAGAAAGAAAGAAAGAAAGAAAGAAAGAAAGAAAGAAAGAAAGAAAAAAAGAAAGAAAGAAGAAAGAAAGAAAGAAAGAAAGAGAAAGTCAAACTAATATTATTGGAAAGGAAAGATTTAAAGGAAATTGCGCATATCCAACTCCAACTCTTCTAGAGATGTCTTAAGTTTCTGAGATATGAGAATTTACATATTACACTTATCTATTCAGTGGTTCTTAAGCAGAAGTGTATCTGCATTTTAAGGAATTTGTTGTTGTTGTTGTTGTTGTTGTTGTTGCTGTCATTGTTGTTACAGACATGGTCTCATTATGTTGTCCAGGCTAGATTCAAACTCTTGAGCTCAATCAATCCTCCCACCTCAGCCTCTCTAGCAGCTGGGAGGAAGGCATCCATAACCAGCATGCCTGCCTTCAAGGAAACATTTTTAAATGGACATATCCAGGCTTTATTAGACTTACTGTATCAAAATCTTCAGGAGAGGGTCTAGGCTTGTAGATTATTTTAAAATGTTCCTCAAGTTACTGAGATGCACACTTCTAGTTGAAAACTAGTGCAACAGACAATTACTTCAGTCTCATCTCTCACCCACATGGCCAATTCCCTTTATCATTTGAGCTTTTGGCCAAAAAAAAGGAAAGAGTGAGAGACTCATTTGCTGAAAACACCACTTAATTTTCCTGGATGGGGTTAGAACAGGGCCTAGTAAACTCAAAATCCAACTTGATCTTATTACTTATAAGCTCTTTATCTCCCACCTTCCCATCAAGACATTCTAGATTTGAAAGCAGAGTTTAGACTCTATCTAAGTGGCCATTTCTACCAGAATAGGATAATAAGTCAAATAATTCCCTGATATTCCCTCTGCTCAAGGGTTTCCCATTACATACCACCTATTCACTGCCAATCTGCTTCCTCAGAGGGCTCCTAAAATTAATCTCTAGGCAGTTTACAACCCACTAACTCCCTCTCCCAAACTAAAAAACTGTCATTCTCTAAAACTGAAGAGAACCTTGTTTCACCACGCAAAGGAAAGAAATGAACAAACAACAAAAAAAAGCACACACACACAGAATCTCTTCATGGTCTTTTTCCTCCATTACCTAATTTCCAAATTGGCCTCGATATTTCTGATTGCTCTCCTTTTCATTTTCTATTTCTGCCTTATAAGGAATCAGAAATATCTTAAGCCTTGCCACTAAAAGATACATCGCTTCATATCTATTACTTTTTTTTTTTTAGGAACTTGCCAAAGCAGCAAGATTTCTATTCACTGAAACATGTTTTAGTTTTCTTGGAGTTTTAATGAAAAACTTGCTTCCAGGGCAAATTTTGTCATTTTACATTGATTAGGGAAAAGAAAACCTGGAAGGGAAAAATTGAAAAAAAATAAGTATTACCTTTTACAAATTCAGTGTTTTCAAAAAAATTTTACCACAAGTGCATAAAAAAAGCTGTACCTGCTGATGCCTCTTTAAAAGTAACAATATTTAAAATTAAATCTTAGATAATTAAGTCATTTCAAAATATTTTCATTCAGGTTATGCTTGAGCTTCCAAATATGGCAAACTGACCCTTACACAAGTCGATGTTAAAACAAATGTATTTCAGTATTTTGAAAATAAAATTGGTAGATCTGTACCTTGTTTTTTGATTCAATGTCAGCACCGTATAAAAGCAGTGTTTTGGCCATTAATTTATCTTCATTGTAGACTGCATAGTGTAGAGCAGTATTCCCATACATATCTGGAAGATTTGGATCAGTGCCATGTTGTAGCAACATTAACGCACATTCATCCTCCTGGCATTGTACGGCCTGTCAGTATTAGACCAAGAAATCAATTGTAAATCCTAGGAATTCAAAATAAACATTCCACAGATTTCACCAAGTTATATTTACATGAGAAAACTCATTTTTTTAATTATCTTAAATCTACCTCATGCTGATATAGTTGGCTACTGCATACCTTTATCAGAGCTGTCCTCTTTTTGCTGTCAAAGACATGAAGTTGACATTGTCTGTCCAGCAGAAGACTTACTACTTCTGAATTGCCATTGGCACAGGCCAAGTGTAGAGCAGTCCTAAGAGAGTGAGAGACTTTTTTAGGAAATTGTAATGCACTATCTAAAGCCATACCAATGACTCATGTAATTGCAAATGCTGAATAGCATGCTATCCCAGCCTTCAAAACAAATATTTAATATTCCTGTGAAGAAAGCACACTATTTATTACCTCTTATTCTCACTGTGTTAATGAAAGAGCAGAGTATCAGAACAGAAAGAGCGCAGCCCTTGGATTCCATTCAACTTGAGCTGGAAAACTGTTTTAAGCTCTGTCACTTCCTAGCTGTTGCTTAGTCTTTTTGTGTCTCAATTTCGTCATCAATAAAATGGGGATGCAAAAAATAGCTTTCTCACAGAAAACCACTATAATGCTTAAATGAGACTCTACACAAAATATGTAGAATAGTTCCTAACACAAATAACAGCTCAATAATTGTCAGATATTATAATTTGTATTAATACTACTACTTAATGAAGACTATTTGAAATAAGTGACATGATACAATTACACCTACACTTTGAGATATGTCTTAAAGATTACAGATAACATTGTATTTTATTGATTCTAAGATGTTCATTGTCTCCATGTTTTCACATTTCTTACACTGGAATACCGCTTATAATTCACAATTTACTATAATTGGCAGCATTTAAATAACTCTCTTCTTGTGACATAAAATAATGGGGCATCATAAAATCTATGGTGCCTTACATTAAGTAGAATATGGTATCTATAACAGGTCTGGGGCAGTTCTGGTCAGATGACTGACATTTAGATGAATTTTAGTTCTTAAAAGAACTACACATTAAGAGGGCTGAGGTGAAAACAAAAACAAATTTCTAAAATAAACTAATTCTTACTTTGGTGTTCAAAAATCTTTAAGCCAAAGAAAACATGGAATTCAAATGAATAGGTGTAGCTAATTTTTTTCAATACTTAGATTTGTAGAATGTATGTAAATCAGATATTTACAATCATTAATATTAGGATTTAAGATTGTTATAAATTTTATTTTTTAAAATGGATTTATGAAACTATTTGTGGAATTTTTTTTCAACTTTTATATTCAGGGGTACATCTGCAGGGTGTGCAGGTTTGTTACATAGGCAGACGTGTGCCAAGGGCATTAGTTGTACAGGTTATTTCATCACACAGGTATTAAGCCCAGTACCCATTAGTTTTATTTCCTGCTTCTTTCCTTCCTCCCATCCTCCACCCTCTGATAGGCCCCAGTGTGTGTTGCTCCCCTCTACGTGTCTGTGCATTCTTACCATTTAGCTCCCACCTGTAAGTGAGAACATGCAGTATTTGGTTTTCTATTCCTGGGTTAGTTTGCTAAGAATAATGGCCTGCAGCTCCATCCAAGTCACTGGCAAAGGACATGCTCTTGTTCTTTTTCTATGGCTGCATAATATTCCACGCTGTTTAAGTATCATGTTTTAGTTCTTAAAAGTCCTAAACTAGTCTTTACCCGTGACTGTTATAAATTTTCAAAAAGGCAGTTAAAGTTTACGTTTTATTATTTTCTACCTTCCGAAACGCTTTTTTCTGAAAGGAGAGAGGAAAAGCGTCAATTGAGATTAAGTCCTAATAGTCCAATTTTAAATCTCTCAGTTTGCTCAGGCCTGGCAGGGAAACATGAAATTTTCAAAGATAGAAGGATCCTAAGAGATAGTAGAATATGCCTGCCACATAATAGGTGTCTGGCTTATGTTTGATGAATAAATCGATTGAAAGAATTGATAAACACAGCTGAAGAATTCAATATTTTCAAAGAAAACTCCTGTATAGTACAGCAATACATTCACAATAGTAATAATCATTTATATTTGCTATTTTAATTTTCATATATAACTAAAATAATTAATCCATACTTCTTACACATGTTAATCTATATACAATGAAAAGATAATTATATAATAAAATATATACACAATAAAATCTACAGTAACAGGTAAACAGATTCCCTCTACTTCTGAAAAGAATGAAAGTTCACAGAAGAGGCCAGGCATGGTGGCTCACCCCTGTAATCTCAGCACTTTGGGAAGCCGAGGCAGGCAGATCAAGAGGTCAGTAGTTCGAGACCAGCCTGACCACCATGGTGAAACCCCATCTCTACTAAAAATACAAAAATTAGCATGGCGTAGTGGCACGTGCCTGTAATCCCAGCTACTCAGGAGGCTGAGGCAGGATAACCACTTGAACCCAGGAGGCAGAGGTTGCAGTGAGCCAAGATCGCACCACCCCACTCCAGCCTAGGTGACAGAGTGAGACTCCGTGTCGAAAAAAAAAAAAATTCACAGAAGATACGCATCCACAGAAAGAAAAATAAATACTAGAATGTGAGAAATTAGTTGTATTTATGCAAATAGCATACTCCTTCTCTTCCCAAGGATTATTTCATTACTAGTGAAACTTAACTAAAACTTTTCAGACGTTCATCGCAGAAATCGCAGATAAGATAAAGGGAAAAACTTCACTTACAATACAAATCCCCAGAAATAAGTTTTATCATATTTTTGACATATTTTCAGCTAACACAAGAGCAGATTCTGTTTGCGTATAACTGATTTTTTTCTCACTTGATATATACCTAAGTACATCTTTGCATGTCAACTTATCTCTGTATCTATTGACACCCTCAATGGTTACATATTATTCCATCATATGGATGGACTGAAATTTGTTCATAAAATCTTTACATGAGTTCTTCTCAATACACTGCTATTTAAGTAATACTAAGAAAAGCAGATGTATCTATTTCCAAAAGATATTTCAGTATAATGGAATTGATGGGTAAAAGGCATATACATTTTTAAAATGTGGTTCTTACCACCAAAATGTCTATTTGAAAACTCACAGCAACTTAAACCTTAAGAAGCTGTATAAGTACCACTGTTCTTCATCCTCACAAACTTTGTGGATAGAAACAGAATTTCATTCCTCTTCTAACTTAGATAGAAAAGAGTATTTCATTTCTCTTCTAATTTAAATTCCTTCTCTTATCAGGAACACTATGTTCTCCTATGTGCATAGGTCATTGGTAGACATGCAAAAAAGTACTTTGCCCAATTTTAAATTGAGCTTGTTTTATTTAGTTGTCTTCTTGTTGATTTGAAAGAATTCTCTGTAAAATGAAAATACATGTTTTGCAAGTGTTTTGTCCTTTGTTAATTTTTTTCTTATTTACAGGGTGTTTTAATTTTTATTTTGCCAAACCACCCTTCAGAATACTTGTTTTTGAGGTTCTTAGGTCTCTGTGAACATAAAATATATCTGCATATAAAAATAGACATTTGTGTTTCCTTCTGGCACTTTTCTTAATTTGTATATTTAAAATTTTTAATGTATACCCCAGGAACTTATTTTTGTGACATAAAAAATCTAGCTAGTTTTCTCCAAACAGCATGCATTTCATTTATGAATAATTCATCTTTTTATACTACTATGAAACATCACCACTATCAAGTTCTAAATTCATATATTTGGGTATTTCTGGATTTTGTATTCTGTTCTATTTATTTATGTCTTTTGAGCTGTTAGTAAACAATTTGTGGAAATAGCACATGAACATTTTGATATCTGGAAGAGCAAGTCTTTTTCCATTCTGTCACAAACATTTATCACAATAGTAAAAGACAGCATGTGTAATTTTAAAATGTTAAAACTTTACTATTTTTATTTGGCTTGGGTAAAAGTGATAAACACAAAAGAGCTCACATCTTAAGAAAAATAAATCTTCCTATTCAAGGACACGAACTATCTTCCCATTTCAGTTTCCTTCTAAGGTTCCTCAGTAAAGAACATATTTACATAGGGGTACATTGATATAAAATGCATATTGGATTTTATCTGAAGAATATTTAATCTCAGAATTTGATATATTATGGGACTTAGTTCTCATTATACTCCTTTCTATAATGTATATAACATTGTTTTAAAATGTGTACATTAAAAATAATCTGCTGCATCGACTTAATTTTGAGAGTTAAATCACTTTAAAACAGTCTCTTAAGTGTTCCATAAGGGAAATTATTATGGGATTGGAAATCAACTAAAGTTTTGTTTTTGTGTTGCTGCTCATAAAGAGGCCTGTGCCCCGAGCTCTCTGAAGTATCCACACACCGGGTGGCGTGGGACCTGAGGAGGCAAGAAAGCCAGGGCGCCCCCCACAAACACACACACACACACGAGGGCACGTCCAACCCCATCCCCCAAGGTCCCGCCTCCTCCCAGCCCCAGGCCCGGTTACCTCTTCTTCTTGTCCCTTTTGTTAATGCCAGGGCCCCTGAGCATGACGATGAGATCCGCTCTGGGGACTTCACCCCACCAGGCAGCTCTGTGGAGCTTGCCCAGATCTTCTCGACGGACGTGATACCTTGGCTCCGTGAAGGCGCTGTCGTCGTGGTCTCTCCAAGCACCCATGTTGTTCTTGCCGCTTCCCCTGCAGCAGGGGAAGCAGCAGCAGCACCACTTGCCCATCTTGCCCCTGAAGCCAAAGGGCTTCTTCATAGGGGAGGCAGCCAGCTTTGGAGAAACCTCAGCCACCATCTGCTTTCAACAGCCTGGTAGTAGCGAGCAGATGGTGTCTGTCAACGAGTTTCACCAAAAAGCGGGAAATTACGAGTTTCCAATCTGTTAGGGGAGAAAGGTCAATCCCAGCCAAAACCCCACCCTGGGAGAGCCCACGACCCCTCCCCCACCACCAACTGGGGAGATCCCACGTCCCCCCACCACCCGGGGAGAGCCCACGCCCCCTCCACCACCCAGGGAAAGTGCACGCCCCACCGGGGAAACACCCAGCCCAGCCAGGGGAATGCCAAGCCCAGCAAGAAAAGGTCAAGCCCAGCAAAGGAATGCCAGGGTAAAGCCAATCCAAACCAGGACCACCAAGCCAAGCGGGGGTGCCCAGCCAAGCCGTTACGTGGGCGTGCGCGTGCGGTGTGCGCACCGTGCGCACCTCGGGCGGCGTCACTGCACGTGACACAGACAGTGGCTGACGTTTGCAACCCGCGTGGGCAAGTCCTGGCGCCACAAATGTCAGTGACAGCCTGTGTTACTGCCAAACTTTGTGGGAGTTGGCCAAGCTTTTAGGCCATTGAGGAGAGGCCGCAGGTGGGAAAAAGCCTGTTGTAGCAGGCTAGAGCGCCTGGAACTTGAGGACGCTGACAGCCTCCTCTGAAGAAAGCCCCCAAGACACTCGTGGTGGTGCTGTTGTGGCTGGCAGCGGCTGCAGCTCAGAGCGGTGGGCTGGCGGAGCTGCTGCAAATGGCCTCAAAATCGCGGAGCACAAGCCGCCCATGGAGCCCAGGGCCTGCCTGAGGCGCCTTTGCCACCGGCTCCTCCTTGGTCCGCACCCAGAACACCGGACCATCAGCGACAGGGCACTCGGGGGCCACAGGATCGGGTACACTGCGACATTTCAGTTCACATTTGTTGCGTTGACTTCAATGTGACACTATGGGGATTTGGTCCCAATAATGCCAAGGAGAAATTTCACCAGAGGCTTCCTATGCTACAAATTCCTTCTCATCAGGCTCTCAGCAAGCACCTTAAATTACTGAGAACAAAAACGTTCCCATAGCGGCTCCTCCTGGAGGCAGCTGTGCCAGGAGGGCAGGCTGCAAGGTGCTCAGTGTGGAGACTCTGGAGGCAGTGGGGCTGGGATCTGCCCTGCAGGCCCCCGTGCCCGGATGCTGGCCAGGGATTTCAGAGGCAGAGAGCACCAGACATGCGGGACTCAGGTGGCATGCATGAGGCATCAATGAGATCGTTCACAGAAACAAACACGACATGGAATCACCCTAAGCATCCATCAGCTGACACACAGATAATGGGGTGGAACATGAACACAGCAGCGATGTTCATCCTTAAACAAGAAGCAAACCCTGCTGTCTCTGGCAGCAGGGCTGAACCCTGAATGCATGGTATTAAGTGACATAAGCCAGATGCATGAAGCCGAGCACCCTAAGATCTCACCTACCTGAAGACACTCAAACTTATGGGAGTAGAGAGTGGAAGGGAGGCTGCGGAGGATGGGGCTGAGGGACAGAATTGAGAGAGGTTGGACAAAAGGTACAAAATTTCAGACAAGGAGGAGGAGCAAGTTTAAGAGCTCTATTGCACTTCACGGTGGCTACAGGTAATAGCAATGTATCATATTCTCGAAAATTGCTAAGAGTAGATTTCATTGTTCTCACGACAAAAAATGTGAGGTAATGCATATGTTAATTAGCTTGATTTAGCTATTCCACAAAGTATTCTTATTTCAAAACATCATATTGTACACCTTAAATATATATTTTTGTCAACTAAAATTTATAAAACTAAATAAGTACTTGAAAAAAGGGGCTAATCCCATTGCTGAGCTCAACTAGCAACTGCTTCATGGACCTGGCTGTGATTGATCATAGTAACAAGAGTATCTTGACAGCCCCAGCCACAGCTCCAACCCCAGCTCATCACAGCAGTCGGTTTCACTGGGTAGAGAAGAGAAAGCCGCCCAGAAAGTGTGGAGACCACTCACACCTTAAATCCATCTCAGAGATCCCTGGGAGACTGACAGGAGCTATAAATCTCCAGCTATACAGGGCAACCAGTATTCACAGCCCCATGCTGTGATTTTTCAGACATTATATTTAAAGTCATTGTGCAACAAATACACACAAGAAAACAATGACCACGATTGAGGTCAACAGTGAGCTTAATGTTTTCAGGGACTGTTTGTGCCAAGAATAAAGTCGCTCCCTATTGAATGTAACATGAACATGTAATATCAATTTAAAGGCATATCTTATATAAAATAATATACTTTATTTCTATACAATTGAGTTTCAAGCTAAAGGCCACCTGGAAGAAAAATTACATAAAAATCAGATGACAAAGTGTGATTAGCAGTGGGAATAAAGAGTAAGTTGCAATAAGTTTAAGTTCTTTCTACATTTCTAATGTTTTGAAGCTTTGTCTGCTCATTGGAACACAGAGAAGGGACACAGATCTTACACGTGCTGGCATTAAGCGGTATTATATCAACACATATGGCACATTGTGGCTGCCTGTCTTGTTCTATGTAAGATGTGCAGAGGGTGGATTTTCAGAGTTAAAAATTTCAAGAGATAACACTTTTTTGGTTTTTTGTTTGTTTGTTTGTTTGTTTGTTTGAGACAGAGTCATTCTCTGTCACCAGCTGGAGTGCAGTGGCCCAATCTCGGCTCACTGCAACCCTCCGCCTCCCAGGTTCAAGCGATTCTCCTGCCTCAGCCTCTGCAGTAGCTGGGACTACAGGCATGCACCAACACGCCTGGCTAATTTTTGTATTTTTAATAAAGACGGGATTTCACCATGTCAGCCAGGACGGTCTCCATCTCTTGACCTCGTGATCCGCCCGCCTCGGCCTCCCAAAGTGCTGGGATTACAGGCGTGAGCCACTGCGCCCGGCCGAGATAACACTTTCTACTTCTTATTTTACTTAGTACTTTTGAAAGGATTGTAGAATTTTCTTATAGATAATCAGTATCTACTTATACTGAAACAGTTATAAAGAAAATTTATTCACAACATGTATTGCAACAAATCCCATGTAAATAAATCAAACACTCCTCCAATCTTCAGAACACAACCTCTCCCCCTGGGATGCATCAAGGTAATCCAGGACCTGCTGGAGTCAGGTCCCTTAGTTCCCCCGACTGTGAGGAACTGGCCCTGGCCTCGCCCACCTCCCTGGTTACGCCATGGCGGTGGAATGGCCTCCGTAGGAGAAGCATGGAGCAGAAACACACCACGTGCATGGTGGCGTGAGCTGCCGAAAGACCGCACGCCTTGTGCACCTGAAATCTGGACTCCCATTGAGGATCTGCTCCTGGAGTAAGGACCTTCAACGGGCCAGGTGACCTCTGGCCCTGACTTTCCTCTTCTATGCATGAGACATGGGACCAGGGGGTCGAGGAGAAGCCTCCCATCCAACCACACACTTGCAACCTTGCACAGGCACCAAACGGCTGCATCTGCTTTGAGTGCTGATAGCAAGAGGCAGCTCCTGGTGTCCAGGTGAGACTAGAAGCAAGGACGGTGCGGTCAGAGGCATCGAACGGACGAGTGTCTCCTGCACGTGAGATGCTGACCTGGAAAGATCGCCTAGCGGCAAATATCCGGGTCACAAGGGAGCTACTCCAAGAGCAGATGCCCTGGACCCTGAGTCTTGCCACTCCAAGAACATAACTCTCAACTAACACAGGCCTCAGCATCACGTTTCTATTTCACCAAACCAAGTGAAAGAAAATCAAGTAGATGGAGGGCATGTTGTTGCCATAAAGCAAAGCGACCAAGAGTGCCGTAGACTTGGAGGAGTCTCTGTGAAACCACCGAAATCTGTGACAGGTCTGGGTCTGAGTATTAGGGGAAAAATTCCATTTCTCTAAAATAAAAACCGTAACTCAACTCAAGCCCTACAAAGTGGAGTTGTTTATTGTTAGTATTATGAGTCAAGAGGCCACTTCCCTCAAGGAGCAGAAAACCAGAGCCCATAATTAGCCTGACAACTCTCAGTGAATAAACAAGGGCCTTTAAACTCTAGAGAACAGGGGATTCCCCTTTCAATAGTGTTATGGATTTGCTGCAATCTCATTCACCCTACTTGGATTTTCCTAGGATTTTCACCTCCTTTCCTGGCACCCAAAGCCATGAATTATGCTCCCACATCACCTCCACGATTTTTCTTTATGTCTGCCTCCTGCCCTCGGAAGCATCCCCTAATTTCCCCTCCAGCCTGGAGTCTTCCTGCCTCCGTGAACTGTCCCAGGCAGGTGGCTGTATTTGCCACATCCTGAACAAGCATTTTCTGTTCCACATACACCATCACCAAATTATAATATTTATAGATAAAAGATCGCTCAAATTGCTTTTGAAGCAGTACATTAGACTTGAATGTGCAGTTACAGTTCAACATTTTCTAGAGTAAAACTGGAAAGCATAATAAAATGATATATTTTGATTAGAACTGAAAAAAGCATACTAATGGCAATGCTTGATAACAATTCAAGACTATTTTTGAGATATACAAGTTTAAGCCATGCAAACATATTTAAACACATCTTTCCTACTATATATAATATGTTAAGTAGCTTGCAGTATGTAAACACTATCGACGACAGTGTATTCAGTGTAATTAGGCTACAAAAACAAACATTTAACATAATATCTTAATTTATGCTTGAGAAAGGCAAGATGAAAACAAAACTCAGAGGAACACCAGATTTCTTTGCAGTCTCTTTGAAATAGATGTCAATATTTGTCAAAGTACAAATTGAGCCACAATAATAATGGATATTTGCCTTCAGGGGATTGGGAACCCAGAGGTCCAGAGTAGGGTGAGGACAAGAAGGGAAGAAGATCTTTCTCTATTGATCTTCACAGAATACACAGTATTGGAGCTTGATGTAAGTTTAGCCTTAGCCTACACAAATTAATTGGCCGGGTGATTAGTCTTCTGTTGATTGAGAGTTTGGTTCACTATACTTCTTAAATGTCTGGGATGCTTATGGACCATATCATCTGCTAGGTATTTCAATGGGTGGCCCAATAATTCAGTAACATCTGTGATTTAGTGGATGTTTGAAATGCAACTTCTACAGGGTTTTTAACCAAAACTCCGCTAAGCCATTTTTATTCATTAGGTGAACTCTGGGACCTGTTTGTTAAATTTATTTTTGGGTAATTATGACCAGACTTAAACTTGGGATAGATGTAAAATAACCAACTTTTTTGACAGTAGGAATCTTTTTTAGCCTATATTTAATATTATCACATTTTTCTCTAGTAGGGTAGCATTTTATATGTCTCTTGAGTGTCCTACAAATTCTCATTTTTAATGGTGTGTTCATGGTGTAATTGATGTGTTATTGCATTGGTACTCCACACGCTATTATAATGTTTTAGGATTATAAACCATTAAGCTCCTGTATGCTCGGCTCAGTGCAGCTTCAGTTTCTGTCACTTGCAAATAAGAGTCCTAATATATGAGAAATAAAAGACAAGAAGATAACACAAGGAGATAGATTAGATGAAGGTAGAAATATAAAAGGATATGTATGAAATTAGAAACAAAGATTAAGGTAAAAATTATGGACTTTAATAAGGGAAAGATCAGGATATAAATACATCATCAGTATATGAAGAAATATTTCAGGATAAAGAATGAAAGAACAAACAAGATAAGTTAAATAAAAAAAGAGGCAAGAATGAAAAAGGGCAGAAGCAACAATCAGAAATATGTATGTGGAAAAGTGAGTTAAACGTAAGGAAATCTCTCATACCTTAAAGTAAAGAAGCTTTTTGGTACTAGTACAAATTATTAAGAAGTTGAGTTTTGGAAAAAAAAGAAGAAAAAGGAGGAGTTGACGAAGGAGAAGAAGAAATAATGCAAACTTCTAGATAGAAAAACAACAATCACAAAGATTACCACTATCAAAAATTATCTACTAGAAGAAGGGAAGGCAGGGATACCCTCCATGCATTGAATACTAGGAGAGGAGGGAACCATATCTCCAGAACTCAGAATTGGCACACAAAAAGAGGCCAGAGAAAGGAAACATTGTTACCTAATAACTGCATGCCTAGCAAAGTTATTGTTCCATTGATAAGATTATAGGAGCAAGGAATTAAATAAACTTATCTCCCATAGTTTTCCTTTAAAAAAATGTACCTTTGAGAATTACATAAAAAACTATGATGAATTTCAAAGAAGCAGGAATAAAACAAGTAGTAGAAAGGTTTGTGACAAGCATTGGAACCATATAAACATGTAATTATATGTAGATCAATGGTTATAGTCATAAACGCTTTCCAAAACAAAGCTAATTAAACATGATTTAAGAAGACATGTATATTGATATTCATAATTATAAAATTTAAAAATGGGTCTGCTAGTTCAAGATAATTTCAATTAAATAAGGGAGGAAAGTGAGAAAAGATCATGGGAGAAATATTATTCACCTGGCAAATTCTCCATAGGAATAATCAACAATTACTTCTTGAGGTTGATAAAATATATTTTGGCAATAAAATTAATTTCAGAAGTAAAAACAACATTTGTAAACACCAAATCTCCAAAACGCTGAATAAAGAATTGAAAGTGTTGTTCAAACATTCACAAGATAGAAAATAAAGTACAGTAAAACTGTTTGAAAACAAATTTATTCATGAAAAAAGTATCAATAGTGACATTATAGAAGTGTTTTCCTTTTGAATGAAAAAAATATGGATGATCAAACCAAGTCAAGAGATAAAATTGAAAAGTATTTAAGTCATTGAGTCTTACACCAAAGAGATTTAATGTGTGCTTGGGATACAGCAGGAAACAGAACAAGCAGCAATCCCAGCATTCTTGGATCATACATTTTAGGGGGAGCCAACAAACAACAAACATCACAAATATCTGAAATATTTAAAAAGTTAGAAAGTGATAAGTCATATAAAGGAAAATAAAGCAGATATCAAGGGGTGGGGCTGAGTAGAGGGGAAGCATAATCTGTATTACGATGGACTGGAAAGTTGTCACTGTGAAGCTGTCATTTGATCAAGACTTGAAGGTGAAGGAGTGATCAGATAAACGGGAAAAGTGGTTCTGGTGGAGGCATAGCCCGTTCAAAGGCCCTATGGTAAGATTATGCTTGGCAGTAATGTGGCTAGAGTAAGGGTGGTGGACGGCAGAGTTGCAGGAGGTGAAGTCTCAGATGGGGTGGGGTCTAATTTGCCAAAGGCCTCCCAAAGTGCTGGGATTACAGGCGTGAGCCACCGCGCCCGGCCTGTTTCCTGTTCATTTTAAGGAAACCTACTAAATCCAGTTAATATTAAAAGGACAGCACTCATTAAGAAATTTCTTTATGGCTCCTCTGAATACTTAAATGCCTTACTACAGTTATCAAGTTGACATGTTTTTAATTCATATAAGGTATATTGGATATATTGAAGTATATATTGTACCACAAAGACTTGTTCATATATTTTAAAATGTCAATGCAGAAAATATATAGTGGAGCCTTTCTTTAAAGTTGAAATACAGTATTATTTAAGTCTGAAAGGTTAAAAAGCTTTCTTCACCTTACATATGTTCTTCCACTGTGACTTTTTAGTTGAAGACTAGTAAATTAACTTTTAGTTAGAAGATGCCTACTGCTCTTGTTGTTTGTTTGAATCAGTGGAGCACAGAGACACATAAAAACTGTGGGAAGAGACTAGGGTAAAAATATCAGTAGGTATCTGTTTTAGATATTTCGAGTTTTGCTTTTTTATGCCTTGAATATTTTATTTCAAAAAGTATCTGAAGCAAATTCTAGACTGAACTGCTCCTTAGCCCTCACTGTAAGAATGCTTTATTCAATGTCTCATTTATGATAGATTTGCAAGCTGCTCATTTTTTAACAGCTTTTTGCATGGGATAGGAGAGTGTCTATTCTAATACATCAGCTATTCAAAAGCAAGAATTTTAAAAATAAGATAAATGTAAAGTTGTTTTACAAACAATCCTGTTAATTAAACCACAGACACCATATATCCTTCTGCATTCTTTGACCAAGAAAAGTTGCTGGAGAACAAAAGAAAAAAGAAGAGGACATATCATTCAGACGTAGATTATAGTTACATAAAACTTAAGATACTTGAAGAAAGTCATCCACATCAGTGGGGAAGAGATGGACTACAAAATACTGTTAAGAAATGTTCTTCATACTTATTATTTTTTTTTCTTTCAACAATTTTTTAAAACAATTTCAACTTTTCTTTTAGATTCAGGGAGTACATGTGCAGGTTTGTTACATGGGTAGATCACCTGACACTGAAGTTTAGGATATTAACGATTCCATCACCCAGATAGTGAGGATAGTACCCAGGTTAGTTTTTCAATCCTTCCCCCACTCCAGCCCTCCTCCCTCTATTAGTCTCCAGTATCTATTGTTGCCATCTTTGTGTCCATTAGTACTCAGTATTTAGCTTCCTTTCATAAGTAAGAACATGCAGTATTTGGTTTTCTGTGCCTGTGTTAATTGGCTTAGGATAATGGCCTCTAGTTGCATCCATATTGCTACAAAGGACATGACTTCACTATTTCTTTTGGCTGCGTGTAGTATTCCACGGTGCATATGTACCACATATTCTTTATCCAATCCACCACTGATGTAACCCAAGTTGATATCCTAAAATTCATATGGAACCAAAAAAAAGCCCAAATAGCCAAAGCAATCCTAAGCAAAAAGAACAAAGCTGGAGGTATCAGTATCATATTACCTGGCTTCAAACTATATCAAAAGAGCATGGTGCTGGTAAAAAACAAAACAAAACAAAACAACATAGCCCAGTGGAACAGAGAACCAAGAAATAAAGCTGCACACCTACAGCCATCTGGTCCTTGACAAAGTCAACAAAAATAAGCAATGGGGAAAGGACTACTTATTCAATAAATGTTGCTGGGATAGCTGGCTAGCTCTATGCAGAAGAATGAAACTAGACCCCTGCCTTTCATCATATACAAAAATTAACTCAAGATGGATTTAAGATTTAAATGTAAGATCTCAAACTATAAGAATCCTAGAAGAAAACCTAGGAAACATCATTCTGGACATTGGCCTTGGGAAAGAATTTATGAGTAAGTCCTCAAAAGCAATTGCAATGAAAATGTATATTGACAAGTGGGACCTGCTTAACCTGAAGAGCATCTGCACAGCAAAAGAAACTATCAACAGAGCAAACAGACAACATACAGAATGGGAGAACATATTCACAAACTATGCATCCAACAGAGGTCTAATATCCAGAATCTATAAGGAACTTCATTCAACAAGCAAAAACCAAATAAGCCAATTAAAAAGTGGACAAAAGACAGAAACAGGCACTTTTCAAAAGATGACATACAAGCGGCCAACAAACACATGAAAAAATGCTCAACATCACTGATCAAAGAAATGCAAATCAAAACTACAATGAAATACCATCTCACACTAGTCAGAATGGCTACTATGCAAAAGCCAAGAAACAATAGACGCTGGTGAGGCTGGGGAGAAAAGGGAACACTTATACACTGTTGGTGGGAATGCAAAGTAGTTCAGCCACTGTGGAAAACAGTTTGGAGATTTCTCAAAGAACTTGATACAGAACTACCATCTGATATAGCAATCCTATTCGTAGTATATATCCAAAAGGAAATAAAACATTTTACTAAAATGACACATGAAATGTTCATTGCTTTGGTATACAGAAAATAATTTGTACCTTCAGAAGCTGGATTCCAAATAAATTTGAAAAGTAAAATACATAAAAATAACAAATAACCAAGGTTAATAAATAGAATAAATTAAAAAACTGATATATTTAACTACCTAAAAATGAAAAAATAGATGTATCTACAAAAAATCAAAATTGAATGAAACAACAGGAAATATTTATGCTATATAAAGCAATCAGGCAATCAATTAGAAAAATTGTTATGGACACGGCAAGTTGATGAAACACATGGAAAATTTCCACATACTGTTAACAAGCACGTGGGAAAGTTTAATTACAGTAATAGTCTAACATAAAATTGTATAAATATTTCCAAAAAAGGATAACACATTGCTGGTGGATATCTGATAAACTGGTGTCAATGATTGCTGGGCAGAAAAAAAAGATGTTCCAATTCTGTTGGAAAACAATTTAGCAACATGTATCAATATCCCTTGACCTAGCATCTTTTTACCTAGTTTTGATTAGGCTGAAATTTGACTTAATTTTGCTTTCAAAATAAATTCTAAGAAAATTACCCAAAAATGGCTCATGCCTGTCATCCCAGCCCTTTGGGAGACTGAGGCAGGTGGATCACCTGAGGTCAGGAGTTCGAGACCAGCCTGACCAACATGGAGAAACCCCGTCTCTACTAAAACTATACAGTTAGCAGGGCGTGGTGGTGCATGCATGTAATCCCAGCTACTTGGGAGGCTGAGGCAGAAGAATCGCTTGAACCCGGGAGGCAGAAGTTGCAGTGAGCTGAGATCGCACTACTGCACTACATACAGCTTGGGCAACAAGAGCAAAACACCGTCTCCAAAAAAAAAAAAAACAAAAAAAAGGAAAAATAAGTAAATTACCCAAAAATATGGGGAAATTTTTATGTACAATAATGCTCATAATGACAAAAAATTAAAAAACCAAGTGGCCACAGGTATTAGAGAATGGGAAATGAATGAGAACAGTATAGAATATTATATTGTCACTACCCATGATGTTGACAAGGCACCTTCTATAATATGAGAAAATTCCATCACCAAAGTCTAATTGTTGCATGGGGACATTGGGTTCTCTTTCTTCCCTTTCTGTTTCTGCCCGTCTGTTTCCCACATTGTCTAACATGATCCTGGGGGACTTCTAGAACAGGAATATACTTAGTTGTGAGGAGGAAGGAAGCCAGCTCCAGTGTGTATTCTTGTGTGTGTCAGCGTGTTCCCGAGGCCAGGCAGCCTGGCAGTGGGAGGACCTAAGGTGAGTACATCCAGTGTCAGCAGCAGAGTGAGTTGTGACGAGTGTTTCTTCTCAGGCACTTCACTGAAGCGAAATGTTTTGAGATAGCTCTTCGAATCACGGCAATCAAGGCGTTGTTCTGAGACCGGCCCTGGAATTCCACCTCGGGCTCTCGCTCACCACCATGAGTGCTTTGGGTCTGGCTGTGATGTGTGCGTCTGTGTAAGGACCTGTGGAGGCGGATCCAGCCGTCATTCTTTCCCACACACCTTTGATCCGCTAAAGGGAGACTGCAAAGCCCATAGCCAAGGTACCCAGGCAGGGAGAGTTTCAGAAGGTGGAGCGGGAAGCGGGATGGGTCCCGGGCCGCTTTGCTAAATGAGTAGCAGTTAATTGGGCCTGTTAGGATCAGCAACTAGCTTGGGGCTATTCAGAGCTACTGACAGGGCCACCTTTGTCTCTGAACCAGGTCTTTATTGAACAATAAGGGTGCCGCCAGCCAGGGAGCAGTCCCTGCGGGTTCGCAGCAGGCCGCGGCACGTGGCCTGCTGAGCTCTCTGTGGATGGGATGATGGCGCCCTCCAGCGGGGAAGCGCAGCGTCGCCCGCTAGCTCAGGGCGGCATTCAGCAGGGACTCCCGCAGAGAAACTTTATTTCCCTTAGTCCCCATTATCAAGTTGTTTCTTTAACTAAAAATTACAAATTGATAAAACTAAGGGTTATATTTTGCTTTCAGACAGTGAAGGGAATATTTTAAAACTTCACTTCAGAAATGATCTACCAGTGTTGTTTTAAAGGTTAATAAGAGTGAAGTTTGGAAAATAAAACTTAGAAAACTCATCTCTGGGAAGTTTAAAAATTTTCCTCCTGCTTTTGATAGTTGAGAAGAAAATGTGTGCATTTCTGTGTCAGATCCTTAACCTTTTTATTTCTTCTTATTTATGTATTTATTTATTTTGAGACATAGTTTCCCTCTTGTCGCCCAGGCTGGAGTGCAATGGGGAGCTCTCGGCTCACTGCAACCTCCACCTCCCGGGTTCAAGTGATTCTCCTGCCTCAGCCTCCCAAGTAGCTGGGATTACAGGCGCGCCCCACCATTCCTGGCTAATTTTTGTATTTTTATTCAACACGGGGTTTCACCATGTTGGCGCCAGGCTGGTCTTGAACTCCTGACCTCGAGTGATCCACTCTCCTTGGCCTCCCAAAGTGCTGGGATTACAGGCCTGAGCCACCACGCCCTGCCTAAGCTTTATCTTTAATACTTATACAGACATGTAATTTCTTAAGTGGGTTCATTATTACTTTTTGCTCACTTTTCTTGTCACATCTGCACCTCTTTTTTGCATCTTACTACTACCTTAGAACCACCATGAAATTAGAGTAAAGTCTCGCTATTAAAGGAGCAGAAACAGTATTCTATACTTTTGTTATCTATTGGTAACATATTGATTAAATCGTATAGGCTTTTTTTTTTAGTAGAAAATACAGATAATCAATGTAAATGTTAAAACTACATAATCCTAACACCCAGAGGCACTACTTCATTGTGCTTATCTTAAGAAGTGAATTGATAATAGTAATATAAATTTTGGAGGACTGTTATCTAAAAACAGGAAAAAATACTTTTATCAACTAATACAAATGAAGAGATTCTTATAATTCTAATTGTAGTCAGTGAGACCTGTCTCTGTATAAAACATTTTCTAATGTTTAGAGATTAAGTCCTTCTGAGTAAAAGAAAAAGTAGAACGAGAACAATATGGAAGGCAAAAACCTCCCTTAAAACATAGCCATGCATTTCAGAGTTAATACAGTAATTACAATAAATTCAAGTTTCTGCAAATTTTGCTTTGATAGCAACAAAATAATAAATATTCTCTAACATTCCATTTCTAACAGTGTGGGCAAATGCAGAACACTAAAAAAAAAATTCTTGAAGATAATAATTTTGCCATCAGCACATGCCCTCAGTTACACAGTGTAACTCATTTTATAATATGCCTATTTCTCTAGAGGTCATGTATGAAGAAATCTCAACATTCCAGAACATAGTCTCTGAAACTAAAAACAAAAGTTGTTAAACAACAACTATCTGCCAAAAAGTCCATTTGCGTTACTTGATAAGAGAAATGGTGCCAGCCTTAGACCATTACCTAGATGATGATGAGTAGAATGACAGAAGATTCCAGCAGAAATAGAAAAACCTTTACAACATTCATCCTAATCTATTCCAAGTCATCAAAACAACAGTTCATGGTAATTAACACAAGCTTCACTGGCCCACCTAAAAATTATAGTAATATTCATAATGACACCATTGAGTCAGCAGGCAAAATATGTCTGAAGTACTCTAGTTAAAAAAATTAACAAAACCTATGATGCAATTTGAAGATGTTCATAAATGCATTAAAATGGCATTTTTGACATAAAAGATAAACTTACATGGGTCGCCCCCACAGAATAAAGGCAATTCTGCTATGGTGAAACTATTTTAATTAGCTCAGTCAACAAGTACTTGAGTACTTCCTACGTGGCACTAGGTGCCAGGTACTGGGATACAGCAGCAAATAAAACAGATGAAAACCCCTGTCCACAAGGAACTTATATTTCAGTGGAATGTACAAAACAGTAAGGGTGGTGTCTATTTATTTTTCCTTGTGTTGTGAAAACTCAGAGGTCTTTAAATCAGTGATTTTACTCTCACCTGATAGATGTAAAATAAGCACAAATGGAAGAGTTCTTAATCCTTTGTTTTAAAATCAAATTTTGACCGGTCTCTTTTAAAATACAATGCTAGAGGCAGTAAACAAATACTTCTTCATCAAAAATTCATAACTCTTCATCAAAAATTCAGAATATAAAAAAATTCAAAAGCTAGAGATTTTTCTCTAAGTTTAGAAATTGAGGTCCCTTTTTTTTGAAAAAGCACAGACAGCATTGTATTGGAATGGTGAGATTATGGGTATTTTTCTGGTTTACTTTCCAATTTTTCTGTAATGCTATGCATATTCAAAAATGAAGAAAAAGAATGGACTTTTAAAGAATGCTTGTTCTTTAAACACTACCAAGATAGTTAACTCATAACTTCTACCTAAAGAAATGAGTTCCACGTTATGAAAAGTTAAAGAGAAAATGGTAGACATGGCCACATAAACACATGTAAATGACCTGCACACCTAATGCCTATCTTTGTTACTCTTTCCCTGGACTTAACAAACAAAGCTCACAGGGTATTTTGAAACTCACGATTTTATCACTGCATTTTTGTTTAATACATGTTTTTATCTTCATTATATTTTCTTTCTCATTTTCTAGAATATAGCTGATTTTTTAGTTAGGGCAAGGGTGACAGTCTAGGGGGGATTTCAGTTGTACAAATATATACAGGAAAGTTTGAGTGTTTTTACTTCAACAGAAAAGAAGAAGAGAAACATTATTTGGAAAATTTAATCTATGTGTATAGAAAATTCAAATTCTCAAACTCTGTCTCTTGCTCTGTCTCTTCTTTCTTCATTGTTTTTTTAGCAGCATAATTGTGTCTTTTCAGACAATTGCTGAAACTACTAAATATTTAGCAAGTATAACTTTGCCAAGAAGGAATTTGAGGCTATGTAAAACATCAAGATTCCGGGGAAAACGAATAAAAATTTTAAAAAGATAAAAGTAAATTTAAAAGTGAGCACAGACATAGTCACTATGTGCTTCAGTCCGTTCAGATAACCATGTTTAATACATGTTTTTATCTTCATTATATTTTCTTTCTCATTTTCTAGAATATAACTGATTTTTTAGTTAGGGCAAGGGTGACAGTCCAGGGGGGATTTCAGTTGTACAAATATATACAGGAAAGTTTGGGTGTTTTTACTTCAACAGAAAAGAAGAGAAACATTATTTGCAAAATTTAATCTGTGTGTATAGAAAATTCAAATTCTCAAACTCTGTCTGTTGCTGTCTCTTCTTTCTTCCTTGTTTTTTTAGCAGCATAATTGTGTCTTTTCAGACAGTTGCTGAAACTACTAAATATTTAGCAAGTATAACTTTGCCAAGAAGGAATTTGAGGCTATGTAAAACATCAAGATTTCCGGGAAAACTAATAAAAATTTTAAAAAGATAAAAGTAAATTTAAAAGCGAGCACAGACATAGTCACTATGTGCTTCAGTCCGTTCAGGCCGCCATAACACAACACCGTGAACTGGGTGGCTTCTAAGCAGAAATGCGATTTTCGCTGGCGCCCTGCGCAGCCGGCTCCCAGGTGGCGGCGCCGAGGGCTGGAGGCGGCGGCTCCGGAGGCCGCAGGACATGGCGGAGCTGCGCTGAGGTCGGGAGCCCTGGCTGGAGGCCGCGTGGCGCCGTGGGTCCCGGGCCTAGCGGGAGGCCTGTCCCGCGGGGACACAGTGCGAGTCGAGCTGCTCCGCCGCTGCCGCTGAGCTTCCCGGCCGCCACCGGGCTCGGACGTCCCAGTAGAAAGATGGTTCCCGCCCTGAAGAAGCTGGTGGGGTCGGAGCAGGCCCCGGCGGGGACAAGAACATCCCCTGCGTGCTGCAGGCCAGGAGCTGAGGCCACGGAGGCGCTTCGCCGTGGCGTGAAAACATGAAGATGGCTATCCGGGAGACGGGGCCACCCGCCCCACCGCGCTGAGGCACGGTCCGCAGGGCAAGCATTTGGTGGAGGTGGATATCCCCACGCAGGGATCCAGGCCACAGCATCTACGGGAACCACCCCACCACTGAAGACGTCGTGAGAGTTGAAGTCTCGGAGGTAGTGGAGGGTGGAAAATGCAAACAGCCAGACCGGGGCTTGCAGGTGGAGAACAACCCAAGGAGGCGGAGTCCAAAATGGACCTGGATGCAAGTTCCTGGACGTGCCCAAGAACTGCCACCGGCTGGCCAGGTGATCCCCATCACCAAGCAGTGCGCCTTCAAGTGCATTCTCTGGGGCTTCAGAAAGTGCTGCCCACGCGCAGGTGTGCGTCCTGGGGACTGCGGGACAGGAGCCAGTGGGAGTCATCCTGCTGAGGCCGCTCCTCCTGTTCCCCTCCGCCGAGTCTTCCAGGAAGAACAGCTCGGGCCTAAAGCACCTTCACGAATTTTTCAATATTCCATTTTTGCAGCTTCAGAGGGAGAAAAAGCAGTTGGAGGTGGACTCCACGCTGGAGGAGCGGTGGTGCAGCAGGAGACTGAGGACCAGAAGCATTGCACTTTCCTCCACGTGGGGGCTCCCAGCCGCAGCTCCGCGTCCCCGCTGGCGGCCAACAGGCAAAGCCGGTCCTTGGCCTCCCAGGAGCCAGTGACGCTTCTGAGCGCAGTGTCCACCCGGAGCTCCAGACCCCCTCACCCCGCCCGCCCCCACAGCGGCCCCTCAATGCCCCATCAGCCTGTCCCCCGTCCGCCACCGTCCTCTTCGTCCTCAACATCCCAGGGTCGGAGACCCTGCCGGCTCCCACATGCCGCTGGGGCCCGTCTGGTCACCCCGCCCCACCGCGCAGCGTCACCTCCAGGCTGTCTGGGACATCACGCGGCCAATGCAGCCCCTTCACCTCCAGAGCTGGCCCCGGCTGCAGAAGCCTCAGCAAAAGTCCAGAATGTGGAGGACTTGGTTCCCAGCACCCACCTGGACTCCATATTCCTGGCAGAAACGGCCACACACCCACCCCCAGGGACACAAAGATAGTGGAAGCCAAGGCCACAGCGGAACAGCCACAATCTGGGGAGGCCCTGGGCGAGAGCCACACCCCCAGAAACCCTGGCAGTTCTCCAGGACGACATGGGCCTCAGAGCCCAGCACCACAGGAAGCCCCTGCCACCCTCGGTCCCCAACCCCAGTCAAAACATCACTCTTTCCAGGGAGGACGAACAGGGGAGGTGGCAGGTCCCTCAAAAGGCGCTGTCCGGGCTACCCAGCAGTGGGCAGAGCCAGAGACCACATGTCCTCCACAAAGGCCTAGAGGCCGAGGAGCGGGAAGCTCCCACCAGGGCTGCACCTGGGCTCCCAGGCGCTCTCAGAAGCGGGGCAGGCCCAGGCCCCTGCCGAGGGCCCCTCTCTCAGACCCGAGGAGGGAAGAAGGAGCAGGCATCTTTGTCAGCGACCCTGAGGGGCCCACCGCTGCTAAATGCTGTCCTTCTTCATGAATGAACCCAACTTTGAGAGAGAAGCGTGGGACACACAGCGGAGGGTGGATGTTTCCCGTGCCAGACAACATCTCTGATGTGATAGGAGGAAGAGGGCCCTGCCCAGCAGCCCCTGCAACCCAGTCCTACCTCCTGGCCTTCAGACAGAAGCTGCTCAGACCTCAAGGCTGGGGCTGGAGGAGGCAGACCCCAAGGAGAGCAGCAAGGAAGATTAGAAAGGCAAATTCCCTCCAAGGACCAGCCCAAGAAAAAGGCAAAGAGGAAGGAAAGGCTGTGAAGGAGAAGAGCAAATGCAAGAACAAGGACGAGGAGGGCAAGGAAAAGTGGAGGAGGAGGAGGGGAAGCAGGAGAAGGAGTGGGAGGAGGAGAGAGAGGGGAAGCAGGAGGAGGGACGGGGGAAGGAGGAGGAGGGGGAGGAAGAGGAGACGGAGGAAGGGAAGGGGGAGGAGGAAGAGGGAGGAGGATGAGGGAGGAGGAGGAGGGGAGGAGGAGCAGGAGGAGGAGGGGGAGGGGGAGGAGGAGAAGATCAGAAGGAGGAGGAGTGAGAGGAAGAGGAGGAGGGGGAGGGCAAGAAGGAAATGAGAATGAGGAGGAGGAGGGTGAGGAGAAGAAGGAGGAGCACAAGGAGGAGGAGGAGGTAGAGGAGGAGGGTAAGGAGGATCCGAGGAGGAGGAGGATGCAGGCTCTGTGCAGCAGCGAGAGGAAGGCAGCCAAGATCAGGGGCCCTTGCTGGGGACCGGGTCCCCAGGCAGCCGCCACCCTGGGGGGATGATTAAGGGAGGTCTAGTTCTGTGAGGGCAGCTGGCCACTCTAGGGAAGGGAGGGAGAACCTTGCCTGCCGCTGACCAAGGAGGCTTCTGCCACTGGGTCTACCCTTGCCTTTGCTGGCGATCCTACCGGCTGCTCTGTTTGCCCTTTGCTGCTGTATGTGCCAGGCCTCCAGGCCAGGCATAAGCCTGCTGTGCAGGGAGGGATGGGCTAGCTGGGCCTTTGGTAGACAACCTGGTCCTCTCGGCAGAGATGCCAGTCCCCAGCATTTCTCAGAGGTGTGACTGAGGCTGAGGAGGGTCCCCTCTGGGGTCTGTTTACAGAGGCCAGGAAACCAGGCAGGGACCACCTAGCTGCGCTGTTGTGCACAGCCCTGGAGCCTGTTTGCCCTCCCGTGCCACCCAGGGCATAGCATAAAGGCTCCGCTTCCAGCCGTGAGCCCTGAATACAGAGCTGCAGACCTGCAGGGGAGGCAGCAGCACCTGCCCTGCAGGATGGCCCAGGCCCCCACTAGGCAAGGCTGGGAGAGAGGTGCTTCCCAGGGAGGGCTGGTTTTCCCATGGTGGCCGAAGCTGCACCTCTGCTCAAGTGAGCACCTCAGCTCAGGTGAGTGCCCAGGCAGAAGCTGGGAGGTGCTACTCCTCAGACACTCCACTCACACCATGAAGCTCTTTAAAAGGAAGAGAAGAAAAGAAAGTATCTCTGAGCAGTTCTACAGGCTTGGAAGTCCAAGATCAATGGAAATTTCTATGAGGATTTAGTAATTTTTGCTAAAACTGGGTGTATTTTTTGTATATTTTCTACAGATTTTGAAGTTTTCAGAAGGATGGGGTCACCAGGGTCTTTTATTCTAATTATTCTAATTGATTACAGTTACATTTTTCAGAATTATTTTAACACTTTATCTTATAATTGGTATACATAGAAAAATGAGAGTACATTGGCATATTAATGTACTTCTGAGAAACTCTGGAGGAAGTCATCACAAAGCACACCACATTTTTAACCTGTTTCAAACAGTATAACTGTGTGTGTGCATTTAAATGCAGCACTTAATGTTCAGTTTTTTCAAACACAGAGGGGAGTGGAGACAACCTTTTACAACCACCCAGTGTCCTTTCCATTCCCTGCACAGTGTCCTACTTGTTCTGCCTGTCATAATGAGGAACTAGGGTAAGGAGACAGAACGGTCATGGGCTTAGGAGCTGCAGAAAATGAAGAAAAATCTTTTATCAAATACAACAATGTCACCAAAACACATGACATCTTTTCTGTGTTAGCTGCAATTAGTGATTGCCTAGAAGACATCCAAAGCATGTAGGATATTTATTTTGAATTCTTTATTGATAAACACAATATTAACTGTAATAGAAAAAAACCCTTTTTCTGTTTTTGGACGTGATAAATGAGTTAAAGAAACAGACAAGTTAAAGAATATCATGGCTTTACCCTTCTCATGCTGGAAGCAGTTTTTTTTTTCAAATAATGAATCACCTCTCTGCATATTTGTTGAATTTTCATTTATATTAGATATCCTATTTATATGCCCTATTAAGTTCAATTTATCAAATTAAGTTCAGAGTTCCAATTCAATAAAAATAAGATTTTGTTTAAAATAAGCTAAATATATTTTCTAAAATTAGTCATTGAAGGAGGTGTCAGAGAGGGGAGATAAAATGATTTGAGCCATGGGTGGGCAGAAGGGAAACCCAAAGTTTTTCAAGCAAGAACTCAGGGATTTGAAGCCATGAGTCACCCAAGAACAGAGTGATGGAGGCTATTAGCCTACTGAGATTAGAGGCTTCACTCAAGCCACATTTTTTTTTCTCCTAAGGAAGATCATAGTCATTGATAACTCACAACCTTAACTTCAATCTGGCCATAAAATGAAGAGTGAACCACTCAGGCATCACTTCTTTCCATCACGCAATTTTGAAGATGTCTGGATATTTTTAATTTAATACATACTTATAGGAGTTAAACTTAGAAAAAAACCAAAAGTCAAAATTGGCCTGATTTCTAACTGAAGATTTGTCTGACAACTATTTAAAACACAAATAAAAATACTCTGATAAGAATTGTTTTTTGATTAACCTTTGTTTTTCTCAAAGGTGATATCCATGATGATATGATTAGGGTCTGTGTCCCTGCCCAAATCTCGTGTTGAATTGTAACCCCCAGTGTTGGAAGAGGGGCATGGTGGGATCAAGGGGGCACATTTCCCCACTTGCTGTTCTCATGATAATGAGTGAGTTCTCACAATATCTTCTAGTTGTTTAAAAGTGTGTGTCCCCTCCTTCTTCTCACTCTTTCTTCTGATCCCGCCATGTAAGATGTGTTTGCTTCTCCTTCACTTTCCCCAGTGAATGTAAGTTTCCTGAGGGCTCCCCAGTCATGCTTCCTGTACAGCCTGCAGAACTGTGAGTCAATTAAACCTTTTTTCTTTATAAATTACCCAGTCTTAGGTAGTTCTTTATAGCAATATAAGAACAGACAAATATAGAAAATTGGTACCAGAGAAGTGGAATATTACTATAAAGATACCTGGTTGAGAGCTTGCGCTCTGCAGTGAGCCACGGGCGCACTTCGCTGCCTGGCAGCCTCTCCCGGAGTGGAGCCCGCTTCCCGAGGCAGCCCGTTGTCGCCTGCTTGCGCCTGCGCAGCGTCCCGGGCCAAGAGGGCCACTGCGGTGGCCATGGCTCGCTGCTGCTTGCAGCTGTGGGGCCGGGTCGGCTGCTGGGCCCCGCGGCCTAAAGCAGCTCTTCGTGCATGGCAGGCATGGGCCCTGGCGAGCAGCCCTGCCTTCGGACGCTTTATGGATTTATTACAACTCAAGCAAGGGCCAGCAGAAATTCTCTTTTGACAGATGTAATTGCTGCTTATCAAATATTCTGTTCTCGACCCCCAAAAGGATTTGAAAAATACTTTCCTAATGGAAAAAAATGGGGGAAAAATGCTAATGAACCTAAAGAAGTTATGGGACAGAAAAAAGAATCAAAGCCAGCTGCTACCACACACTCTTCTGAAGGAGGAGGTGGTGGCGGTGGAAAACGAGGTGGCAAGAAAGATGATTCTCACTGGTGGTCCAGGTTCCAGAAGGGTGACTTTCCATGGGACGACAAGGATTTCAGGATGTTCTTCGTCTGGACTGCTCTATTCTGGGGTAGAGTCATGTTTTACTTCCTGCTCAAGAGATCCGGGAGAGAAGTCACTTGGAAGGAACTTGTCAATAACTATGTTTCAAAAGGAGTAGTAGACAGACTGAAAGTTGTCAACGAGCGTTTTGTTCGAGTGACCTTTACACCAGGAAGAACTCCTGTTGATGGGCAACACGTTTGGTTTAATACTGGCAGTGTGGACACCTTTGAATGGAATCTGGAAACTTTACAGCAGGAATTGGGCATAGAAGGAGAAAATCGGGTGCCTGTTGTCTACATTGCTGAAAGTGATGACTCTTTCCTGCTGAGCATGCTGCCCGCGGTGCTCATCATTGCCTTCTTGCTCTGCACCATCAGAAGAGGGCCTGCTGGCATTGGCCGGACAGGCCGAGGGATGGGCCAACTCTTTAGTGTCAGAGAAACCAAGGTCTTAAAGGATGAAATTGATGTGCAGTTCAAAGATGTGGCTGTGAGAAGGCCAAGCTAGAGATCATGAAATTTGTGAATTTCTTGAAAAACCCAAAGCAGTATCAAGACCTAGGAGCAAAAATCCCAAAGGGTGCCATTCTCACTGGCCCTCCAGGCACTGGGAAGACGCTGCTAGCTAAGGCCACAGCTGGAAAAGCCAATGTCCCTTTCATCACCGTTAGTGGATCCGAGTTTCTGGAGATGTTTGTTGGTGTGGGCCCAGCTAGAGTCGGAGACTTATTTGCCCTTGCTCGGAAGAATGCCCCTTGCATCCTCTTCCAATGTGGTGGGAAGGAAGACAGGAAAAGGCAACTTTGGAGGGCAGAATGAGCAGGAGGACACACTCAACCAGCTGCTGGTGGAGATGGATGGTTTTAATACAACAACAAATGTCGTCATTTTGGCCAGCACCAATCAACCGGATATCCTGGACCCTGCGCTGCTTAGGCCGGGGCGTTTCGACAGGCAAATCTTTATTGGACTACCAGACATAAAAGGAAGGGGTTCTATTTTCAAAGTTCACCTCCGACCACTAAAACTGGACAGTACCCTGGAGAAGGAGAAATTGGCAAGAAAACTGGCATCTTTAACTCCAGGGTTTTCAGGTGCTGATGTTGCTAATGTCTGTAATGAAGCTGCGTAGATTGCTGCGAGACACCTGTCAGATTCCATAAATCAGAAACACTTCGAACAGGCAATTGAGCAAGTGATTGGTCGCTTAGAGAAGAAAACGCAGGTTCTGCAGCCTGAGGAGAAGACCGTGGCATACCATGAAGCAGGCCATGCGGTTGCCAGCTGGTATCTGGAGCCCACAGACCTGCTCTTAAAGGTGAAGCAGGGTGGCTGCACTAGGCAGCCAGTGCACGCAAGCAGCTGCTCGCTGCAGTCACTCAAGAAGCAAGCTACACTCCCGCAAAGGAGAAAGAAACAAGATATTTAGAAGGCTTTAGCCAAAACTTCTGGTAACTTCTGGTAACCATGGTTGCACAAACTGTCCCATAGATAAATATAAAATTTGGACAGAAAATCATTATTATTATTTTTTTGACACGGAGTCACTCTGTTGCCCAGGCTGGAGTGCAGTGGCACCATCTCGGCTTGCTGCAGGCTCCGCCTCCCGGGTTCACGCCATTCTCCTGCCTCAGCCTCCCGAGTGGCTGGGGCTGCAGGTGCCCGCCAACACGCCCGGCTAATTTTTTGTATTTTTAGTGGAGACAGGGTTTCGCCGTGTTGGCCAGGATGGTCTCGATCTCCTGAACTCGTGATCCGCCCGCCTTGGCCTCCCGAGGTGCTGGGATTGCAGGCGTGAACCACCGCCCCCGGCCCAGAAAATTATTTAAAGGGACCTCAGAGTGTCCAAAAGCAGGCCAGAGCTGGAGGAGAGTTTGCTCCTATAAAGCAGCAGCTGCAGTGGGTTTGAACTGGGAGCCTGTGGCTCTCTTGCCTAAGGGTTTTTCATAATCTCCACACTAGAGTGGTGTGAGACATAGGCTTTACTCTCCTAAGATGGTAGAGGAGATAGTCTGGAACTTGAAGAATACTGGAAATTTAATACGAAAATCCCAGAAGCGAGAAAACTACCAAGAGGTGAGGCCCGAATCTGAGTAGGAACTGCCCAAATCCCAGGCCGACCACTAAACTACACGTTCACAGTGGCGATCCCAGAAAGCCTGGCAAAAGGGTAAGCAGAGACCAAAGATAAATCTACCCCTGAAAGACAGGGGGGAACCACGTGACATTTTTACGTTTTCTGCTTTTCAACTGAGGGCATTTCCCAAACTACTGCAGCACAGATGACAGAAAGCAGCTGCCTCCCTGCCTTACAATGGGTATCAGGGTCACTGGGAATTGAGGTGGGCCAGGAATTGAGGTGAAGCAAGGGAACCATAGAGAAGACAACATTAGAGTGTCCATAAAACATCCTAAGGAACCCACAGAGAAGCCACTAGAACTAATAAGTAAAGTTAGCAAGTTTGAAGAATTCAAGGTCAGTATACAAAGACCAATTGTATTTCTGTGTATTAGCAGTAAACAATTGGAAAATGAAATTTTAAAAATTCAATTTCATTAGGAATTTCAGTAGCATATAAAAACTTGAAATATGGAGGAATAAATTTAAGAAAATATTTGTAGGACATGCACATTGAAATAATAAGACCTAAATAAAAACAGATGTAGACTTTGCTCGTGGAGTGTTACATCAGTTCTCCCCAAACTAATTGATAATTTCAGTGCAATCTATTGTAATTATAGCAGAATTTTTTTGTAGAAATTGAGAAGCCGAATCTAAAACCGATATGGAAATACAAATGAGTAAGAGTAGCCAAAACAGTGTAAGTTACTCACCCCAATATTAAGACTGTGTGCAGCTACAGCGATGAGAATGTGGTGCTGGTAAGAGGACTGGCACGCAGGCCATTGGGGTGGAATGGAGCCCAGAAAGCAACCCACACACTTTTGGTTAATTGATTTTCAACAGAGGTACCGGGATAATTCAAGGTGGAGGAATTGTCTTATCTGCAGGTGGCTCTGGCAACAGAGTAGTCACAGGAAAAACAGTGAACATTTGCAAAAATTTCTTGGGACACAAAAAGCACAAGCCACAAAAGAAAAAGTTGATAAGTGGGATCTCATCAAAATTTAAGACTCTCTTTCTTTGAAAGACAGTTAAGAAAATAAAAAGGCAAGCCACACCCTCTGAAAATACTTACAATACATATATAGGACAAAGGACTTGTATCGAGCATATAAAGAACTCTTAGAACTCAATAATAAGAAAACAAGCAACCCAGTAAAACAATGGGTGAAAGATTTAAACACGCATCTCACAGAAGGTATATGGGTGGGCATTAAGCACACACAGGGTATAATTATTCATCAGGAACATGCAAATTCACCCATAATGAGCTATCTGAACATACTTGCTGGAATGGTTAAAATAAAAAAGAGACAGTCTTCATTGTTGATAAGGATACAGAGCAGTTGAAACGCTCACATGTTGATAGGAATGTAAAATGGGGCAGGGTGCAGTGGCTCACGCCTGTGGTCCCAGCAATTTGCGGGGTCGAGGCAGGTGGATCACTTAAGGTTAGGAGTTTGAGGCCAGCCTGGCCGGCACGGCGAAACACATCTCTGCTACAAATGGAAAGGTCAGCCAGACATGGTAGTGAATGCCTGTGGTCCCAGCTGCTCAGGGGACTAAGGCAGGACAATCGCTGGAACCTGGGAGGATCACTTGAACCTGGGAGGCGGAGGCTGCGGTGGGCAGGGATCAGACCCCTGCACTCCAGTGTGGGGGACAGAATGAGACCCTGCCAAAAAAAAAAAAAGGAATGTAAAATGGTACAATCATTTTGGAAAACAGTTTGGCAGATTCTTATAAAGGCAGATGAACACTTCCATGTGACCAAACAATTCGACTCTTATTTCCCCAAGATAAGCAAAAACCTATGTCCATGCAAAGACTGTTACTACTTTATTTATAATATCAATAAACTGAAAATAATCCTGACATCCATCAAGAATGAAATGGATATTTGGTATGTTTGTAACAGTGGAATGCCACACAGCAGTAAAAATGAATGACTATTAATACACACAGCAGTGTCTGTGGATCTCAAAAAACAGGAAAAGAGACCAAACACAATGAAGTATGTGCCATACGATTTCATTTATTTCCAATTCTAGAAGCTAACGAATCCATAGGGACGGAAAGCAAATCTGTGGTTGCCTGGGGTTGGGTGTGGAGGGAAAGACTCTCTACCAAGGGGTACAAGGGAACTTTCTGGGCATGATGAGAATATTCTGTATTTTCATTGTGGCTTGAGGTTATGTTTGTCAAAACTCACTGAACTCTACACTTCAAATGGGTGCATTTTACCATATATGTCTTCTCTCAATAAACTGAATTTTTGAAAAATTAAAAAAACCAGATACCTGAAAATTTGGAAATGACTTGGAACTGGGTAATGGGAAGAATTTGAAAAAGTTTGGAGGGCTCAGAAGAAGACAGGAGGGTGAGGGAAAGTTTGGAACTTCCTCGTGACTTGCTAAATTGTTGTGACCAAAATGCTAATAGTGATATGGACAATAAAGTCCAGGCTAAGGAAGTCTCAGATGGAGATGAGAAACTCATTGGAAACTGGGGAAAAGGACACTCAGCTATGCTTTGGCAAAGAGACTGGCAGCAATGTGCCCTGGTCTAGGGATCTGTGGAATTTTGAGCTTGAAAAGAATGATTTAGGGTATCTGGCAGAAGAAATTTCTAAGCAGCAAAATGTTCAAGATATGACCTGGCTGATTCTAATAGCCTACGGTAATATGCCTAAGTAAATAAATTATCTAAAATTGGAAATTATATTTAAAAGGGAAGCAGAGCATAAAAGATTGGAAAATTTGCAGCCTGACCATGTGGTATAAAAGAAAAACATGATCTTATGTGAAGATGGCCGAATAGGAACAGCTCTGGTCTACAGCTCCCAGCGTGAGCAATGCAGAAGACAGGTGATTTCTGCATTTCCGTCTGAGGTATCGGGTTCATCTCACTAGGGAGTGCCAGACAGTGGGTGCAGGTCAGTGGGTGCGCACACCATGCGCAAGCTGAAGCAGGGCGAGGCATTGCCTCACTCGGGAAGCGCAAGGGGTCAGGGAGTTCCCTTTCCTAGTCAAAGAAAGGGGTGACAGATGGCACCTGGAAAATCGGATCACTCCCACTTGAACACTGCGCTTTTCCGACGGGCTTAAAAAACGGCACACCAGGAGATTATATCCCGCACCTGGCTTGGAGGATCCTACGCCCACGGAGTCTCACTGATTGCTAGCACAGCAGTCTGAGATCAAACTGCAAGGTGGCAGTGAGGCTGGGGGAGGGGCACCCACCATTGCCCAGGCTTGCTTAGGTAAACAAAGCAGCCGGGAAGCTCGAACTGGGTGGAGCCCACCACAGCTCAAGGAGGCCTGCCTGCCTCTGTAGGCTCCACCTATGGGGGCAGGGCACAGACAAACAAGAAGACAGCAGTAACCTCCGCAGACTTAAATGTCCCTGTCTGACAGCTTTGAAGAGAGCAGTGGTTCTCCCAGCATGCAGCTGGAGATCTGAGAATGGGCAGACTGCCTCCTCAAATGGGTTCCTGACCCCTGACCCCCAAGCAGCCTAACTGGGAGGCACCCCCCAGCAGGGGCAGACTGACACCTCACACGGCCGGGTACTCCAACAGACTTGCAGCTGAGGGTCCTGTCTGTTAGAAGGAAAACTAACAAACAGAAAGGACATCCACACCAAAAACCCATCTATACATCACCATCATCAAAGACCAAAAGTAGATAAAACCACAAAGATGGGGAAAAAACAGAGCAGAAGAACTGGAAACTCTGAAAAGCAGAGCATCTCTCCTCCTCCAAAGGAATGCAGCTCCTCACCAGCAATGGAATAAAGCTGGACAGAGAATGACTTTGACGAGTTCAGAGAAGAAGGCTTCAGACGATCAAACTACTCTGAGCTACAGGAGGAAATTCAAACCAAAGGCAAAGAAGTTGAAAACTTTGCAAAAATTTAGACGAATGTATAACTAGAATAACCAATACAGAGAAGTGCTTAAAGGAGCTGATGGAGCTGAAAGCCAAGGCTCGAGAACTACATGAAGAATGAAGAAGCCTCAGGAGTCGATGCGATCAACTGGAAGAAAGGGTATCAGTGATGGAAGATGAAATGAAAGAAATGAAGCGAGAAGGGAAGTTTAGAGAAAAAAGAATAAAAAGAAATGAACAAAGCCTCCAAGAAATATGGGACTATGTGAAAAGACCAAATCTACGTCTGATTGGTGTACCTAAAAGTGAAAGGGAGAATGGAACCAAGTTGGAAAACACTGCAGGATATTATCCAGGAGAACTTCCCCAATCTAGCAAGGAAGGCCAACATTCACATTCAGGAAATACAGAGAACGCCACAAAGATACTCCTCGAGAAGAGCAATGCCAAGACACATAATTTTCAGATTCACCAAAGTTGAAATGAGGAAAAAATGTTAAGGGCAGCCAGAGAGAAAGGTCGGGTTACCCACAAAGGGAAGCCCATCAGACTAACAGCGGATCTCTCGGCAGAAACTCTACAAGCCAGAAGAGAGTGGCGGCCAATATTCAACATTCTTGAAGAAAAGAATTTTCAACCCAGAATTTCATATCCAGCCAAACTAAGCTTCATAAGTGAAGGAGAAATAAAATACTTTACAGACAAGCAAATGCTGAGAGATTTTGTCACCACCAGGCCTGCCCTAAAAGAGCTCCTGAAGGAAGTGCTAAACATGGAAAGGAACAACCGATACCAGCCACTGCAAAATCATGCAAAAATGTAAAGACCATTGGGACTAGGAAGAAACTGCATGAACTAACGAGCAAAATAACCAGCTAACATCATAATGACAGGATCAAATTCACACATAACAATATTAACTTTAAATGTAAATGGACTAAATGGTCCAATTAAAAGACACAGACTGGAAAATTGGATAAAGAGTCAAGACCCATCAGTGTGCTGTATTCAGGAAACCCATCTCACGTGCAGAGACACATAGGCTCAAAATAAAAGGATGGAGGAAGATCTACCAAGCAAATGGAAAATAAAAAAAGGCAGGGGTTGCAATCCTAGTCTCTGATAAAACAGATTTTAAACCAACAAAGATCAAAAGAGACAAAGAAGGCCATCACATAATGGTAAAGGGATCAATTCAACAAGAAGAGCTAACTATCCTGAATATATATGCACCCAATACAGGAGCACCCAGATCCATAAAGCAAGTCCTGAGTGACCTACAAAGAGACTTAGACTCCCACACATTAATAATGGGAGACTTTAACACCCCACTGTCAACATTAGACAGATCAATGAGACAGAAAGTTAACAAGGATACCCAGGAATTGAACTCAGCTCTGCAACAAGCGGACCTAATAGACATCTACAGAACTCTCCACCCCAAATCAACAGAATATACATTTTTTTCAGCACCACACCACACCTATTCCAAAACTGACCACATACTTGGAAGTAAAACTCTCCTCAGCAAATGTAAAAGAACAGAGATTATAACAAACTATCTCTCAGACCACAGTGCAATCAAACTAGAACTCAGGATTAAGAATCTCACTCTAAACCGCTCAACTACATGGAAACTGAACAACCTGCTCCTGAATGACTACTGGGTACATAACGAAATGAAGGCAGAAATAAAGATGTTCTTTGAAACCAACGAGAACAAAGACACAACATACCAGAATCTCTGGGACGCACTCAAAGCAGTGTGTAGAAGGAAATTTATAGCACTAAATGCCCACAAGAGAAAGCAGGAAAGATCCAAAATTGACACCCTAACATCACAATTAAAAGAACTAGAAAAGCAAGAGCAAACACATTCAAAAGCTAGCAGAAGGCAAGAAATAACTAAAATCAGAGCAGAACTGAAGGAAATAGAGATACAAAAAACCCTTCAAAAAATTAATGAATCCAGGAGCTGGTTTTTGAAAAGGATCAACAAAACTGATAGACCGCTAGCAAGACTAATAAAGAAAAAAGAGAAGAATCAAATAGATGCAATAAAAAATGATAAAGGGGATATCACCACCGATCCCACAGAAATACAAACTACCATCAGAGAATACTACAAACACCTCTACGCAAATAAACTAGAAAATCTAGAAGAAATGGATAAATTCCTCGACACATACACTCTCCCAAGACTAAACCAGGAAGAAGTTGAATCTCTGAATAGACCAATAACAGGATCTGAAATTGTGGCAATAATTAATAGCTTACCAACCAAAAAGAGTCCAAGACCAGATGGATTCACAGCCAAATTCTACCAGAGGTACAAGGAGGAACTGGTACCATTCCTTCTGAAACTATTCCAATCAATAGATAAAGAAGGAATCCTCCCTAACTCATTATATGAGGCCAGCATCATCCTGATACCAAAGCTGGGCAGAGACACAACCAAAAAAGAGAATTTTAGACCAATATCCTTGATGAACATTGATGCAAAAATCCTCAGTAAAATACTGGCAAACCGAATCCAGCAGCACATCAAAAAGCTTATCCACCATGATCAAGTAGGCTTCATCCCTGGGATGCAAGGCTGGTTCAATATACGCAAATGAATAAATGTAATCCACCATATAAAGAGAACCAAAGACAAAAACCACATGATTATCTCAATAGATGCAGAAAAGGCCTTTGACAAAATTCAACAATCCTTCATGCTAAAAACTCTCAATAAATTAGGTATTGATGGGACGTATCTCAAAATAATAAGAGCTATCTATGACAAACCCACAGCCAATATCATACTGAATGGGCAAAAGCTTTAAGCATTCCCTTTGAAAACTGGCACAAGACAGGGATGCCCTCTCTCATCACTCCTATTCAACATAGTGTTGGAAGTTCTGGCCAGGGCAATTAGGCAGGAAAAAGAAATAAAGGGTATTCAATTAGGAAAAGAGGAAATCAAATTGTCCCTGTTTGCAGACGACATGATTGTATATCTAGAAAACCCCACTGTCTCAGCCCAAAATCTCCTTAAGCTGATAAGCAACTTCAGCAAAGTCTCAGGATACAAAATCAATGTACAAAAATCACAAGCATTCTTATACACCAACAACAGACAGACAGAGAGCCAAATCATGAGTGAAGTCCCATTCACAATTGCTTCAAAGAGAATAAAATACCTAGGAATCCAATTTACAAGGGATGTGAAGGACCTCTTCAGGGAGAACTACAAACCACTGCTCAAGGAAATAAAAGAGGATACAAACAAATGGAAGAACATTCCATGCTCATGGGTAGGAAGAATCAATATCATGAATTTACAGATTCAATGCCATCCCCATCAAGCTACCAATGACTTTCTTCACAGAATTGGAAAAAACTACTTTAAAGTTCATATGGAACCAAAAAAGAGCCCGCATCACCAAGTCAATCCTAAGCCAAAAGAACAAAGCTGGAGGCATCACACTACCTGACTTCAAACTATACTACAAGGCTACAGTAACCAAAACAGCATGGTACTGGTACCAAAACAGAGATATAGAACAATGGAACAGAACAGAGCCCTCAGAAATAATGCCACATATCTACAACTATCTGATCTTTGACAAACCTGAGAAAAACAAGCAAAGGGGAAAGGATTCCCTATTTAATAAATGGTGCTGGGAAAACTGGCTAGCCATATGTAGAAAGCTGAAACTGGATCCCTTCCTTACACATTATACAAAAATCAATTCAAGATGGATTAAAGACTTAAACGTTAGACCTAAAACCATAAAAACCCTAGAAGAAAACCTAGGCACTACCATTCAGGACATAGGCATGGGCAAGCACTTCATGTCTAAAACACCAAAAGCAATGGCAACAAAAGCCAAAATTGACAAATGGGATCTAATTAAACTAAAGAGCTTCTGCACAGCAAAAGAAACTACCATCAGAGTGAACAGGCAACCTACAAAATGGGAGAAAATTTTCGCAACCTACTCCTCTGACAAAGGGCTAATATCCAGAATCTACAATGAACTCCAACAAATTTACAAGAGAAAAAAAACCCCATGAAAAACTGGGCAAAGGACATGAACAGACACTTCTCAAAAGAAGACATTTATGCAGCCAAAAAACACATGAAAAAATGCTCACCATCACTGGCCATCAGAGAAATGCAAATCAAAACCACAATGAGATACCATCTCACACCAGTTAGAATGGCAATCATTAAAAAGTCAGGAAACAACAGGTGCTGGAGAGGATGTGGAGAAATAGGAACACTTTTACACTGTTGGTGGGACTGTAAACTAGTTTAACCATTGTGGAAGTCAGTGTGGCGATTCCTCAGGGATCTAGAACTAGAAATACCATTTGACCCAGCCATCCCATTACTGGGTATATACCCAAAGGACTATAAATCATGCTGCTATAAAGACACATGCACACGTATGTTTATTGTGGCATTATTCACAATAGCAAAGACTTGGAACCAACCCAAATGTCCAACAATGATAGACTGGATTAAGAAAATGTGGCACATATACACCATGGAATACTATGCAGCCATAAAAAATGATGAGTTCATGTCCTTTGTAGGGACATGGATGAAATTGGAAATCATCATTCTCAGTAAACTATCGCAAGAACAAAAAACCAAACACCGCATATTCTCACTCATAGGTGGGAACTGAACAATGAGAACACATGGACACAGGAAGGGGAACATCACACTCCAGGGACTGTTGTGGGGTGGGGGGAGGGGGGAGGGATAGCATTGGGAGATATACCTAATACTAGATGACGAGTTAGTGGGTGCAGCGCAGCAGCATGGCACATGTATGCATATGTAACTAACCTGCACAATGTGCACATGTACCCTAAAACTTAAAGTATAATAATAATAAATTTTTTAAAAAAGAAAAACATATCTTCTGATGAAGAATTCAAGCCAGCTACAGAAATTTGCATAAATAAAGAGGAACCAAATGTTAATAGCCAAGACAATAGGAAAATTGCCTTGAAGGAATTTCAGAGAACTTTGTTGCCATCCCTCCCATTACAGGCCTGGAGACTGAGAAGAAAAGAATGGTTTCATGGGCTAAGCCCAGGGCTGTGCTGCCCTGTGCAATCTCAGGACACTGCTCCCTGCATCCAGCTTCAGCTAAGGCTAAAAAGGTCCCAGATATGTTTCAGGCTGCTGTGCCAGAGGGTGTAAGCTGGAAGCCACTAGGGCTTCTATGTGGTGTTAAGCCTGCAGATGCTCGGAGGCTGAGCATCTAGGAATATCAGCCTAGATTCCAGAGGATGTATGGAAATGCCTGGATGTCCAGGCAGAAGTCTGCTGCAGGGGCAGAGCCCTTATGGAGAATGTTTGCTATGGCAGTGTAGAGGGAAAACGTGGGTTGGTGCCCCCCACAGAGTTCCCACAGGGGAACTGCCTAGTGGAGCTGTGAGAAAAAGGCCACAGTCCTCCAGTCCCCAGAATAGTAGATTCACCATCAGCTTGTATTGTGTGCCTGGAAAAGCCACAGGTACTCAATATCAGCCTGTAAAAGCAGCCATGTATCCTGCAGATCCACAGAGGCAGAGCTGCCCAAGGACTTGGGAAACCACTCCTTGCATCAGCATGCCCTGGATGTGAAACATGGAATCAAAAGAGATTACTTTGGAGCTTTAAGATTTAATGACTGTCCTGCTGGGTTTTAGACTTGCATGGAGCCTGTAGCTTCTTTGTTTTGGCCAATTTCTCTTTTCTGAAATGGGAGCATTTACCCAATGACTGTACCCCCATTGTATGCTGGAAGTAAGTAATAAGTAATATCGATTTGATTTTACAGGCTCAGGCAAAAAGGACTAGCCTTATCTCAGATAAGACTTTGAACTTTGGACTTTTGCATTAAGGCTGAAATGAGTTAAGATTTTGGAGGACTGTTGGGAAGACATGATTGTATTTTGAAATGTGAGAAGGACATGAGATTTGGGAGGGGCCAGGACAGAATGATATGGTTTGAGTCTGTGTCCCTACCCAAGTCTCATGTCAAATTGTAATCCCCAGTGTTGGAGGAGGGGCTGATGAAAGGAGATTGGATCATGGGGGCAGATTTCTCCCTTGCTATTCTCCTGATAGTGAATTCTCATGAGATCTGGCTTTTAAAATGTGTATATCATCTCCCCCTTCTCTCTCTTCCTCTTGCTCTCACAACGAAAGATGTGTTTGCTTCCCCTTCACTTTCTGCCATGATTATAAGTTTCCTGAGGCCTCTCTAGCCATGCTTCCTGCATAGTCTGAGAACTGTCAGTCAACTAACCCCCACTTTTTTTAACAAATTACCCAGTATCAGTTAGTCCTTTATCATAATGTGAGAATGGAATAATACACGTGGTGAGGAAGAGGAGAAAAAATCAGATTTTAGGTTTTACATTTTACATATGTATCAAATATATTTTCTTCAGTTGATAGCTTTATAATATTACATTCTGTTTCTTGGCCATGCATGGTGTTCACATCTGTAATACCAGTGCTTTGGGAAGCCAAGGTACGAGAATTGCTTGAGGCTAGGAGTTTATGACCAACCTAGATGACACAGCCAGATCCAATATTTACAAAAAAAAAAAATTTAAATGAGCCAGTTGGGGTAGCATGCACCTGTAGTCCCAGCTACTCAAGAGGCTGAGGCAAGAGGATCACTTGAGCTCCATAGTTCCAGGGTACAGTAACCCATGATTGTCCCACTGCACTCCAACACCTGGTTGACAGAGTGAGACCACAATCTCTAAAAACAAAAAAAGTAAAAATTAAAAATAGGTACTATTTTTTTGAAAGCATTAATAAACTTTAGATCCTGAATATTTATTAGTGAATATCCAAGTACCATAGTTACTTTTATCCTAAATACAATTTTAGAATATTTTCATATTTTGAATTTTCTTTTATAGTTGTTGATATTATTTAGAAAAAGGTTAACTTGTGTTACCATCTTTAATGCCTGCTATCACTGTGCAGGAAGATCAAACTCTATTTAACCAGTGTCTTAACTCTCACTGAAAGAGCTGGTACTGCTTTATCTCAAAGCACAGAGATGTGAAAGACTGGTACAGGTGGAAACCAACTAGATCTGAGGGATTTTTAGTCTTTCCTGAGCTTGAGGAGGAGACTAGGAGCAAGGTAGCAGAGACTGATGTCTTCAAGAAAGGAGATGAGAGTCTCATTCCTGACAGCAGCACCCAAGGGCAGACAACTGGCCTGAGCACTCCACCACCCCATCTCCTAGGTAAGGCAAAGGCCAACCCAGTGCCCACTGTGGACAGAAGCCATGGAGCACCCCTGATTTTCTTTTTCTGCTAACACTTATACCTCAAATTCCTATTCATATTTGGATCATTTCTATGCAGGGTATGAGAACACAATGTAAGCAACTGAGACTGAACTTACTAACATCCAAGTAGGCTAAGTCTTAGAACTAATTAATTTATGGCTTTATAGAAATGTGACTTTTTCAATGCAAATTGTCTTCATTAAATTTTATGCACACTACACTTCAAACAATGGATGTAGTACTACAAAGAGTTATCTAGGAATCCATTTTCCCCACAGTTGAGACATGTAGTTAACACTTACATAAGTAAATATAATTTTATTCCCCCTGGGAGAAACAGTTCTTAAACAGGATGTTAGAAAACAAACCTAACAGTAACAGAACAAATTTGATAAGTAACAGAACAAATTTGATAAGTAACTTTATTCCCCCTGGGATAAATAGTTCTTAAACAGGGTGTTAGAAAACAAACCTAACAGTAACAGAACAAAATTGTTATGTCAAATTAAGAAATTCTGGCCTTGCATGGTGGCTCACATCTGAAATCGCAGCAGCACTTTGGGAGGCTGAGACAGGTGGATTGCTTGAGGCAAGGAGTTCGAGACCAGCCTTGCTAATATAGCAAAAACTCGTCCCCACTAAAAATACAAAAAAATCAGCTGAGCTTAGTGGCACATGCCTGTAATCCCAACTACTAGGGAGGCTGAGGCACAAGAACTGCTTGAACCTGGGAGGCAGAGGTTGCAGTAAGCCTAGATCGTGCCACTGTACTCCAGCCTCAGTAACAAAGTGAGACCCTGTCTCAAAAGCAAACAAATAAAGGGAGAAATTCTGTGAATCCACAGGCACTATTAGCATAATAAAAATGAAGGCCAAAGATATAAGGAGATATTTTATGTGTATATTCTACATATCTATAGTATTCAATAAATGATAGGCAATCAAGTAGAAATATAGAAAAAATATTTTAAAAGGCACTTTATAAGATGGGATATTCAAACAGCCAGCATAAACACAAACAGATGCTCAACTTCATTACACACAAAAAATGCAAAATTAAATATAATATTTCTACAAACTCATCCAAATGTAAATATTTTTTAAAAACATACAATGTGTTGGTTTGGAAGTGGAGTGACTTGAATTCACATATACTAGAAGTACTTGTATAAATTTGAAAAATATAAATTTGAAAAACTGCTGGCAATATCTACTTTACATGTTCTATGACCCAGCAATTCCATTCTGAGAAATATGCCCTAAAAATGTGTACATGTTTCCAAAAAATGTTAAATATTATTATTGCAGCACAATTAGCATCAACCCTACTCCAGAAACTCCTCAAAGGTCTGTAAATAGGAAAATGGATAAACAAAGTATCTATATTCACATGGACTGCAATAAAGCTATGAAAATGAATGACCTGTAACTATTCATAACAACATGAATGAATTTCACAAAAAATCATTTGTAAAAAGAAGGCACAAAAGAAAACTTACTGTATCACCCCACTTGTGAGAAACTCAAAGCCTGAGAAATCCAATCTAGAAATCTAATTAGAAGTTAGGATGTAGCTATGGAGAGACACGGCGATGAGTTGGGTGGGGAGGCTCAGTGCTGTTTCTTAATCTGTGCTGCTTTCACAGGTGCCTAACTCTGTAAAAGCTCTTTGAGCTGCACCCTTGTAATCAGGCATTTTTCTGTATTTAGATTTTGCTTTAAGTTCACTTTAGAAAATAATTATATTTTTAAAAGTAAGATAATTTAAAATTATCTTGGCCTCTGCTTTCTGCTATGAGCAGAAATCTACAATCTACAAATCTACAAGAGAAGATTCGTTTTATAAACTTGGTATTTATAAATTATAAAAAGATTTACATTTACTTCCATTTTGGACACTCTGAAGTGCTCTTTTCCATCAGTATATTTTAATCAAATATAATTCAATAATACACTGTTCAGTATTCCTGGAGAATGAAAACAGGGAGATACTACCTTCTCATAAACTGTCTAGCTGGTCAACCCCAAGGTATTCTCTCTCAGACATGAGAGAGAGTAAGAGAGACAGAGAATATACAAGCTCCTACCATGTGTTCTCTTCTGTAATATTCAAATCAAAGTTTGATTTGATTTGATCTAAGCCTTATTAAGTGGAATGGTGCTGACTGAGCAAATTCAGAGCAGAATGTGAAGGAAAAGTATTATAATGATATACATCCTGTTTTAGCCTTGATAAAACATTTCAAATCCGCCACCTGTACAAAATATATTTCTATATTTTAGTTTTTCAATTTGTGGAAGATCTGTATATTCTAGATAGGAAAGCCATCAGCAGGACCAGAGACTTTGAGCTTTGGAGGGCAAGACAAAACATTTTATACAAACGGTTTTCTTAAGCAGATTTTGACAGCTTTCCACTACTCTAAAAGAAATTCTTCCTTTCTTCCATATTTTTTCTTCCTTCCCTTCTTCCTTCCTCACTTTCTTTTTTTCTTCCTTCTTTCCTTTTTTTCTTGTTTTGTTTCTTTCCTGCTTTCTTTAAACAAACTACAGGAACTATTTCAAAATCAGGATGCTACTTTACTCTAAGAAAAATACAAATCCATACTATTAAGTAAGCAGTCTGTAAGTCCTCTCAGTATGTGACCAGAGCAAGGAAAAAAATAGATGAATTTTTCTTAAAAGCTCCATCAAAGTATAAAAACTTCTTAAATCTTCCTGAGGCATCTGAGTCCTCAAGGACTGTTTTTGTCTTTCTTTTCTCTCAAATTGTGGACATCAACTTAGGTAGTCTTTGTCACATTTATTCAAAAGGTTTTTAGAGAATTTTGTCAATAGCACAGGGACATCTAACTTATACATTACAATTACTTTCATAATAATAAACTACCATGTTCACTTTATTTTGTTTGTTCATGTTTTCAAATTTGACATGCAAAAAGCCCAATAGAAAGTGGAGTAAGCAGGGAATGACTGGGGAGAATAAATACTTCTCTATAAAAAATGCCTTATGAAACAATTTATTTAGTAAGCTTCACACATGTAGTTGCCATATGATTTAGTTAAGGTGTTTTCATTTACCAGTGACTAGAAGAATGCTTCAGTTGTAAAATGTTAGCTACATCTGTATTTCACATTTTTATTTTATAATATACATGTATCAGTATCCTCATTGTGTATAGGCCAATGAAAATACTTCTCAGAGGTACTTGCATGTAGAGCTAGAGCTAGAAATATGACTAGAATTGAAACTGCTTTCTGCTGTCTCCTAGATCATGCCTCCGAGGGTAGTGGGAGGCCTCATCTGCTTTTACTTTGAAAAAAGAAAATCTCTAGATTTTTGTCTATCTTTAGAACAAAATGTACAGAACTCAGCTTTCAACTAAAGAATCAAATGCTAAATTTTTGGCTGAGGGGTTATGCTACTTATATGACAAAATCATACATGTCAAAACTTAACATATTTTAATAAACAACATAACGTAAATTCTGATTCAACAGAAACATTGGAGAGTGGTGATTTTTTTTAATATGTGAAAGTATATGTATTTGTTTCCAAAAATATTTAAAATGACCATGATGGAATAATAAGTTTAAACAGTTTGAGTCAAACAGATAAACTTGCATGCATGAAAGCACATTAAACAGACTTCTTTGGATGGGAATATTTGTTGCAACTCTCAAGGCAAGATATATTTTTATGTCTCTTCTCAGTCATTGCTTCCCTCCCACTGTATTACCATTTTATCATTTAAATAAATGTAATTCGTCTTTAAATGAATACAGAAAAAAGAATCTAGAGCTTATTTCTTTAGCAATTTTCTTTATGCTTATCTGGTTCAGAAGATCACATGGTATATGGCTAAATTAGTTTCCCAGCCCATAAGCCACTTGAAAGACTAATAGTGAGACTTGGGTTGAGTAATCAACAAAGATTACAAGAATATTTCCAGAAGTGTCATTTAGATAGCAGCACTAATTTACTTTGACACATAATTACACATTTAGATAACCACAGTGTAACCATACACATGAGATTTTCTTGAGTAGAAAATCAGAATGAATCAGATAACTTATAAAAAGAGAACAGCAAGTGAACCTCTGTCATTTTGTAGTTAAACTTTCTCTTTCTTCAAAGCCAGGGACTCTACTTGTAACATGCCCACCTCATTCTTAAACCTTTGGATATCTTGCTGTAAGTCTTCTTCTAGATATGCTTTTGATGTTCTGTCACTACAGGGTGGAGAATAACTTCTAATTCATGTTTTATGCTTTTATAGTTATTAACAGTGGGACTGTCATATGTAGGTCCCTGAAACACACTTGCCAGTCATCTTTAAGCTTTAGAAGAGCCTCTAAGATCCACATGAATTGTGGAACAAGTGCTGTATTGGTTTTCTATTTTTATAAGTGTCTGCAACAGCGGAAATACTGTGGCTTTCTATCTGTATCACATGATACATTTCTTTGGAGTGGCCAAACCACAAATCAAAAAGACTTTTTGGATCTCTAGACTGAGGCCAATGTCTAATGTGTAATTTCCAATCAGTGGTATTTTGGTTTATATTTTTTATCACTTGCATTATCAAACTCTGGGTTTTCTTTTATTTCAACCGTAACTACTGAGCTCCTTAATTTTTCATTTTCTGTATCATTTCAACCATTTTCTTCATCGCTGTTAGAAACAGGCTATGGTCTGTTTATAACTGTTTGTTATAATTTTTATAGTCTGATTTGTTTTCATTTGAATAAAGCTTAGAAGATGACTGGCAAGTTTGTTTGAGGAACCCAAGGTATAAATGCAATGACAAGACATGTTTGAAGAATGAACAGACATTCCTTCTGTTCAGGCAATGCCTGGAATACTACAGTTAGACACTCCAGATGCATCTGCTTCCTCATGATCAGGGATATGATTCATCAGATTAGAGGGCACTCCCTTTAAGTTTGTCCCTCTTTAGAGTTACTATGTACGAACGCTTCCTCAGGACAAACAGTAATTTTGAATATTTCAAAACTTTCACCAATCTTCAGTTGAACGTTTTTAAAATGAATTTTAAAGGAAGCCCTGAATAGACATATCCTCTTTATCACAATTCTTACTCAGTTCTTGTTCTCGAGACATTTTTTTGCAGGTGGAAAATTCATTTGCTTGTTTTGTTTCTCAGATGCCTTCTCTGTCAGAGTGCATGTTTTAAAATTAACTTTATTCTGAAGTAATCAAGTATGAGCAAAGAAAAATTATAACATAATTAAAATTTAACTGTGAAGCTTATTCTATGTTTTGCTACCCCTAAGCTACTGGATTATAACTAAGAAGTAAAAACTAATTTGCCTTGGTCTAACACAGGAGAAAAACATGAACCATCAAGCTTAACTCTCGTTGTTTCTTGGGACTAAATTTAATTCATTATGAGTTAAATCTACCAGAAATAGGTTCACAGAAGATATGTAGTATTATAAAAGCTTTCTCTCTTTAAAAGACTTTTACCTCAGCATACCATAAATAGTGAACCCCTACAGTGAATTTATACTTCTAAAGATTAACTGTAGGGTAGGCAAATGCCAAATTATTAGAAGCCAAAATGAACACCAATTAGAAAGAGAAGAAAATTTTTAGATTCTACTTCAAATGCTATACTGTAATATGATAGTGTTATGTATCTAGATAGATTATCTGCTTATATCCAGTTCTAATATATTCTAAGTTCCACTAGTGACAGTGGACTTAAAATTTTTAATAACATTTACTATTTATGTTAAAATAAGAAAGTTTTTGTTTGTATCCTAATACCAAAGGTCCCATTCTGGAAGGCATGATTCTCTTAATAGGCAGTTGGGTTGATTTTATGACCCAATTCTCTCCCTGAACATAGACACTGGAGGCAACCAGAGACCAAAAAACAGAAGTCTTTAACCTCAGCCACTAGTGACTGGCAACATAAAACTGCAAAGTTTGGGCCACTGGCAATGATGAGTCCTTTAACATGAGTTGAATTCAGTGGCCATCACTGTTAAATTGTTCGTAATTTCTCTTGCTTAGTAGCACAACTCAATTTTTGATGTTACCTTCTTTATCATGAAGAAGGTTATAAAAATAAAAGAGCAAAGAGACTTCTGGAAATTTCTGGCCTCAATTCCAAGGGTAAAGATAGCTATGAGTTACTACAGACTGTAAGAATTTTTTAAATTTTATAACTGGTTAAAATGTTTTAAAATTAAATATGAAATGATTATCTGTTGGATTCTAAAAGGGATAGTCCAGAAGGTCACTTCATTTGGACTATACCATGTTATTAAAGAAAAAGAAACAAACAAACCAATAGTAAGCCAGAAATTAAAATTTAAATTTTTATATACCTGTGGCTGTTTATTTTCACATCTTTCAAGCCTTTCTTGCTTTTCCTCTGAAGCCACTTTTAAGTCGTGTTCTGCTGACAAATCCACATGTTTAATTAAAATGAGTGACTTAGAACGGTTAGATAACGACTATAATCTTTATAAAAATTGATACAAAATAATATATACTCTTATTTTATAAATTGAGAGTTTAAATAAAGCTTAATGTTTACTGGAATATTTACATCTTTAAGAAATACTTCTAGTTATCTGAAACTTCAACGCACCACTTGGGGAGACACTAGGTATCAGTAGGTTCAAGCCATGCAAAAATCTAAGGTTTGCTCACAAATTGTTCCACCCAACATAAATAAACAAAACTTCTGGAAACAAAACAAAATTTAAAAATACAGTAAAAACATATAAAGTAACACTTTACTATTCTCTACTTCATAATAGTATCTTTTTAACAACATGCTATGCAAGTTGGTATTTACTAATAATTTGCAAAATTATTGTTACCATTTGTACCTTTATTAGTGTACACCCTATTTTTTACATCAGAAATGTTTTCCTCTACTATTCTGACAAATTTATTTTCATTTTTTAAGACTCTGAATGTAGGCTGGGCACAGTAGCTCACACCTGTAATCCCAGTACTTTGGAAGGCCCAGGAAGGAGAATTGCTTGAGGCCAAGAGTTTAAGACCAGCCTGGAGACCACAGAGAAACCCTGACTCTACAGAAAATTTGCCAGGCATGGTGGTGAGCACCTGTAGTCCCAGCTACTCAAGAGGTTGAGACGAGAGGCTCCCTTAAGCCCAGGAGTTTGAGTTTGCTATGAGTCTTAATCATGCCATTGCACTCCACCCTGGGTGACAGAGTAAGAATGTGTCTCCAAAAACAGAAAAAGAAAAAAAAAAAGGCTCAGAATGCTATGTGAAATCCTCCTTGAATCTGACTATCTTTCTCCACATACACAGGCATCTCCTTCCTTGGGGCTCCCTTAGTACTTTGTCAATTTTTCTAGTGTCACTTCACCACCTGAACTGTACATCATGTCTTTGCATGTCTATCCCCTTTGCAGCTAGACTGTAGCAATCATCTTTGTATAAACAGTCTTTATTTTACCAAATATTTATTATTGAGTTCCTACTAAGTGGTAGGCACCGGGGTGTAAAGAATAGGAATAAAACCTTCGGGGATGGCTTTTCTAGAGATCATGCCTGAGCTGAGACTTAAAGAATGAGGTCCACCAGATTAAAAGAGGCAGAGGGCAGGAAACCTGAAGATGATGAAGATGAAGACCTTTGGGAGGATTCATTTATGCTTTATGAATAGTAAGTATATTTTTTCTTTTCTATGATTTTCTTTATATCAGCTTCATTTATCTAGCTTACTTTATTTTAAGAACATAGTAAATAATGCAGCAGCACATACCAAATATATGTACCTCGACTGTTTATGTTATCAGTAAAGCTTCCAGTCAATGGTAGGCTAGTTTGGAAGAGGTCAAAAGTTATACTCGGATTTTCAATTCCACAGAAATAAGAGTCCCTAACCCCCACATTATTCAAGAATCAAGTGTAATTAATATTTATCTACTAAATACAAACCATTTATTATAAAAATTAAATAGAAGAACCATTTGCATAAGTCCAATTTGTTATAATATGACTATAGAGAAAAATACAACACACTAACTTAAAAATCTTAAAAGTCTAATTTCTTGTTTATATTAATACAAAAATATATAGAATTTCAGGGATCATAATTAGGTAAATGAATTTGTTTCAGACAGTACTGTTTGAGAAACCGCGGGCCAGTGGTGCGATGGATAACGTGTCTGACTATGGATCAGAAGATTCCAGACAATACTGTTTGAGATTATGAATTAGCTACAACTAACTTCTGAAATAACTCTGAATTCTAAGCTAAACTAATTAAATTAAAAGAATTAATTTATATATATATACATGTAATTTATATATACATTCTTTAAACTGCTCAGTCAGGGCAGGTAAACATGAACTTTTTAAGGATGGAAGGATCCTGAGAGATAGTAGAATATGTCTGTTACATAACAAGCATTCATGTTATGTTTGATGAATAAATGGATTGAAAGAATGGATAAATACAGTTGTGGAGTTCAATATTTTTAAATAAAACTTTTATAAAACAATATTTTTGTGATAGTAATTATATTTGCTATTTATTATTTTTGTAAGAATACAAAATGAAATGTTTAATCTGTCATTGTTTGCATATATTCAATGAATCTATACATAAGAAAAGCATATGTACCTAATAAAATATATACATAATAAAATCTGCAAGCATACATAAAAAGATTCCCTTTTTACTTCTGAAGAGGCTAAAAGTTCAAAGAAGATAACAACCCACGCAATAATAATGATAAAATAGACAGCGAGAAATTATTTTTACCTGTGCAAGATTCATATTCTCTCTTCCCAAGGATTATTCCATTAATAATAAACTTTTACTAGAAGTTTTATACATGATCATTGCGGAAATCACAGATAAGAAAAAGGAGCAAGAAACTTTACTTAAAATACCAATGCTCAGAAGTTACAATTTTTATCATATTTTGTACATAGTTTTGGCTAACACAAGACCATAGTATGTTTGTGTGTATATGCAAGCAAACTGACTTTTTTTTCTCACTGGCTATAACAAAATGGTCACATATTATTCCATCCTATGGATGCAACTGAAATTTATTTATAGGATCTATCCTATCATTTCTTGTTAAAATAAGTGCTGAGAAAAAACAAAGTGCATGTATCTCTATTTTCTAAAGGTATTTTAATATAATGGAATTGATAGGTAAAGGGCATATAGATTTTTTAAATGTGGTAATTACCACCAAATTATCTACTTGAAAAGTCATCAGCAACTTAAACTTTAAGCAGCAGTATAACTACCACTGCTCTTTATTCTCACAAACATTGTGGATAGAAAACAGTCTCATTTCTCTTTTAACTTAAATTCTCTTATGAGAAACACTAAGGATTTTTTCCTATGTACGTAAGTTAAGTTGTGGATCTGCAAAAAAGTACTTTGCTCACTTTTAGAGTTCTTTTCTTCTGGATTTTATTTGAAAGAATTCCCTGTAAAATAAAGATGTGCTTTTTATCTGTGTGTGTGTGTGTGTGTGTGTGTGTGTGTGTGTGTGTATAAAACTGATATATATAACATATTATATCAGTAATATATACAATTTGTTATAATCAGTAATATATATTATATATAATAAAAAATGTAATAAGTTCCCTGTAGAATAAAGACACACTTTTCATCTGAATATGTATTAATATATATTTATATATAGTAAAAAATTATAGCATTTTTCAAGTATGTCATCTTTTGTTAATTTTTTCTGATACACAAGGGGTTTTAATTTTTAGTTGCTAAATCAACCTTCAGAATGCCTACTTGTGAGGTCATTCTTAGGAAGGCCTTTGTCAATATAAAATGTACCTGTATAAATAAGCATTTCTGTTTTCTTCTGGTACTTTCTTCGTTTTGCATATGTAATAATTTCAATCTGTATTCTTTCAGGAACTCATTTTTGTCGCACAAAATTTTATTAGTTTTCTTCAAATAGGACACGTTATTAATAACTCATACCTTCCTACTCATCTGAAATGTTACCACAATCCCTACGTATATATCTTACATTTATCTCAGTGTTTTGGGATTTCCTATCCTGTTCCATGTATTTACGTCTTTTCAGCTGTTAGTCAACAGTTAATTGTGGGAATTAATAGCACATTTTGATATCTAGAGGAGCAAGACTTTTTTCACTCCATTATAAAAATGTTTAAATGTCATCGCAAGAGAAAAAGACAGACAGCAAGTGTCATGCAAAAATGTTAAAACGTTGATATTTTCACTTGGTTTACGTAAAACTGATAAATATAGAAAGAGCTCACATTTTGAGAAAACTGAGTCTTCCCATTCAAGAACACGGAACCCACCTCCCACTTCCAAGTTTCCCTCTAAGGAGCCCCAGTAAAGAATTTATCTACATAGGTGGATTCGGATGTAAAACAGACGCAGGGTTTTATCGGAGAACTTTTCGCCTACTGAAAATGACTCATGGCATTTTTGATATGGGAATGAGTTCTCATTAGGCACCTCCCTATCATGTATATGAGACTTATCTTTTAAACGTGTATATGCCTAACTTTGTGAGATAAATCAAATTCTCCACCAAGTGCTCCAGACGGGGAATTGCCAGCGATAGAAAGCAGCTGAGGCTCCGTTTGGCTTCGCTGTTCCGAGGGTGCCCGGCGCCCTCCAAGATCCCCGCCCCAGGTGCTGCGGGGCTTCGGGGCTACGGGGCTGCGGGGCTGCGGGGCTGCGGGGCTGCGGGAAGCCGGGCCTAGGGCCCCCTCCCACCTGGAGCTGAGGCCCCGCTGCCTGTCTTTCCTGTCGCGGGCGTACAAGTCCCGGCTTCTGCGCATCTGGCGGCGCTCGACCTCTGCGGCGGCGCTCCACCTCTGCGGCGTCGCCCCTCACTGCCGCCCTGTGGATCTTCCGCAGTTCCGCGTCCCAGGTGTGGTACCCGGGATCCGGGTACTCGTGGTCGATGGAGCAGGACCGCCTGGCCCAGGCGTCTCCAGAAGCTGAAGCGCTTCCTCGTGGTGGCGACTTCTCAGACGCTCAACAACCCGCTCCTGAGCCGCCGCGGCTCCAGGTAGCCTTTCCACCCCGCCTCCCAGCCCTAAATCTGCGATCCACCCCCAAATCCGCGATCCACCCAAAAACCGCAATCTACCCTCAAATCCCTGGTCGTGCCACCCGCCGTCCTCCTCTGACGGAGCTCGGGACCGCTGGCCAGAAGCAGTCCGCAGCCACCGGGGATGGGATTGAGCGGCAGGTTCTCGCCCCTGTGCAGCCGCCGTCGGGCGGACCGCCTGGCTCGGCAGCAGCCACAGGGACATCTGGTCCTGGTTCTTAGATGTTCGGAGAGCAGGCGGGCTTAGAGGTTTCCCGGAGGCTGCTGCCTGCACACAGAGGGCGACTGCAGCTTGGGTGCCCAGGCGGGCTGGAGGGGCATGGCCTGGGCGGCCTCGGGATCGCCAGCGCGACCAGCCTGAGGGCCCCTAGGCCGTGCCTCCCGCCCCGCTCCTCCGCCGCAGGGAGACAGAAGCCGCTGGCATGGGCACTCCGCAGTCACCCAGGATGGGGTTGAGCGGCAGGTTCTCAGTTCTCGCCCCTGTGCAGCCGCCGCCGGGCAGAACGCCTGGCTTGGCCGCAGCACCGGGACTTCTGGCCCCGGCTCTGCGATGCTGGCAGTGTGAGCGGGCTGGGGAGTTGCCGGGCAGCGCCCAAGTGCAGCCCCAAATCCGCGATCCACCCCAAAACCACAATCCACCCAAAAATTTGGGGCTGCAGCTTGGGCGCCCAGGCGACGGAGCATGGCCTGGCGACCTCCGGAATGCGTGCGCGCCAGGCCTGAGGGCTCCCCTGGCGGTGCCACCCGCTCTGCTCCTCCTCTGCCAGAGCCTGGAACAGCTGGAAGGGCCACTCTGCAGTCACTGGGGATGGGGTTAAGTATTCTTATCCCACGCATGCGCACAAAAAGCTATTATGTGAGGTAATTAATATGTTAATTGACTTCGTTTTGGTAATCATTTCAGAATGTGCATATAGATAGAAACACATCACATTGCAAACCTTGAATATGTTCACATTTATTTCTCAATTATACCTCAGTAAAGCTGAAAAAATTTAACAGGATTAAAAGGTTAAACCCACACAGTTCTATAATAACAGTTGGACACTTCAATACCTCATTTTAATTAATGGGTAGAAAAACCAGACAGAAGCTTCATGAGAAACAGAAGACTTGAACAATAGTATAAGCCGCTTAGATCTAATATACAGATACAGAACAGTCCACCCAACAACAGCAGAATACACATTATTTTCAAGTGGATATGGAACTTTCTCTAGGATAGGCCATATCTTCCTCTGCAAAAATATGTCCTAATCATTTTTAAAAGTTTGAAATCATACAAAATATAATTTACAACCACAATGGAAGAAACAACAGATAAATAAAAAATGAAAATGGGAAAATTCACAAATATGTGGAAATTAAACAATGTACTCTTAAACTACCAGTGAGTGAAAGGATAAATCACAAGTGAAATTATAAAGTATTTTGAGACAAATTAAAATAAAAATAAAGCATACCAAAACTTATTGAATGCAGTGAAAGTAGAGTTCAAAGGAAAATGTATGGATATAAACAATCACATTAAAAAAAAAATCTCAAATCAGTAACCTCACTGTGTACCTAAAAGCAGTAGAAAAACCAGAGAAAACTAAATCCAAAGCTAGCAGAAGGAAAGAAATAATAAAGATTAGAGTATAAATCAATAAAATAGAAGGTTGAAAAGCAGTAGAAGAAATAAACACAGCTAAAAGTTGATTCTTTGAAAAGATCAAACCTTTCACTGTATTGACTGAGCAAAAGATGGAAGACTTTCATCACTAAAATCATAAATGAAAGTAGAGCCATTACTACCAACTTTACAGAAATAAAAAAGGATTATAGGAGAATACTGTGAACAGCTGCATATTAACAAATTAGGTGCCCTGGATGAAATGGACGAATTGCTGGAAAGACACAAACTACCAAAATAGCTCAAGAAGAAAGAGAAAATCTGAATAGACCTGCATTCAGATAACAAGCAAGAAGATTGGACTAGTAATCAAAAACCATTTAACAAAAAAAGATTTATGACCAAATAGCCATATTTGGTCATAAATCTACCTAACATTTAAATGTGAGTCTATCTAACATTTAAAGAAAAATTAATACCATTTCTTCTCAAACTCTTCCAACAAAATGTATGAAGAAAGAATACTTGCCAATTCAGTTGTTTTGTGGGGTGGGGGCGGGGAGTTGTTTGTTTGTTTGTTTGTTTGGAGACAGAGTCTTATCCCCCAGGCTGGAGTGCAGTGGCACGACCTTGGCTAACTGCAACCTCTGCCTCCTGGGTTCAAGCGATTCTCATGTCTCAGCCTCCCGAGTAGCTGGGATTACAGGTCCCTGCCACTACACCCAGCTAATTTTCGTATTTTTAGTAGAGACGGGGGTTTCACCATGTTGGTCAGGCTGGTCTCAAACTGACCTCATGATCCAACTGCCTCAGCCTCCCAAAGTGCTGGGATTACAGGCATGAGCCACCGCGCCCAACCCTCACTTTTTGATAACAGCATTATCCTGATACCAAAGCCAGACAAAGCACAAAAAAAGAGAACTAAAGCACGATATCCCTTATGAAAATATAGGCAAAAATCTCAGCAAAATGCTAGCAATACTAACAAAATACTAGCAGCACTACTGTATAATCAAAGGATTGTAAACTATCACCAAGTGAGATTTATCCCAAAAATGCAAGTGTGGCTCAACATATTATAAACCGATCAGTGTAATATACTATAACAGTAAAATGAATAAGCACATGATTATTTCAATTGATGCAGAAAAAGCATTGATGATATACAACTCTCTTTTATGATAAAAATACCCAATAAACTAAGCACAGAAGGGAACTTCTGCAACATGACAATGGGATATAAAAAACTGACAGTTAATATCGTGCTCAATGGTGAAACACTGAAAGCTGTTTTCCTAACATCTAGAACAGGACAAGGATGGTGCATTTGCCAATTCTGTTCAGCATAGCACTGGAAATTCTAGCCAGAGCAATTAGGCAAGACAAAGAAATAAAAGGCATCTAAATTAGAAATGAAAAATAGAAGTAAAATTATATCTACACATGATCTTATGTGTATAAAGCTCTAAAGAATACCCAAAACCCATCAGAACTAATAAAAGAGGAAGGAAGCAAGACAAACACATGCTAATTAGTTGTATTTCTATATAGCTGTAATGAACTATGGAAACATTTTTAAAATTCCATTTATAATAGCATCAAAGAATAAGATATTCAGGCATAAATCTAAACATGGTGGTATGCACAAAACTTCGCTGAAAGAAACTGAAGAGTTTAAATAACTGGAAAGACATTCTGTGTTCATGGGTTGTAAGACAATATTTGATGACCATACCATCTAAAGTAATCTAGAGATTCAATACGATACCATCAAAATCTCAAAGACATTTTTTGCAGACACAGAGAAACCCATTATAAAATTCATACAAAAATTCAAAGAATCTGACATAGACAAAACAATCTTGAAAAAGAACATTGGAAAACTCACATTTTCCAGTTTCACAACCTACTACAAATCTACAGTAATCAAGAGGGTGTGGTACTGGCATAAAATCAATAGACATTTAAAATAACAGAATAGGATTGAGATCCTAGAAATTAGTCCTCATATATATGGTCAATGACTGTTCAGCAAGGAGGCCAAGACCAGTCAATGGAGGAAAGAACACTCTCTTCAACAGCTGGATATCCATGCACAGGAGTGAAGTTAGACCCCTACCTTGCACTATATACAAAAATTAACTCTAAATTAACAAAAGACTTAAATGTAAGGACTAAAAATATGTAACTCTTAGAAGAAAACACACACGTAAATCTTTATGACCTTTGAGTTTTAAATGCTTTTTGAAATATGACACAAAAGCACAGATAACAAAAGAAAAAACACGTTAGATTTAATCAAAATCGAAAAATTTTATGCATCAAAGGACACTATCAAGGGAGTGAAAAGACCACCCGTAGTATGTGAGAAAATATTTATCTGATAAAAGCAAAACATATATCCGATAAAAGCTTAATATCGCACAACTTAACAACAAAATTTCTAACATTCCAATTAAAAAATAGGCAAAGGACTTGAATAGACATTTCTCCAAAGAAAATATACAAATGTCTAATAAGGACAAAAAAAATGCTAAACACCATTATTCATTAATAAAGTGCAAATCAAAACCAAAATGAAATACCACTTTCCATCCTCCGATATGGCTTTCATAACAACAATGAAACAGAAAATAAATGTTGCTAAGGATGTGGAGAAAATGAAGCCCTCATGAATTGGCTGCTAAAAACAGAAAATGATGCAGTTGCTGTGGAGAGCAGTTCGGTGGTTCCTCACAGAATCACACATAGACCCAGAAATGCCACTCCTAGGTATTACACACAAAAAAGTTGACAGCAGGATCTGGAACAGACATTTTTACACCAAAGTTTATTGTAGCATTATTTGCCATAGCCAAAAGGCAGGGACAGCCCATGTCCATCAACAAATGAATGGATAAACAAAATATGATACATATATAATAGAGTATTATTCATCCATTAAAGGGAATGAAGTTCTCATGCATGCAACATGGGTGAAACTTGGAAACGTGATGCTAAGTGAGGTAAGCCAGACATAAAAAGACAAATGTTGTGTGATTCCATTGATATGAAATATCTACAATAGGCAAATTTGTGAAGACAGAACAAAGATAAGTGTTTATTTTGTGTACTTTGATATTTTATGTACAGTATATAATATGTATTTGGTATACTTTGATATTTTAGGTACAGTATGTAATATGTATTTGGTGTATTTGATATTTTAGGTACAGTATGTAATATGTATTTGTTGTACTTTGATATTTTAGGTACAGTATAAAATGTGTATTTGGTGAACTTTGATATTTTAGGTACAGTATGTAATATGTATTTGGTGTACTTTGATATTTTAGGTACAGTATGTAATATGTATTATGTGTACTTTGATATTTTAGGTACAGTATATAATATGTATTTCGTCTAGTTTGATATTTTGGGTACAGTATGTAATATGTATTTCGTGTACTTTGATATTTTAGGTACAGTATATAATATGTATTTCGTGTATTTTGATATTTTAGGTACAGTATTTAATGTGTATTTCGTGTACTTTGATATTTTAGGTACAGTATGTAATATATATTTCGTGTACTTTGATATTTTATGTACAGTATATAATATGTATTTTGTGTACTTTGATATTTTATGTACAGTTTATAATATGTATTTGGTGTAGTTTGATTTTTTATGTACAGTATATAATATGTATTTGGTGTAGTTTGATATTTTATGTACAGTATATAATGTGTATTTGGTGTACTTTGATATTTTATGTACAGTATATAATATGTATTTGGTGTAGTTTAATATTTAGCATACAGTATATAATATGTATTTTGTGTACTTTGATATTTTGAATACAGTATATAATATGTATTTAGAGTACTTTGATATTTTATGTACACTATATAATATGTACTTTGTGTACTTTGATATTTTATGCACAGTATATAATATGTATTTGGTGTACTTTGATATTTTATATAGAGTATATAATATGTATTTGGTGTACTTTGATATTTTATGTACAGTATATAATATGTATTTTGTGTACATTGATATTTTATGTACAGTATATAATATGTATCTGGTGTACTTTGATGATTAATGTACAGTATGTAATATGTATCTGGTGTACTTTCATGTTTTATGTATAGTATATTATATGTATTTGGTGTAATTTGATATTTTATGTACAGTATATAATATGTATTTGGTGTACTTTAATATTTTACATACAGTATATAATATGTATTTTCTGTACTTTGATGTTTTGTGTACAGTATATAATATGTATTTTGTGTATTTTGATATTTTATTTGCAGTACATAATATGTATTTAGTGTACTTTGATATTTTATGTATGGTATATAATATGTACTTTGTGTACTTTGATATTTTATGCACAGCATATAATATGTATATGGTGTACTTTGAAATTTTATGTACAGTATGTAATATGAATTTGGTGTACTTTGATATTTTATGTACAGTATATAATATGTATTTTGTGTACTTTGATATTTTATGTAGAGTATATAATATGTATTTGGTGTACTTAGGTATTTTATGTACAGTATATATTATGTATTTGGTGTACTTTGATATTTTAGTTATAGTATATAGTATGTATTTGGTATGTTTGATATTTTATGTACAGTAAATAATATATATTTGGTGTACTTTGATATTTTATGTACAGTATACAATACATATTTTGTGTACTTTGATATTTTATATACAGTATATAATATGTATTTTCTGTAATTTTATATTTTGTGTACAGTATATAATATGTATTTGGGGTACTTTTCTATTTTATATACAGTATATAATATGTATCTGGTGTACTTTCATATTTTGTGTACAGTATATAATAAGTATTTTGTGTACTTTGATATTTGATGTACAGTATATAATAAGTACTTGGTGTACTATTTCATGTTTGATATACAGTATATAATATGTATTTGGTTAATTTTTAATATTTGATGTACATTATATAATATATATTTGTTGTACATTTTGATATTTGATGTACAGTATATAATATATAATGTACTTTTTGATATTTGATGTACAGTATATAATATATATGATGTACTTTTTGATACTTGATGTACAGGATATAATATATATTAGGTGTACTTTTTCATATTTTATGTACAATATATAATATATCTTTGGTGTACCTTTTGATATTTTATGTACAATATATAATATGTATTTGGGGTACGTTTTGATATTTTATGTACAGTATAAAATATGTATTTGGTGTACCTTTTTACATTTTATGTACAGTATAAAATATGTATTTGGTGGACTTTGATATTTTATGTACAGTATATAATATATATTTTGTGTACGTTGCTTTTTATGTACAGTATATAATATGTATTTGGTGTACTTTGATATTTCATGTACAGTATATAATATGTATTTGGTGTACTTTGATATTTTATGTACAGTATATAATATATAATATGTGTGATTTGATATTTTATGTTCAGTATATAATATATATTCGGTGTACTTTGATATTTTATGTACAGTATATAATATATACTTCGTGTAAGTTGATATTTTATGTGCAGTATATATGTTTTGCATACTTTGATATTTTATGTACAGTGTATAATATGTATTTTGTGTACTTTGATATTTTATGTACAGTATATAATATGTATTTGGTGCACATTGATATTTTATGTACAGTATATAACATGTAATTTGTGTACTTTGATATTTTATGAACAGTATATAATATGTATTTGGTGTACTTTGATATTTTATGTACAGTATATAATATGTATTTGGTGTACTTTGATATTTTATGTACAGTATATAATATATATTTTGTGTACTTTGGTATTTTAAGTACAGTGTATAATATATATTATGTATACTTTGATATTATATGTACAGCATATAATATATATTTTGTGTACTTTGATATATTATGTATAGTATATAATATGTATTAAGTGTACTTTGATATCTTATGTACAGTATATAATACGTATTTGGTGTACTTTGATAATTGATGTACAGTATATAGTATGTATTTGGTGTACTATTTGATATTTTATGTACAGTATATAATATGTATTTGCTGTAGTTTGATGTTTTATGTACATTATATAATATGTATTTGGTGAACTTTGATATTTTATGTACTGTATATCATATGTATTTTTTGTACTTTGATTTTTTATGTACAGTATATCATATGTATTTTGGGTACTTTGATATTTTGTGTACAGCATATAATATGTATTTGGTGTAATTTTTGATATTTTATTTACAGTATATAATATGTATTTGCTGTAGTTTTTGATATTTTATGTACAGTATATAATATGTATTTGGTGTACTTTCGTATATTTTATCTACAGTATATAATATGTATTTGGTGTACTTTTTGATAATATATGTACAGAATATAATATGTATTTCGTGTACTTTTTGACATTTTAGGTACAGTATATAATATGTATTTGGTGTACTTTTTGACATTTTATGTACAGTATATAATATGTATTTGGTGTACTTTCAAACTATGTACAGTATATAGTATGTATTTGGTGTACGTTGGTGTTTTATATACAGTATATAAAATGCATTTGGTGTACTTTGATATTTTATGTACAGTATATAAATTGTATTTGGTGTATTATACACTGTGCATAAAATATCAAAATACACCAAATACATATTATATAGAGTACATAAAATATCAAACTACATCAAATGCATATTATATACTGTACATAAAATATCAAAGTACACCAAATACATATTTTATACTGTACATAAAATATCAAACTACACAAAATACCTATTATATACTGTCCATAAAATATCAAAGTACGCCAAATTCATATTATATACTGTACATAAAATTTCATAGTGCACCAAATACATATTATATACTCTACATAAAATATCAAAGTACAGCAAACACATGTTATATACTGTACATAAAATATCAAAAAGTACACCACATGCATGTCATATACTGTAAATAAAATATCAAAAAGTACACCAAATGTATCTTATATACTGTACATATAATATCAAATAGTACACTAAATACGTATTATATACTGTACATAAAATATCAAAAAGTACACCAAATATATACTATATACTGTACATAAAATATCAAAGTACACCAAATACATATTATGTACTGTACATAAAATATCAAAAAGTACACCAAATACATATTACATACTGTACATAAAATATCAAAAAGTACACCAAATACTTATTATTTACTGTACTTAAATTATCAAAAATTACACCAACTACTTATTATATACTGTACATAAAATATCAAAAAGTACACCAAATATATATTATATACTGTACATATAATATCAAAGTACACCAAATACATATTATATACTGTGCATAAAATATCAAAGTACACCAAATACATTTTATATACTGTACATAAAATATCAAAGTACAGAAAACACATATAATATACTGTACATAAAATATCAAAGTACACAAAATATATATTATATACTGTACACAAAATATCAAAATACACAAAATACATATTATATACTGTATGTAAAATATTAAAGTACACCAAATACATATTATATACTGTACATAAAATATCAAAGTACACCAAATACATGTTATATACTGTACATAAAATATCAAAGTACACCAAATACTTATTATATACTGTACATAAAATATCAAAGTACCCAAAATACATATTATATACTGTACATAAAATATCAAAAAGTACACCAAATACATATTATATACTGAACATAAAATATCAAATTACACCAATTACATATTATATACTGTACATAAAATATCAAAGTACACGAAATATATATTATATACTCTACCTAAAATACCAAAGGAAGTAATGGTGAGTCACTGTTTAATGGGTACTTTATTTTGGCTTGTGATTAATAGGATGGTTGTACAACACTGTGAATGTACTTAATGCTACTGAATTATATACTTAAAATTGTTAAAATTTTAACACAATAAAAAAATTAACATATATATCTGAGAATTATTCATTGTTATTTAGAAGTTCTTTGCTCAATTGCCAAATATTAAGGTTTTCTGAGTATATTTTTGTTGTTGATGTTTAATTTAGTCCTATTTTGCTCAGTATACAAACCCTCTATGATTTAAATCATTTTATATTTATTGAGAATTGTTTTATGGTCCAGTATTTGATCTGTCTTGATTAATGTTCCACAGACACTTAAAAAAGTAGATCTGATTATCGTCACCTTTACTGTTGATGTCTGTTTCACACATTTTGAAGTTTCATTAGGCTCACCCATTTAAGATTGTTAATCTTATGAACTGGCCTATTTTGATTGTGACTTGACCCCTTTATCTTTGGCAGTACTCCTGTTTGGAAGACCACTTTATCTAATATTAATATGGGCACACCAATTCTTTTAGGATGAGCATTTGTATGACACATTTATACCCATACTTTTGCCTACGTGTTGTTTCTATATCTAAAATATGCTTCTTGTGAACAGCATAGGGTTGGGTCTTATTTATTTTTTTTAATCTCATAAGTAATCCGAACTTTGAAATTGAGATATCCAGCCCTTCTATATTTATTTATGTATTAGAAACAGGGTCTGGCTCTGTCACACAGGCTGGGCTGCAGTAGCATGATCATAGCTCGTTGTAACCTCAAACTCCTGGGCTCAAAGGATCCTCTTGCCTCAGCCTTCTGAGTAGCTAGGACTGCAGGGACATGGCACCATGCCCAGCTAATCTTTTATTTTTTAAAAAAAATTTTCTTTGGGAGGCCGAGGTGGGCAGATCACAAGGTCGGAAGATCGAGACCATCCTGGCTAACACAGTGAAACCCCGTTTCTACTAAAAAAAAATACAAAAAATTAGCCGGGCATGGTGGCGGGAGCCTGTAGTCCCAGTTACTCAGGAGGCTGAGGCAGGAGAATGGCATGAACCCGGGAGGCGGAGCTTGCAGTGAGCCAGAGATCGCGCCACTGCAGTCCAGCCTGGGCGACAGAGTGAGACTCCGTCTCAAAGAAAAAAAAAATTTTGACCGGGCACGCGGTGGCTCACGCCTGTAATCCCAGCACTTTGGAAGGACGAGGCGGGTGGATCACCTGAAGTCAGGAGTTCGAGACCAGCCTGACCAATATGGAGAAACCCCGTTTCTACTAAAAATACAAAATTAGCTGGGCGTGGTGGCACATGCCTGTAATCCCAGCTACTCGGGAGGCTGAGGCAGGAGAATCGCTTGAACCTTGGAGGCGGAGGTTGCAGTGAGCTGAGACTGTGCCATTGCACTCCAGCCTGGGCAACCAGAATGAAACTCCCTCAAAAAAAAACAAAAAAAACACAGTGCATGCAGAGACAGAGACAGCATCTCACTGCCAGGGCTGGTCTCAAACTCCTGGTCTCAAGTCATCCTCCCACCTCAGCTTCCAGAGTGCTGGGATTACAGGCATGAGCCATGAAGCCTGGGCCCTTTTATATTTAATGTAATTGTTGAAAATGACTAGGTTTAAGTGTACCCTGTTGTTATTTGTTTTCTATTTCTTCTTTTTTTTAAACTATTCTTTCTTTAGTGTGCCTATTTTTTAGTCTTCTGTTTTATCACTTCTGCTGTCTTCTTAGCTATATCTGTTTGTTTTCATTTTTTTTGTTAATTGAAAGATTACAATATGTAGGCCAGGCACAGTGGCTCGCGACTGTAACCCCAGCACTTTGGAAGGCCGAGGCGGGCAGATCATTTGAGGTCAGGAGTTCGAGACCAGCCTAGCCAACATGGTGAAACCCTGTCTCTACTAAAAATTCAAAAATTAGCCGGACATGGTGGCAGGCACCTGTAATCCCAGCTACTCAGGAGGCTGAGGCAGGAGAGTTGCTTGAACCTGGGACGTGGAGGTTGCAGTGAGCTGAGATCTTGCCACTGCACTCCAGCCTGGGTGACAGAGCTAGGCTCTGTCTCAAAAAAAAAAAAAAAAAGAAAGAAAGAAAGAAAGATTGCAATATGTATCTTTATCATAGTCTATCTTGAATTAATATTTTAACATTTTTGTTTAAGGCAAGAGCCTTAAAATGGTATAATTCCAATTACTCTCCTCTGTCCTTTATGCTAGTTTTTTTCACTTTTTTACGTATGTTTGTTGTGAGTTATCAGAAATTAGCATTGGATTTTGTCAAAATGCTTTTATGTCTTTTGAGATGATTCTATTGATTTACTACTTTATTTTATTTATATGATGTACTATGTTCATTGGGTTTTAGATAGTAAACCAAATTTGCATTACTAGGATTAATTCCAGAGAGTTACAGTGTATCACCATTTTACATGTTGTTGGATTTAATTTGCTTCCGTTTTGTTAAATATGTTTGCATGTAAACTTATGACAGATATTGCTTGGTGCTTTTCCTCTGATGTCGCCATCCTGCCTTGGTATCAAGCTAATACTGGCTTTCTAAAATGTTTGGGCATATGCTCTTTTCTCCATTTGCTGAAAATGTTTGTGTATGACTGGTATTCTTTCTTCCTTAAATATTAGATGGAATTCACAGGTTAAGCCATCTGGCACTACACTCTTCTTCAGGGGAATATATTTAGTTACTAATTCAATTTTTTTTTACTTTATATACATCTATTAAGATTTTCTATTTTGTTTTTAAGTCAGTTTTTCTACTTAATATCTATCTAGGAATTTTATTATTTCATTTATGTTGTTAAACTTGTTGATATTAGTTGTTCATCATTACCTTACTTTTTTTATTTTATTTTATTTTATTTTTTGAGATGGAGCCTTGCTCTGTCACCCAGGCTGGAGTGCAGTAGCACAATCTTGGCTCACTGCAAACTCTGCCTCCCAGGTTCAAGCGATTCTCCTACCTCAGTCTTCCCAGTAGCTGGGACTACAGGCCTGTGCCACCACACCCCGGCTAATTTTTTTTTTTTTTTTTTTGTATTTTTAGTAGTGACAGGGTTTCACCATGTTGGCCAGGCTGGTCTTGAACTCCTGACCTCAAACGATCCACCCACCTCAACCTCCCAAAGTGCTGGGATTACAAGCGTGAGCCACCATGTCAGCCTTAAATTCTTTTTAAATTTCTGTTGAATCTGTTGTAAGGTTCTGCCTTTCATTCCTGATATTGACAATCTGTGCCTTCTCTCTTTCATCTTGATGAGTCCAGTAAAATCTCTACCAGTTGCGTTATTTCAAAGATACAATTTTAGGTTTCATTGTTTTCTCTATTGTTTTTGTGTTTCCTATTTCACTAATTGTTGTTCTGATTATTATTATTTCTTTTATTTTATTTATTTTTGTTTTTGTTTTTGTTTCTTAAGTTGATTAGGTAATTGATTTGAGACGCTCTTCCTTTCTAGCAAAACATTTGAATTCATAAGTTTCCCTGTAAGCATTGCTTTAGCTTCTTTCCATGTATTTTGATTTATTGTGTTATTCTTTTCAATCCACTCCAGATATTTTCTAATTTCCCTTGTGATTTCTTGTTGAAATGATGGATGGTTCAGAGCTATTTTGTTTAATATTTGTTCTGTTTAATTTTTTAATACACATGTGTACATATCTATTATTTTATATTGTGTTTTCTGATACACGTATTAGATGTTTTCTTTTGGAGGTGAGAAAAAGGGCAGCATAGGTAAGAGAAAGAGAAATAAGGTTGGCTAGAAATGGGAGTCAGTGGTTATTACTTTATGAGAAACCACAAAACTATAGTAAATTAGTGGGAAACAATTATCTGCTTGAGATAGAACACTTTTCTGGATGAGCCAAAAATAGGTATCCCACTTCAGAGTAGATTATGGGAAGAGAAGCTTAATTTCTCAGCTTCCTCCTACCTTCTTTTTCCATTGACAAAGTATTCCCCATAGGACATTAACTCCCTCATACCTCCAGAATGCATCATTCTTTCAATAGTGAGTTCAAATGCCAAAGCCCAAGCTATTTTATGGGTTGCTAGTTCCTACAGAGGAAAAAGCTGGAATCTCTGGGCAATCACTGCTGGACCTGGCTGTGTATCAGAGGCTATACTCCTAGGACAGACAGCACACTGGTTGTCACCAGGCAGCAAAGCTACTTGGGCCTGAGCAGGAAACCACAGGGCATGGCTGGTGGCAGAGTAGATGGCCAAGGATACATGAGACAGGTGCGCTAAGGAAACCGGTGACTGAGATCTGTGTCAGATCTACATACATACTTATTGATGTATAATTACAAACTTAGAAAATTATTGTGAAAGATCCACACAAGAAAGTTAACCTTTGGGAAAATTACAGCATGAACAGAAGAGGGAGCTTTTACTGCCTTTTTTTTTTTTTTTTTTTTTTTTTCCGAAATGGAGTCTTGTTTGCCCTGTCGCCCAGGCTAGAGTGCAGTGGCGCGATTTCGGCTCGCTGCAACCTCTGCCTCCCAGGATCAAGCAATTCTCCTGCCTCAGCCTCCTGAGTAGCTGGGACTATAGGCACATGCCACCACACCCAGCTAATTGCTTTTACTGCTTTACATGAATTTCAATAATAATATTATGGGTGATTTAAAAATTTTTAAATATATTTTAGAAAAATTAAAAATAGTTGTTACATTAAATTATTGTACATTCATACAATGAATGTCTTTGCAGCTATTTAGATACATCTCAAAAAAATCATTTAAAAAAGCACCATGTTCATAATAAGTAAAAAAATATTGAACAGTATACAGTCATCCCTCATTTTATTGTGCTTTGCAGATATTGAGTGTTTTACAAATTGAAGGTTTCCGGCAACGCTGCATCAAACACTTCTATTGGCATCATTTTTCCAACAGCGTGTACTTACTTCATGCCTGTGTGTCACATTTTGGTAATTCACATATTATTTCAAACTTTTTCCTTTCTGTTATATCTGTTATGGTGATCTGTAATTCGTGATTTCCGATGTTAATACTGTACTCGTTTGGGGTGCCATGAACTGTGCCCATAGAAGACAGCAAACCTAATCAATATGTGTTGCATGTGTTCTGCCTGCTACATTGACCACCCATTCTTCTCTTTTTGCCATCTCTCTCCCTTGGCCTCTCTATTCCCTGAGACACAACAATCTTAGGCCAATTAATAGCTCTAAAATGGTCTCTAAGTATTCAAATAAAAGGAAGAGTTGCATTTCTCTCACTTTAAATCAAAAGCTAGAAATTATTAAGCTTAGTGAGGAAGACATGTCAAAAACTGAGATAGCCTTAAAGCTAGGCCTCTTGCACCAAACAGTTAGCTAAGTTGTGAATGCAAATAAAAGTTCCTGAAAAAAATCAAAAGTGCTGGTCCAGTAAACACATGAATGATAAGAAAGCAAACAGTCTTATTGCTGATATGGAGAAATTTTGAGTGGTCTGAATAGAAGATCAAACCAGCCATAACGCTTCCTTAAGCCAAAGCCTAATCCAGAGAAACTCCCTAACTCTCTTCAATTCTGTAAAAGCTGAGAGAGGTGAGGAAGTGACCGAAGCTGCAGAAGAAAAGTTTGAAGTTAGCAGAAGTTGGTTCATGAGGTTTAAGGAAAGAAGTCACCTCCGTAACATGAAAGTGCAAGGCAAGGCAGCAAGAGCTGATAGAGAAGCTGTAGCAAGTTACCTTGATCTAGCTAAGGTCACTGAGGAAAGTGACCACACCAAATGACAGACTGTCAGTGCAGCTGAAATAGTCTTGCATTGGAAGAAGATGTCTCCTAGGACTTTCATAGCTAAGAAGTGAAGTCAATGCCTGGTTTCACAGCTTCAAAGGACAGACTGACTCTCTTATTAGTGGGTAATGCAGCTGGACACTTTAGGTTGAAGCCAGTACTCATTTACCATTCAGAAAATCCTAGGGACCTTAGGAATGATGCTAAACCTACTCTGCCTTTGCTCTGGAAATGGAACAAAGCCTGATGACAGCATATCTGTTTGCAGTGTGGTTTACTTAATATTTTAAGCCAACTGCTGAGACCTACTGCTCAGAAAAAAAGATATTTTTTTCAAAACTTTACCATACATTGATAATGTACCTAGTTACCCAAGAGCTATGACAGAGATGCACAAGGAGATTCATATTGTTTTAGGTCTGCTCACAGAATATCCATTCTACAGCCCATGGATCAGCAAGAAGTAAATTTGACTTCCAAGTCATATTATCTGAGAAATAAATTTCAACTATTCGATAGTACAACAAGCTGACTATACTCAACAGTAACTTAATTGTACAATTTAAAATAACTAAAAGAGTATAATTGAATTATTTGTAACAATGCATAAATGCTGAGGGGATGGACACCCCATTCTCCATGATGTGATTATTACTCGTTGCATGCATGTATCAAAACATCTCATGTACCCCATAAATATATACACCTACTATATACCCACCAACATTAAATTTTTTTTAATTAAAAAAAGAAAGAAATTTCATAAGATTATAGCTGCCGCAGATAGTGATTCCTCAGAGAGATTTGGGCAAAGCAAATTTAAAACCTTTTAGAAAGAATGTACTGTTCTTGTGATAGTTTACTGAGAATGATGATTTCCAATTTCATCCAGGTGGCTACAAAGGACATGAACTCATCATTTTTTATGGCTGCATAGTATTCCATGGTGTATATGTGCCACATTTTCTTAATCCAGTCTATCATTTAGTGGGTGCAGCACACCAGCACGGCACATGTATACATATGTAACTAACCTGTACATTGTGCACATGTACCCTAAAACTTAAAGTATAATAATAATAAATAAATAAATAAATAAGTAAAAAAAAAAAAAAAAGAAAGAATGTACTGTTCTAGACGCCATTAAGAACATTCGTGATTCATGGAGGCTGGGCACGGTGGCTCATGCCTGTAATCCCAGCACTTTGGGAGGCTGAGATGGGAAGATTGCTTGAGGCCGGGAGTTCAACACCAGCCTGGTCAACATAGTAAGATCCCATCTCTATGTATACAAAAAAAAAGAATATTTGTGATTCATGGGAGGAGGTCAAAATATCAACATTAATAGGAGTTTAGAAGAAGTTGCTTCCAACCTTCATTGATGACTTTGAGGGATTCAAGACTTTAGTGGAAGAAGGAAGCACTGCTGTGGTGGAAATAGAAAGAGACCTAGAATCAGCAGTGGAGCTTGAAGATGTGACTGAATTGCTGCAATCTCATCATAAAATTTTAATGGATCTTCTAGAATGATTTACATGGATGAGCCAAGAAAATGCTATTAACAGTGTTTAGATAACTGCAAAGGAATTCAAATATTAAATAAATTTAGTTGATGAAGCAATGGCAGGGTTATATAAGGTGAACCCCAATTTTGAAAGAAATGCTACTGTAGGGTAAAATGCTATCAAACAGCATTGCATGCTACAGAGAAATCTTCCCTTAAAAGATGTCAGTAAATGTAGCAAACTTCATTGTTTTCTTATTTTAAGAAATTACCACAGCCCCCCAACCTTTAGCAACCACCACCCTGATTGGTCAGCAGCCATGAAAATTGAGGTAAGAGCTTCCACCAACAAAAAGGTTATAACTTGCTGAAGGTCCAGATGATTATTAGCATTTTTTAGCAATACAGTATTTTCAATTAAGTTATGTACATTGATGTTTAGACATAATGCCATTGCACACTTAATGTACTACACTATAGAGTAAACATAGCTTTTCTATGTGTCAGAAACCAAAAAGTCTGTGTTACTCACTTTATTGCAATATTCACTTTATTGTTGTGGTTTGGAACTGAACGCACAATATTTCTGAGGTATGCCTGTATGGAGAAAATAATTGAAAATGTAATCAATGTTTAAGGTTTTTAAATAGAAATTGTCATAAATATCTGCTGTTAATGTTTGACCATGTGAATAAACTGATTAGAATGTATGGAGAGAAAGAAAATACTATAAAAACAATAAGATAAAATACATAATATAAATGAAACTGAATGTTTAGCTATCATAAACAAAATAGATTACAGAAAAAGAATTCTATATAAAAAAGACTTGTGGAAGAACAGTGGTTTTGGACACTGACAAATGCAATTTTGAGTTCTGCCATTGCCATCTTGAAATTCATCCTGTTTGAGCTCTCGTTTTCTTGCCTGTTAATAATTAAAAAAGAAAAATCAGTATCTCACAGGGTACCTATTATGAAGAATAACAAGAACATATTTTAAATGCTTTGGATAAATTGAAGAGATAACGATGTGAAAACGAACGAGAAAGTTTAAACAACTTTGTTTGATGGTGTCAAATGAAGGAAATTTATTTATACTATTGTTGTCTTTTCCCATGTAAATTAGTTGAGCTTACTCTGCTGTTAATTATCCAACTTCAATAAGAACAGTAAAACTTTTATTATATAACTGACTACTATTTCATGTGGGGGAGTTCATAACAACTTAGAAAGAAAATTTAAGATATTTGGTCAATGTGTGTCCTGCTTAAAAAACTATTATGTTACCACAGAATATTTACTTCTTTTTTTTTTTTTTTTTTCCGTGAAGGAGTCTCACTCTGTCACTCAGGCTGGAATGCAGTGACATGATCTCAGCTCACTGCAACCTCTGCCTCCCAGGTTCAAGCGATTCTCCTGCCTCAGTCTCCCAAGTGGTGGGGCTACAGGCACCTGCTACCATGTCTGGCTACTTTTTGCATTTTTAGTGGAGACGGGGTTTCACCATGTTGACCAGGCTTGTTTTGAACTCTCGACCTCAAGTAATCCGCCCGCCTCAGCCTTCCAAAGTGCTAGGATTACAGGCGTGAGCCACTGTGCCTGGCCAGAATATTCACTTCTATTTGTTTTGCTTTTAACACTCAAAACCACATGATGGAGTAACTTTGACACTCAAAATTAGCCTAATATGGCTTCAGAGAAATGAGAACAAACAATATTCATGGATTCAAATAATTTTTACAATTTTCTTTAAAAAAAGACATGATTGTTGACTATCATAAGTCATGTTATAAAATGCTATTTTAATTTCTTGGATCTTTAAAGGAAACAAGATATTTTATTTAACATCTATACAAGAAGAGAGTATTCTTATTTCCTTATAATGCTTAAATCTCTAAGAAACTGAATTTTAAATGGGTGTCAAAACTTCGGCATGATAATTATAAGTAATTTGTAAGACAGTAATATTTGAGCAGTCATAACTTTTCTAACTAATTTGCATTATGATTATTACTCCTAGCATCAAATTTCAATTATAATCTATTTAAATGTCATTGATATAATTTGGAAATTAAGTGTTTGCAGAAACTCCATTTTGAATTACAAACATGTAAATACATTCTGGCATTTCTAAATTTAAGACTCTCTTTTAAAGTAGACTTAAAGATAAAAGCATATATAACTTTTATCCAATTTGTGAGTCAATTTGGAAAATGTCAGGGGTTAATTTTAAGTAAACATTCACTGTCTAATAAACACATGAGATTAAAGCATTAAAAATCTGTGAACATAATTACTTTTGGGGCCCTAAAGATGATAACATTGCAATTCAGCCTTAGCAAAGATGACAGAAAAGGTTCTTACTATATTAAATGACTTGGAAACTTCCCCCAAATCATAAGCTCAGTACAATATTTTTCTTTTTTTTTTGAGACGGAGTCTCGCTCTGTCGCCCAGACTGGAGTGCAGTGGCGCAATCTCAGCTCACTGCAAGCTCCGCCTCCCGGGTTCACGCCATTCTCCTGCCTCAGCCTCCCAAGTAGCTGGGACTACAGGCACTCGCCACCATGCCTGGCTAATTTTTTGTATTTTGTATTTTTTTTTTTTAGTAGAGACAGGGTTTCACTGTGTTAGCCAGGAAGGTCTCGATCTCCTGACCTCGTGATCCACCCACCTCGGCCTCCCAAAGTACTGGGATTACAGGTTTGAGACAATATTTTTTATCTTAAATACATAATGTTTAAATTCCATCCCCACAATTATCATTCTCTCCCACTGCCTAGGAATACATTTAACCAAGGACGTGAAAGATCTCCACAAGGAGAACTACAAAACAAAGATGAGGTAATTGTAGATGACACAAACAAGTGGGAAAATATCCCATTATTATGGATCTGAAGAAGTAATATTAAAATGACTATACTGCCCAAAGCTATGTACAGATTCAGTGTAATCCCTATCAAAATATCAATGTCATTTTTCACAGAATTAAAAAAAAATCCTAAAATTCGTGTGGAACCAAAAAAACCTGAAGAGGTAAAGCAATCCTAAGCAAAAAGAACAAAGCTGCAGGTATCATATTACATGGCTTCAAATTATACTACAAAGCTATAGCAACCAAACAGCATGGTACAGGTATAAAAATAGATCAATGGAACAAAAGAAAGAAGCCAAAAATAAAGTCACATGTCTACAGCCAACTGATTTTGACAAAATCAACACAAATATACACTGGAAAAAGGACACCATTTTCACTCAGGGAGGCTGGGAAAATCAGGTATTTATATCCAAAAGAATGAAACTGAGCACATATCTCTCACCATATACAAAAATCAACCCAAGATGGACCAAAACTTAAATATAAGTTGTAGAACTATAAACATAGCAGAAGAAACCTGGGCAAAACTCTTTTGAACAGTTTGTCCACACAAAGAATTTATTAGTAAGACCTCAAAAGTACAAGTAACAAAAATAAAAATATAGAAATGGGTCTTATTAAACTAAAAAACTTCTACAGAACAAAAGAAATAATAAACAGAGTGAATAGACAACCTGCAGAATAGGAGGAAATATTTGCAAACTATGCATCTGACAGAGGACTGATACCTAGAATTTCCAAGGAACTAAAGCAACTCCATACACACACCAAAAAAAAAATAACCCCACCAAAAAGCGGGCAAAGATTGTTGTACAGATTATACTAAAAATAAATAAATAAAATAAAAAGTGGGCAAAGAACATGAACAGATATTTTTCAAAAGAAGCCATACAAATGGCCATGAAGCATATGAAAAAATGTGCAACATTATTAATCATGAGAGAAATGCAAATTAAAACCACAATGAGACACTATCTCACACCAGTCAGAATGGCAATTATTAAAAAGTCAAAAAATAACAGATTCTGGTGAGGAGGTGGAGAAAAGGAAACACTTATACACTGTTAGTGGGAACTAAATTAGTACAACCTCTATGGAAAAGAGTATGTAAGTGTTTCAAAGAACTAAAAATAGAACTACCCTTCGATCCAGCAATTCTACTGCTGGATATGTACACAAAGGAAAAATATTATATCAAAAAGATACCTGCACTTGTATGCTCAGAGCAGCACTTAGATTGATTCCATATCTTTGCTATTGTCCATCAATGGATGACTGAATAAAGAAAATGTGGTATGTATATAATGGATTACTCTTCAGCCATAAAAAGAATAAAATCCACAATAGTCCCATCTAACAAATCTGTACATGTATTCCTATATCTAAGATAAACTACAAAATTAAAAAATAAATAAAATCATGTCCTTTTTTTGAGACAGAGTTTCATTCTTGTTGCCCAGGCTGGAGTGCGATGGCAAGATCTAGGATCACTGCAACCTCCACCTCCTAGGTTCAAGTGATTCTCCTGCCTCAGCCTCCCAAGTAGCTGGGAATACAGGCATGCACTAACCACACCTGGCTAATTTTGTATTTTTAGCAGAGACAGGGTTTCACCATGTTGGCCAGACTGGTCTCGAACTCCTGACCTCAAGTGATCCACCCGCCTCAGCCTCCCAAAGTGCTGGGATTACAGGTGTGAGCCACCATGCCCAGCCTTGAAATCATGTCTTTTGCAGCAATGTGGATGGAAATGGAGGTTATTATCTTAAGTAAAATAAAAGAAACAAAGTCAAATATTCCATGTTCTCACTTATAAATGGGAGCTAAATAACATGTACTCATGGATATAGAAAGTGGAATAATAGTCATTGGAGGTCAGGCACGCTGGCTCAAGCCTGTAATCCCAGCACTATGGGAGGCTAAAGTGGGCAGATCACCTGAGGTCAGGAGTTCGAGACCAGCCTGGCCAACATGGTGAAACCCCGTCTCTACTATAAATACAAAAATTAGCCGGGTGTGATAGCGTGCACCTATAGTCCGAGCCACCCAGAGGCTGAGGCAGTAGAATTGCTTGAATCTAGGAGGCGGGAGGTTGCAGTGAGCCGGGATCCCGCCATTGCATTCCAGCCTAGGCGACAGAGGGAAACTCCATCTCAAAAAAATATATATATATAGTCATTGGAGACTCAGAAGGGTGGGTGAGTGGGAGGGTGTAAGGGATGAGAAATTACTTGGTGGATACAATGTGCACTATTCAGGTGATAAACCAAACTTCATCACCACCCAGTGTATCCATGTAACAAAACTACACTTGTACCGCTTAAATTTATACAAATAAAAATTAAAACATGCAAGACAGAGGACCTTAATTTTTCTTTTTTCCTTTTTTTTTTTTTTTTTTTTTTTTTTTGAGATGGAGCTTCACTTCACTCTTTTTGCCCAGGCTGGATTACAATGGCAAAATCTTGGCTCACTGCAACCTCTGCCTCCCAGGTTCAAGCAAGTCTCCTGCCTCAGCCTCTCGAGTAACTGGGCTTACAGGCGTGTACCACCATGCCCAGCTAATTTTTGTATTTTTAGTAGAGATGGGGTTTCACCATATTGGCCAGGCTGGTCTCGAACTTCTGACCTCAGGCGATCTGCCCACCTTGGCCCTCAAAGTGCTGGGATTACAGGTGTGAGCCACCGCGCCCAGCCAAAATCAGTTGTGAATTAGTTTTTAAACATATACCTGGCAGGGGTCCCAGGAGTGGGGGGACCATTATTGCATGCTTTGAAATTTGAGGGTCCCATTCTGCTTATTAATCTCTCGAGAGCAAAAAACAGAACAAACAAAAAACTCTACAATGCCTATGAGAAAATATTTTGGGTTTGTACTGGTGTTTTGTTTTACATGTGCTTAACACAGAATTTTGTTTTACTTGGTGGGGAGGCTGCGATCTAATTGCCTGGTTGTGACCAATTTTTCCCTAGATGCATAAAATTTTTCTTAAGACTGGCAGGCCACTAGGGATCACCTTGCCTGCCCATGTACCAGTTGAGTAATCCTTACAGAAGAGACTTTTTCTTCCAAGACACATCCCTCATAGAACATTGGTGACTGCCCTAATGGCTTTTTATTTTATTTTAATTTTATTTTATTTTATTTTATTTTATTTTATTTTATTTTAGACAGAGTCTTGCTCTGTCGCCCAGGCTGGAGTGCAATGGCGCGATCTCGGCTCACTACAACCTCTGCCTCCTGGGTTCAAGAGATTCTCCTGCCTCAGCCTCCCAAGTAGCTGGGATTACAGGTGTGCACCACCACGCCCAGCTAATTCTTGTATTTTTAGTAGAGACGGGGTTTCGCCATGTTGGCCAGGTTTGTCTCAAACTTCTGACCTCAGGTGATTCACCTGCCTTGGCCTCCCAAACCATTGGGATTACAGGCGTGAGCCACAGCACCTAGCCAATTGCTTCTAATATTTAAATTTTTTATAGTTATATTCATATGTCCTATATTTTTGTAATATGTGGCTCAAACCATGGTAAGTTCTCATATCACCTTTATGCACCTTTCCTAAAAACTATTGGGAAGATAGACTACTTTAAGATTCAAATAGTTTAGGTAGCATCAGTTTATCAATCAGTTCATTAGTAGAATTCCTTTCTGGATCATATGAACTTGGTGCTTTTGTGTATGTGAGGGACTCTGATAAACGTCTGTTTCTTTTATATATATTGTACAATTTAGAACTTCTATCTCTCTGGGGGTAAATGTTGATAAAATATATATTTATAGAATATATAACATCTACATTTGCAGGTTAAGTTACATTGGATTGCCCAAATTTGTTTCCATTTATTTTTCCTATCAGTATTGGACTTCAAGTTGCTGTTTGCACTGTAACCTGCTGACACATCCTTCTCAAGTTCTTGGCATGATCCCATTTCTCTATTCATAATCAAATGATAGTTTGGCTCAGGAATCTGAGGATTAGCAGAAAATTGGATTTTCCATAGGAGACCATCTCAGGAAAGCACAGACTCCGGCAAGACGCGTGTGCTCTGCTGCCAACCCCTCAGTCTGGACTCAGCCCTTCCTGCTCCCTCCTTGGGAGCCTCTTCCTGTTGCCTCCAAGGGATCGTGGAAAGCAAGAACCTCTGCCAAACACTCTCATCTCTCTGGAGATGCTCACTAGAAAATTATACTTGTTTTTGGTCATTGGTAACTGTGACAAAGTTTCTTTAAACTATCTTTAGCTCCCCAAGTGTGCACTGTCATTGTTGCCACAGGTGAAATGCTCATTGAAGTGCTGAGAAATGGTGAGGTCACAGGACAAAAACCCATATCTGAGAGCTGGCTGCCTCCCTCCGCACACTCATCTGCTGGCTGTCCTGAGCATAAACCTGCATTGTCCCAGCAGCAAGGGAAAAATCAGGTGAGTATTTTCTATTTCAGTCTAGAAGGCATAGCCTGCACCAGAAGGAAGTGTACTGGGAGATGGAGCAAAGGCTTTTGTCTGGGAAATGGGAATCTTCTGGGCTAGAAACTAAGTCAGTGCCAACACAATGCAGGGAAAGGGAAATAATCACTGGGTCATGGGCTGGACTCATGGAGAAGGAATGGAGGTCAAGACCATAAACCAGCCCCTAACTGCTTCTCATTTAATGTAATCCTCGCTGTTCATCATTGTTGGTTTCAATAAAGTCATTAAATCTTTTTTTGTTTGTTTGAGGCAGGGTCTCTTTCTGTTGCTCAGGCCAGAGTACAATTGTGGCCCACTGCAGCCTTGACTCAAATGATCCTCCCACCTCAGCCTTCCGAGTAGCTGGGACCACAGGCATGTGCCACAACATTCAGCAAATTTTAAAAAATTTTTTGTAGAGACAGGCTCTCCCTATGTTGCTCAGGCTGGTCTCCTGGCCTCAAGCAATCCTCTTGCCTCAACCTCCAAAAGTTTTGGGGTTATAGGCATGAGCCATCATACCCGGCCTATTTTTAAGTTCTCTAATATAATTTGGAAATTAATTTGCCAGCTGCTCTCTCTTATCTACATGAACATTTCTAAGATTTGTAGACTTGTTTCCATGACACCTCCATGCCTGTGATCATGTATAAGATGTAGCTGATTGAATTATCTTATTCTGTTCAGAAATAGTAAATATAGTGTTTTCACCAACTCTGTGCATAGAATATACCAAATGGAGACCGTAACTGTGCCGTGACAGAAAAAAAATCTGTTGTCTCTTTATTATGGTGAGGCTGTTTTCCTTCATGAAATCAGCAAAGAAAGGTAACTGACCTTAGGTTTTTGTATTCAGGAAAAAAGTTACACTCTTCAGCAGTTTTCAGAATTGCATTATTTTGTGATCTTTCCTCTGGTGTAAAAATGTTTTCATGCCATTCGCAGTCTCAGTGCTCATCTTAGTACTATTTTGAGTCAATGTACAATCTTTACCTCTAGTTTTTCTTTTGCATGGTGGACTCGTGTTTTAATATAGTGAACCAGTCTGACATTGAAATACTATATTTGATATTTTTGCATTCACAAATACTCATTTTCTTTCTACACTCATGGTAATTTAGTTTCTCCTGCAATGTTTTCCCTCCTACTCATTTTCCTGCTCCCTTGCTTAGCGCATGCCCATTCTATTGTATGCTCCTTCCTGGTTAAGATGGAAAAGAACCTCCTCTTTTAATTCCATTTGTGCATTCAATAAATTCCATTTGGTTTATATAATTATTCTTTTAAGGTTATACTAAAATCAGCCCATCTATATTTTACTTGGATCTCTAATCACTATAATGTTTGCCTAGAAAACAAGCAATGTTGTTTTCAATCACAATTGAAAAGAAAAACAAGACTCACAACCATTCTTTTAAAAACTCAAGAGATACAAAATATTTTTTTAAGTATGTGGATTGTTTTAAAAAATAAATATATCTGGGCCGGGCACAGTGGCTCATGCCTGTAATCCCAGCACTTTGGGAGGCCGTGGAGGGCAGATCACCTGAGGTCAGGAGTTTGTGACCAGCCTGGCCAACATGGTGAAACCCTGTCTCTACTAAACATACAAAAATTAGCCAGGTGTGGTGGCACGCACCTGTAATCCCAGCTACTCGGGAGGCTGAGGTGGGAGAATGACTTGAACGTGGGAGGCAGAGGTTGCAGTGAGCCGCGATGGTGCCACTGCACTCCACTCCATCTCAAAATAAATAAATAAATAAATATATCTGCTGCTAAGACAGCATAGTGGTCAAGTACACTAGCAGCTTCTGACACTGCCTCTTACAAGGAAGTGACTTTGGGAGTGTCATTCAGCTTTCCTGTGCCCAAGATTGCCTCACCTGTCAAATGGGAACAATAAAGCCCTTCAGAGAATTGTTGTAACAGTTATACATAAAACACTGTTATAACACTCTTATGCTAGGAATATGTATCTATATACACATATATATTTTTATAGCAAAACTCTCAGAAAAAGGAAAATGAAATTTAATAGGAAATTAATGGTTTGAAAACTATGGTCCACAAGAGTGGATTTCAGTTGTCATGGTACCACAGGCCTCCTGTTTTCATGCAGGATCTTCTCACTCTGAATAGGATGATCAGTCATTGAAAAATGGCAAATGGCCTCCAGGGATGTGACAATAGGAATGATCTTCTTATCTCAGGCCACAGTAGGATTCCTGGGCAATTGCTTTCTTCTTTATCATTATAGTTTCCTTTATTTCACCAGATGCACATTAAAGTCCACAGATCTGATTCTCCAGCACCTGACTATAGCCAACTCCTTGGTCATTCTCTCTAAAGGAGTCCCACAAACAATGGCCATTTCCTCAGTGACATTGGGTGCAAATTTGTTTTCTGTTTCCACAGAGTGGGCAGGGGTGTGTGCATGGGCACCACCTGATTTCTGAGTATCTTCCAGGCCATCACGATCGGCCCCACAAATTCCACGTGGGCAGAGCTGAAACTATAAGCTCCCAGATACGTTGGGGCCTTCACCCTCCTGTGCTAGGTGCTGAACATGCTGGTAAATACCATTTTTCTTAGGAGTATGACTGACAAGTGGAGTAACAAACATAACACACGGAAAAGAGATTTGGGATATTGTTGTGCAGTAAGTAATAACAGAATTACAGGATTACTACATACAACGTTGTCATGATCCTACGATGTTTTGTGTTTGGGCCTCATGACCTGGGCCAGCAGGTCCATGGTCTTTATTCGGCACAGGCACAGGGAGTGGGTCCAACACCTTCACAGGACTAACCTCCCCACCAGGTCCTCCCCTGAGTTCAGAGTGACCCAAAGCATCCTTGTTCTAGTGAGCACCTTTGCATCATTCTATACCCTCTCCTCTGTCTTCACACCATTTTTGGCTAAGTACCCTAACCCCAGCTGGTGGCTGGTGAACACGTCTGCACTGACCACTGCCTGTTTCCCCACAGTCAGCCCCTTTGTCCTCATGGGCCATGACCAGGGCATTCGGGCTCAGCTCTGCCTGATGTGGAAGGACTGGACAATCTCCTAAGCTAGTCGCATAGCTCTAATTTATGTGGGCTGTCTTGATTGTTTCTACACTGTGCAGTTATTTACTCTCCCTGTGCCGATGTTGAAGCGCCACTGTGAGCAGTCACATGACAGAGAGTGTGATCTGGAAACAGATCCTCTGCCTTCGTAGGATTGTCATGGGGTGAGAATGGCAGGTGTAGACTAAATGTTTTGAAAATGATTTTATAATTTTTTTTTTGAGACTGAGTTTCATTCTTGTCACCCAGGCTGGAGTGCAGTGGCGCCATCTCGGCTGACTGCAACCTCCGCCTCCCAGGTTCAAGCGATTCTCCTACCTCAGCCTCCTAAGTAGCTGGGATTACAAGCACCCGCTACCACGCCCAGCTAATTTTTTGTATTTTTAGTACAGATGGGGTTTCACCATGTTGGCCAGGCTGGTCACAAACTCCTGACCTCAGGTGATCCACCTGCCTCGGTCTCCCAAAGTGCTGGTATAACTTTCATTTATTAAACATTTTAGTGGAGAAGTTTAGAAGCTAAAAACTCTTTTCTCTTTTTTAAATGGGCCTCTAATAACTTGGAGACAATGGAAAGCTTATACGAGTATGTAATGTAGAACCGATTAATTAAAAATATCCTGAAATTAACTGGACACAGAAATATAAGAAGAGTTTAATAAAATGGAAAAGACTGAGTAATTGCTTATCAAGAAAGTGAAAAGGAAAAGCAGGAACACCACAGCAAGTGGCCTGGAATGAAGCATGAAGGAAAACGGTGTATCAGATACTGCAGGACATCAAAGACCAGTTTTGTCATTTTACCTTAAATCCTGAAAAGAAAGTTAATCATTTGAGATATGTGATTTTTTGGTGGGAAGAGAGTAGCATATTTTTCAAATATTTTCAGGTAAAAGTAAACAGAATGGCCTGGGTGGGGCAAAGTGAGCACAAGAATTTTTTTTTTTTTTTTTTTGAGACGGAGTCTCACTGTTTCCCAGGCTGGAGTGCAATGGTGTGATCTCGGCTCACTGCAACCTCCACCTCCTGGGTTCAAGCGATTCTCCTGCCTCAGCCTCCCGACAAGCTGGGATTACAGGCGCCTGCCACCACACCCGGCTAATTTTTATAAGTTTTAGTAGAGACGGGGTTTCACTGTGTTAGCCAGGCTCGTCTCAAACTCCTGACCTCAGGTGATCCACCTGCCTCGGCCTCCCAAAGTGCTGTGATTACAGGCCTGACCCACCATGCCCAGCCAAGAATCTTATCAAGAAGTTTTAATTAGAACTTGATTCACAGCTAATAAATATTAGAATTGTGGCCGGGCATGGTGGCTCATGTCTGTAATCCCAGCACTTTGAAAGGCCAAGGTAGGTGGATCACCTGAGGTCAGGAGTTTGAGACCAGCCTGACCAATATGGTGAAACCCCGTCTCTACTAAAAATTACAAAAATTAGCCAGGTGAGGTGGTGCATGCCTGTAATCCCAGCTACCTGGGAGGCTGAGGTGGGAGGATCGCTTGAACCAGGAGTCAAGAGGCTGCAGTGAGCCGAGATTGTGCTCCAGCATGGGTGACAGAACAAGACTTCATCTCAAAAAAAAAAAAAAAAAAAGAGGGAGAGGGATCATAGAGAAAACCAACTGGTTTTTGGAACACTTTGGAGGTAGAATATTCTGTATTCTTATCTCTCAAGTGATAATCTCAATTAGCCTGCTCCAAAGAAAGAAGTGGGATGAACCACACATTCTGATCTTTGGGAAGGAATCTATGGTGGAACCGTCCACTGTCCATGGAGGAGCTGAAGACAAGGTATCTGGGAAAAACGGCCATGGCTTCATTTTTTAGGGAAGATAATTGCTGGTTTGAATAGTAAGGGGGAACTTTTGACAGAATCATAAGATAAAATGTGCAGTTCTTTGACCACAGTGAAAAACTTTAACAGACCCTTTGTGATGTGATTATATTTGTGATAACACAGATAACATTTATTGATGATTCAAAATTTTCAACAATACGACACACATGCTTGTCCTAATTGACATATGCTGAATCTGAGCTTTGTATCACATTTTTCAGCACAATGAAACCATTGAAATATTTTGTTCTCAAAGAAAGTTGTTTTTTTTTTTTTTGCTTTTTCATGCTGGTTATTATTGATATAAAATAAAAAAAATAGGAACTTACAAGGCTTAATTATGAAAATACTTTGTTTTTATTATAAATGTCTGTACTTTTTGATAAAAACTCCAACTTTATAGTTTGAATGTAATTTTATTTTATTTTTTTTGTTATTATTATACTTGTTTAAGTACATGTGCACAATGTGCAGTTTACATGTGTACACATGTGCCATGCTGGTGTGCTGCACCCATTAACTCATCATTTAGCATTAGGTATATCAAAGAAAGTTTTTTTGTTTGTTTTGTTTTGTTTTGTTTTTTGAGACGGAGTCTTGCACTGTAGCCCAGGCTGGAGTGCAGTGGTGCGATCTCGGCTCACTGCAAGCTCCGCCTCCCGGGTTCAAACCATTCTTCTGCCTCAGCCTCCCCAGTAGCTGGGACTACAGGCGCCTGCCACCACGCCTGGTTAATTTTTTTGTATTTTTAGTAGAGACGGGATTTCACCGTGTTAGCCAGGATGGTCTCGATCTCCTGACCTTGTGATCTGCCCTCCTCAGCCTCCCAAAGTGCTGGGATTACAGGCATGAGCCACTGCGCCTGGCCTCAAAGAAAGTTTTACCAAGCATAAAATATTTTAATCAAAGAGATTAGCTTTGCTACTTATAATGTAATAATATTTGTAAATAATATATTAAAGAATTTTAAATTTTAAAGATTAAAACTAGGCAATATTCCTAATATTATTTTTTACACGAGAAGACAATATAACTCCTCCAAATCAAAGTTGTGCACGCTATTTGATTCAAGAGTTTTAGGCAAAATAAGATAACTGCAAATTCAATTACTAGAATAAAGGATGCCGACAATATGCATGCTTAATGTCAGTCTCTGGAACTTATACATAGAAGCATAGGCTAAATACAGTAATGTGTAACAACAAAGCATAAGGTAGACAGTAAAATATAGAATAATTATTACATAGAATATAACAAAAAAGGAATAAAATTATGATAAAATACACAGACCTAGTGCAATGGTGAGAAAAAGATGAAGAGACTAACTTAAATATTAATAAACACGATTAAAACAATTGATAGTTTTTAAACCCGTAGAGACTAATATAAACAACCTTATGGTAATAAATTAGAAAACAGAGAAAAGTGATTTCTATATAATATAGTTGCCATTCTATGGCTGCACTCATCACTGCCTGTTTTCCCACAGTCAGCCCCTTTGTCCTCATGGGCCATGACCAGGGCATCCAGGCTTAGCTCTGCCTGCTGTGGAAGGACTAGACAATCTCCTAAGTTAGTCGCATAGCTCTAGTTTATGTGGGCTGCCTTGATTGCTTCTACACTGTGCAGTTATTTACTCTCCCCGTGCCGAGGTTGAAGCACCACTATGAGCAGTCCCGTGACAGAAAGTGTGATCCAGAAACGGAGCCTCTGCCCTCCTAGGAGGTGTCAACTCAACTCAACTGGGAATAATTAGAAACTAAAAAAAATTTTTTTTTTAATATTTGGAAGCATTCACCAAAAGTGGTCATTGTTTTCAATGACACTTTTTCCCATGTTTTTCAAGTTTAGGTATTCATCTTTCAAATCCATTTCATTAATCATGAAAAAAAAGAAAAGCCATGGAAAGACTGTGTGTGCTATTAGATCCACTATACCCAAACTTTTAAAATAGGCCAGGAAGAATTATGAATTTTGACATAAAATTACTAGCTAAGTATACAAAATGATGACAGATGGTTTATTTCAAAAAGGGTGCAGAGTATGCTAATAAGAAAATCAAATCTATCATCCAGTACATTGCAAATAAATGAGACAACTACATTCACTGAGGAAATCATTTTATACCCTTGTAAATGTCCTTCATGTGTAAATTAACTTGGGATAAATATTCTGAGGACTTTCAATTATTAGTGATGACAACACATCAGGATAGAGAAATAAATGATACAAGAGGGCAATGAGCACAGAAGACATTCTCAACATCCACTTCACCCCTGTTAGTATGGGTGTAGTTCAGAAGACAGACAAGTGTGGGGGAAAACATGAGGAAACTAGAGCCCCATGCAGTGCTGGGGGGTTGGTGAAATGAGGCAGCCATTTTGGAAAACATTTTGGAAGTTTCTCCCAAGGTTAACATAGGGTTATCATATGGCCCAGCAATTCCACTCCTGAAGATATACCCAACAGAAATGAAAACATATGCCCACACAAAGACTTGATATGCTTTTCATACGAGGATTATTGATTATCACCAAAAAGTGGAAACCACCCAAATGTCCCTCAATGGAAGACTAGATACACAGCCGAGACACATTCATGCAATGGACAATTAGCCATACAAAGGAATGAAGCACTGATATGTGCCTCTATATGGACGGCTATTTAAAACAACATGATCAATGACAAAAGGCAGACATCAAAGCCAGAGACTTTATTAATCTAGTTGTATAAAATGCCCAGAATAGGCAAATCCATAGGAACAGAAACTGGATTAGTGGTTACCAGGGCCTTGGGGAGTGAGGGGAGCAATAGGAAACGAGCACTTAATGGGTGTGAGGTTTCTTTTGGGGGTGTCATACTGTTCTGGAACTACATAGTGATGATTGTAAAATCTTGTGAACACAACAAAAAGCACTGAGTTGTAAATTCTAACATGATTAATATATTAAATGTTATATAAATTTTATCTTAATAAAAAGAATTAAATAAACTCCAAACCCTTGTGCCAAAAGTGGAAACAGCTTTTCAGCTATAAATGTGGCAAAAAACTCATCAACATGAAATTAACAGAATGGAAAATTGAAATGAGAAAAGCAGAGTCAACAAATTTCCACTGATGTTTTGCAGTCACGCAGGAGAGCCAAGAAAAGACACGCCCAGGCTTCAGTTATGCATTTGATGCAACTTTCTGTCATAGAAATTTATCTGGTCCTAGTAGTTGAATCAATTGGGCATATTGGTGTGACCTTAAAAATGCTTAAAATACATCTTTTTAAAAAAATTAAGTCTGGCACTCATAAAGATACAAACACATGTTAAAATATTTTATTTAACTTATAAGAGATTAGCAGATACAATAACCAGTAGAAAAAAAGAATCCAACAAACAGAGGAATATTAACCAGGAGTATTTAAATGAGTATGTAAATGGGAAGAAAGCTCATTTCCTTCCTCTGTGAGAGGAGAGAAAATTGACCCTGGACTGGACAACACATTGTGCATGTCTATCAGTGACCTAAAACTTAAAAAGGGTTGCAAAACACACATTGAGTGCAGACTAGAGTCAGATAACCTGGCGTGGTATCTTCTAAAGAGGGTAAGGTTTTCCACTGAAGAACACATTTTTCTTTTTTCTTTTTTTTTTTTTTTTTGAGATAGGTCACTCTGTCACCCAGGCTGGAGTGCAGTGGTGCAATCTCGGCTCACTGCAACCTCTACCTCCTAGGCTCAAGCAATCCTCCCACCTCAGCCTCCCGAGTAGCTGTGGCCATAAGCGATGCCACCACACCCGGCTAATTTTTTGTATTTTTGCTAGAGACGGGGTTTTGCCATGTTCCCCAGGCTGGTCTCAAACTCCTGAGCTCAAGTGATCCACCTGCCTCAGCCTCCCGAAGTGCTGGGATTACAGGCATGAGCTACCACCAGCCAGAACGCATTTCTTTCTACAATAAAAAGTCAAATGAAAGGTTAGGTTTGGTCACTAGGATGACCAGGGTCCTATCATGGGCACTTCTAGGCCAAGTGGACACCAATGGCATCCCAGTGAGGGGCTGGCCCACAGGAACACAACGGTGGGAGTGAGCACTGGCATCTTGAGTGGCCCAGGCCAGGGGCAGGATCAAGCTGGGCCAATCGGAGCAAAGCTCCCTGTCTTCATCCTTTTTGTGCTGCTATCACACAACCTAAGAATGGATAATCTATAAAGAAAAGAGGTTTATTTAGCTCAGGGTTCTACAGGCTGCGAACTATAAGAGGCATGGGGCTGGCATCTGCTCGGCTTCTAGAGAGGACCTCGTGCTGCCTCCACTCATGGTGGAGAGTGGAAGGTGTGTGCAAAGAGATCACACGGCAAGAGGTGAATCAAGAGAGAAACCAAGAGAGCCAGACTCTTTCTAACAACCTGCCCTTGCAGGAAATAATGACAGTGAGAACTCACCCCTGGAAGAGGGCATTCTTTATGAGGGTCCACACCCATGACCTAAAATCCCCCACTAGGGCCCACCTCCCAACCCTGCCACATTGGCATCAAATTTCACAAGAGATTTTTTATTTTTGTGTTTCTGAGATGGAGTCTCGCTCTGTCACCCAGGCTGGAATGCAGTGGCATGATCTTGGCTCACTGCAACCTCCACATCCCAAGTTCAAGCAATTCTCCTGCCTCAGCCTCCCGAGTAGCTGGGACTACAGGTGCGCACCACCACGCTGGGCTAATTTTTGTATTTTTAGTAGAGACAGGGTTTTGCCATGTTGTCCAGGCTGGTGTCTCAAACTCCTGACCTCAAGTGATCCCCCCATCTCAGTCTCCGAAAGTGCTGGGATTATAGGTGTGAGCCACCACACCCAGCTCAACATGAGTTTTGTTGGGGACAAATAACATCCGAGCCACACCATTCACCAAACCTTGTGTCTAGAAAAAGGAGACTTTTAGAGGTCCTATAGGCTTAGGAAGCTGCCTGGCACCCTCTCAGCAGGAGCAGAGCTGCCATACCCCCTGAACTCTGTGGACCCCTCTCGTGGGAGATCCACTGTGCCCAGTGGCTTGGCCCATGCACGCCTGATTTCCTCACTGCCACTGTTGAGGACCTGATGGCTGACACCTTGGTGGGTAATAAAGCCCACAAAAGCCACAGAAGGTGCAGCTATATTGTAATATAATATAAAGTGTATATATAAAAATTATACATAATAGGTATTATATAGTGTAGGTACATATATATGTAAATATTCTGGCCAAAGACATGTATTCAAGTGGTTACTAGTTATTAAATATTCATGATCATACTTATTTATAAATACATTTTATTACAAACACAGTTACTCATCTCAGATGAAACACCTAATCCGTCTAATCATTACATATTTTACAGAGCTTCATAGAGTTATCAGTGGCTGAATAAATGCTTTTTGAGATAAAATATATTCCACGTAAAGTCTTATCCAAGAGATAGACTCAAAACCCATGTAAGTCTTTTTTTTTTTTTTTTTTTTGAGATGGTGTTTCAATCTTTCCCCCAGGCTGGAGTGAAGTGGTACGATCTCCTCTCACTGCAACCTCCACCCCCCCAGGTTCAAACGATTCTCCTGCCTCAGCCTCCTGAGTAGCTGGGATTACAGGCACCCACCACCACATCTGGCTAATTTTTATATTTTTAGTAGAGACAGGGTTTCACCATGTTGGCCAGGCTGGTCTCAAACTCCTGACCTCAGGTGATCCACCCACCTCGGCCTCCCAAAGTGCTGGGATTACAGGCGTGAGCCACCGTGCCCGGCCTGAACCCATATAAGCCTTACAGGCACTTTCATGGACTGCATTAAGATAAAAATGGGTGTCTCCCTCCTTCCCAGTGAAGTAAAAAAAAAAGTTACAAATAGGTGTCCCGTCAAATGTTGTAACAATCTTAACCCCATTCTCATGAGTGGCAACGTTTGAGGTTTTCTCCTGTTCATCAAAGGCTCAAATGACACCCTCTGCTGCTTGTGGCATTTTCGTAGAGAGCTGGCATGAGGCTGCCTAGCTCACCTAAAGTACGATCAGATGACCTGTCTTTGAGATATCAGTTTACCATTTACCAGCCATTTAATCCTGTCTATTTATTTATTCCATCTAAACGGCAGTTTCCTCATGTAAAATAAGGATAATGAGTTCCTCCATTGTTGAGTTAGCCCAAAGAATAAGTCACCCAGAGCCTATAACCTGCTGTTAGCACACGGCTTGGCACACCATGCCCTGAGTAAACAGTGCATCTGTCTTCTGTATACTCCAGATACTCACGTGTGCCTCCCAAAGACGCACCTGGGCTGGGTCCTCATATAATTCCCGGATTCTTGAGTCCCAGGCTATGAAACCACACCCTACTGAGCTTTGTAGCATGTCAATCAGAGGAGGAGGACAGAGCTGGGTGAGTGAAGTGCAATCCACGCTGGTTTCCTCTCTTCCCCACTGCCTGGTGACCCATGCACTCCGCCTCTTCCCACCATCAGTCAAAGCAGCAGGACCTGGCTTGGCTTTGCCTCCTTTGCAAAGATGACCTAAGAATGAGATAAGTACTATTGGGATTGTGCTTAGAATTCATTGAATATGTGCTTCTATAATACAAAAGGCTTCATTGTCACATAGTGTTCATTAATACCCATATTTACAGAACTCTCATTGGTCATATGTCACCCAAACAAATTTTTGATTTACTATAGAGAGCCATGAAGCACGCTTAGCATTAGCTCAGTAAGCACAGACCATGGTGATTCACACCTGTCTGAGTCAGGGGCTGACTTAAGATTGCACCATCCCCTGTGCAAGGGTGTGGAGGCACAAGGGGCCAGAAGGGGCTAGGGTGAGGAGAGGGTTTGGGTGATGGGATTTTTCTCTAAGGGTTGTGCTACCTTCTCCCCTGTGGGCATCCCAGCATTTGGAGAGCACCCAGGATCCGGAATTTACTCCTTTCTGCCCATTTGCCACCACTCTAGACCCTACAGTCCTCTGGGGCTTCCACCTACCCTGCACCCAGAGCTCCCCGTGTGCTCCAGGGGACTACACAGGATGGTTAACTGAACACCTATCTCCAAAGAGTTACTCTCCTCTCTCAAATACCCATTCATACTTGGCTTAATCTTTCAAGATGCTGAAGTTGGATACTGGTGGATGGGTGATTACGGAGTGCAGAGGGAATGGGCACCTCCATGCTGGTAAGAAAGCCACTAACAAAGCACATTTTCCTTTAGTTTCTAGCAGCCTCTTGCCACTCACAGATCAACCATATCAACTTCTAGTGCTTTGGATTCATTCAAGGCTCAGTGTCAGCTCTGGGGACCCCTTACCCCTTTTTCCTAGCAGGAGAAACATGAACAAGCAAAGTACTCAGGCTGCTTGTTTCAATCCTGTCTCACCCACTCGTCGCTACATTCGCAGACAGGACAGTGCAGGACACTCATCCCCACCTTGCTCACCACTTGGCCAAGAGAATTCACAGGTCCTCTTACCAGGCCTACAAAGGGGCCAGAAAGTCATCTCTCAGCATCCCAGCCTCATTACCAAAACTTTCCATAAGTGTGCAGCTTCTTCAATTCCATCCTATTGTAAGTCGTCATATTAACCTGCCATTTTCATGGATGCCGGTAGAAGCCATGGGATATTAGCTCCTTTTCAGGAGTTTGATTTGCAAAGACTCTCTCCTATTCCTTAGGTTATCTCATCACTCTATTTCCTTTGCTGGGCAGAAGCTTTTTGCTTTGATGTAATCCCATTTGTCTTAATTTTTCTTTTGTTGTCCGTACTTTTGGGGGTCACATCCAAAACACTATCACCCAGACCAATGTCATAGAGATTTTCCCCAGTGTGTTCATCTAGTCGTTTTAGTTTCAGGGAGTGTGGTCACCACAGACATTTTCTGAAATAACACTGCTGTCAGCATAGTGTAAGAGTAACATTCAAGAGACATCTGTAATACCTATGTCTTTTTTTTTTTTTGAGACGGAGTTTCGCTCTTGTCTCCCAGGCTGGAGTGCAATGGCACAATCTCGGCTCACTGCAACCTCTGCCTCCCAGATTCAAGCCATTCTTCTGCCTCAGCCTCCCAAATAACTGGGATTACAGGCATGCACCACCACACTCAGCTAATTTTTGTATTTTTAGTAAAGATGGGATTTCGCCACGTTGGTCAGGCTAGTCTCAAACTCCTGACCTTAGGTGATCCGCCCACCTCAACCTCCCAAAGTGCTGGGATTACAGGCATGAGCCACCACACCTGGCCTGTAATACCTCTCTTTAAGCATTCCTTAAGTGCATTACGGTGCAGTCATCACATCACTCACTGCCAAAACATTGTTCTTAACATAGTATGTATGTAGAATACCACAAAGCAGCTTTAAAACACGTGTCTTAGTACTTTGCTATAGGCATTATTTTATGGTCATCACATCCATTCTTTGAAACAACACTGTATGCGACATAGTGTACAAGTAGCCTTGTAAGAAATATCTTTTAAACAAGTGTCTTTTAGCCCAACTCTGCATGCATTAGAGTGTGGGCTTCACCTCCACCTGAAGTAACACTGTTCTCCACATGGTGTATGAGAAACATGATGACAAACAGCTGTGAAATGTGTGTCTCTGCATCCACCTCATGCATTACTTGGGGGTTTTCATATCCGTTCTGTGTAATAAGACTACGACAACATAGTGTACGTGTAGCATTCTTAGAAATATCTGTAAACATGTGTCTTTTAACGCTACATACAGAGTGCTCACCACATCCATTCTTGGAAATGACACTGATCTCAACATAGTGTGTACATAGCTTTCTCAGAAACATCTTTAAATATGTCTTTACACTATAGGCATTATTGTGTTACCACCATATCCAGTCTCTGAAATAAAACTATTTGCAACATAGTGTATAGAAAGCATTCTAAGAAACAGCTTTTAAACATGTTATAGTCACCATGTCTATACTGTTAAAATAACATTCTCCCAACACAGTGTGTGAGTAGCATTCTAATCAACTGGGTTTTTTTTAAATTTTTTATTTCTCTTCTTCCTTAGAATTAGGCATAACTATGTATCTCACAGGTTGGTGTGATAAACCAAGCAAATAATACTTGTCTAGTACCTAGCATTTAGTTAGGGCCGAATGCATACAGCTACTGGTATTTATTTTACCAGATACATATTTTAATTATTTTTCATAAATTTACAGCTAAGCCCAAGTGCATATTGATTAATCCTGATGCATATTATAGAATAATAGTATGCTAGGAGATTGGCTGTTGAGTACTCCCCAGAAGTAGCCAAACTGCAAAGTCTCATGGCACATTCCTTAAGACTGCCTTTGCAAGCTTGGGGTGTTCACAAAACCACTGTCAGATACAGTAATTCACAGAAGGACTCACAGAGCTCAGTGGAAGCTATTATACTCATGGTTATAGTGTATTACAGGGCAAGGGTACAAACTCATATCAGCCAAAGGAGGAGACCCACAGAGCTGAGTCTGGGAGATTTATAAATGCAAAGCTTCCACTGTCCTCCGGATGTGTTAGCCTACCTGCATGGATACACAACAACACACTAGGAGTATTTTTAGCTAGGGAAGCCCACCCACACTCTGCTGTCCAGAGATCTGACCGGGGCTTTCCTATGTAGACATGACTGACTGACTGATGATTTCTCACATGGGTCAAGTCAGTCATCAGGTAAACAAACTCATATCAGGGGACCAAAGCCACTACCCTAGGTTACATGATTGGTCTTTCTGGCATAATCACCCCATACCCTGAGACTGTTAGGTGTGGGCAGCCTCTCCATTAGATCCAGTGTGGTCAGCCCGGCTCTACACAAGGACACTCTGTCAGGTGTGATATGGGTTACCTCCCTGAAGTCAACAGAAGGGGCCAGACCTCTCTTTGGGCAAAGCCAAATTACTTACTATGCAGATGTCTTGCCAGAAATGTACAAAGAAGATGATGTGTTTTGTTTTTGCTGCATTATTTTATTTCATAAGAACCCAGTAAACTGAATACAGTAATATAAAGTATGAAGTAAATACACAATGTTGCTATTAGAAAATTTTCAAAGTATAAGCTTCAATAGTCAATATCATAATGGTGTTCTGTTATCAAAGTTTTATTAATTGACAAATAAAAATTGTATATATGTATGTGCGCAACGTGATGTTTTGATATATGTATATATTGTAGAATGCCTAAGTCCAGCTAATTCACATAATCCTCACTTAACAAACTTTTATTGTTGTGGGGAGAACACTTAAAATCTACTGTCTCAGCAGTTCTCAAGTGACTTCTCTCTGCAGGTTCACAGACGTAAACACATTGTTGTTAACTCTAGTCACCATGTTGCACTATGCAGCTCTTCAATTTATACCTCCTGTCTAACTGGACTTTTGTATCCTTTGACCCACATCTCCTCAATCAACTCGTCTGCCCCTGACAATCTCCATTCTACTCTCTGCTTCTGTGAATTCCTTTTTTGGATTCTACATAAGTGAGATCATGTGGGATTTGTCTTTCTGTACCTAGTTTATTTCAGTTAATGCCCTCCAGGTTTATCCATGTTGTCACAAATGACAGGATTCCCTTTTCTATTTTTAAAGGCTGACTAGTATTCCATTGTCAATATATACCACATTTTCTGGATTCATTCATTCATTCATGAACACTTAGGTTGACTTCATAAGGTTGGCTCTTATGAACAATGCTGTAATGAACACTGGAATGCAGATATCTCTTCAATATGCAAAATCCATATCCTTTAGATAAATACTTAGCACAGCTGGATCATATCACAGTTCTATTTTTAATTTTTTGAAGAACCTCCATACCGTTTCCCCTCCCGGCTGTACTAATGGGGTTCTCCAAGGATTTGGATGGGAGTCTGTCTGGGAATAGGGGGCCTCTAGGCTCTCTGTGGCCACCCCTACTGCACACCCACTGCCAGCTGCCTCTCTCTCTCCTCTTACAGATGGCCTGAACACGGCCCCCTCCATCACTTCCTGCCCCTCCACTGTCAAACATCTCACACAGGAGCCTCTGTCACGGTCCCCGCCCAGGACCTTCTCACCCCTGTTGGCAGTTACATCCCATCCCTACAGTTTGGAGCTTCACCCATGTCCACATATGACCACGGGTGGACAGGACCCGGGGCCCAGGAACCCATCGGCAAAGGTTGCCTATGTCCTCTGCCCAGGCCAGCCGCATGCACCCCCCTTTTCGCCAAACCAGGGGCTGTGGCCCAAACCTGTGGCCGAATAGACCTTCCTTGGGCTAGGCCTGCCCTGCTCTCTAGGGGAATGACAGAGATGGGGGCTAGGCCTACCCTGCTCTCTAGGGGAATGACAGAGATGGACCAAGAACGCAAACGATCTCTATACCTACTGGACCCATCCTGCAAAGCGTGCCTGCTAGTCCCAAGGCAGCCGCCAACGTGGGGCCTCGGGCCCTTTGGCCTGCTCTTTACCAATGCTCGAAACAAACGGAATGTTTGGTCAAGCCTCAGCTCTTACTGCAGGCATGGAGGAAAAGGGCACACTAAAGCCACGAGCGCACGAGGCTTCTACGGGCAGGCCCGGGTGCGGAGTCCCGGCTCCCTCCAGCAGGTGATGGCGCTTGCACTGGGCTCCACACTGAGGGATAATAAGGCCTGGCCTGGGCCTGTCAGAGAGCCGAGGGGCGCAGGAAGTTGAAAGGACCGTCTCCTGGGGCATTTGCTGCTGCTCTGGCTGCAGGACCTAGGCAGGAAGTCGGAATGACTTCCTCTTGGGCCGGGGGGGAGCCCCTTGAAGGTCTCTGTGCATGCGGGCTTGTGTGTGTGTGTGCGTATGTGTATGCTCGTGTCTGTGTCCTTGCACGTGTGCATTTGTGCGTATGTACTCGTGCATGTTTATGCGTGTGCTTGTGTGCACTTGTGCGTGTGCACTTGTGCATGTGTGCTTGTGTGTGCTTATGCATGTGCATGCTTGTGCGTATGTCCTTGTGTGTGTTTCTACACACTTGTGCATGTGTGCTTGTGCGTGTGTTTGTGTGTGTGCTTGGTGTATGTGTGCTTGGGTGTATATGTGCTTGTGTGTGTGTGCTTGTGTGTGCTTATATCTGTATGCTTGTGCATGTTTGCTTGTATTTGCATGTGTGCATGTTTGCATGTGTGCTTGGGTGCGTATGTATGTGTGTGCTTGTGCATGTATGCATATGTGTATGCTTGTGTGTGTGGTGTGTGTGCTTGTCTGTGTTTGCACGTGTATGTTTGTGCATTGTGCTTGTGTGTATTCATGTATGTGTGTGCATGTGTGTGTGCATGTGTGTGTGTGCTTGTGCATGTGTGCTGCTGTGTTTGTGCTTTTCTCCTCTTTTTGCATGAATCTGTGGACTCTATGAAACGCTTTGCTGATTCTTATGAATACTGAATAAGAGCAGGCCTAAGGGCCCCAGGCCCAGCAAGTCAGGTTTCCTTGAGCCTAGAGGACATACGCAGTCTGTTCAACGGGATGAGGGGTTGTGTCCTGGGTGAGTCCCTGTCTGGCAGAGGCCATTTCATTCTCCCAGAGAGTAGCCCAGGTCTAGTGGAGAGAAGGGATGTAGTTTGGGCGGGGCGCCTACTGGGGAATATTGGGAGCTCCCGCGAATGGCCAGGGTTCCCCAGCGGTGGATTCTGATGGAGGAAGTGGGGAGCCTTCACCAACGTGGGTGCCTGGTTGGGGGTCCTTACCCCCCTGGTCCTTTGTGAATATGGGTGAAGCCCCAAACTGTAGGGACGGGATGCCACTGTCAGCTGGGGCCATCCGATGGCCTGGGCACAGAGAAGTGACATAAACTTGGATGTGAAGTTCAATAGCGGAGGGGCAGAGGTGTTGGAGAGGGCCGTGCCCCAGCCACCAGCTGGAGGAGAGAGAGGAGTTTGGCTGGGGTGGGCATTCCGGAGGGGCGGGCACGGAGGTCAAAAGTCTCAAGGACCGGTGCGGTGGCTCATGCCTGAAATCCCAGAACTTTGAGAGGCCGAGGCCAGAGGATCGCTTGAGTCCAGGAGTTTGAGACCACCCTAGGCAATAGAGTGAGCCCCGTCGCTAGACCAAAAAAAAAAAAAAAGTTTAAAAAAATTAGGCGTGTTGGCGCGCCTGTAGCCTGGGAGGCTAAGGCGAGAGAATGGCTTGAGCCAGGGAGGTCGAGGCTGCATTGAGCCATAACTGCGCCATTGCACTCCAGCCTGGGCAACAAAAGAAGACCCCGTCTGGGGGGCCGTGGGGTGTGGCGGACGCCTAGAGGGCGCGGTATTCACAGGTGTTCTTCCATCAGAGTCTTTGAGGCTGGATTTCACTTGCTTCCGCGCGCAGCAGAAGAGCCCGGAACGTTCCTGGTGGGGCAGTGGACGGCTCCGGGAGCCTGCCTGGCGTGGCCTAGACGCTAAGCTGCAGCCGCGGCCAAACCGCCTGCTAGGCCTGGGCGCAGCTCCTCGCGCTGGTCTGGGAGCCCATTTTCAGCCCCACCCAGCCCTGTGGGTCAAGGTCGAGGCCCTGCCTCCGGGGCAACCTCCAGGGGCGCGGGGCCCCAGAGCTGCGTCCCTCACTGGGCTCTCCCTGGCCACCCCTCACGCCAGGGCCCTCCTGCCTGTGCAAGCCACAATTCAGTGGGCGTCTTCCTACAACTTGCATCGCTGCCTCCTATTACAAAGACAGACGGTTTGTTTCTCCCCCGGACAACGCCAATGAACAGAATCCAGGTGGCGTGGTCACAAGGACAGCCATCCCGCTCAGTGCCTCCTCGGTGACGCACCCCGCCCTTTAAGACGTCTCCAGTCTTTGCTCTCCATTCACGCTGCACCTCCCTGCTGTGACAGTGTTAGTGGCCAGTGTCCTCTTAGTGTCCTTTGACAGGAAAGCATCACCTGGGGTTGTCACACTGCCGGGCTGTACCTCTGCTCAACCAGCTGTGACCTGGACAGAGCCGCATAGGATGTAGGGAGAGGGAGGCACCAGTTTGTAGCCAAATGACACTCAGACTGTGACCAAATATCAGAATAGAAACTCTCGTTTATGGAAGTATAGGTGTGACTACATATACGATAAAATACAAGAACAGCTGACCATGAAAGGTGGAAAATCAGAAAAAGAACTGATTTCTACAGAAAAATTTCCAGTAGTCAGAGTAGGATTCCACCGAACCGCAAATGGTAATGGACACTGTGGGAAGCCACAAGCTCCTCCTGACAGTGGGCAAGACAGCTGTCCTCACATCTAGCACTTTGGATGGAATTCTGGAAAGAACAGCCAGCAGGTGATGGCGTATTTTGCCTATTACAGTCTTTTGACAAACACAATTAGATAAGGCATTTATGAAGTCCGAGGCATTTTATGGCATAATGCAAACATCTAGCATTTCCATTAACTTTGTTTTTTGTTAGTTTGTTTTTGTTTTTGTTTTTTTTGTTTTTGAGAGAGTCTTGCTCTGTCACCCAGGCTGGAGTGCAGCGCCGTGATCTCAGCTCACTGCAACCTCCACCTCCCAGGTTCAAGCAATTCTCTGCCTTAGCCTCCAGAGTAGCTGGGATTACAGGTGCCTGCCACCATGCCTGACTTTTTGTATTTTTTGGTAAAGAAGCAGTTTCACCATGTTGGCCAGGCTGGTCTCGAACTTCTGACCTCAAGTGATCCACCCACCTTGGCCAAAGTGCAGGAATTACAGGCGTAAGCCACCACGCCTGGCCAAGCATTTCCATCCACTTTGAATTTGGAAATGCATGTAGCTTGAAGAACAATTTTAAAATGAATGCTCAACAGAAACCTATTACTAAAAGAAAAATGCTGGCTTACTACATTCTAGTGAAAACTGATAGATTACACAAATATGTAACTGGTAAGTTTCCCCACTTAATTTCAAAGCTTACCAAGAGGTGTGATAAAGACTTTAAAAGCTGGAATTATGCCAGAAGCTTCATTATTAATAGGGTCATGGATTATATGGTGTATTGCTTAGCACTTTTAAAACTCTATCCCTAATTTTGTTTTGCTTTCTTTCTTTAGAGACAGAGTCTTGCTCTGTCACCCAGGCTGGAATGCAGTTGTGCAATCATAGCTCACTGCAGCCTCGAACTCCTAAGCTCATGGGATCCTCCCACCTTAGCCTCTCGAGTGCCTGGGCCTATAGGCACACGCCACTGCACCCAGTTACTCCTAGTCTTCTTAGAATCCATACAAAGATCTGTTTGTGAAAGGCAGTTTGATATGCTAAGAAATTTACTCAAAGTCCATTTGTCTCCCCCATTTATTTGGAAAACAGAATTACATTAAAAGGAAAAAGTAACAGCATGTTGAAATTTCACTTAAGTCGATACCCTTTGATACAAACTGGGTTATTATGCATTTATAAAAGATGCCCCTTGTTGGCCATGGAAAAGATACATTTTATGATCTACAGCGGCAGTATATTCACTTTAAGTAGGAATTAGGAATATAAATGCAAAAAAAAATTAAAATGTCACATTTTCTCTCCCCATTCTACAGAATAGAATTTTTTTGCTCCATTACTTAGGAGCTCGCACCTCCCTGCCTCCCTGTGAGATGCCATGCACCTGTTGCAGCTGTCAGCGGTTGTTGCCCCCTGACCATTCCTCTGCTCTACCCCTTACCCCAACACACTCCCTCTTCCCTTCCCAAAGGAAACCAATCTTGTGCTGGGGGTCGCCTTCCTCCACACAGCCACGGGCTCGGACAGTTCCCTGTCCCTGCTGGTCTTGGGACAAGCGAGGCGCTTCTAGCTGATAGGACAGGAGGGGAGGCTGCTGAGAGGCTTCTGGGAAGCATTTCCTGTTGAAGGGGATTATGGCACACCCTTCGTGGGAGGAGAGGGGATGCCTGGTGTCGAGCACCTGGGCCACCAGCAGCTGCCTCCGCTAGCTAACAGCAAGCTCAGGCTGGGTCTGGCCTCCCGCAGGACTTAGAGAAGCTCCCCTGTAGCCCAGCTGACTCCGGAGTTCCTTCCTTACAGCTCAAGACACCCAAGTTGATGTAACCCACAGTTTGAGAAATGCTTCTAGAAAACTCACCTGGAGAGGCCCAGCTCAGCTTTCCCTGCTGAACTTTGGGATGACACAGCTGGGACCATCCACAGTGACTCACTGAAAGAAAAGGGTGGCAGGAGGAGGAATGACGACTGTCCCCACACGGCCCCAAGAACATTTCATGGGCACCCCGGATACATGCTCATCTTACCAGCACTTAAATATTTATTTTAAAAATCCACATCATTTTGCTTTAAAAATGTTTATTCAGCGCCTGCAATGTAGAAGGCACTGTGTTTGGCACCATGAGGAATACAGAAACCAACAAGGCATGATTCTTGCCTTAGGAAGCTCACAGTCTAGCGTGGGAAATTAGAAATTGCACATGCACACAGGTAACTGTCACACCAGGCAGGAAGCACTAAATGCTGTGAGATTGATACCAACATTATAAGAACCCAGAGGAAGAAAACACTATTTGGGGATGAGGATAAGAGATTAGAGAAGTTCCCTTAGAAGTAGGGGGTTTAAACATGACAGATCAAATGTAGATAGGAAAAAATTCAGAGGAAAATGTAATCGGGGAAGGCTCTAATTAAAACCAGAAGCAGGAGGTACTTCTGTGATGTGATGGAGGCAGGAGAAGCCCCGCTGGGCTGGATTCAGAGGGGAGGGGAGACAAGAGGATGGGGAGGTGGAGGAGAGAGCAGGGAGTGGAGTGGGAGGGGAGGCTGGAAAGATGTGTGGGGATCAAGACGGGAAGGTGAGTATGTGAGTATGTGTGCCAGACAATGGTGTTTCCATGTCAATGGAGGTTTCTCAGAGAGAGGTGATCTGGCTGGAGAAAGCTTAATCTGGTGGCAATGGACAGGTGACTTTAAGAAGTGGGGAACGAGGGAAGGAGGCCAGTTTGAAAATGATAACAAGGGTCCAGACTCAGTGATGCAGCAGTGACCATGAGAACAGAGCAGCTGCAGGTAGAAGATGGAGACAGAACTGGGGAGATCTGGTGGAGGTAAGCCGGGTGGAAAGATGATGTCAGGTTTATACCTAGAGACACATGATCCATTCACAAAGCCAGGGAAACCTAAAGAGAAAACACTTAGAATTTGAGGAGAAGAGGCTAGGGCTGGGCCTGAGACATGGGCTGGCCTCCAGGTGGAGGGGTCCAGCAGGCAGGTACAAGCCGGATGAGAGTTCAGGGCAGAGGGCAGAGCCGGAAACAGACCAAAAGCTGCCATGGAGTGGCGAGGGTGGAAGCAGCGGCACAGGCCGAGGGCCATCTCGCCGGGGAAGGGTGGGTACAGCACAACCCTGTGGCCACGTTTTCCTCACACAGGAAATTCCCACAGAACACCCAGGAGGGTGACGATGCCTCCCATGAACAATGCCGTGTGTCTCTGTTTGTCCTTTGTCCCCGATTTCACACCTAAGAAACAATGTCTTCAGCTGTGTGATGACAAGTAGGAACGCTGCCTCCATTGTGGAGGATCATCTTGAAAAGACTTACTCCAATGAGAGTTTTTAAAAGTTTTCACTACTATTTATTTTGAAGAGTTTTCTGTAATGGAACTATTTCTTCTGAAGATTTCAGAAAAGCTTTTGATGTCTGTTACCTCACCATGTCTAAGAGGTGGAAGGAACTGAGAGTCATCTTCCCGCTCATTTCACAAGTGAGGAAGCCAAGGCCCAGACGGGCCAAGGGTCTTGCCCAGCATCACCCAGCAGGGATGGCTCAGCTGGACCCACAGGCAAAGACAGTACCTGCCCTCCCCACAGCCACTCCCCTGGGCAGCGGCTGCCATCCAGATACACAGAGATAGGGAGGAAGGAAGATGATGGACAGACAGGCAGATACATAGGTAAGAGGGTTTGGGAATAACACATAGATATTTTAACTTTTCGAGAGAGGAAAAGGAAAAAATGGCTTGTGATAGACATTTTTTGGACCCACCAAAGCCTTGCATATCTGAAAAGAAAATTACTTTGGCTTTCTGGAAACATTAAACTGCATTCAATCAAAAAAACAGACTAAATTATAACACATCACAACCAGTAAGCTTCATAGCAGCCGCAGTAGGAGTGATGGCATTTCGTGTTGGTGTGCGCGTACACGTGGAAAGGAAGTTTGCAGGGCAACAAGGTCAGCAAGAACCAGACCTCAGATTGTTTCACTCACCACAGAAGAAAAACACCCATGGCAATTCCCTTTTGGAAAGTTAAAGCTTATCTCCTCGGAATGAAGTTCCAAAGACATCCATTTCCACAGAAGATGGAGGAAAAAAGACAATTACATTTCAAATCTGTAAGTCACAAATAGACAGGCAGAGTTCTGGCGAGCCGTGTCACAGTTAACCAGTTTGAGGACATCAGTGTCTTCCCCCAGAGTCTGTAAACACGCAGCCAGTCAATTTCCTAATGAATGCTTCCCTTTAACAAAGGCTGCTTCAGTCCTCCCTGCAGGCCTACTAGAGTCTTCCAGCAGCACATCTCAGTGGGAGCCATCAGATTTTCCAAAAAATCTTCTTTCTATAGAGGATGTAGGCAATGAGCACCCAGAGGGCAGTGGCGACGATGTTCTGAGTCAGGTGCTCCTTGTGGGACTGGTTGTCCTTCAGCTTCCACTGAAAGGGGAAGTAGTTCTCAAACACCTCGTGGCCGACATATACCAGAATGGAATTCATTCCTTAAGGAGAGAGACATACAGAAGATCATGTTTCTCACAGATGAGTCACATCTAACCATCTATTTAATTCTTGAAACCAGTTCAATGAAAAAACAGAAAGTGTGCACTTCCATTGTTGGCTACTGCCAAAAATAAGTAATGCATATCTTAGGTATTTAAATATAAACCATATCAAAAATTATTGAAAGGCCTGGTGTAGTGGCTCACGACTATAATCCCAGCACTTTGGGAGGCCAAAGCGGGTGGATCGCTTAAGGCCAGGAGTTCGAGACCAGCCTGGCCAACGTGATGAAACCCCGTCTCTACTAAAAATACAAAATTAGCCGGGCGTGGTGGGGTGTGCCCGTAATCCCAGCTTCTTGGGAGGCTGAGGCACAAGAATCACTTGAACCTGGGAGGCGGAGGTTGCAGTGAGCCAAAATCACACCACTGCACTCCAGCCTGGGCGACAGAGCAAGACTGTGTCTCAAAAACACAAAAAAGGTATTAGATAATATTCATTTTATAACAGTACAATTCTTGAAAACTAAATCTGAAAGGAAAGCTAAAATTATTATTAATAACTTATATTTTCTAGGCAGAAAATCTGAGGTCCAAAGAATGTAACTATTCCTCGAATCAAAGGGCTGAAATGAGGCATTGAAATGATCTGATGTGTTTCTAAGTCCTCGGTTGGAACTGCATCTAAATCATTCCATTTATCCCTTGATATCACCTCTTGCTATTTCTTCTAATGCACAATCTCTATAGTAGTGGATTTATATTAAGAAAGCAAGCATAGCACCATTATTAAGAACCAGAGGCTGGGCACGGTGGCTCACGCCTGTAATCCCAGCACTTTGGGAGGCCGAGGCGGGCGGATCACGAGGTCGGGAGATCAAGACCATCCTAGCTAACACTGTGAAATCCCATCTCAACTAAAAATACAAAAAATTAGCTGGGCGTGGTGGCGGGCGCCTGTAGTCCCAGCTACTCAGGAGGCTGAGGCAGGAGAATGGCGTGAACCTGGGAAGCGGAGCTTGCAGTGAGCCGAGATCACACCACTGCACTCCAGCCTGGGCAACAGAGCAAGACTCTGTCTCAAAAAAAAAAAAAAAAAAAAAAAAAGAACCAGAAACTGGATAATGTGCCCTGAATCATTTCCGCTCCTCCACAATTTGGTATAGCCTGAAGAAACAGGTGGAGTCACAAACTGTCATACAACGACTCCACAACCTACACGGTGAAAATGGGGTGGACTGCTCTGGAGCAGGCCAGTGACATCTGGTGTGGGCTGGGACAATGTGGGCCCTGCTGCTTCCTCCCTCAGCCTGGCTTTTGGACACCTGCCGCTAGGGCAGTGGCTCAAGACCCCAGCACCAAGGATGCTCCAGAGGTCCCTGGGCCTGCCTCCTGGTCACCATCCCAGCTCTGTTTGAGGTTGGAGGTGACTTACCTGGATAAAAGAATGGGGTTCCTGTCCACAGCCCCTTCACATCCACAACTGGGTACAGGACCAGCAGGATGAAGAAGGCAAAAGAACTGAGCGTAGTGACATACGAAAGGGACCTGGGAGGGGTGGAGGAGACGTTTCAGTGCTCGTACGGAACAAATCCAATTTCAGCATGAACAGTCATCCATAAAATCATGCTTTTTCCATACATACCAGAGATTTTTGTTTACTGGAATAAAGCCTTCATTTTCAGAAACCTTCGTCAGAGCAACAGAAATGAGCCCCTGTAATGGGGAAGAGAAGGATGTTAACATTTTATATTATTATCTCAGAAAACACTTGGTTTCAACACCAATATATATTAGTTATTTAATCACGTAGAGAGGGCTGAAACTTGTGCCTTATATTTTTCTCTTTTAAATGGAAACATATTTTTTTAAATGTATGAACTGAAAAATACTCTCCCAAAATCTCTTCACCATTCTACTGAGTTGAAGAGGGTAAGCTTACTGATTAAATGACAGTGACTCTGAAGAGGAGGCATGGCTGCGGTCAGGATGAAATGAACAAACAGTCAACCTTGCAACTCTCTTTCCCATATAATCTGGAAGTTGATGTCTGCAACCTGGTCTGATTTGCCCAGTCTCTCTGATACGCCTCTCCACACAGAGCCCATACCTCACATTTCTTCAGGCATTCCTGGCTATCTGATGGCAAACACTGCCTTATTGATAAAGACATTTTCCTAAGAAAATAAATCTGTGCATTTAGGTGGAAAGATTTGTTCCTCTCTGTTATTCAAGTGAAGAAAATGGTACCTGCTGCCATGTGGTGACAATGGCTAGCTCAGTGTTGCTAAACATTTTATTCCTTTTAAATATCTATACATGTGAAGGAAAGGAATTTTAGCGAGGAATGCTGCTTACTTACAAGAATACAACACCAAGCAGTGAATCGAATCAGGATGTCTTTGGTCCGAGCCTTGTAATACAATAGTATTTTTCCTGCCTGGAGGAGATAACACAGTGTGACCAAAAGAATCGCCAAAGGGATATTTTTATTTCATATTAATCCACTGTCTTAACTACCTGACAAAGAGATTCACTTGCTGGGCACGCTACTAGGTGCTGGGATTACAGGGAGGCGGGAAACATCACCTCTGCCTTTGACTAGTGGAGACTAACAGAGGAGCATGGGACCAGAGATGAACGCCCTCTCTGGGGAGGAGGAGGCATCAGAGAGGACGAGCCACAGAGGTGAGGCCAGAGCACCAGAGGGTCCCCGCAGGAAGAGGCTCCTGAGCAGAATGGGGCAGCAGGCACAGAGCTCGGGGGAAGCATGGTAGCCACACCACATCTCCACTGCTGCAGGGAATGCAGAAGCCCAGGTCATGGGGAAAGGAGGAGAAGGGGCACCTGGGCAGGCTCCGTGGCTCTTACTTCCAGGCAGGGCCCAAAGAGAATTCTCCACAAAGGTGACAAGGGTTCCGTCAGACAGGCCTGTTTGGTGACCCAGTCTGGGCAGCACTAGGAAGAGGGACCGGGACAGGGTGGAACCAGAGGCAGGGTGGGGGAGGCAGGGAAACATTTAAAAACAGTGAAATATGGACTTCACATACAATCCCTCTGAAATTAGGTATTCATTTTTGAAAACATCAAAGGATGAGAAGCTTTAAAAATAATTTATAGTAATAGCTAATATTAATCAACATTTTTTATGTGCCAGTTCTTAGAACTTTACATGAATTAACTTATTCAATCCTTGCAACACCCTTCTGAAGTAGGTGCTGTTGAAGCACAAGAGGGAGTCAGCCACACGCCCGAGGTCACCCAGCTGGGAAGTGGCAGAGCTGGACACAAACCCAGGGAGCGTGGCTCCAGGTCTGCACTCCTAGCCTCCCCACTGGACTGACCGCTCCAGTGATCTACCTAGAAAGTGTATGTAGGGATTACATGAATATACGGAATATATGGAAAAGCACAATATCAACTAGAAAGTGCTACAGAGATAAAGGCCGTATTTCTAAATACAAAATTATTTCATCACCAAAATGTACAGCTGATCCTTGAACAACACAGGTTTGAACTGCGCAGGTCCACTTATATGCGGATTCTCTTCTGCCTCTGTTACCCCTGAGACAGCAAGACCGACCCCTACTCCTCTTCCACACCCTCCTCCTCCTCTTCTTCCTCTACCCCTCCTCCTCCTCTTCCTCCTCTTCCTCTACCCCCTCCTCCTCTTCCTCCTCCTCCTCCACACCCTCCTCCTCCTCATCCACACCCTCACCCTCCTCCTCCTCCAGCCCCTCCTCCTCCTCTTCCTCCACCCCATCCTCCTCCACACCCTCCTTCTCTTCTTCCTCCTCCTCCTCTTCCTCCACCCCCTCTTCCTCCTCATCCTCCTCCTCCTCTACTCCCTCCTCCTCTTCCTCCTCTTCTTCCTCCTCCTCCTCCTCCTCTTCCTTCTCCTCCTCCTACTACTCATACTCAACATGAAGATGATGAAGATGCAGATCTTCATGATGATCCACTCCCACTTAATGAATAGGACTAGATTTTCTCTTCCTTATGGCTTTCTTAATAACATTTTCTTTTCTTGAGCTTACTTTATTGTAAAAACACAGTATATAATATTTATATAAAATATGTGTGAATCAACTGTTGATGTTATTGGTAAGGCTTTGGGTCCACAGCAGGCTATTAGTGTTTAAGTTTTGGGGGAGTCAAAAGTCCTCTGTAGATTTTCCACTGCATGGGGGGACAGTGTCCCCATGCCCCGAGGTGTTCCAGGGTCACCTGTGTATGCTTCAGATCTGCACTACCCAACAGCCGAACCACTAGCCACAAGTGACCATCTAAATTTAAAATCATATTAAGTAAAATTTAAAATTCAGTTCCTCAGTCACACTCCCCACATCTCAAATGCTCAACAGCGACCCTGGCTAGGGACTGTCCCACTAGATAGCACAGAGGAGAAAAAAAATTTTTTGTTGGCTTCTGAAAAACAGAATTTTATTTCTCACAGTTCTGAAGGTTGGGAAGTCCAAGATCAAGGCACCAGTAGATTCGGTATCTGGTGAAGGCCTGTTTTCAGATAGATGGCGACTTCTTGTTCTGTCCTCACATGGTAGAAGAGGCAAGGCAGGTCTCTGGGGCTTCTCTTTCATAAGGGCAACAATCCCATTCACGGGATGCAGCGTGAGGGCTCCACCCTCATGAATGGCCTTAGAAAAGGGCTTGAGGCAGTAAGTCCTGTCTCTGCCCTTTCACCAGCTGGTGGGGACACCGTGTGAGGACACAGCATTTGTCCCCCCTGAAGGACATGCCCCAATCAAGTTGCCACCTTGGGAGGAGAGCCCAGACCCTCACCAGACAAATGAACCTGCAGTGTTACTGTTCTTTATGAATTACCCAGTCTCGGGTATTTTGTTAGGTCAGGACACACAGACTAATATGAGTGTACATGAAAGAAGTGTGACAAATGACACAGTGACTTCCCAATGTTACCAATACCCACACACTCTGCACACTCCATCAGGAAAACCTTTTTTTCTTTTTTGAGACAGGGTCTCACTCTGTTGCCCAGCCAGGAGTGCAGTGGTGCAATCAAGGCTCACTGCAGCCTCAACCTCCTTGGTTCAAGCCATACTCCTACCTCAGCTCCCAAGTAGCTGGGACTACAGGTGTGTGCCATCATGCCTGGCTAATATTTTTAATTTCTTGTAGAGACAGGGTCTCACTATGTTACCCAGGCTGGTCTCAAACTCCCGGACTCAAGCAATCCTCCTGCCTTGGCTTCCCAAAATGTTGGCGTTATAGGCATGAGCCACTGCAGCTTGGCAAGGGAAACCTTTTATCTAGAAACTGCCGTGCTAAGATAAGCCATATAAGTAAGAATTTTTTTGAGAATATAAGAATTATATCTAATTACTTGAATGTGCTGAATTTCAGTAACTTTTGGTTCTGCACAATCTGTCAAAGATAACAGAATATATTAGGCCCATAGCACAAGAGAGAATATGCTTCCAATTATTTTAATGAAATGGTTTTTAAATGAGTGAATAAAATATCATAAATTGTCAGAAAAAGTAACCTAATGAAATGAACAAATACCTGAACTCCTAAAAAGGCCATCACGATGGAGTTGATGGTGCCCAGGATGCCCTCGGGGTCATAGGCCACCTCGGTGTGGTAAAGTACCTTAACAAACAGAAGCAGAAGGCAGCACTCACTCACTGATCTGAAAACACGTACAAACAGCTCCTAGACCAAATACAAACCTGAATACACTCCAGTATGTCATGGTTTTCTGTTTTTGCTGCAGAAATTCATTGCCAACTTATAGGGATAACAGGCAGAATGCTTCCGGCTAAGAAAGTGTGCAGTGTGGACACTCAGCAGGGAACAGAGACTCCCAGGGACAAGTCACAGTCCAGCAGCCACTGTGATTGCAGCGGGGGCAGCAAACAGCGCTGGCTCCAGGCCTTGTGACATGACGCCTTCCTGACCAGCTTCAAATGCAATGCACGGTACCTTCCTAATTTCCAGATTTATTCTTTTTGGTCAACCCTACTGTAGCAACAACAGCTTCCTATCTTCTTTTAAGGCAAATAACATTTTTAAATATGTTTCTTTTTTTATTATAAAATAAATGTTACTGCAGAAATTGTAGAAATCTGGAAATGAACAGTGTAATTAGGTGCTGTCACACACCCTCAGAGCCCTCCAACCCTTTCAGCACAAAACCTTCATTCCTCCAGCTGCTGGAAGTATTCATGACCACAGCTCTCAGACAGGTGCCTCTTCTGGATCTGCCCTTGACTAAAGAGAGCTACCTCTCCAGGGATCAGCCTTCTGCAGGGGGCCTTCCGCACCATCCAGGGGTAGGAAGGGCCCAAACCTTTGCCTCAATTCAGAACAATTCTGCAGCGCCACCCCGGTGCCCCCAAGATTGGCTGGGGCCTTTGCTGGGGCTACCTACAAAGTTGACCGTGCAGGTCAACTTCTCCCTCTGCACGGTCCTGCCTCCTTTATTCCCCCGCAAGGACTGCCTGATCCACTTCCTGCATGTGACCCTCTGTCTCAGGGTCTGCTGCCAGGAAATCCGACCTGAGACGTACAGAAAAGCACTGTGCTATGATCATTTACACAATGCATTCTCACTTGCTTTTTTTTTTGTTTTTTGTTTTTTTTTTCCTTACAGAGACGGGGTCTCACTATTGCACAGGCTGGTCTCAGATTCCTGGGCTCAAGCAATCCTCTCACCTTGGCCTCCCGAGTAGCTGGGAATGCAGGTGTGAGCCACTGTGTCCAGCTCCACATTCTCACTTTAAAATCCAAAATAATGTTTACACACTGCCATACAGTGATCCCTAAAGTCATTAAGTTAGCTGACTTTTCAAATAATCATCAGTTCTCAGTGTGTTTTCTTAAATGGGCATGGTTTAACGTTTGCTGGCTCTTTCTACTTTCCTTCACTTCTGAAAGCCTGAGTTCCAGTTCTAAGCGAACTCGAGTCTCACTCACAGCAGAAGATGGGTGCTGGTAAAGGTGATCGTCTCCCAGCAGCAGGCGGTCGATGTAGCCTGCAGCTCCTCCAGTGCAATTTGGATACTTGCCAAAATCTCCAATGCCCCCAGGACCAAGATAACCACTAGGAAGGTGAAAAGCATATGTAAATGACAAGACCTCATAAGGGCGAACAGAGGGACAAGAATAAAAAAACCTCAGGCCGGGCACGGTGGCTCACGCCTGTAATCCCAACACTTTGGGAGGCCAAGGCGGGCAGATCACCTGAGGTCAGGAATTTGAGACCAACCTGGCCAACATGGTGAAACCCCGTCTCTATTAAAATACAAAAATTAGCCGGGCATGGTGGTGTGCGCCTGTAATCCCAGCTACTCAGGAGGCTAATGCAGGAGAATCGCTTGAACCTGGGAGGCGCAGGTTGCAGTGAGCCGAGTTCATGCCACTGCACTCCTGCCTGGGCGACAGAGCAAGATTCCATCTCCAAAAAGAGAAAAAAAAAACATGGTTTATATTGGCTATGTATGCAGCCCAATTCAGAGAGCCCCAAACATGAGCCAGCTAAAACGTCCTTCTGGCTCATGCACGCTCACTGACAAACTGCTCCCACACTATGAAGGTGGGAGGCCCGAATTCTATTCAAGCTGACCCTCACACCACCCACAGGGAAATCACTCTGGACACGTGCCAATCTCCTCTCCCCATGCAAAGCAGGCCTCAAAGGAGAAGGAAGAGGGAAAGAGAATTCCTCTGACTCGAGACCTGTGAAAGCCCAGAACCTCTGACTGGGCAGAACAGGACATGCACAAGGGATGACCCCCAGGGGTTCGCTTACGTAGGGCACCCAGGGACTGGCAGGAGGAATGTCAAGCCCAGCCACAGGCCTTCCAGCACCAGGATGAGCAGCCACTGGGGCCAGCTGGACGTGATGTCTCGAAGAGAAAGGCAGCTCCTCTCCTGAGTGGGGGCAGAAAAATAAAACACGGGTGAACTAAATGCAAATAGAAGGGAACTAAGCACATGTCTTTAGGAAATTCCCGGTGACTCATTTCTTGGCCTTTTTGGCAGTAATACAAAAACTTACTGACTACGTTAGGTTCTCCAGATGTTCCCTCTCCATGAAATCTCACAGCAAAACACCCATTCAAAAGAAATCAGCAGACAATTCTATTCCTATACCCAAGAGAACTGAAAACATATGTTCACACAAAAACTTGTACACATACATATAGGAGCATTGTTCACAACAGCAAAAAAGGGGACACAAGTCAAATGTTCACTGACTAATAAATGGGTGAGCAAAATGTGGTGTATCCCTAAAGCGGAATCTAATTCAGCAATTTTGGAAGGAAGTGCTGACATATGCAACATGGATGAACCTCAAAAAATATGCTAAGTGGAAGCAGCCAGGCACAAAAAGCCACGTTATATGACTTCATGTATACGGACTGTCTAGAGCAGGTACATGTGTAGAGACAACAAGTAGGCTGGGGTTGCCTGGGGCTGGGGGAGTTGTGATGTGGGGAGTGACTGGCGGTTAGTGCAGGGTTCTTCGTGGGGTAAGGAAAACCTTCCAGAATTACAGACTGGTGACAGCTGCACAACTCTGAATAGAGCAAATATCATCAAATTGTACACTTTCAACATGGGAGTTTTATGGTACGTAAATTATACATCAATATACCTGTGATTTAAAATTTAAAAATAAAATAAGTAAACTAACGAAATTCAAACTTTTGGATCTCTGTGGTTGAAGGAAGAAAGGGTGCAGCCCACCTGTTCTTAGTGTCCCACTGAACCCCTGACCCTATGGTGATGGCCCAGGATGCACCTCCGCGGACCCTCAGGTCCCACAGAAGGGCTGAAAATAGCAGCTTTCATATCCATGGCTGACCAAGCTCTGTGCCCACTCAGGCACGTCTCGCCTGTCCTTCACCCTAAGGAAATCCACAGCCAGAGGACACATTAATGACAAGGGCAGAGGGGGAAAGAGTAACAATGACTAAAACGCCCCCCAAACTAGATAACTAACATTGTAGGAAGCACCCAGAGAAAGTGAGATTCAGTGATGAACTTGCTAGTTACGTATCTTGAAAGAAGCTAGAAGACAACACGGCTTTATTAACTGATTGTTGAATAGGACCCCAAATGGAAGAATTTAAACATTTCCGTCGGAATTTTTGTCACTAATGGTGGGTGGGGGAAAGAAGTAACTGTCACCTGAGTGAACTCCACCTAGCAATTTATAGTAAGAGAGGAAGTAATCACAAATGAGATGGGACTCCGACATGCTTCTGATAAAGAAGCAATGCAAATAGCCAAGCACAATACCATCACTCTCCCATGCCCTACCTGGGGATTATCCTCAAAATTGAACTTTACAGCATTTGAACAGATACCAAAACGTTACATGAATTTTACACATATATATGTTATGCTACAAGGAAATTGAAAAAATCGCAATAATGCCCCAAGAGACTGAACCAGCAAACTGGATGCTGGTGGTATTATTTAATACTATCAAGAATGGGGTCAGGCGGCCAGACGCGGTGGCTCCCGCCTGTACTCCCAGCACTTTGGGAGGCCAAGGCAGGCAGATCACGAGGTCAGATCGAGACCATCCTGGCTAACACAGTGAAACTCCATCTCTACTAAAAAATACAAAAAATTAGCTGGGCGTGGAGGAGGTTCCAAGATGGCCGAATAGGAACAGCTCCAGTATACAGCTCCCAGTGTGAGCGACGCAGAAGACAGATGATTTCTGCATTTCCAACTGAGGTACCGGGTTCATCTCACTGGGGCTTGTCAGACAGTGGGTACAGCCCACGGAGCAGGGTGGAGCATCACCCCAAGTGCAAGAGGTCGGATAATTCCCTTTCCTAGCCAAGGGAAGCCATGACAGATGGTACCTGGAAAATCGGGACACTCCTACACTAATACTGCACTTTTCCAATGGTCTTAACAAACGGCACACCAGGAGATTATATCTTGCATCTGGCTCGGAGGGTCCCACGCCCACAGAACCTTACTCATTGCTAGCACAGCAGTCTGAGATCAAACTGCAAGGTGGCAGCGAGGCTGGGGGGAAGGGCATCCGCCATTGCTGAGGCTTGAGAAGGTAAACAAAGCAGGTGGGGAGCTTGAACTGAGTGGAGCCCACCGCAGCTCAAGAAGGCCTGCCTGCCTCTGTAGACTCCACCTCTGGGGGCAGGGCATAGCTGAATAAAAGGCAGCAGAAACTTCTGCAAACTTAAACGTCCCTGTCTGACAGCTTTGAAGAGAGTAGTGGTTCTCCCAGCACAGAGTTTGAGATCTGAGAACGGACAGACTGCCTCCTCAAGTGGGTCCCTGACCCCCAAGTAGCCTAAATGGGAGACACCTCCCAGTAGGGACCGACTGACACCCCATACAGCTGGGTGCCCCTCTGAGACGAAGCTTCCAGGGGAAGGATCAGGCAGCAACATTTGCCATTCTGCAGCCTCCACTGGTGATACCCAGGCAAACAGGGTCTGGAGTGGACCTCCAGCAAACTCCAACAGACCTGCAGCTGAGGGTCCTGACTGTTAGAAGGAAAACTAACAAACAAAAAGGACATCCACACCAAAACCCCATCTGTACATCACCATCATCAAAGACCAAAGGTAGATAAAACCACAAAGATGGGGAGAAAACAGAGCAGAAAAGCTGAAAATTCTAAAAATCAGAGCGCCTCTTCTCCTCCAAAGGAACGCAGCACCTCGCCAGCAATGGAACAAACCTGGTTGGAGAATGACTTTGATGAGTTGAGAGAAGAAGGCTTCAGATGAATGGTAATAACAAACTTCTCCGAGCTAAAGGAGGATGTTTGAACCCATCTCAAAGAAGCTAAAAACCTTGAGAAAAGATTAGACAAATGGGTAACTAGAATCAACAGTGTAGAAAAGACCTTAAATGACCTGATGGAGCTGAAAACTGTGGCACAAGAACTACGTGATGCATGCACAAGCTTCAGTAGCCAATTCAGTCAAGTGGAAGAAAGGGTATCAGTGATTGAAGATCAAATGAATGAAATGAAGCGAGAAAAGAAGTTTGGAGAAAAAAGAGTAAAAAGAAATGAACAAAGCTCCAAGAAATATGGGACTATGTGAAAAGATCAAATCTGTGTCTGATTGGTGTACCTGAAAGTGACGGGGAGAACAGAACCAAGTCGGAAAAAACTCTTCAGGATATTATCTAGGAGAACTTCCGCAACCCAGCAAGGCAGGCCAACATTCAAATTCAGGAAATACAGAGAACACCACAAAGATACTCCTCAAGAAGAGCAACTCCAAGACACATAATTGTCAGATTCACCAAAGTTGAAATGAAGGAAAAAATGTTAAGGGCAGCCAGAGAGAAAGGTCAGGTTACCCATAAAGGGAAGTCCATCAGACTAACAGCAGATCTCTCAGCAGAAACTCTACAAGCCACAAGACAGTGGGGGCCAATATCCAACATTCTTAAAGAAAAGGATTTTCAGTCTAGAATTTCATATCCAGCCAAACTAAGCTTCATAAGTGAAAGAGAAATAAAATACTTTACAGACAAACAAATACTGAAAGATTTTGTCACCAGCAGGCCTACCTTACAAGAGCTCCTCAAGGAAGCACTAAACATGGAAAGGAACAACCGGTACCAGACACTGCAAAAACATGCCAAATTGTAAAGACCATCAATGCTAGGAAGAAACTGCATCAACTAAAGTGCAAAATAACCAGCTAACGTCATAATGACAGGATCAAATTCACACATAACGATATTAACCTTAAATATAAATGGGCTAAATGCTCCAATTAAAAGACACAGACTGGCAAATTGGATAAAGAGTCAAGACCCATCAGTGTGCTGTATTCAGGAGACCCATCTCACGTGCAAAGACACACATAGGCTCAAAATAAAGGGATGGAGGAAGATCTACCAGGTAAACGGAAAACAAAAAAAGGCAGGAGTTGCAATCCAAGTCTCTGATTAAACAGACTTTAAACCAACAAAGATCAAAAGAGACAAAGAAGGCCATTACATAATGGTAAAGGGATCAATTCAACAAGAAGAGCTAACTATCCTAAATATATATGCACCCAATACAGGAGCACCCAGATTTATAAAGCAAGTCCTTAGAGACCTACAAAGAGACTTACACTCCCACATGATAATAATGGGAGACTTTAACAACCCACTGTCAACATTAGACAGATCAATGAGACAGAAAGTTAACAAGGATATCCAGGAATTGAACTCAGCTCTGCACCACACAGACCTGATAGACATCTACAGAACTCTCCACCTCAAATCAACAGAATATACATTCTTCTCAGCACCACATTGCACTTATTCCAAAATTGACCACATAGTTGGAAGTAAAGCACTCCTCAGCAAATGTAAAAGAACAGAAATTATAACAAACTGTCTCTCAGACCACAGTGCAATCAAATTAGAACTCAGGATTAAGAAACTCTCTCAAAACTGCTCAACTACATGGAAACTGAACAACCCACTCCTGAATGACTACTGGGTACATAACGAAATGAAGGCAGAAATAAAGATGTTCTTTGAAATCAATGATAACAAAGACACAACATACCAGAATCTCCAGGACACATTTAGAGCAGTGTGTAGAAGGAAATTTATAGCACTAAATGCCCACAAGAGAAAGCAGGAAAAGATCTAAAATTGACACCCTAACATCACAATTAAAAGAACTAGAGAAGCAAGAGCAAACACATTCAAAAGCTAGCAGAAGGCAAGAAGTAACTAAGATCAGAGCAGAACTGAAGGAGATAGAAACACAAAAAACCCTTCAAAAAAATCAATGAATCCAGGAGCTGGTTTTTTTAAAAGATCAACAAAATTGATAAACTGCTAGCAAGACTAATAAAGAAGAAAAGGGAGAAGAATCAAATAGACACAATAAAAAATGATAAGGGTGATATCACCACCGATTCCACAGAAATACAAACTACAATCAGAGAATACTATAAACACTTCTACTCAAAAAAACTAGAAAATCTAGAAGAAATTGATAAATTCCTGGACACATACACACCCTCCCAAGACTAAACCAGGAAGAAGTTGAATCCCTGAATAGAACAATAACAGGCTCTGAAATTGAAGCAATAATTAATAGCCTACCAACAAAAAAACTCCAGCACCAGATGGATTCACAACCAAATTCTACCAGAGGTACAAAGAGGAGCTGGTACCATTCCTTCTGAAACTATTCCAATCAATAGAAAAAGAGGGAATCAACCCTAACTCATTTTATGAGGCCAGCATCATCCTGATACCAAAGCCTGGCAGAGACACAACAAAAAAAGAGAATTTTAGACCAATATCCCTGATGAACATCGATGCAAAAATCCTCAATAAAATACTGGGAAACCGAATCCAGCAGCACATCAAAAAGCTTATCCACCATGATCAAGTCGGCTTCATTCCTGGGATGCAAGGCTGGTTCAACATATGCAAATCAATAAATGTAATCCATCATATAAACAGAACCAAAAACAAAAACCACATGATTATCTCAATAGATGCAGAAAAGGCCTTCGACAAAATTCAACAGCCCTTCATGCTAAAAACTTTCAATAAACTAGGTATCGATGGGACCTGTCTCAAAATAATAAGAGCTACTTATGACAAACCCACAGCCAATATCATACTGAATGGACAAAAACTGGAAGCATTCCCTTTGAAAACTGGCACAAGACAGGGATGCCCTCTCTCACCACTCCTGTTCAACATAGGATTGGAAGTTCTGGCCAGGGCAATCAGGCAGGAGAAAGAAATAAAAGGTATTCAATTAGGAAAGGAGGAAGTCAAATTGTCCCTGTTTGCAGATGACATGATTGTATATTTAGAAAACCCCATCATCTCAGCCCAAAATTTCCTTAAGCTGATAAGCAACTTCAGCAAAGTCTCAGGATACAAAATCAATGTACAAAAATCACAAGCATTCCTATACACCAATAACAGACAAACAGAGAGCCAAATCATGAGTGAAGTCCCATTCACAATTGCTTCAAAGAGAATAAAATACCTAGGAATCCAACTTACAAGGGATGTGAAGGACCTCCTCAAGGAGAACTACAAACCACTGCTCAACAAAATAAAAGAGGACACAAACAAATGGAAGAACATTCCATGCTTATGGATAGGAAGAATCAATATCATGAAAATGGCGATACTGCCCAAGGTAATTTATAGATTCAATGCCATCCCCATCAAGCTACCAATGACTTTCTTCACAGAATTGGAAAAAACTACTTTAAAGTTCATATGGAACCAAAAAAGAGCCTGCATTGCCAAGACAATCCTAAGCCACAAGAACAAAGCTGGAGGTATCATGCCACCTGGCTTCAAACTATACTACAAGGCTACAGTAACCAAAACAGCATGGTACTGGTAGTAAAACAGAGATATAGACCAATGGAACAGAACAGAGCCCTCAGAAATAATACCACACATCTACAACCATCTGATCTCTGACAAACCTGACAAAAACAAGAAATGGGGAAAGGATTCCTTATTTAATAAATGGTGCTGGGAAAACTAGCTAGCCATATGTAGAAAGCTGAAACTGAATCGCTTCCTTACACCTTATACAAAAATTAATTCACAATGGATTAAAGACTTAAATGTTAGACCTAAAACCATAAAAACCCTAGAAGAAAACCTAGGCAATACCATTCAGGACACAGGCATGGGCAAGGACTTCACGTCTAAAACACCAAAAGCAATGGCAACAAAAGCCAGAATTGACAAATGGGATCTAACTAAACTAAAGAGCTTCTGCACAGCAAAAGAAACTACCATCAGAGTGAACAGGCAACCTACAGAATGGGAGAAAAGTTTTACAACCTACCCATCTGACAAAGGGCTAATATCCAGAATCTACAAAGAACTTAAACAAATTTACAAGAAGAAATCAAACAACCCCATCAAAAAGTGGGCAAAGGATATGAACAGACACTTCTCAAAAGAAGACATTTATGCAGCCAACAGACACATGAAAAAATGCTCATCATCACTGGCCATCAGAGAAATGCAAATCAAAACCACAATGAGATACCATCTCACACCAGTTAGAATGGCAATCATTAAAAAGTCAGGAAACAACAGGTGCTGGAGAGGATGTGGAGAAATAGGAACACTTTTACACTGTTGGTGGGACCGTAAACTAGTTCAACCATTGTGGAAGTCAGTATGGCGATTCCTCAGGGATCTAGAACTAGAAATACCATTGGACCCAGCCATCCCATTACTGGGTATATACCCAAAGGATTATAAATCATGCTGCTATAAAGACACATGCACACGTATGTTTATTGCAGCACTATTCACAATAGCAAAGACTTGGAACCAACCCAAATGCCCAACAATGATAGACTGGATTAAGAAAATGTGGCACATATACACCATGGAATACTATGCAGCCATAAAAAAGGATGAATTCATGTCCTTTGTAGGGACATGGATGAAGCTGGAAACCATCATTCTCAGCAAACTATCACAAAGACAGAAAACCAAACACTACATGTTCTCACTCATAGGTGGGAATTAAACAATGAGAACACTTGGTCACAGGGTGGGGAACATCACACACCGGGGCCTGTTGTGGGGCAGGGGGAAAGGGGAGGTATAGCATTAGGGGATATACCTAATGTAAATGACGAGTTAACGGGTGCAGCATACCAACATGGCACATGTATACCTATGTAACAAACCTGCACGTTGTGCACATATACCCTAGAACTTAAAGGATAATTTAAAAAAAAATTAGCTGGGAGTGGTGGCGGGCGCCTGTAGTCCCAGCTACTCAGGAGGCTGAGACAGGAGAACGGCGTGAACCCAGGAGGCGGAGTTTGCAGTGAGCCCAGATCGCGCCACTGCACTCCAGCCTGGCGGACAGAGCAAGACTCCCTCTCAAAAGAAAAAAAAAAAAAATGAGGCCAGGCATGGTGACTCACACCTGTAGTCCTAGCATTTTGGGAGGCTGAGGTGGGTAAATCACTTGAGCCCAGGAGTTCAAGACCAGCCTGGGCAACACAGTGAAACCTCGTCTCTACAATAAATACAATCATTAACTGGGCATGGTAGTGCATGCCTATAGTCCCAGCTACTCAGGAGGCTGAGGTAGGAGAATCGCTTGAGCCTGGGAGGTTAAGGCAACAGTGAGTTGAGATCGTGCCCCTGCACTCCAGCCTGGGTAACAGAGTGAGACCCTGTCTCCAAGAAGTAAATAAAACAGAATGCATTTGAAACTAGCAGAGAGGATTGTGCATGTTCCTGACACAAAGAAATGATAATAACTGTTTGAGGTGATGAATATGCTAATTACCCTGATTTGATCGTTACACACTGTATGATACACAGGTATCAAAATATTACTCTGAGCCTCATAAATATGTACAAGTATTACATATCAACTAAAAATAAGAGGAAAAAAGAATGCATGTGATTACTGTCTGCTGACAAATTTGTTAAGAGGATAGATCTCATGTCGTGTATTTTATAATAAAAAAATTGACATAAAGATTAAAAATAACTAATGAAAGTGAAAATCAGAATGTATTTGATTAGCAGATGTACAGTATTGCATGCAGAAATTTTAGAAGTTCTAAAAACCATATCCCCCTTTGTTCTCCCTTTTTTTAAAAAACACTGTTTTGGCTGGGCATGGTGGCTCACACCTGTAATCCCAGCAATTTGTGAGGCCGAGGCAGGAAGATCACCTGAGTCCAGGAGTTTGAAACCAGCCTGGACAACATAGTGAGACCTTGTCTCTACAAAAGAATAAATAAAACTAGCCAGGCATGGTGGTGCGCTCCTGTAGTCCCAGCTAATTAGGAGACTGAGGAGGGAGGATCGCTTAAGCCTGGGATGTTGAGGCTTCAGTGAGCCAAGATCACACCACTGCACCCCAGCCTGGGCAACACAGCAAGACCCTGTATCAACAACAACAAGAACACAGTTTCTGGCCAGGCATGGTGGCTCACACCTGTAATCCCGGCGCTTTGGGTGGCCAAGGCAGGAGGATCACTTGAAGCCAGGAGTGAGGGACCAGTCTGGACAACATAGTGAGACCGTATCACCACACAATACATTTTTTTTAATTTAAAAAAAGTTTTTCTTAATTAAAACATGGTTTCTCACCGAGGCACAATGTTCAGGCACAGGTTTAGCAAAGAGGAGCTCCAACACAGCAACCACAAAGTATGTCACTCCCAATCGCTGCAGCACACCAGGAATGCGCACCTTGTCCCAAGACACTGCAAAAGACACAAGTTAGGTCAAGTGTTAGCCAGGACTTCTCCTCTCATCCCAGGACAACATTATTTGTTTCCTAAAGGGGAAGACATACCTATATTGCATCTAAGTAAGTCTTTTTTAAGCTCTTGGACATGGAAATATATACGGTCAAGAGACATGGGCTCAGCCCAGCTTCCAAAAACAGGCCAATCCCTCTTAATAGAGGGAGGGTCAGTCAGGGACATGGCTCAAACTCAAAACAGGAAGCTGGCCAGATGAGAGACTGGGATAAGAACCAAAGCGTCTTACTCAGGTGTGGGGATAAAGCCAGGCCTGTGCCTGACCCTGGCTCTTTCCTATTAGGAATTTGCAATCAACCCGCACGTCTGCTAGGACCTTGCAGGCCCAACACAAGCCACTCTCCCTGCCCTACCCACTACCCAGCTGTATCACCCCAAGAACGCCACTGACTGACCCTCCCTGCCCTATCTGCTACCCAACCGTATGACCGGAAGAACAGACCTGACAACAAACCCTAAAATGAATCCTACTGGAAGCAGTGGCTCCCTTTTTGGAGATCCACCAAGTCCACATTCATATGAAACACCATCTAGAAGTGACCTCCACCTCTTGCTAGTGCCTATTAAAGTACATATTGCCTGAGGGCTCCATTTGGCCATTGTCTAGATGTTTGTGTCCTCTTCTGCTAACGACAGTTGCAAGGCCCTTGAGGACAGTGACTAGTGCCCTCCCGACTCTGATACTCATTCAAAGCAGAGGGCTCACAAGCCTTCCCTCAGCTCTGCTGTCCCTGCGCACCACTAAACTAATGACAAAGATATTACTCCTTCCAGAAACCCAGCTGCCATACAAGTGCCAGTGAAGGTGGATTCGTGAACTGCCGCACACTATCGAAAGCTGATGAAATGCTCTCCCTCTCCCTCTCCCTCTCCCTCTCCCTCTCCCTCTCCCTCTCCCTCTCCCTCTCCCTCTCCCTCTCCCTCTCCCTCTCCCTCTCCCTCTCCCTCTCCCTCTCCCTCTCCCTCTCCCTCTCCCTCTCCCTCTCCCTCTCCCTCTCCCTCCACGGTCTCCCTCTGATGCCGAGCCAAGGCTGGACGGTACTGCTGCCATCTCGGCTCACTGCAACCTCCCTGCCTGATTCTCCTGCCTCAGCCTGCCGAGTGCCTGCGATTGCAGGCGCGCACCGCCACGCCTGACTGGTTTTCGGTTTTTTTTGGTGGAGACGGGGTTTCGCTGTGTTGGCCGGGCTGGTCTCCAGCTCCTAGCCGCGAGTGATCCGCCAGCCTCGGCCTCCCGAGGTGCCGGGATTGCAGATGGAGTCTCGTTCACTCAGTGCTCAATGGTGCCCAGGCTGGAGTGCAGTGGCGTGATCTCGGCTCGCTGCAACCACCTCCCAGCCGCCTGCCTTGGCCTCCCGGAGAGCCGAGATTGCAGCCTCTGCCCAGCAGCCACCCCGTCTGGGAAGTGAGGAGCGTCTCTGCTTGGCCACCCATCGTCTGGGATGTGAGGAGCCCCTCTGCCTGGCTGCCCAGTCTGGAAAGTGAGGAGCGTCTCTGCCCGGCCGCCATCCCATCTGGGAAGCGAGGAGCGCCTCTTCCCCGCCGCCATCCCATCTAGGAAGTGAGGAGCGTCTCTGCCCGGCCGCCCATCGTCTGAGATGTGGGGAGCACCTCTGCCCCGCCGCCCTGTCTGGGATGTGAGGAGTGCCTCTGCTGGGCCGCAGCCCTGTCTGGGAGGTGGGGAGCGTCTCTGCCCGGCCGCTCCGTCTGAGAAGTGAGGAAACCCTCTGCCTGGCAACCGCCCCGTCTGAGAAGTGAGGAGCCCCTCCGTCCGGCAACCACCCCGTCTGGGAAATGAGGAGCGTCTCCGCCCAGCAGCCACCCCGTCCGGGAGGGAGGTGGGGGGGGTCAGCCCCCCGCCCGGCCAGCCACCCCGTCCGGGAGGTGAGGGGCTCCTCTGCCCGGCCGCCCCTACTGGGAAGTGAGGAGCCCCTCTGCCCGGCCAGCCGCCCCATCCGGGAGGGAGGCGGTGGGGGGGGGGGTCGGCCAGCCGCCCCGTCCGGGAGGGAGGTGGGGGGGTCAGCCCCCCGCCCGGCCAGCCGCCCCGTCTGGGAGGTGAGGGGCTCCTCTGCCCGGCCGCCCCTACTGGGAAGTGAGGAGCCCCTCTGCCCGGCCAGACGCCCCGTCCAGGAGGGAGGTGGGGGGGTCAGCCCCCCGCCCGGCCAGCCGCCCAGTCCGGGAGGGAGGTGGGGGGTCAGCCCCCCGCCCGGCCAGCCGCCCCGTCTGGGAGGGAGGTGGGGGGATCAGCCCCCCGCCTGGCCAGCCGCCCCATCCGGGAGGTGAGGGGCGCCTCTGCCCGGCCGCCCCTACTGGGAAGTGAGGAGCCCCTCTGCCCGGCCAGCCGCCCCGCCCGGGAGGGAGGTGGGGGGGTCATCCCCCCACCTGGCCAGCCGCCCCATCCGGGAGGGAGGTGGGGGGATCAGCCCCCCGCCTGGCCAGTCGCCCCGTCCGGGAGGTGAGGGGCGCCTCTGCCCGGCCGCCCCTACTGGAAAGTGAGGAGCCCCTCTGTCCGGCCAGCCGCCCCGTCCGGGAGGGAGGCGGTGGGGGGGGTCGGCCAGCCGCCCCGTCCGGGAGGGAGGTGGGGGGGGTCAGCCCCCCTTCCGGCCGGCCGCCCCGTCCGGGAGGTGAGGGGCGCCTCTGCCCGGCCGCCCCTACTGGGAAGTGAGGACCCCTCTGCCCGGCCAGCCGCCCCGTCCGGGAGGGAGGTGGGGGGGACAGCCCCCCGCCCAGCCAGCCGCCCTATCCAGGAGGTGAGGGGCGCCTCTGCCCGGCCGCCCCTACTGGGAAGTGAGGAGCCCCTCTGCCTGGCCAGCCGCCCCGTCCGGGAGGGTGGTGGGGGGGTCAGCCCCCGCCCGGCCAGCCGCCCCATCCGGGAGGTGAGGGGCGCTTCTGCCCGGCCGCCCCTACTGGGAAGTGAGGAGCCCCTCTGCCCGGCCACGACCCCGTCTGGGAGGTGTGCCCAGCGGCTCATTGGGGATGGGCCATGATGACAATGGCGGTTTTGTGGAATAGAAAGGCGGGAAGGGTGGGGAAAAAATTGAGAAATCGGATGGTTGCCGGGTCTGTGTGGATAGAAGTAGACATGGGAGACTTTTCATTTTGTTCTGTACTAAGAAAAATTCTTCTGCCTTGGGATCCTGTTGATCTGTGACCTTATCCCCAACCCTGTGCTCTCTGAAACATGTGCTGTGTCCACTCAGGGTTAAATGGATTAAGGGTGGTGCAAGATGTGCTTTGTTAAACAGATGCTTGAAGGCAGCATGCTCGTTAAGAGTCATCACCACTCCCTAATCTTAAGTACCCAGGGACACAAACACTGCGGAAGGCCAAGGCCGCAGGGTCCTCTGCCTAGGAAAACCAGAGACCTTTGTTCACTTGTTTATCTGCTGACCTTCCCTCCACTATTGTCCTATGACCCTGCCAAATCCCAACACCCAAGAATGATCAATAAAAAATAAATAAATAAATTTAAAAAAAAAAAAAAAAAAAAGAAAGCTGATGAAATCACATTAGCAGGGGGCAAAGTTGGAGACCAAGGCGGCCTGGTCTGGTCCCTGCTGTGCCTCTCACTACACTCAGATAATCCAGAGAAAACCTTCAATCGCTCTTGGCCTCAGACTTTTCCTCTGCACAAGAGAAGGGTTTGAGTAGTCTCAGAGGCTCCTCCCAGGTCTAAAATTCAAAAATAATAATAATAATGCTCACAGTTAGACAACCATTGTATATACTTTCCTAATGATTATTCTATTTGCAGGCACCTGAGATGGAGGAATTGCATTTCTCTCAAATTACAACATATAGTTTCCATATTTCAACCTGAATATATATAACAGAGGGAAAAAGTACTTACATGGACCAAGGCAATAATTGGGATTCACAATGATAATTCCTATGCAGATTAACAGGAAACTCCTCCATGCAATCTTCCCCAGCAATCTGAATTTTGAACACCCCCGTTGCAGTATAGAAGTCATCGATAGAAAAATGGAAGATCCCATAATAAATACAAACCTAAAAAGAATCTAGTTATTAATAGGTGGCCATTTCCAAATTTTTTGTCTATATATCAGTAACATTTTATAATATGCTATAAAAGAGAAGCAACCATAATTTGTTTAAAGTAGCCAATTACTGAAATAATACTGAGCTAACAGTAGAGGAAGAGTTCAGAATATAGCCCCATGGGGCTGGAAGGTTTTTGACAGTGCACCTTCAAGTCCTGTCTTAGGAGAAAATTTCTTTAATATTAAATGGAATTTCCAAAGACAACCCTCCCATTTCGTTATCAAAAAGAAATGATGATTCGAAGCCACAGTAATGTCTTCAAATAACTTGACATTCACAAGCACACCCTCAAAGCCCTTGAAACACAGACATTTCAATCATTTCTATACACCCTTCTGCACCTGAAAGAAAAATGAAAGCTTACTTTTTCTCTCTCCATTTAGTCTAAGTAATACACATTTCCTTTCTTTTCTTTGACCATACTAAATTACTAAATTACTCTTTTTTTTTTTTTTTTTTTTTGAGACGGAGTCTTGCTCTGTTGCCCAGACTGGAGTGCAATGGCACGATCTCGGCTCACTGCAAGCTCCGCCTCCTGGGTTCACGCCATTCTCCCACCTCAGCCTCCTGAGTAGCTGGGACTACAGGTGCCCGCCACCGTGCCCGGCTAATTTTCTTTTTTTTGTATTTTTAGTAGAGACAGGGTTTCACCGTGTTAGCCAGGATGGTCTCAATCTCCCGACCTTGTGATCCGCCCGCCTCGGCCTCCCAAAAGTGCTGGGATTACAGGCATGAGCCACCACACCTGGCCCTAAATTATCTCTTTAAAAAAAAAAAAGTTAGAATACTGATTTTTCTAATTACTTGGCAAGGGATCACAGAGATGAAAGTTTGCTCTTGCTGCATTCCTTGGTGTCTCTAGGAAAAACTGAAAGCCTTTCCTCCAAGATCTGGAACATGACAAGGATGCCTACTTTTCACCACTGTTATTCAACATGGCACTAATAATGAGTACAAAAATAGAGCAGTCAGACAAGAGAAACAAATAAAGGGCATCCAAGTTGGAAAGGAGGAAGTCAAAGTACCCTTGTTTGCAGATAACGTGATCTTATATTTGGAAAAACCTAGACTCCACCAGAAAACTATTAGAACTGATCAACAAATTCAGTAAAGTTGCAGGATACAAATCAACATACAAAAATCAGTAGCATTTCTATATGCCAACAGAAAACAATCTGAAAAAGAAATCAGGAAAGGAATTCCATTTCCAATTGCCACAAATAAAATAAAGTACCTCAAAATTAACTTAACCAAAGAAGAGAAGGATTTCTACAATGAAAACTATAAACCACTGATGAAAGAAATTGAAGAGGGCACCAAAAAATGGAAAGAAATTCCATGTTCATACATTAGAAAAATTAATATTGTTAAAATGTTCACACTACCTAAAGCAATCTACAGACTCAATGCAATCCCTATCAAAATACCAATAACATTCTTCACTGAAATAGAAAAAAAAATGCTGAAATTTATATGGAACCACAAAAGACCCAGCGTAGCCAAAGTTATCCTGAGCAAGAGAACAAAACTGGAAGAATCACATTACCTGACTTTAAATTATACCACAGAGCTATAGAAACAAAAACAGCATGGTAGTGGCATAAAAACAGACACATAGATAGTGGGACAGAATAAAGAACTCAGAGCTAAATCCATATAGCTACAGTGAACTCATTTTCGACAAAAGTGCCAAGAACACACATTGGAGAAAGGACAGTCTCTTCAAAAAAATGATGCTAGAAAACTGGATATTCATATGCAGAAGAATGAACCTAGACCCCTATCTCTCATCATATTAAAAAAATCAAATCAAAATGGATTAAAGACTTAAACTTAAGACCTCAAACTATGAAACTACTAAGAGAAAACATTGGGGAAACACTCCAGCACACTGGACTAAGTGAAGATTTCTTGATTAACACTTCACACAGCACAAGTAACCAAAGCAAAAATGGACAAACGGGATCATATCAAGTAAAAAGCTTCCACACAGAAAAGAAGATAATTAACAAAGTGAAGAGACAACCCATGGAATGGGAGAAAATATTTGCAAACTCCCCATCAGACAAGCAATAAATAGCCAGAACATATAAGGAGCTCAAACAACTCTATAGGAAAAAAAATCTAATAATCCAATTAAAAATGGATTAAAAGGCCGGGCTCGGTGGCTCACGCCTGTAATCCTAGCACTTTGGGAGGCCAAGGCAGGCAGATTACCTGAGGTCAGGAGTTCAAGACCAGCCTGGCCAACATGGTGAAACCTCATCTCTACTAAAAATACAAAAAAATAGCCAGGTGTGGTGGTGCGCACCTGTAATCCCAGCTACTCGGGAGGCTGAGGCAGAAGAATCGCTGGAACCCAGGAGGCAGAGGTTGCAATGAACCAAGATCATGCCACTGCACTCCCACCTGGGCTACAGAGCAAGACTTCATCTTGAAAAAAAAAAAAAAAAAAAAAAAAAGAGGACAAAAGATCTGAACAGACATTTCTCAAAAGAAGACATCCAAATGGCAAACACGAATATGAAACGGTGCTCAACATCATTGATCATCAGAGAAATGCAAGTCAAAGCTACAGTGAGATATCATCTTACCCCAGTTAAAATGGTTTTTATCCAAAAGACAGCAATAACCAATGCTGATGAGGAGGTGGGGAAAAGGGAACACTTGTACACTGTTGGTGGGAATGTAAATTAGTACAATCACCATGGACAATAGGTTAGAGGTTCCTCAAAACCTAAAAGTAGAGGTACCATATGATCCAGCAATCCCACTGCTGGGTATATATGCAAAAGGAAGGAAATCAGTATATTGAAGAGATACTCCCATCTTTATTGCAGCACTATTCACAATAGCCAAGATCTGGAAGCAGACTAAGCATCCATCAACAGACACTTAGAAAGAAAATGTGGTGTATATACACAATGAAGTACTATTCAGCCATAAAAAAGAATGAGATCCTGTCATGTGCAACAGCATGGATGGAACTCGAGGACATTATGTTAAGTGAAATAAGCCATGTTCCAATTATTTGTGGAGCTAAAAATTAAAACAACTGAACTCAGGGCGATAGAAGGATGGATACCAGAAGGGAAGGGTAGTGGGGAGGGAAGGAGGGGGCGTGGTTAATGAGTACAAAAATATAGCTGGATGGAATGAATAAGATCAAGTATTTGATAGCATGACAGGGTGACTACAGTCAACAATAATTTACTGTACATTTAAAAATAACTAAAAAATTATAATTGGATTGTTTATAACACAAAATGGTAAATGCCTGAGGGGGTGGGTACCCCATTTACCCTGATGTGATTATTACACATTGTATGCCTGCATCAAAATATCTCATATCTACCATACTATATAAACTATGTACCCACAAAAATTTAAAATTTGAAATAAAAAATAACAATAATAAGGCTGGTACTACCTGCTAATGAGGGAGCAATGTCACTTAATACACCATAGCAAAGATACAAATTCCACATCACATAGGCAATGTCCCTTCACAAGAATAAGAAGCTATGAATGATCAGAGACAGAATTGAGCTACTCAACTGTTATTTTAAATTTTAGTTTATGACTATCATTGCCCACCTACATATTTATTAGCATTCACTGATACCAATATACTGTAATTCTTCAGGAAATAGGATTTTATAAGTATTTTCAGGATTAATGGAACTGAACTACATGTTCAGAATGTATAATTTCCTACAAGGTTTCAGGATCTGGCATACCATATCTACACTAACAAAATATTCCCTATAAAATCACTTTATTTTTTTTATTTTTTTTTTTTTGAGATGAAGTCTCACTCTGTCGCCCAGGCTGGAGTGCAGTGGCGTGATCTCTGCTCACCGCAACCCCCGCCTCCTGGGTTCAAGTGATTCTCCTTCCTCAGCCTCCCGAGTAGCTGGGATTACAGGCACGTGCCACTGCACCCAGCTAATTTTTTGTATTTTTAGTAGAGACAGAGTTTCACCATGTTGGCCAGGCTGGTCTTGAACTCCTGACCTCAGGTAATTCGCCTGCCTCAGCCTCCCAAAGTGCTAGGATTACAGGCGTGAGCCACCGCGCCCGGCCCCAAATCACTCTTTTATACACACGTGTAGGCACTGGGTCAAGTATGAGAACTATCCAGTAACAGGACTTTTGGAAGGACTTCCTAACCACATAACACATGCCCGTCTCAGAAGAGAGGCTCCAGCATCATCTGAAAAACAGGAGATTGGAGTCAACCCGTGGAAGAGAAGAGGGCAGACCGGCAACTCACCACGGGAACACGAGGTCAGCCACTGTCAGCCCTGCAGAACAAGTACAAAGCATAAGCAAAAGGACTCTAGAATACAAATACCTCCTAAATCTAGTGTGGACTTCATTACACACTGGTATAGAAAGTAAACCCAGGGGAGGCGCAGTGACTCATGCCCGTAATCCCAACACTTTGTGGGGGCCGAGGCGAGCAGATCACCTGAGGTCAGGAGTTCGAGACTAGCCTGGCCAACGTGATCAAACTCCGTCTCTACTAAAAATACAAAAATTAGCCGGGTGTGGTGGCGGGCACCTGTAATCCCAGCTACCTGGGAGGCTGAGGCAGGAGAATCACTTGAACCTGGGAGGCAGAGGTTGCAGTGAGCCAAGATCGCGCCATTGCACTCCAGCCTGGGTGACAAGAATGAAACTCCATCTCAAAAAAAAAAAAGAAAAAGAAAAAGAAAACTCATAGGCCAGGTGTGGTGTGGCTCACACCTGTAATCCCAGCACTTTGGGAGGCTAAGGTGGGAGGATCGCTTGAGCCCAGGAGTTTGAGACCAGCCTGGGCAACAGAGTGAGACACCATCTGTACTAAAAATTGTTTTAAAAAACTAGCCATGTATGGTGGCACACACCTGTAGTCCCAGCTACTCAGGAGGCTGAGGTGGGAGGATTGCTTGAGCCCAGGAGGTCGAGGCTGTGGTCAGCTATTATCACACCACTGCAATCTAGCCTGGGCTACAAAGCAAGACTCTGCCTTTAAAAAAAGAAAGTAAACTCACAAACTCTTCCTTGAGACTCTGCAACCAAGCACTGGACCTGGCTGGGACACTTCCTATGAACATAACTAGACACAGGAAAACCAAACTAGAAATATGTAGACACGTTTGTTATGTTTAAGAAGCACTAATCCATTTGTAAAGCAACTACCAAGCCAGACTTACAGATATTATTCACCACCACTCAGACCAATCCTAGTTCAACGCCATCTCAAAAAGGACCATAAGTCCTAGAAGACAGAGCCCCCAAGAGCATGGTGGCTGTAATAGAAGGCATATCTAGAATATGACCATGATCATTTACAACCAAATCCATAACATATTCTGCAGAGTCCCTCAGTCCCACAGCAGAAACTTCTAGAGTCTGTTATTACAGTGAAGCTTTACAGATTCACAGCACACAAAAGGAGGAACAAAACTAAAGGGCTCGCAGAATCATCTACAGGTCACCCTAGGAGGGAGCAGGAGCTCAGTGGCTCAGAGGAGGCTGCTGGGGCTCATTTCTGGAGTTTCTGGGGAGAATGCTGAGTGATTCTCCTGCCCTGAAGCTCTGTGAAGGACGTATATAAGCAACATTACTTTTAGGAAATATCTTACCATTCCAACTTGCATGTTTGAAGTACCAATATTTTCCTCCTCCATAATTGACAAAGACCATGAGTATAAGAGCAATCCTAGAAGAAGCCAACAAAGAGAAGCCTTTCAGGGTTTGCTATGTGAAAAGGAAGGGCTGAACTGAAGACACATTTATACTCACAAGGTGCAATCATGCAACAATGCAATTCTACTGAGCATTTTATTACACAAGATGAGACATCAAGGCCAAGAAGCGATTATTTTCTAGTCATCGCAATTAGGACCATGCACTACAGTTAGGACCATTGCCAACACTGCCAACATGATGTCTTAACCAAAGTGTATACTGCAGTCTTAAACTATGTAACTTGAAAACATTGCAAAATATTTCCAATAACTCAGTTTTGTGCTAATTATTTAGATGTCTCGGGTTAAAGAACTCTGGTGGAAGGCACACAGCCAGCTGAGTCAGCGAGCTCAGAATTCCAATCTTAGATCCTTTTCTGTCATTAGCCATAAGACCCTGGGCAAGGTTCTCATCAGTAAACTCAGTGTGCTCATCTGTAAAAGAAAGTGCCCTAACCACATGTGACTTTTAAGGAGAATGATGTATTTTACAGCAGCTAACCAGTGCCCAGCATATTTTAGACACTTAATAAATGTTAGTTCCTGTCTATCTGTGACCATCTTATCTCCAAAAGTAGCAATGGAAATCTAAAAGACAGAGTAATAGATTCCGGATGTGCTACTGTTTGAGGCTAACTGTGCAGAATGCTGAGGGTGCTGACCTTAGGTGTCAACAGACTAATTTGGGAGACTCTGTAACCCAAGTGCCTGCCATCAAACCCTGGCTTTCCTATTTGGTACCTGAGTGAGCTTGGGCAAGTTACTTCACTCAGCAGCACAATTTCTTTTACTTTTAATGTGAATCAGGCACATTAAAAGTATATATCTCATAGGATTACTAAGAGATTAAATAAATTAAGACGAGTTAGAACAGTGACTGGCACATTATGAGAACTCCAGAATTGTTAGCAAGTTTCATTATGATCATATTGTTCTTACTACCTGCTTCCAATCTACCTGCCAGGGCACTCAGGGCTCTGGTGAGACTGGGGCAAAGTTATAGGGTTGTCACTAGAGTTCAGAAGGCTTCAGTATGTAGAAATAAAAGAGCTGATACCTGTGTATTTATTCTTCGCTATACAGTTTTTAAACTTTATTTTCAGATTTCAGTCCTGGCCCTTGTTCTTCTACCAGGGCTATGGGTTTGCTAGCACGAGGGCCTGATACTCAAGTCACTCTGCTAGCAGCGCAGGATCAGCCCTCCCTCTGCCACATGCTGGTGTTTCCTTGCTAGACTAGTGCATCTTCTGAGCCGTCAAGCTACTGACTGGACATGGGATACAGTCTGCAGCCCCAAGTAACAGCGACTTGCCCAAATAAAAATGCCCTTCACTCAGCAGACCACGTATCCAAGTGGACACTGGCTCTGGCCTCATCCACTACTCCTCTGTCAATACAGACACTGAGGATCATGATGGTCTTCCAGACTGGAGAGGCTGCAGAGTTTACTTTTACATCCAAGAAATCCTTCCTAGCCTAGAAAGTAAAAGATATGTAAAAGTCCTTAAAAGCTAAAAGTGTGTGTATGTACAATTATGTAGTCCTGTGACTACCTGCACCCACTGTGCTACAGGGAGGCCCACATACCCCCTGAAGGTGTCCACGCTGCGGAGGCGGGGCGGCAGGGCAGATAGACGCCACGTTGCTGGCTGAACATCACCATCGAGAGGGTCTGTCCTGCTGGGAGATCCCAGCTCCTTCAGAAAAAAAGGGAGAAAGATGACAACTCATAATGCTAAGGGGTAAATTTCATTTTGTCATTTTTTGATTTCTTTGTTTTGTTTTGTTTTGTTTTGTTTTTTGAGACAGAGTCTCGCTCTGTGGCCCAGCCTGGAGTGCAATGGCAAGACCTTGGCTCACTGCAACCTCCACCTCCTGGGGTCAAGCGATTCTCCTGCCTCAGCCTCCTGCGTAGCTGTGATTACAGGCATGCGCCACCACGTCCGGCTAATTTTTGTATTTTTAGTAGAGATGGGGTTTCATCATGTTGGTCAGGCTGGTCTCAAACTCCTGACCTCATGATCTGCCTGCCTCAGCCTCCTAAAGTGCTGGGATTACAGACGTGAGTCACCGCAACCGGCATCAATTTTTTATTTCTTTAGGAAAGAATGTGATATAGTAGAAATCTAAAAATAGTTTAGAAAGCTAAAAAATAGTTTTTCTGTAGGCACAGTGGCTCACACCTGTGATTTCAGCACTTTGGGAGGCCAAGGTGGGCAAATCTCTTGAGCCCAAGAGTTTGAGACCAGCCTGGGCAACATGGTGAAACCCTGTCTCTACAAAAAATACAAAAATTAGCCAGGTGGAGTGGCACACACCTGTAGTCCCAGCTACTTGGGAAGCTGAGGTGGGAAGATCATCTGAGCCCAGGAGGTTGAGGCTGCAGCGAGTTGAGACCACGCCACTGAACTCCAGCCTGGGCAACAGAGTAAGATCCTGTCTCAAAAAATAAAAAAGTTTTTCTAAACAATACTTGGATTTGCTTTTGTAAAGATCCCATCTAGAGGTCTGGTTTTGTACTTTATCAGCTTTTCCTGCCTTTTACTGAGTTTGCCAGTGGCCACATTGATAAATGACACCAAAAAAACTAGTCGTAAGTGCATCTAGCACAAGCACAGAAGCCAACATCCCCATAAATGAGCCTGAATTTATTAACAAAAATTTAATGACATATTTAAATCATTAGAGGAGGCCATCAGCATTTATAGATTTAATATTGTTGTCTCTTATTTCTTTGTTTTAACTTTGACACTCTCTACTTAACTGGATTGATTCAACAATGCTGCCTGCAGAGTGAAAAATGTCTCTACCTCAGGTATCCTGATAGAGCGGAACGTTCCAATGTCACTGAAGCAAGAGAAGGGATGGAGCCCTTCCCAGCAGCTGAAGAGAGGGCTGCTCTCTATTAGGAATACGGGAGCTACAACCTGGCCTTCCTCAATATAAACATAAAACTGGACAATAATGATTAAATAAGAAACTATAAATTCCAAGTTTAGAAAACCACCTGGGCAATACACTATGCATCTCATAACTTACAGAATTGATGAGGCGATCAGTTTCTCGAGAACTTATGGCTTTAGAAATCCAATTGTTAAAGTCATCCAAACTGAAAATAAATAAAGGGCTCAATTAATTTATTTTCATTGGCAGAATTTTTTAAATGATTGGATATTATATGGAAATAAAATTAAAGCTCATATTCTATATTACTAAGTAATTAAACATTCTAAACATTTTTTAACAATATAAAAATAGAAATCACAATTTTCAGCAGCTCTACTTATAAATACTCAACTCTGACAGCATAGTTTCCTCATCAATAAAACAGGAATGATGACAGAGCTTTCATTAAAGACTTCAGAAGGTAAATGAGGTAACTATTCCCCGTGGCTGGGATTCTCACTAATAATACTATTAAAATTAAAATAGCAAAAACTTGGAAACAACCAAATTTACTCAAAACAAGGATGACTAAACACAGAATATGACAGCTGTGTGATAGGATGTGATACAGTCATGAAAGCAAAAGAATGTGGGCTCTGCCCACACAAAGAAACATTAAGATGAAGATATAAATTATTAGGCCAGGCATGGTGGCTCTTGCCTGTAATCCCAGCACTTTGGGGGGCCGAGGTGGGTGGATCACTTGAGGTCAGGAGTTCGAGACCAGCCTGGCCAACATGGTGAAACCATGTCTCTACTAAAAATACAAAAATTAGCCAGATGTGGTGGTACACGCCTGTAATCCCAGCTACTCAGGAGGCTGAGGCAGGAGAATTGCTTGAACCCAGGAGGCGGAGGGAAGTTGCAGTGAGCCGAGATCACGCCCACTGGACTCCAGCCTGGGCAACAGAGCGAGACTCCATCTCAAAAAAAAAAAAAAAAAAAAAAAAAGATCAACTATTAAATACAAAAAGCAAAAACCTAACATTTACATTCAATTACAAACAAAAATGCATATGTGCACACTGGGAAAAGTTGAAAGCAACTTTGGGGTGATTCAAATAGTTAATGTACTGGGTTCTTTTTGAATATGGTTGCTTTAATTCAAAATGATCCAGGCTGGGCGCGGTGGCTCACGCCTGTAATCCCAACACTTTGGGAGGCCAAGACGGGCGGATCACGAGGTTAGGAGATCAAGACCATCCTGGCTAAGACGGTGAAACCCTGTCTCTACTAAAAATACAAAAAAATTAGCCAGGCATGGTGGCGGGCACCTGCAGTTCCAGCTACTCAGGAGGCTGAGGTAGGAGAATGGTGTGAACCCGGGAGGCAGAGCTTGGAGTGAGCCGAGATGGTGCCACCGCACTCCAGCCTGGGTGACATAGCAAGACTCTGTCTCAAAAAAAAAAAAAGAAAGAAAGAAAAGAAAGATATCCAGATAACATTAAATTGATTTACATGACTAACAAAAGATAAATATATTAACTGGTTTTTCTTTAAAATGAGATTTCTACCTGGGAAGAAATCTTTTGAAAAGTATACCCTACCCTGGCATAAACAAATTATCCAGTGCATAGGATTTTTTCCCCTTTTATTTTTTGGTCATGAACAGTTACACAGAAGCAGAGAAACCAGTACAGGCATAGCTCAAGACACTGCAGGCTTGGTCCCAGACCACCACAATAAGGCCAATATCACAATACAGTGACTCTCACAAATTTTCTGTGACCCAGTGTATATAAAAGTTATATATTACACTATACTATAGTCTATTAAGTGTGCAATACCATTATGCACAAAAAGACAGTTTACATACCTTAATTTAAAAATGTATTGCTAATAAAAAGTTAATGATTATTTGAGCCTTCAGCAAGTTCTAATCTTTTTGCTGGTGGAGGATCTGGCCTCCATGTTGATGGCTGCTGAGTGGTCAGGGTGGTGGCTGCCGTAGGTTGAGGTGGCTGTGGCAATTTCCGAAATCAAGACAATACAGTTTGCCACAGACTTTTCCTTTCACAAGATTTCTCTGCAGCACGTGATGCTGTTTGATAGCATTTTACCCACAGTTAGACCTTCTTTCAAAATTAGAGTCAATCGTCTCAAACTCTGCCTCTGCTCTACCAACTACATTTATGTGATATTCTAAATCCTTTGTTGTCATCTCAGCAATGTTCACAACATGGTTACCAGGAGTAGATTCCACCTTGAGAAACCACTTCCTTTGCTCATCTATAAGAAGCAACTCCTTGTCTGATCAAGTATTGTCATGAGATTGCAGCAATTCAGTCACATCTTCAGGCTTCACTTCTAATTCTAGTTTTATTTCCACCACATCTGCAGTTATTTCCTCCACTGAAGCCTTAAACCCCCGAGTCATCCATGAGGGCTGGAATCAACTTCCTCCAAACTCCTGTTAATGTTGATAATTTTACTTCCTCTCATGAATCACAAATTTCTTAATGGCATCTACAATGGTGAATCCTTTCCAGAAGGTTTTCAATGGACTTTGCCCAGATTCATTGGAGAAATCACTGTCTATGTATGGCAGCTATACGGCTTTATAAAAACCTATTTTTTAAATAGTAAGACTTGAAAATCAATATTACTCCTTGATCCATGGGCTGCAGAATGGATATTGTGTTACAGGCATGAAAACAACATTCATCTGCTTGTACATCTCCATTGGAGCTCTTGGGTGACTTGCTGCATTGTCAATGACCAACAATATTTTGAAAAAAATATTCTTTTCTGAACAGTAGGTCTCGACAGTAGGCTTAAAATAGTCAGTAAGCCACGCTGTAAACAGATGTGCTGTCATCCAGGCTTTGCTGTTCCATTTATTGAGCACAGACAGAGGAGATTTAGCATAATTCTTAAGGACCCTAGGATTTCCAGAATGGTAAATGAGCATTGGCTTCAACTTAAAGTCACCAGTTGCGTTAGCTCCTAACAAGAGAGTCAGCCTGTCCTGTGAAGCTTTGAATTCTCCTTCCTGGCTATTAAAAGTCTTAGATGGCATCTTCTTCCAATAGAAGGCTGTTTCATCTGCATGGAAACTGTGTTGTTAGTGTAGCCACTTTCATCAATTATCTTAGCTGGATCTTCTGGATAACTTGCTGCAGCTTCTCCATCAGCACTTGCCGCTTCACCTTGCACTTTTATGTTATGGAAATGGCTTCCTTCCTTAAACCTTCTGAACCAACCTCTGCTAGTTTCCAACTTTTCTTCTGCAGATTCCTCACTTCTCTTAGTCTCTACAGAACTGAAAAGAGCTAGGGCCTTGCTCTGGATTAGGCTTTGGCTTAAGGGAATAGTTTGATCTTCTATCCAGACCATTCAAACTTTCTCCATATCAGCAGTAAGGCTGTTTCATTTTCTTCTTTTTCTTTTTTTTCTTTTTGAGACAGAGTCTAGCTCCTTTGCCTAGGCTGGAGTACAGTGGAGCAATCTCAGCTCACTGCAACTTCTGACTCCCGGGTTCAAGCAATTCTCCTGCCTCAGGCTCCAGAGTAGCTGGGATTACAGGCATGCAACACCATGCCCAGCTAATTTTGTATTTTTAGTAGAGATGGGGTTTTGCCATGTTGGCCAGGCTGGTCTCGAACTCCTAGCTTCAAGCAATAATCTGGCCTCAGGCTCCCAAAGTGCTGGGATTACAGGTGTGAGCCACTAAGCCCAGCCTGTTTCACTTTCTTATCATTTGTGTCTTCCCTGGAGTAGAACATTTAATTTTCTTCAAGAACTTTCACAACTTGGCTAACTGTTGGGCACAAGAGGCCTAGCTTTCAGCCTATCATGGCTCTCGACATGCCTTTCTCACTAAGTTTAATCATTTCTAGCTTTTGATTTAAAGTGAGAGACATGCAACTCTTTCTTTTACTCACTTAGAAGCCACTGTAGGATAATTAATTAGCCTAATTTCAATATTGTTGTATCTGAAAGGATAGAGAAGCCCAAAGAGAGGGAGAGAAATGGGGGAACAGTCAGTGGGTGGAACAGTCAGAATACACTCAATACTGATTAAGTTCACCATCTTATACAGGCAGGGTTCATGGCATCCCAAAACAATTACAGTAGGAGCATCAAAGATCATTGATCACAGATCACCATAACAGATATAATAGTATGAAAAAGTTTGAAATATTATAACGATTACCAAAATGTAATGCAAAGACAAGAAGTGAGCACATGCTGTTGGAAAAATGGTGCCAACAGAATTACTCAATGCAAGCCTGGGCAACACAGTGAGAACTTCATCTCTACTAAAAAAAAAAAAAAAAAAAAAAAAAAATTATCATGGTGGCACATGCCTCTAGTCCCAGCTACTTGGGAGGCTGAGATGGGAGGACTGCTTGTGCCTGGGAGGTCAATAAGGTCAATAAGCGTTGAGTATGTTCTGACTGTTCCTCCATCTCCCTCCCTCTCTTTGGGCCTCTCTATTCATTCAGATACAACAATATTGAAATTAGGCCAATTATAATTGCCCTACAATGGCTTCTAAGCGTTTGAGTAAAAGAAAGAGTTGCATGTCTCTCACTTTATTTTTTATTTTTTGAGATGGAGTCTCACTCTGTCACCCAGGCTGGAGTGCAGTAGCGCGATCTCGGCTCACTGCAAACCTCCACTTCCTGGGTTCCAGCAATTCTCCTGCCTCAGCCTCCCGAGTACCTGGGATTACAGGCGTGCGCCGCCACGCCCAGCTAATTTTTCTATTTTTAGTAGAGATGGGGGTTTCACCATGTTGGCCAGGCTGGTCTCGAACTCCTGAGTTCAAGCGATCCACCTGCCTAGGCCCCCCAAAGTGCTGGGATTACAGGTGTGAGCCATGGTGTCCGGCTGCACGTCTCTCGCTTTAAATCAAAAGGCTGCAGTGTGGGAGGTCAAGGCTGCAGTGAGCTGTGATGGCACCACTGCTCTCCAACTTGGGAGACAGAATGAGACCACGTCTCAAAAAAAAAAAAGAATTGCTGGATGCAGGGTTGCCACGAACCTTCAATTTGTAAAACATGCAATATCTGTGAAGTGCAATAAAGCAAAGCACAATAACACAGGGTTTGCCTGAATAATGGACCTCCATCATCCAGCTTCAACAAGTGTCGACACATGGCCAATCTTACTTCATATGTCCTCTCACCCACTGTCCCTCATTCCTGCCTCGGATTGTTTTATAGAAAATCCTAGACATCATATCATTTCATGCAAAAACAATTTAGTATGTATCTCTAATGGATATGGACTATTTTTATTTCTAAACATAACCACAATACCCTTATCACATTTTTAAATGTTAGCAGTAATTCCTTAATACCGTCACATAGCCAGTGCAGTTTCCCTGTTTCATAACATGTTTTTATAGTTCAGTGGTTCAATTCAGTATCCAAATATGATCCATATGCCCAAGGCATACATTTGCAATTTCTCTTTTTCCCTCACAACTCAACTCTGATTTCTAGTTTATTCAACATGGATAACATCACCATCACATGTAAAATGTTAAAATAGACACATCTAAAGAAGGGTGGCCAGGCATGGTGGCTCACGCCTGTAATCCCAGCACTTTGAGAGGCAGAGGCAGGTGGATCACGAGGTCAGGAGTTCAAGACCAGCTTGGCCAAGATGCTGAAACCTCATCTCTACTAAAAATTAGCTGGGCATGGTGTCACGTGCCTGTAATCCCAGCTATTTGGGAGGCTGAGGCAGAGAATTTCTTAAAACCCAGAGGCAGAGGTTGCAGCGAGCAGAGATCGCACCACTGCACTCCAGCCTGCGTGGCAGAGTGAGACTCCACCTCAAAAAATTAAAAAAAAAAAAAAAGGGTGAAAAGGAGAAGTTAAGATTTCTAAAAATAAAACAAAAATACTTAATTTTCTTGTTCATGCTTGTTGCCTAAGTGAAAAAGAGAGGGGCTCTTTATTCTCTCGACTTTTTCTGGTTGTTTTTTGGCTCACAGTCATCTGAACCTCCCTGGGTATGTTGGAAAGCGAGGGGGCAAGGAATAAGGGACTCCTGCTTTGTCAAGAAGAGCATTCTGCCCGCAGGCTGGAAGGGCAGCATCATGTGCAAAGAGTAGTTTCAGTTCCACATGGGGCAAGGTGGAATCTCTTCCCTTTGAAAATGCTTGATCTCAGCTATCAATTACTTTTTTTTTTCTTGAGAGTCCCCGGCCGGAATGCAGTGGCACAATCTCAGATCACTGCAACCTCCAACCTCCCTCCCACCTCACTGCAACCTCAAGCCATTTTCGTGCCTCAGCCTCCTGAGTAGCTGGGACTACAGGCACCCACCATCACACTTAGCTACTTTTTGTATTTTTAGTAGAGATGGGATTTCATCATGTTACCAGGCTGGTCTCAAACTCCTGACCTCAAGTGATCCATCTGCCTTGGCCTCTCAAAGTGCTGGTATTAGAGGCGTGAGCCACCGTACCCGGCCTAGCTACCAATTACTTTAAAAAGTCATGTAATATGACCAGGTGTGGTGACTCATGCCTATAATCCCTGCACTCTGGGAGTCAGAGACAGATGGAACACTTGAGTCGAGGAGTTCAAGACCAGCCTGGGCAACATATCAAGACCCCGTCTCCACTAAAAATACAAAAATTAAAAAAAAAAAAACCATTAGCCAGGCATGGTGATGCATGCCTGTAGTCCCAACTACTTAGGAGGCAAAGGTGGGAGAATCACCTGAGCCCAGGAAGTCAAGGCTGCAGTCAGCCATAATGGCACCACTGCACTCCAGCCTGGATGACAAGAGTGAGACTCTGTCTCAAAAAAAAAAAAAATCCATAATAGATCCATTTACGTGAAAAGCATCCTGATATACTGAAATAGCATTTGCATTTTATCAAAAGGTTGATGAGATAATACCTTAACTCAAAGAAATGAAACTCCACTGCTAGAATCTTCCTCTATCCCTAAAAAACAGGTTACACACCGGCTTCTGGGCAACATGTGGTTCTTTTACCCTATACACAGTTGGGGTCCTCACACATGGAATTATACTATTTCTAAGATGTACAAAGCTAGAGTATCACAGTGCAGAAATTCCCCAAAGCTTCAGGGTTTCCCAAGCTAGCCGACTTAGAGGTTAGGTTTTCATTCTTTCAGTTTGGATATTGCTCATCAATAAAACCTTGTGGTTCTTCTTGAGACCCTAACAAGATAAGCATGAGAAAATTCACTCTTATTCTTTTTAAAACATGAAAAAAACTTTCCTTTGAAAGTTAATTAAAACTGGATCTATTTTACTTTCTTGTTCTAGTCTACTAATTCACTCTTACCAGAATCGCTATTCACCACGCAGAGCAGGACCAGTCCCTTCTCCACATTGGCTAACAAACTAACCAAGGGACAGGGAGTCCGTGCGAGGTCCAGAAGAACAGCCACCAGGCATACATCTGTGCCACCAGATGCCTGGGCTGGCAGAGGTTGGGCAGCTGGACTAGAAGGTGCCTCAGGGCTCAGGGCCAGAGAGGGGGAAGGGAGTTCAGTGCAGCGACCTCCTCCTAAAATTGTCATGAGCCACTTCTGCTCGTTAAAAAGTCGGATGCTTTAGGAAATAATGATTTCTCAAGCATTTTCTTCCTCTTCAGCCATGTGGGAGGAAGGAAGGAAAAAATCCACAAGCACCTTTAATATCACTTCCCTAAAGTCAGAGACCACGTCTTAGTCTACATGAGTCCCTGAAGCCTAGCACTGGATGGACATGGGGGACACAGAAATGTTCATATCATCGAAGAATATGGCCACTTGAGGGTGACAGCTGCCCCTTCTGAATGTGTTATTTCTATACTCTGCCTTTCCAGTGGCGTCCTCCCCAAATATCTTACCTCAACAAGAGCCTCAGAAAGGATATCACAATGATGACAGCAAGACCAATAAGGAATGCAATGCTCACAGCTAGAAAAAGAGAAGAAAACACATTAGCCCCCAAAAATGTCATCATGAACATCAAAGACATCACATCATTACATTTATCTATAAATGAAAACCAGTGAGGGGAAGCCTATATTCTCATGCTGAATTTCCTATGCTCACCCTGAAGGGAGTGATAATTGTCATTATAAAAAATATCAAACATAAACAAAAGCACAGAGAATGGTACCATCACCCTATATATAATCCATCACCCAGATCCTAGAATTATCAAGATATTGTCCCTGTTGCTTCATCTATAACTACCCACCCACCCCCATGTCCTGCTTTTTCTGGCTAAACTATTTCTTTAGGAATCCAAGACATCATGTTATTTCATCCCTACATACTTCAGGATGTGTCTCTAAAGCCCTTGTAAAGACAGCCTGACACTGTGTGCCTCCTCACACAAGGCACTGAGAAGGACCCAGCCTCGCTTTTGCTGTATACCAGTAAAAAATGCAAAACCTCTACCTATTCATGAGAAAACACCAAACATCAAGCAAATCCAAATCAAGGACAGTTGACAAAACAACCAGACATTACCCTTCAAACCATCAAGGTCATGAAAGACAAAGAAAGACTGAGGAACTGTCCTAGACTGGAGGAGACAAAGGAGATCTGAAAGCTAAATGCAGTGTGGGATCCTACCTCAAATCCAGCACCGGAGAAGGATATTAAAAGGGACATTTAGAGAAATTTAAATAACCCCAATCAGTACTGTATCAATATTATGTTCAATGTTAAGAACAATGTTAAGTTGCTGGTTTCAGTAATAGTATGTGGGATAATTACACTGTGATTTTACAGTTTAGGGTTTAGGGGAAGCTAAGTGAAGGATATTTGAGAACTCTTTTTGCAACACTTCTACAAATCTAAAACTATTTCAAAACTAAAAGTATCTTTGAAATGGGCCTTTTGTTATATAAACACAATGTCATATGAAATTAACAATAACTTCCTGGCCAACACTGAAAGTGTACCTGTTGCGGTTGCCCCATGACTGGTGGATGTGTTCAGCTGGTAAAAATTCCCCTTCACCTCGTGGTTTCATCCACTCATATAGTATATGCCTGAATCACAATCACTTACTTCATTAAGGGTTGCGACATATCCTGCCCTTTTGCTGTATTTATTACCTGGAATTCTTCTCCACAGAATTTTCCCTCAACAGGGACTATCTTTGGTTACCCTGAATTACAGTTAAAACGGGCAAAATAAATGCTTAAATCTCTCCTTTCAACTGACAATTTTAAATCACACAGTTAACATCAGGTGCCCTGATTACCTATAAAGACAAAGCATTGTTTTTGTTTTCTTTGGGAAGGCAGGCCTTGCTCATCTTAGTTTCATATGACCTCATGGTTTTTATACATTCATTATTTTTCTTCCACTACATATATTATTCTTCTTAATGCTTAAATTGTCCTACATTGGCCCTTTCATATCGGCTCCTGCGTTCTTTTGATATAACCTCATAGTCTTTAATAGCTTCCCTGTGAACAGTACTTGTTCACACCACAGGGATTTGTTACTGCCTTTCAAAAGGCAGCACATACATTGTTACCTAATAGGGAGTTCCGAATGGCAGATTTTCTTCAGTGGGGTTATTAGATAATGAATGATCCCTCCTTAACCTAAGAGGATCTCTGGACTGGCAGCAGAAGATATACAGGAAATACTATACGCTCACTCCTAAAACAAGGAGAGATATTTGACAGTCAATTACCCTATTTCTAGTTTCTTTCCACTGCATTAACATTTTTGGCTTATTAATGCTTCATAATTAAACTAAAAACTATGAGAATGTATTGATATATCATATAATTTTTTTTGAGACAAGGTCTGGCTCTATCACCCAGGTTGCAGTGCAGTGGTACAATCTTGGCTCATTGCAACTTCTGCCTCCCAGGTTCAAGCCATCCTCCCACCTCAGCCTCCCAAGTAGCTGGGACTACAGGCACGCATCGCCAGGCCCAGCTAATTTTTGTATTTTTTGTAGAGATGGGGTTTTACCACATCACCCAGGCTCGTCTCAAACTTGTGAGCTCGAGTGATCTGCCTGCCTTGGCCTCCCAAAGTGCTGGGATTACAAGCATGAGCCACCATGCCAGGCCAATAAATAATTTTTTAATGTCACATAATTGTATTATTATATACAGATAATACAATAAACATATTTTAAATACATCATAACTAAGTAGAAATAACCTATAATTTATGTGGATTTTTTGGGGGGAGTGGTGCTCATCAATGACCTAAGATTTAGGTTTTCAACTACAGAAAGCGTCATGGACTGCTTTGCTTTACAAACAGTACTCAAAAACTGAAACCTCTGAAAATGCAAATGTGAAAATCAGCAGAGAACATATACGTACGAAGGTTACTATCAACTGGATCCTCGTTCACAGCCAGGTCACAGGCAATTTCACTAACTCCATTATGGATGTTCTTTACCAAGAGAGAATAGTTTCCAAATTCTCCAAATCTGTATTCCAACCTACAAACATTAGGTAAAATTAAGACAAGTGGTTAGATTAGAAAATAAGAAGTTGGATTTTGCTAATATCATGGAGGCAGAATAATACATGTTCCTGGGTACGGACCAGAAAAGATAAAGAAAAATACTGTAAAGAGAAAAAAAGCTAAAACCAAAATAGAAAAAGAGAAAATGCAGACTTCACTTAGATCACAACAAAGCAGGCACAAACCTACAAACTTCTTTCTCTTCCAAGGTGTCGTTCAGCTGCAGGATAGATCCGTGCTGGGTGCTGACAGAGGCAGCTGCAGCACTAGGCTTCCCTGCTTTTGGACTCTGAGGAACGTTTACCAGAACCTGAAACAAGCACTGTAAATAAAAGCACAACAGGTCAACCGCCAGAGGTTTTTCAACATCTGTTGATTGCTGGAGGACATAAATATCCAACTGGAGATCCTGACATGACTTTTCCTTCATACTTATAAAAAAACCTCTACATTTCAATAATTTAAATTTACCTATTATTTTGTACTAAAACAATGACTGGGCTGGGCGCAGTGGCTCATACCTGTAATCCCAGCACTTTGGGAGGCCAAGGCAGGCGGATCAGGAGGTCAGGAAATCAAGACCATCCTGGCCAACATGGTGAAACCCTGTCTCTACTAAAAAATACAAAAATTAGCTGGACGTGGTGGCACATGCCTGTAATCCCAGCTACTTGGGAGGCTGAGGCAGGAGAATCGCTTGAACCAGGGAGTAGGAGGTTGCAGTGAGCTGAGATCACGCCACTGCACTCCAGCCTGGCAAGAGAGCAAGACTCTGTCTCAAAACAAAAAACAAAACAAAAAAAAAATCACTGTGTCACTATGGAATTGTACAATCTTCATAGGTAAACTTCACAAATCAATAAGTAGAACATACATTAAGTCTTGCATTAAGTCTTGCATAAATTTAATATTAACAAGTAAGTTTCCATGATTTTATCTAATGTGCATATTTGTAACTTAATATATGTATTCTAGTCAGTCCATCAAATACTTTGAGTATTTAGGCTGGTTTCAAAGCTTTTTTAATCTATTTATTGTTTTTGCTATATAAATTATGTGTTTTAAAAGACCTACACATGAGGTTCTTATTACTTTTTTGTTTTGTTTTATTTTTGTTTTGAGATGGGGTCTCACTCTGTCACCCAGGTTGGAGTGCAGTGGCATGATCTCAGCTCACTGCAACCTTCACCTCCCAGGCTCAAGCAATTCTCCCACCTCAGCCTCCCAAGTAGCTGGGACCACAGGCACGCATCACTACGCCCAGCTAGTTTTTTGTACTTTTTGGTAGAGATGGGGTTTTGCCATGTTGCCCAGGCTTGTCTTGAACTCCTGAACTCAGGTGATGCACCTGCCTCAGCCTCTCAAAGTGCTGGGATTACAGGCATAAGCCACCATGCCTGGCCAAGGTTCTTATTCTTTTCAATTCTTTCTCTAAAGCAGATTTCTAAGGGTAAGATTACTGGATTAAAAAAATAGTCATTTTAATAGCTCCCGTTACAAATGACCAAATATTAGTTAAATAAATCAAATTAAAGCAATATATTTATTTCTCACCAGCTTTACTAGGATTTTAAAATCATTTTTTGTTCAGTTACTAGATATTTATATCACAGCATTAAGATTATATTTTAAAATGATCACAAATTAAATAATTCAATAATTTTGTTATTTTGTTTCCTATGGTGTGAAACACTGTTTACATACCAAGTTCCCTTGACATAATCTTAGAAATATGTCCTCATATACTATAATATTAAACTTTTAACCCTCTCAAATATTTCTCCATTCTAGTGCTTTCTGTTTCATCCTGCTATATTATGTTTTCAATTATAAGTTTTAAATTTTTAATATAGCCATACTAATCTGGCTTGTTGTTTCTTCTATTGCTTCATTAATTCAAAAATGTATTCTGCTGACATAGAATAGTTGAAAGGATTAAAAAAAACAGACCCAACTGTATGCTGCCTACAAGAGACTCCCTTCAATTTTAAGAACACACAGACTCAAAGAAAAGGGATGGAAAAAGGTATTCTATGAAAATGGAAACAAAAAAGGTCAAGAGTAGCTGTACTAATACAAAAGACATAGACTTTAAGCCAAAAACTGTAAAAAGAGAAAAAGAAGGCCATTATATAAAAGGCCATATAAAATGATTAATACAGCAGGAAGATGTAACAGTTATAAATATATTTGCACCCAACATTGTAACAACTAAATATATAAAGGAATTATTAATAGACCTAAAGGGAGCAAACAAGTCTAAACAAAGTTTAAAAATCAAAATCATATCAATTATCTTTTCTGACCACAATGGAATAAAACTAAAAATCAGTAACAGGAGGAACTTTGGAAACTGTACAAATCCATGAAAATTAAACAACATATTCCTGAATAACCAATGAGTCAATGAAAAAATTTTAAAAATTAGCTGGGCATGGTGGTGGGCACCTATAATCCCAGTTACGTGGGAGGCTGAGGCAGGAAAATCACTTGAACCCAGGGGGTGGAGGTTGCAGTGAGCCGAGATGACACCACTTCTCTCCAGCCTGGGCGAAAGAGTGAGACTCTGTCTCAGAAAAGAAAAAATTTAAAAGAAATTTAAAATTTTCTTGAGAAAATGTAAAAAGAAATTTAAAACTAAAAATGTTGTTTCCATATGAAAATGGAAGCACAACATTCCAAAACCTATGGAATACAGCAAAACCAGTTCTAAGAGAGAAGTTTATGGCAATAAATGTCTACATCAAAAAAGTAGGTGACTGGGCACAGTGGCTCATGCCTGTAATCCCAGCACTTTGGGAGGCCGAGGCTGGCAGATCACCTGAGGTCAGGAATTCGAGACCAGCCTGGCCAACATGGTGAAACCCCATATCTACTAAAAATACAAAATTAGCCGGGCATGGTAGTGGGTGTCTATAATCCCAGCTACTCAGGAGGCTGAGATGGGAGAATCACTTGAACCCGGAAGACAGAGGCTGCAGTAAGCAGAGATGTGCCATTGCACTCCAGCCTGGGCAAAAAGAGCACAACTCCATCTTAAAAAAAGAAAAAAAAAAGGACACACATTGAGGAAAGGACAGTCTCTTCAATAAATAGTGCTGGGAAACTGGATATTTACATGTAGAAGAATGAAACTAGACCCCTATCTCTCATATCTTTCACAAACCAACTCAAAATGGATTAACAGCTTAAATGTAAGACCTGAAACTATGAAACTACTAGAAGTAAGCATGGGGGAAACATTGCATGACACTGGTGCATAGGTAACAGAAGCAAATCTAGACAAATGGGATTATACTAAAGTAAAAAAGCCTATGCACAGTGAAAGAAGCAATCCACAGAGTGAAGAAACAAGCTATAGAATGGGAGAAAATATTCACACACTACCATCTGACAGAATATATAAGGAACTCAAACACCTCAATAGCAAAAAAAAGGCTCATTTTTTAAATGGGCAATAAATCAAAATAGGTATTTCTCAAAAGACATATACAACTATTATGTATCAGGGGAAAAAAAGAAGATATAAAAATCCCAACAGGTATGTGAAAAAATGCACATCACTAATAATCAGGGAAATGTAAATCAAAACCACAATAAGATATCACCTCAACTCAGTTATTTAGATTGGCTACTATCAAAAAGACAAAAAATAATGCATGCTGGCAAGGATGTGGAGAAAGGGGCACTCTTACACACTGTTGTTGGGAATATAAATTAGTACAGCCATTGTGGGAAACAATATGAAGGTTCCTAAAAATTAAAATAGAACTACCACATGATCCAACAATCCCACTACTGGGTATAGATCCAAAAGAAAGAAAATCAGTTTGTCAAATTTACAAGAAAAAAACAAACAACCCCATCAACAAGTGGGCGAAGGATATGAACAGACACTTCTCAAAAGAAGACAATTATGCAGCCCACAAACACATGAAAAAATGCTCATCATCACTGGCCATCAGAGAAATGCAAATCAAAACCACAATGAGATACCATCTTACACCAGTTAGAATGGCGATCATTAAAAAGTCAGGAAACAACAGGTGCTGGAGAGGATGTGGAGAAATAGGAACACTTTTACACTGTTGGGAGGACTGTAAACTAGTTCAACCACTGTGGAAGTCGGTGTGGCGATTCCTCAGGGATCTAGAACTAGAAATACCATTTGACCCAGCCATCCCTTTACTGGATTACCCAAAGGAATATAAATCATGCTGCTATAAAGACACATGCACACATATGTTTATTGCGGCACTATTCACAATAGCAAAGACTTGGAACCAACCCAAATGTCCAACAATGATAGACTGGATTAAGAAAATGTGGCACATATACACCATGGAATACTAGGCAGCGATAAAAAAGGATGAGTTCATGTCCTTTGTAGGGACATGGATGAAGCTGGAAACCATCATTCTCAGCAAACTATCGCAAGGACAAAAAACCAAACACCGCGTGCTCTCACTCATATGTGGGAATTGAACAATGAGAACACATGGACACAGGAAGGGGAACATCACACACCAGGACCTGCTGTGCGGTGGGGGGAGGGGGGAGGGATAGCATTAGGAGATATACCTAATGTTAAATGATGAGTTAATGGGTGCAGCACACCAACATGGCACATGTATACATATGTAACAAACCTGCACATTGTGCACATGTACCCTAAAACTGAAAGTATAATAAAGAAAAAAAAAGTAATACAAGTCTATCTTGCTACAAGAAGTTTGTGTGGCTAATAAGGAATTTCTAGCATGAAATTCTTGCCTTCAAAGCAGCCCCCTGGCCTGGATTCTACAATAAAGATCAATCTCATTTTCATCCTTCAAGAAAAAAAAGAAAAGAAAAGAAAATCAGTTTGTCAAAGAGATACTTGTACTCCCATGTTTAATACAGCACTATTCATAATAGCCAAGATATGGAATCAACCTAACTATCCATCAACCGATGAATGGACAAAGAAATGTGCAATATATTCACAGAGGAATACTATTCAGCCATAAAAAAGAATAAAATCCTCTCATTTGCAGCAACATGGATAAGCCTAATGGACATTATGTTAAGTGAAATAAGCCAGACACAGAAAGACAAATACCACATGATCTCACTCGTATGTAAAAGCTAAAAATGTGACCTCATAGAAGTAGAGAGTAAATAGAGGTTAGTAGGAAAGAGGAGATATGGAGGTTGATCAACAGGTGTAAAAGTCACAGTTACAATGGGATCAGTTCTGGTGACACATGGCACAGTAGGGTGACTATAGTTAACAATAATGTAATGTATATTGCAAAATAGATGAAGAGATGATTTTGAACCATCGCACCACAAAGAAATGACAAGTGTTTTGGTGATGGAAATGTTAACTACCCTAACTTGATCATTACCCAACGTGTACATTGGCTGGGCACGGTGGCTCACACCTGTAATCCTAGCACTTTGGGAGGCCGAGGTGGGCGGATCACTTGAGCTCAGCAGTTCGAGATACTGTACCCCATAAATATGTACCATTATTATGTCAATTAAAAAAAAAACTTTTTAAAAATGTATTCTGCCTTTTAAAATTTTTTTTAGTTTGTGGGTTTACTTTTTAACTTGAATCCTCTTGGAGTACTTGATACATGGTATACAGTAATTTTAAATACCTTTCCCCATGGTCTTAGTTATAATACTCTAGGTTCTTACATAAATTAGATTCTACTTCTCACACTTACATTGGTCTGTTAGTCTTCATTTCTCTTTTTTGGCTACATAAACGATTATGGCCTCACAATATATCTTATCTAATACAGCAAGTCTCCACATTGCCCAATCTCCTTTTGGGCCTTTTTTTTTTTCTTTTAAGCTAGTCAAGCATGGTTGTCGGGGGAGACAATATTAAATCAGCTTAACAATAACCCACAATACTCAGACCAATTTGGGCCGTCTTTTGATCCTCTGACTCATTTACTTTTTCATATGAATTTTGAAATTATTTATGTAGACTATATAATGAATTCTATTTACATATTAATAGAAATTAAGTATATTAATTAACTTGGGAAACACTGATATTTTTCCTGTTTAGTCTTGATATCAATGGTTATTGGCTATCTCTCCACTTAACCTTTATTTTTCTCATTTAAATGTATCATTTTCATCCAGATCTGTGGTTCACGCCTGTAATTCTAGCACTTTGGGAGGCCGAGGCAGGAGAATCACTTGAGGCCAGGAGTTCCAAACCAGTCTGAGCAACATAGCAAGACCTTGTCTCCACAAAAATTTTTAAATAAAAAATTAGCTGGGTGTCATGGTCCACGCCTATAGTCCTAGCTACTTGAGAGGCTGAAGCAGAAGGATTTCTTGAGCCCAGGAGTTTGAGAGTGCAGTGAGTCATGATCACACACCACTGCACTCCAACCTGGGCAACAGAGCAAGACCCTGCCTCAAAAATAAAAAATCATTTCTCAGCTTGTTCTTACTTCGATTCTGCTATCATTTTCTACCTTATGTATTTATTAATATTATTGCTTCTTTTTCTTTTTGTTTGGATGATTACACTGTTTGCTTTCAAAAACCTTGAGATCCCTACTGAATAGCTTTGCATTTCCCCTTTTCTTTCTTGAGATGGACTCTCGCTCTGTCACCCAGGCTGGAGTGCAATGGCATGCTCTCAGCTCACTACAACCTCCGCCTACCAGGTTCAAGTGATTCTCCTGCCTCAGCCTCCCAAGTAACTGGTACTACAAGCGCCCACCACCATGCCCAGCTAATTTTTGTATTTTTAGTAGAGATGGGGTTTCACCATGTTGGTCAGGCTGGTCTCAAAACTCCCAACCTTCAAGTGATCTGCCCACCTGGGCCTCCCAAAGTGCTGGGATTAGACGTATGAACCACTGCATCCAGCCTCCCCTTTTCTTTCTGATTAACATAAATACCAACCTCCAAAGCTACAGGGAGGGGTGAATTGTAGCTTTGCCACCTAACAGCTAGGTAACCCAGAAAAATGTCACTTTATTTCTCTTAATTTCAGTATCTCCAGCAAATCCTCTCTCCTGGATAGAATCTCTCTACTGGAGTGTTGTAAGTTAAATGAGACAGACCTAAAACACTGAACAAGTCCTCAGGAAACAGTAGCTGCAATTTCTATTACCATCGTCTTTATTATTATGAACATTTACATGCATTTTTTTCATAGGAATTGCTTTGGCCTGATCTAAAGATTTTCAACGAAATGCTCGTATTTATATTATAACCCTTATTATATTAGTTTGTTTCTTTGTTGTGCAGAAGTATGAGGTAGAATACATAATCCCTGCTTTTTTTAATTTATCCAGTCTCTTTTGACTTAACATATGATGAGTGTTTTGTGAAACGAATATATACAGGAATTTTTTAATTATCTACTTTTTTCATTTAATTTCTGCCACACGTGTTACTTATTTCTATTGCCAGTAACACTGACACGTGGAGAGGTCTCGCTCTGCTTCAGCTTACAGACACTCAGTCACGAAACACTCCCAAGGAGCTCAGCGGCAGGTTCCGTTATTTTTCCAGCTTCACAGGGGAAGAGAAGCAGAGAGAAGGTGAGAACCATACCCAAAGTAACACAAGTGACAGAGGTGGGATTCAAACCAGACACTTGGACTGCAGAATCCAAGCTCTTAACCACCTCACTCCCTGACATTATTCAGCTCAGTTCACCAGCTCTATGATGAAACCTTCAAAATGTTTGCCCTGGTAAGAGTATCTTATCATTTGTCTCTACTACGACTTTGTTTTGTATTATTAGCTGCTACCATTATTTTCGATGTACTTTGGGGACCCACATAAATTTGGTGCCTTTTTATTTAGGGTGTTCATATTTTAGCATTAGTATTTACTATTTATGCAAATGCTTAACTAGCCCCTTTTATTCTAATATCTACTTCATCAAAAAGTACAAGTTTTCATTGTATTCTTTATGAGTGCAATATTTTAGTTTTTAATACTTTATTTACTAATGTATATATATATAGCTCTTCTCTTTCCAAAAGCAATTTTATTTTATTTATTTATTTATTTATTTATTTATTTATTTTGAAACGGAGTCTCGCTCTGTCACCCAGGCTGGAGTGCAGTGGCGCAATCTTGGCTCTTTGCAAGCTCCGCCTCCCGGGTTCACGCCATTCTCCTGCCTCAGCCTCCCGAGTAGCTGGGACTACAGGAGCCCACCACCATGCCTGGCTAATTTTTTGTATTTTTTAGTAGAGACAGGGTTTCACCGTGTTGGCCAGGATGGTCTCGATCTCCTGACCTTGTGATCCGCCCACCTTGGCCTCCCAGAGTGCTGGGATTACAGGTGTGAGCCACCGCGCCTGGCCTCCAAAAGCAATTTTAAATACTCACAATATCTTTTCTTTTTTATGTATTTTCCACATTGTATAGTCTTGTTTTTGTTTTGTTTTGTTTTGAAAGAGATGAGGACTTACTTTGTTGCCCCAGCTGGTCTCAAACTCCTACCTCAAGTGATCCTCTCACCTTGGCCTCCCAAAGTGCTGGGATTACAGGTGTGAACTACCTCGCAGGGCTCAGTCTTCTTTTTTTAGCAATATTTTAAAGATACAGAAACATTAACTGTTTACCATACTGAGAACATCTTACTTATAAAAAACTAAATGTTGGCCAGGCGCGGTGGCTCACGTCGGTAATCCCAGCACTCTGGGAGGCTGAGGCGGGCGGATCACAAGGTCAGGAGTTCAGGACCAGCGTGGCCAAAATGGTGAAACCCTGTCTCTACTAAAAATACAAAATTACTGGGTGCGGTGGCGGGCGCCTGTAGTCCCAACTACTCGGGAGGCTGAGGCAGGAGAATCGCTTGAACCCAGGAGGTGGAGGTTGTGGTGAGGTGAGATCGTGCCACTGCACTCCAGCCTGGGCGACAGAGCAAGACTCCGTCTTAAAATAAATAAATAAATAAAATAAAAGGTCTTTCTACTTTAAGGAAGTGAGATAAAGAGGGAAACAGAACAGGAAATTCTTCAACTCAGCTAGTAACTGATCTCTTGGGCATACCTTCACCTTAAATATCTTAAAGATATCCTTCCATCAGCCCCAGATTTTTATTATCTGGTTTACTAAATGTATGAAGTTATTATAATTTGCATTTTTTGCATACTTGTGTCTCCTATAATCTACATCTGCTTAAAATTTAAAAAAAAATTTTTTTTTTTTTTGAGACAGAGTCTTGCTCTGTTGCCCAGGCTGGAGTACAGTGGCCCGATCTCGGCTCACTGCAAGCTCCGCCTCCCGGGTTCACGCCATTCTCCTGCCTCAGCCTCCTGAGTAGCTGGGACTACAGGCGCCCGCCACCATGCCTGGCTAACTTTTCGTATTTTTTCAGTAGAGACGGGGTTTCACGGTGCTAGCCAGGATGGTCTCGATCTCCTGACTTCGTGATCCGCCCGCCTCGGCCTCCCAAAGTGCTGGGATTATAGGCGTGAGCCACCGCGCCCGGCCTAAAATTTTAAAAATTATCATTAAATTTCAAAATTTAAAAGTTTATGTCTAGACATAATTTTATCAGTCTCTAGTTAAAAGAGTCATAAGTGTCTTTCCAGTTTCCAGGGTAAAATCTTTTTTGCAATAATGGGATATTTTCTACCACTATGATTAAATACAAACCCTGTGTCACTTCTTTATACATTTTCCTGACATAATTATCTCCATGCTCTTTTAAATAAATCGGCAATTTTTTTCTTAAAACAGTCTCGTGTAGTTAATTCCTTTATTTATTTATTTATTTATTTATTTATTTTTTGAGACAGAGTCTCGCTCTGATGCCCAGGCTGGAGTGCAGTGGCTCGATCTCAGCTCACTGCCACCTCTGCCTCCCGGGGTTAAACGATTCTCCTGCCTCAGCCTCCCAAGTAGCTGGGATTACAGGCACACACCACTGTGCGTAGCTAATTTTTGTATTTTTAGTAGAGTCGGGGTTTCACCATGCTGGCCAGGCTGGTCTCAAACTCCTGACCTCATGATCTGCCCACTAGGCCACCCAAAGTGCTAGGATTATAAGAGTGAGCCACCGTGCACGGCCTGTCTTCCTGTTTTTTAATTCTTTCTTTTTTTTTTTTTTTCTTGAGACGGAGTTTCGCTCTTGTTGCCCAGGTTAGAGTGCAATGGTGCGATCTCGGCTCACTGCAACCTCCGCCTCCACCCAGGTTCAAGCGATTCTCCAGCCTCAGCCTCCCAAGTAGCTGTGATTACAGGCACCTGCTACCATGCCCGGGTAATTTTTTGTATTTTTTAATAGAGATGGGGTTTCACCATGTTGGCCAGGCTGATCTCTAACTCCAGACCTCAGGTGATCCACCCTCCTTGGCCTCCCAAAGTGCTGGGATTACAGGTGTGAGCCACCATGCCTGGCCTCTTTTTTAATTCTTTAATTTGTCCACAGCATCACTGTTGTATGCCAATGATCCTACTTGTTTTATTCTAATAATGGTCTTACTTGCCCTACACCTAACACCTTGACGACAGCATAACACCTTGATATAGCATTACTATATATATGAATTTAATATAAATTTAATATAAATTAAATATAAATATAAATTAAAATTCAACCTCTGATGGTAGGTATAACGAAGCTCTCAATTTGGCAATAAAAATTTTTTCTTTTTATTTTTTTGAGACAGAGTTTCGCTTTTGTTGCCCAGGCTGGAGAGCAATGGCGCGATCTCGGCTCACTGCAACCTCCACCTCCTGGGTTCAAGCGATTCTCCTGCCTCAGCCTCCCAAGTAGCTGGGATTACAAGTCATGTGCCACCATGCCCGGTAATTTTGTATTTTTAGTAGAGACAGGGTTTCTCCATGTTGGTCAGGCTGGTCTCGAACTCCTGACCTCAGGTGATCCCCCTACCTCGGTCTCCCAAAGTGCTGAGATTACAGGCGTGAGCCACTGTGCCTGGCAAAAACATTTTATCATTTCAATTTTTATTTTAGATTCAGGGGCACATGTGCAGGTTTGTTACATGGGTATACTGTATGATGCTGAAGTTTGGGGCATGAATGATCCTGTCTCCCAGGTGGTGAGCACAGTACCTAGTAGGTAATTTTTCAGCCCTATAGGTACTACTCAGCTCTAGTACCCAAGTTTTTCAGTACTGCTTGGGTACTGCAGCCCAAATAGTCCCTAGTGTCTCCTGTTCCCACCTTTATGTTCATAAGTACCCAATGCTTAGCTCCACTTAGAAGTGAGAACATGCAGTATTTGGCTTTCTATTCCTGTGTTAATTTACTTAGGATATTGGCCTCCAACTGCATCCATGTTGCTGCAAAGGACATGATTTCATTCTTTTTTTATGGTTGCATAGTAGAATATTTTATTTTACATGAAAGAATAGCCTTGTCCTTAAAAAGCAACAAGGTCTAGAATAGGAGTAAAACCTTCAGAGAAAATGCATTTGTTATCATCAGGGAGGCAGGGCCCTGGAATAACTGCCACTCCCTCAACTTGCACCACTCTGCTGGCCCCTGGAGAATACCCTGGTGTCTCACTCCTTCCTTCTCTGGTCCAGCAAGAGGGTTATGCACTAGAGAGGAGGAAAATAAAACATAGTCTATCAAGGTTGTTCATCCCTGAGAACTGGCTTTTTAAAGGATGAGTAGATGAAAAGATAAAAATAGATGCTGTGCATTCCTAGGCATCCTCCCCTGACTGTATTTCTTCCGACTCTTTATATAGCTTCTTTGTTTCTTTAGCTGCAAAACTGAAATTAACTTGTGAAGGGCTTTAGACATGAGAGCATTAAGGATCATATCAAACAAGCCCCAAAGCAAACAGAACTGAGTGTGAACTGATACATACGTGATAACAGCATTCAGATTTCCAGTAGACGGTCAAGTTGGTCCAGAGAAGTTCATTATGGATGAGTAGCAAAGCCTGATCCATCTTCAGCTCTGCATGTCTTTTTTTGTCTAAGTCTGGTAGAAATTAGGAAAAGTTAAAAAAAAAAAAAAAAGGCACCCGAAAGATGTGTTAGAGACAAAGTACATTCGTGTGAACAGTTGCTTCCAGTAGTGCTTCTCAAAAGCTTACACTCTGGGATTTCTGGGGTCTCTCACACATTACTTTGTGTATGCGCAGATATATGTGCGTGCATGCATGCATGTGCACACACACACATGCATGCATGTGCACACACACAGGTCTCCTTTTGCACAGATGTCTCTACTACAAGAGGATTCAGTCAACACCACTCAAATCTAGTGCATCAAAGGATCGTGTAAGGAACTTATATTCATCGAGTGCTAAGATGTGACATGTACTGAATTTAGTAGTTTCCCTATAATAATGACAATCTTATGAGCTAGGTATTTTCCCCACTTTACAGATGAATAAATTAAGCCTCTCAAGAATTAGATAACTGCCTGTGACCACGGTTTTTCAATGAAATAATTGATATGAACCCAATTTGTATTACTCTAAAGTTCAAGCTTTCTCCCCTACCACGTTACTGAGCTGCGATTGTAGCCAGGCAGCTTGTTAGAAATGCAGAACCTGCTTGAGTCAGACAGGTTAGCGAGGCCCAGGGGCGGGGTGCACGTGTCTTGAAAGTTTGAGAAGTGCTGCTTTCTATCACTTTGTTTTGGAGTTTGGAATATCCTAATTTCCATGGCAGATCGGAGAGGGGTAAGCAGACAGTTTTAAGACAAGCCTCAGTCTGAAGGGCAGAGAAACTCACTGCTCCTGGATTGGGAGCAGTGAATCCTGGATTGGGAGCATGCCCCAATCCAGAAACTCACACAGCTCACCAGTTCACTAGATGATGTGCTGAGGATGACAGAAAGATGACGCACATTCTAAAATCACGTGTGCCAATTTGGTAGGAAAAATAAAGTGAACTGCTCTTGTCTAAAAGTCAAAGCAGAGTGGTTCATGTCAACCAACTGGGCCATTTATATGATATTATATAAAAGAGAAGTTAATTTATCCTCTGAGTAAATTTACCCAAAAGAAAAAAATGGGGAACTACTTAATAACACAATGAGGAAGGTAAGAACTCGGTCTCTATTTTGTAATGGGAAAGCTTCCTCTGGGCTCCCTAGTCACTCATTTGAATGGCAGAATCATGAATTCTTCACGTAGCCAGCTCAATCCCTCTTTCTTTCTTTTTTTTTTAAATGGAGTCTTGCTCTGTCACCCAGGCTGGAGTGCAGTGGCGCGATCTCGGCTCACTGCAACCTCTACCACTCGGGTTCAAGCCATTCTCCTGCCTCAGCCTCCTGAGTAGCTGGGACTACAGGCACGCACCACCAAACCCAGCTAATTTTTGTATTTTTAGTAGTGACGGGGTTTCACCACATTGGCCAGGATGGTCTCGATCTCTTGACCTCGTGATCTGCCTGCCTCGGCCTCCCAAAGTGCTGGGATTATAGGCATGAGCCACTGTGCCGGGCCTCAATCCCTCATTTTTAAGTTTATCTTACTTTACCCTTATTTAGCTCTCAGTGAAGACAAGCCCTGCAGTATAAAACTCTTAATCCACTAGAGCTGGCTTTTCCTTGGTGATGAAGGGGTAGAGATTGAGCCATGGGGATGCTTTAGGTTAAAGAATGCTTTTTTTTGGCCATCATGAGGATCTAACAACAGAGTAGAAGGAAGGATGCCCTAGGTCAGCACGCAGGGTGGTGGGAGGGCTTTCATCTTCCTTACCCAAGCCTCTCTTTTCACTTTTCTAGAAGTTCGGAAGTTGTTATATGATGAAATAGCCTCCTTTAACGTTTATTTCTGGGTGCCAAGGGAGGCCCATTCCTCTAACATTCTGATAATTCTTCTCAAAGGCCTATGATCTAAACATTTCACCATGGCATCCACTTAGCTGTGAGGCTGCATACACAGTCTCCACCTCTGAAATCTGAACTTCATTTACCAGTGGTGCTGTTTGAACTTCATAATGCCAGCACTTCCTGAACACTTACTGTGTGCCTGGCTTGTGTTCCTGAGTGCCTTATATCACAAGGAAACGGCAAAATCAGGGGACTGGTGTAAGTGGTGAAGCTGGGCTTGAATCTAAGCTTTGTCTTCAGAGCCAGTACCCCTAACCTCTCTTTCTGTAAAACATTACTTTTCAAAGAATGAAGTTGTAGCCAAATCTTGAAATTTTTCATTTACCCTAAGTGAGAACAAATAAAGCTTTCAGCAAAATAATAATAATAATAATAATCCACTATAGCTTTTGGTTCTCTAGGCCAAAGAAAGCTTTCACAATCATTTTTTCTGTTCTTTGGTCTCCTGGAAAGCTTTCAGTGGAAGCGATGTTTGGGACCTGGAGTATGACATAGTGGGATAAATTCAAGTTAAACTTGAATCTGAAGCCCAACTTGCCTCAGTTTCCTCACCAATAAATTAAGGGTCATAAGAGTATGTGCCTCATGAAACCGTTGGGAAATCTAAACTTGACCATCTACAAAGTGGCTGGCACAGAAACAAGTGCTCAACACATAGACATTACAGTGATCCAGGCCACATCCAACCAATGCAGAGACCAACAGAGCCTCTTCAGGATCGGGAACATCCAGTTAAAATTTTTTTTTTTTTTTTTTTGAGACAGAGTCTCGCTCTGTCTCCCAGGCTGGAGTGCAGTGGCAAGATCTCGGCCCACTGCAGCCTCAACCTCCTGAGTTCAAGCAATCCTCCCACCTCAGCCTCCCAAGTAGCTGGGACTACAGGGGCATGCCAGCACATCCAGCTAATTTTTTTTTGTCTTTTTTTGTAGACACAGGGTTTCACCATGTTACCTAGGCTGGTCTCAACTTCCTGGGGTCAAGTGATCTGCCCACCTCGACCTCCCAAAAGTGCTAGGACTACAGGCGTGAGCCACCACACCGGGCCCAAGAGTAAAATCTTTAACCAAAAACAGGCTTTTGAATAGCTTCTGATATGCATTACAAAATTTCTCTCCAATTCAGTTGTGCTGATTTCTAATGACAACTGTGATGGTTGAGATCTCCCAGGTAATACAAAGAACCACACTTACCAAAGAACCACCAGGCCCCAAGAGCCCTATGAAATAGCTCCTGGTGGGCCAGGCACGGTGGCTCACACCTGTAATCCCAGCAGTTTGGGAGGCTAAGGAGGGTGGATCATGAGGTCAGGGGATTGAGACCATCCTGGCTAACACGGTGAAACCCCATCTCTACTAAAAAATACAAAAAAAAAAAAAATTAGCCAGGCGTGATGGTGGGTGCCTATAGTCCCAGCTACTCGGGAGGCTGAGTCAGGAGAATGGTGTGAACCCAGGAGGCGGAGCTTGCAGTGAGCTGAGTTCGCACCACTGCACTCCAGCCTGGGCGACAGAGCGAGACTCTGTCTCAAAAAAAAAAAAAAGAAAGAAAGAAATAGCTCCTGGTGTCTCCATTTTGGGATGAGGCATCTGAGGCCTGAAGAGGTCAAGCAGCTTGCCCAAAGTCACCTACTAGCAGCCAGGATTTAAGCTGAGGTCAGTCTAACTGTGCACATAACGGCTAACCAGTCTCCTGAGCCTCAACAGATCCCTCCCTATAAGCCCAGCCAGATTAGCCTTTCCATGTTTCCCTCATATGTTAGCCTGGTGGATAGAAAATGGCACGTCCTAATTATTTTAGTTTTGAATTTGTGATTAACAAGTTTGAACATGTTTTCCAAATGTTTACCATCAGTATGTGACTTTCATATTAATTCCTGAATCATTTATTTATTTAACCACCTTTATTTAATCCCTGACACCTTCTGAGGTATTTGCATAACTTCTCTACATTAAAGACAAAAATATTAAATCCTTTGTCAATTTGTCATCGTTTTAAAATAGTTCTTTTTCATTTCCCTTCTTCAGTTTTAATGGCTTCCATTTTCACATTTCTAGTCACTCTCTGTAGACTTTTTCCTACACTTGATCATACCCAAGAGACCATGAAGCCATGAGCTTTTCCTTCGTAATTTCTCCACACATCATCATCCCTTCGTAGATGGAATAAGTACTGTGTGTACTCATGTTTCTCTAAGCCTTTGGTGGTGGGCGGAATAAGGTACTTGTTTTATACTTAGATTATCCACACGAATTTTAGGCTGAAAGCTCTTCATTGTCATTGTTACTAACTATGCTATTTGGGAATGTGCAGAGGGGCTCAGTCTTCATTGAATGTCAAAATTACCTGAGGAAGCTCTAAAAAAACTACAAAAGTTACCAATGCCCTGGCCCCATTCCAGACCAATTAAATCAGAATCTCTGCCCAATCAGCATGATTTTTTTAATTTCCCACAAAAAACAACGAACCTCCCAAAGGGATTCGAGTGTGCAGCCGAGGGTGAAGACCACAGCTAGGGAACCACAGCTAGAGACTGTCAGAGTAACGCCAGCGGATTTTGACACCTTTTTTTTTCACTTTGCATTATTTGAATGTGGTTTTTAAAAATAATAATAACAGTCTGTATCACTTACAGACACGACCAAAGGACCCAATTACTAAGCCATCAAATAAGTCATCAAATATGACCTCGAAACTGAGCTTGATGTTCAGCTTCAAGAAAAAGCTGTCACCTTCCCACACAGCAGCTGACCTAAGAAATTCCAGGGCAATACCCCCAGAGCGTTACAGACAAAAGAACAATTATTTCCTTCTCTCTCCTCTGGTCTACCTCGTCTTGGTGGGCAAATTACCAAATAAAGTCACCTTCCAATGGTGCGGGGATAAATGTGCTGCTTGTGTATTACACCTTTATTTCCTTTCCAAATATTTAATTTCTGGTCTAGCTCTCTGCTCGTGAGTTATCTTTGCTGGGCATATTTTTAAAGACATAGTCTACTTTTTTTTTTCTTCAAGCAAATGCTGAATTTTCAAAAAGAAGGAAGATGATGACGTTTTTAGTAGGAAAGCTGTGCGGCCCAAACATGGGCTCCAGGTGACAGGGAAAGCCTTGCGGTCCCAACGCGGCTTCCCCTCACTACGTGTGATTACTATTTACAAACCACCTCTCTCTAAAAGTAAGTGCCCTTTGATAAGCTAATACTGGCGCTAAAATGCAAAGAGTGTTCGGCGGGATCAGTCCCTGACAAATTGTGATCAGGCAGATTACATAACCTCCCCGGGGTCCTTGCAATTTTAAAGGAGGGGAGCGCAGGAGATGAAGGTTGGGTGGATCAAGGATCGCACAAAATGTAATCCTCTGAGCCGCTTTTCCAAAATTCACAACGCCTTTCTCCTCCAGCTTCTGCTTGGAGAGGAGGGGTCGTTTGAACTCCATACACAGACACTAAAACTTCGTATTCTGACCAAGAAAAGGGCGCGAGAGGGGAAAGACAGGTGACTCCCACCGTCCCTCCTACCCAAAGGGGTTTGCGATGCTTGCCCGACCCCTCTGGGAGGGGCGTGTGCGAAGGACCTAGGGCCTGGGGCTCCCCGGTGCAGGGGTCTAGATGGAGACCTGGAATCTGTATTTGTCACCGTTTTCCCCACCGAGTTCGGAGAGCAAGCCAGTTGTGCAATCACGGTATGAGCTGAGCGCCTCTTAAGCCAGCGCACCGGACAAACGCCCGGGGTCCGGGGCCCGGGGCAAAAGCGCCCAGCCCGGCCCCTCCCAGGCGGCGGCGGCGGCGGCGGCGGCTTCCCAGTCACCCTGGAGGGAAAACGCGCCGAGGGGAGACGCGCGGAGGGCTCGCCCGGGACCGGGCTGCAGGCCGCGCCCCCACCGCCTTCTCCGCGGTTCCTCACCCGCCGCACATCCACGCAGGTTCAACCCCAGCGCGGGGCGAACGCGCGTCCCGGCCCCAGGCTTCCCACCCGCTGAAGCCAATGGGTCGCACGGCTCCGGCGCCACGTCCTCGGGGGCGAGGCCCTCAGGGAAGGGACCCTGCTCTAAGTCCCTCCGAACAGTGGACTGGGTGCAGGGGGAGTCCGAGCCCCCCCGATCCTCGGCTGGCCCGCCTCCTGGCTGCCAGTTTGTGGGGTCCCGGCGTCCCGATCCGCGGCCTCTGTTTAGACGGAAGGCGCCAGGACGCAGGCTCCGCTGGGGTGGGCGCCGCCTGGGCGCCCAGGTTCCACTCCGCCGCGGTCCGAACCGCCCCCTCCCCCGCCTCCGCGGGGCCCGGCCGCAGCACCCCGAAGTCCGGCCTCCGGTCTGGGGCGCGGGACCGCGAAGTCGCAGCAACAGCCCAGGCCACGGGGGCGGTTCCGGCCCGGCCTAGCGCTCGGCGCCGCGCACGGAGATAGGGGCGGCGCCGCGGAGAGGAGACGCTGCGCTCGTAGCCGGCCGGGCGGCGGTAGGAGGTGTGCACTCACCTCGTGGCGGCGCGGCCTGGGCATCGCGCCCCGAAGAGCCGCCGGGGGCCAGCAGCGCGGCGCTCAGCACGGACGCGGCCAGCAGCAGCGCGGCCAGCGCCCTGCCCGCCCCGCTCATGCCCGCCGCCCGCTCGGCCGCCCTTGCCTGCCCGCTGCGCCCCGCCCTGCGCTGCTCCGCCGCGGACGCCCGCGCGCCCGTCATCGCCCCCTCCGCTGCCGTCACCGCCGCCTGAGTCACCGCGGGAGGCGGAGGCGCCCGGGAGCCGCGGGCGGGGGAACCTAGGGGCTGGGCCGGGCCATGCTAGGCCCTGCCTTGAGGGAGCTGGCCAGGAAAGAAGCCGAGGCTCTGCGCCCCTGCGTTGGGAGTGTTTGTCTTCGGGAGGAAAAACAGCCGGAAGAGAGGCCCCTGCAGGCCAGGAGCCTTCTTCCCTCGCCCCACCTTCTCCAGCCGCATTCTGCCAAACTCCCGCCCCCGCCGGCCACCCTCCGCACGGGTGTTAGAGCCCTCGGTCCCTGTTTTGGAAAACGCCTCAATAAGCAAGACTGCAAAGTCCCTGCCCCCAAGGCGTTTATTACCCAGAGGGAGAGGCACGACTTAGAAGCCACCAAGCGGCCCCACCTCTTGAAAGAGCCCCCGGCCAGGCTGACGAAGTGGAAGGGAGCAGGTCGAGGAGTGTGCACACCCATTCTTGGCTGTATGCCGGGAGACACTATCGCAGGTATAAGGGACAGGTACAGTAATACCTATAGCAGAGGTGCTTGTAATTGCAAAACCTTGTCAACAAGCTGAATGTCCGCCAGCGAGAAAACAAACTGCCCCACAGCAGGGGAAGTGCTCTACAGCTTCCCGCATCCACATGGATAAATCTCAAAACACAAGGCTGGGGAAAATGCAAATTGCAGAATGCCTTTTTAATATATAAAGCAAAACAATAATGTATGTTGTTTAGGGACATCCATATATGTAATAAAAATACAAAGGCACACATGAAAATGTTGCGGGACTTTTCCTTAGTTCAGCTAAAGACGGTGGAGGTCCTTGTCACACGCCAGGAAAGATTAGGCTCGCAGACAATTTGAAGGGTAAGGCAGGGTTTTATTGGGTGTAAAGGAAGAAAAAGGGGAACAGGGACTCAGCAGAGCCAGAGTTCTCCTAGTTGTAGGCTTCCCACCTCACAGATTAAATCCCAGGTTCTCCCGAGGAAGAGGAGGGCCAGGCTCCTCCCAGCTGCAAACTGAGGAGCGAACTTCTGTGGCTCCACCCCAGAGCAGTGCACAGGCCAGTTGGAGTTTTACCAGGGAACCCTTCCCATCTGGCTCATTCCTCGCTCTAAAGAAGTCTATCTAACTGCCACTAGGATAAGAATAGGGACAAAGACAGATCTTAACTGCTTCCTGCTGATAGGGGGCACTGTTTCGGGAAAATGGCAATCAGATCTCCCTCAGAGGCCTATCTAAGGGTGCCCAGCAGAAGGGGCCATGGTCCGAGCTTCCAGTAGCATGACCGTTTGATGTCCTGAAGGCAAGAAGAGACAAACTGGGTTATTAAACACATATGGCCGGGCACAGTGGCTCACGCCTGTAATCCCAGCACTTTGGGAGGCCAAGGCAGGTGGATCACGAGGTCAAGAAATCGAGACCATCCTGGCCAACATGGTGAAACCCTGTCACTACTAAAAATACAAAAAATTAGCCGGGCGTCATGGCAAGTACCTGTAGTCCCAGCTACTTGGGAGGCTGAGGCAGGAGAATCACTTGAATCCGGGAGGCAGAGTTTGCAGTGAGCCAAGATTATGCCACTGCACTCCAGCCTGGCAGGTCAGGAGTTCAAGACCAGCCTGGCCAACATGGTGAAACCCTGTCTCTACTAAAAATACAAAAATTAGCCAGCAGTGGTGGTGCCTGCCTGTACTCCCAGCTACTTAGGAGGTTGAGGCAGGAGAATCGTTTGAACGGAGGTTGCAGTGAGCCAAGACCACATCACTGCACTCCAGCCTGGGCGACAGAGTGAGACCCTGTCTCAAAAAAAAAAAGAAAAGAAAAGAAACAAGGGGAGGGATAAGGACAGCTCAAAAATCCTGAGGCTTTTTACCAATTTGTACACGGAGAAGGGGGCCAAAAGTCCGAATGGTAAACAACTTTACCCTTTTGCTGGCATGTTGGGCTTCTGGGTTCCCTTCCCCTGAAACCAATCCTAAGCCAGCCAGTTTAAGGTTTAGGAAATTAACTCTTTCCAGTTTGGAAAATGCATCTGAGGGGAGTGTCCCATAGTATGGAGACACAATTAGGATTGTCATTGTGAACCGAGGAGGAGAAAGGAAAAAAGAAGGCATTTTTTCAAAGGAATCCGAAGGGTTCCAGATGCATTTGAAAGTGGTGCAGACTGAAGATAAATGGCTACCCACATAGAAAGAGGGGAGCAGGCATCCCTGGTTCTTTTCCTAGCAAATACCTGGGGTACGTGAGGGATAGAAGGAATAGCGTCCTCTTCCATCCTTGCATCCCCATGCAACCTTCGAAAGTGCTACCATGGGTGCCAAAATGGCTTGCATCCATGAAGCAGGGGTCTAGAGGGTGGGAATTATCTCCTCTACCCATGAATGCCCTATCACCCCTGCTGTCAGTAGTCTTGGAGTTCCCTAGACCTCACTTATGCTCAGGGGTTGAGGGGTTGCATGGACTCCTTCTCGTAAGCCAAATGCTAAGGAAAAACTGTGGAACTGAGTCCTCCAACAAGGGAGAGAAAAGGATGTCTTGTGACACACCCAGATAACTGGTGGCTACAGTTATGTTTGGTAGGATTTGGGTGCATGGTGCTTGGCTTTGGTTAGCTCCCTTGGTCTTACTTTCCCAAAAGGAAACCTCTGGATGATGGGCACCCTATTTATTCCCATTGCCTAGCAGAATTTGCAGGATAATTGCTCATAACTAGAATACTAATCCAGATTTTTTTACATTACCCATCCCTCTTGTTCTTTCTGAGCTGCAGCTGGAGATTGCTGGTTGGTTCACAAGCAGGGTCAGTCTAAAAATGCAGGCAAAAATTTAAAAACAACTGAGTTTAGAATTGAATGACAAATTATGGTAAGTTTTGGAACATAATTTTTCTCCAGGCCTCGTTTTTGTTAAAAAAAAAAAAAAGAAAAGAAAGAAAAGAAAAGAAATTATGATAGGACTCAGTTGTTTGCAAAATAGACTTCAGTCTTATACTTGGCCTGATTATTTACATAAAGTGCAGCAAGAATAATTATTTCTACAAAGGCCTTTTGGACTGGCTTTGATGGAACTCTGTTCCACAAGGAATCTCAGATAAGATAAAGCCAAGCCCAGCCATGAACTGGGCTAATCCTCTCCTCTTAAGTTCCCATGATACACCTTGGGTTGGGTGATCCTCTCCTCTTAAGGTCCCAGGATAAACTTGGAGCTCCTGGACCTGTTAGCAAGTGACATTCTTTACTGACCACAGGTCAGGAACCCTGTACAGGGACTGTGTAGACAAGAGTATGAGGCCAACTTCCCCACTGGGCTTTTATTGGCCCTGCAAGTCGAGATTGATTCTTTAAACAGAAGCATAGCCTTCCAGTGAAAGCCTCGGGAAAATAACCAGTTTTTCCAATTGCGTCTTGTTAACAAAAGATAAATGGATTCCTATCACACCGATCCAGACAACTATATTGCCACAAGTTAAAAATACTCACAGATAGTTTCCAGATTCTAGAGGAACCAGGCCGGGCGCAGTGGCTCACAGCTAATCCCAATACTTTGGAAGGCCAAGGCAGGCAGATCACTTGAGGTCAGGAGTTCGAGACCAGGCTGGACAACATAGTGAAACCCCATCTCTACTAAAAATACAAAAACTACCTGGGCATGGTGGCCCGCGCCTGTAGTCCCAGCTACTCAGGAGGCTGTGGCAGGAGAATCGCTTGAGCCAGGGAAGCGGAGGTTGCAGTGGGCCAAGATCCCTCCACTGTAGTCCAGCCTGGGCGAAAGAGTAACAGTCTGTCCACAAAAAAAAAGGAACCAGGCAAAGAGAAACAAGCATGCTCCAAATCTTGTCCACAGGAGTATACCTCAGTCAATTATTAAAGACCATAAATAGTTTAAAATAAGTTTCCCTGACTCTGAAAAACAAAACAAGGATCAACAATATTCCCAGCAAAAGTCAAAAAGTTTGCTTCAGCTTTGAGTTCAGTCCATTTAGTTCTTGTTTTGCTTGATATTCGTGAACACTTCAGCTCTTTATGAATCCTGTACATTTGCCTTTATTCCAATGTGACAATCTCCAAAGTTATCAGAAACCTGTATTTGAGAGTACCTGCCAGAGTCCTATTGCTTATTATAAACCATCTTTTGAAAATGATTAAAACAAGACAACAATTGTCTGTGACTAGCCAAATGTCCAGGTTAGTTGCAGTTAGAAACACAATTGACAAAGAAGTTTGGCTATCTCTGTGGTTTACAATAACTTAACAACCTTAATTATGGTTGATAGCATATACTTAGACATTAGAGTTTTAGAAATCCCATATAATTTTGGAACATACATTAGCATTATTCACAAAAATATAACCTAAAGAAAACTGAACATCATTTTGGCAATCCCATGTACCTAAACATGTCAAATGATCCTGTTTACCTATTTCTTGGATATTTCAGGGGCACTCCAAACGGTCCAAAAAGCCAAACATCAGGAAAGACAATTTTGAAACTGAAGTTTGATTTGGGAAGGCTGTTAAATATGTTCGAGGTTTAAAGCACTTGATGTTATGAAACAGAATTCCAGATTACCATAAGTTATTTATTTTGCCAAAATGATGACTCAGAAATTTTAAAGAAGCAAAAATCTTTTATAACCCCTTACAAATTTTGCTGAAGAGCAGATCAGTGCCTTAAGAATACCTTGTTGTGCTTTTATTTCAATGCTCAATTTACAGAAAAATCATATAATACCCTTTGAAATTTAGTCAATATGTTCACATAGAAAACCCCTTTGCAAGATTAATTTCCACAATGCTTCCACCACTTGTTTGAACCTGCAACTTCATCCTAATTTAAAACAATCCTTTAACCCTAGGCAAAAATTTACATTTCCATGCCTTCTTATAACCTTTTACAAAAAAACACATTTGGCTGGGCGTGGTGGCTCACACCTGTAATCCCAAGCACTTTGGGAGGCTGAAGCGGGTGGATCATGAGGTCAGGAGTTAGGGACCAGCCTGGGCAACATGGTGAAACCTCATCTCTACTAAAAATACAAAAATTAACCAGGCATGGTGGCGCATGCCTGTAATCCCAGCTACTTGGGAGGCTGAGGCAGGAGAATAGCTTGAACCCAGGAGGCGGAGGATTCAGTGAGCCCTGATCACTCCACTGCACTCCAGCCTGGGCGACAGAGCAAGACTCCGTTTCAAAAAAAAAAAAAAATTTACTGTTCTTACACACCTCGCATATAAATCTATTTCCAGTAGTCTCAATTACATGTTAAAACAGTAACTCCTAGCAATTTTTAATTTTAATGTAAAACTTGGTAAGCTGTTTTGTGTGCCAGATGCAGCCAAGGTTTGACTCCTAGCATAATTAAGGGTGTGGTTAGTTCCATATGTTCCCAGGTCTTAATAATTGTGAAGCCATCAAGACAAATAGTTCTCAAAACCCAAAAAGCAGTTTATAACCTTAAAACACTTAGCAAACCTTGCATCTGGCCTGCATAATTTAGTCCGCCTATTTACATTTTGATGGCATCTGCTTTTTACCAATAATCTTTAAAGCTGTTTTTATTTCTCAAAGATTAAAGTCACATAAACTGAAAGGTACCACAGCTTTTATCTTCTCTTTAAAAAAAATTTGATCTAAGCGCTTGTCTTTCTTTAGGCCAGATTAATTAGAGCTCTTTTTACAGACATCATACACAACATATATATATAGTTACACAGGCAGGCAGAAGAAACCTCAGTCACTGGGTGGGATCCTTTAAGAGACAGGGCTAGGAAAACATGCAGCTATCGAACTAGAAAGGGACTCACTCCCTAAGGCAGGATTGCTAAACAAAGCCTTACCAGGGAGTTACAGGCCATGCCCCCAGATTGTAAAACAAGATGGAGGCCTGCAGTGAAGTTACCTACAAACCACACAGACATGCAAAGCACACCAGTGTGCAGGCCAGTTGGAGTTTCTCTGGGGACCCCTTCCCACCTGGCTGTCTCAGAAAGATAAACATTAAATTCCGGTAAGGGTTGAGAGCAGGAAGGGAGGAGAACCTTAAGGACTTCACTGGCAGTGTTTCATTGCTTAAGTTGGGTGATACGGTGCATTTTGTATTATTTTTTATACTTCTTTGGGTGTCTGAATTATTTGATAATTTTTTAAAGCTACAAGACAATGTGATTAGTGCTATTAGGAGAAGGACAAAATGCTAAGGTGGCATTTGACAGAAGCACCCAGGCTTGTCTGGGAAGGCTTCCAGGAGGACTGTCATTTAAGTTGAGCCCTGAGAGATGTTAGCCAGGAGAAAGCAGGAAGAGTGTTCTCAGGAGAAGGAACAGCCTTTCCAACAGCGCAGAGAAAGTGTCACTTTGTGAAGGAACTGAAAGAAACCTGGGGCAACTGGAGCAGGGTTCTCTAAGGGGAGAGGGGAGAGAGGAGGTGAACTAGATAGCAGAGTTGAGTGCAGGCTTCTTCCTAAGTACAGTAGAAGCTGTTGGTGAGTTTGAAGGTGGAGAATAACTCAGGAAAGTAATGGTCATGAGCTATCTCACAAACTCAAGTTCAGTCAAATGATTTTTCTCAAAGAAAGCCCCTATGCCAGAATGTCAGGACATTCAGGTACTCCCTCTTTCCTCTTTGCCCCCTGCCCCATCGCTCGAAATCCCAGGAGCTGAAGGACGCTGGCATCGGAGCGGTCTGGCCAGGCCATGGCCAACTAGTCATCTTCTGCCTAACACACAGCAGCGGCCCTCTCTAGCCCAGCCCTGGCTTAAACCACAGAAGTCACTGGCTGAATGTGCCCTTCTCTTTTCACTTGGAGGACAGCTTTGTCACACCCTCCATGTCCAGGAGAGTCTGGAGTTCCTGTCTTAGGGCTGTGCATAGCTGTTCCTGTACCTGGAAGACCCTTCCTTACCCAGACACCTCATGGCTCCTCCCTCACTTCATTCAGCTCTCAGGCCAACTGCTGCCTCATTTAAGGAGGCCTTCCACAAAAACCGTTATCTAAAGCTAAAAGGTGCTGGAGCCTCGGATCCTGCTTTTCTTCATTACACTAATCTCCACCTGACATTACGTGTATTTGTCTGCCCCACTTGCACTAGAATGTAAGCTCCATGAAGGCAAGGAGTTTGTCCTGAGGGCAAGAACCTTCTCATTAGACTGTAATACATTAACAAACAGCTCCAAAACCTCATGGCTTACCCCAACAACAATCCCTTTCTTGTTCACACTGATGCCCAACGCTTCATCACAGCAGAAGCGGCGGTGGGAGGACAATGTAGCAAATCCTACACTGGCTCTTCAAGCGCCTATCTAGAAGAGATGTCTATGACTTCCTTCATGTTTCTCTGGCCAGAGCAAGTCATATGGCCCCATGTGATCAACAGATTCAACACCTATTCAACTCTCAGCAACTAGAAAAAGAGGGAACTTCCTTAGTATGATAAAGGCATCTCCAAAAAACCTAACCTGACACTTGCAAAGACCAAATGCTTCCCCCTGTGGATCAAGAACAAAGCAAGGATACACAATAAGGCAAAGAAATATAAAAGCAAACAAACTGGCTCCATTCAAAGATGGCCTGATTGTACATGTGGAATATCTTAAGGAATCTACCCATCAAAAAGCTACTAGAACTCATGAGTTTGGCAAGGTCACAGAATTCAAAGTCAGTATACAAAAATCAATTGTATTTTTATTTTCTGGACATAAACAACTGGATGTTGACACTGAAAAAACTGGAATTTACAATTGAATTTTTTTTCTTTTATGATGGAATTTTTTTTTTTTTTTGAGACAGAGTTTTGCTCTTGTCGCCCAGGTTGGAGTGCAATGGGACAATCTCGATTCACCACAACCTCCGCCTCCTGGGTTCAAACGATTCTCCTGCCTCAGACTCCCAAGTACCTGGGACTACAGACGTGTGCCACTATGCCCAGCTAATTTTTTTGTATTTTTAGTAGAGATGGGGTTTCACTATTTTGGCCAGCCTAGTCTCGAACTCCTGACCTCGTGATCTGCCTGCCTCAGCCTCCCAAAGTGGGAATTTTTTAAATTTAACAAAACAGGTACAAGACCAGAACACTGAAAACTACAAACAATTTAACAAAATTAAGACCTAAAAAGTTGGAGAGATATACTGTGTTCATAGATTGGAAGAATCATTACTGTTAAGATGCCAGTTCTCCCCAGATTGATCTATAAGTTCAATACAATCCCAGTCAAAGTTCCAGGAGTTTTGTTGTTGTTGTTGTTGTTGTTAAAATTGACAAGTTGATTCTAAAAATGTATGTGGAAATGCAAAGGACCTAAAATGGCCAAAACAATTGTGAAAAATAACGAATTTGCAGGTCTTACAACTACCTGATGTTAAGATTTACTAAAAAAGGATAGGTGCCAGGCGTGGTGGCTCATGCCTCTAATCCCAGCACTTTGGGAGGCCAAGGCAGGCAGATCACGACGTCAGGAGTTCAAGACCAGCCGGACCAACACGGTAAAACCCCATCTCTACTAAAAATACAAAAATTAGCTGGGCGTGGTGGCGCATGCCTGTAATCCCAGCTACTCAGGAGGCTGAAGCAGGAGAATCACTTGAACCCGGGAGGCGGGGGTTGCAGTGAGCCGAGATCACGCCACTACACTCCAGCTGGGCAACACAGCAAGACTCCGTCTCAAAACAAAAACAAAAAAAACAAAAAGGGACAGGATAGAGAGCCTAGAAATAAACCCACCCATTGGTTTTTCACCAAGCTGCCAAAGGAATTTAATGAAGGAAAGGATAATCTTGTCAATAAATAATGCTGGAACAATTGGATATCCACATGGAAAGAAACCTTGATTCTAACTGCTACTTGGGAGGCTGAGGTGGAAGGATCACTTGAGTCTAGGAAATTGAGGCTGCAGTGAGCTATGATTGTGCCACTGCACTCAAGCCTGGGCAATAGAGAAAGGCAATCCAAAAAAAAACAACAAAAACAAAAAAACCCTACATTGAGACACTAATCACACCCACTAAAACAGCTAAAATTTAATGGGCTAAAATAAATAACAAGTGTTGGCAAAGATGTGGATCAAATGGAACTCATACATCGCTAGTGGGAAAATAAAATGGCACAACTACTTTGGTAAACAGTTGGAAGTACATGATATTAAACATATACTGACATATGACCATCTGACCAATCAGGTATTTGCTCAAGACAAATGAAAACATATGTCTACACAAAGACTTATATTTTAAGGTTAACAGCAGTTTTATTCATAATAACCCAAAACTGGAAACAATGCAATATCCATCAGCAGGTAAATGAAGAGTGTGGTACATACATACAATGGAATAACTATGCACCAATAGATACAACCTACTAATACATGCAACAACATAGATGAACCTCAAAAACATTACACTGAGCAAAAGCAGACAGACACAAAAAATATATACTATACTATATTACTATATTCTATGGTGTGAATATTTGTATCCCTCCAAAATTCATGTTGAAACTTAATCTGCAATGCAATAGTATTAAGAGGTGGGGTCTTTGGAGGTGATTAGGTCATGAGAGCTCTTCCCTGGTGAATGAGCTTAAGCCCTTTATGAGAGGGGCTACACACAGCATTTGCCCTTTTTTTTTTTTTTTTTTTTTTGCCCATCTGCCCCTTCTACCATGTGAGGACAGTGTTTAAAGCACCATCTTCAAATTAGAAACTGGGCCCTCAGACACCAAACCTGCTAGTGCCTTGATCATAAACTTTTCAGCATCCAGAACTGTGAGAAATAAATTCCTATAATTTATAAATTACCCAGTCTCAGGTATTTTGTTACAGCACCACAAACAGACTTAGACACTGTATGATTCCATTACTGGAACTCTAGAAAAGCAATTCTAATCTTTCTAAAAAGATAGGAAAGAGTCATTGTTTGGAGCCAGCAAAGGGGAAAGGATTGATTGGGATGGGACACATAGGAAATTGCCGGTGTGATAGAAATGTTTTGTCTCTATCTATGAGGATAGTGACACAAGTACATAAATGTATTAAAACTCATTGAAATATACACTTAAAACTGTTGCATTTTATTATATAAAACAATGAGTCAATAAGCTGAGTTTTTAAAAACTCAATAATATTTCTTCCTGGAGTCAAGAATAACTATGAGGTTTCTGGCTTGGGAAATCAGATGTATGCTGTGCCACCTACAGATGAGGAAACACAGAAGCAGATTTTGAAGAAAGAAAAGTTATCTGGGAAATCTTGAGCTTGAGATGTTCTTTAGAAAAATGTTCATTCAAATCTCTTCTCCATTTATTAATTGGACTGTTTGGTTTCTGTATTGAATTACAGGAGTTCTACATGTACACTGGATATCAATTCCTTATTAGATATATGACCTGCAAATAAAATAGATGTAAAGGTCGGGAGAAATAGGAATTTGGGGAAAATCAGCACATATATGGCAAGTGAAGTCATGGCAGAGAATGAGATCACCCAGGTAATGTGTGTAAGGCTGAGAACAGAACCTTCAGGAGCACCAGGGATGGACAGAGACTGAGAAGAAGCCACAGTGACAGGGGGAAATCTAGGAGAGTATGATGTCACAGAAGCCAAGGCTTGTATATTACAAGGAGGAAACAACAAAAGATTATCTACTCAACTAAGCTACCCAGTCCTCAGTAACCCAGTGACAGCAGTTTCAGGGCAGTGGTAGTAGCAAAGGTCCAACTGCCTTGGTTAGAGGAGTCAAGGGAATATAAAGAAGTGTAGGCATTTCAACAAATAATGCTGGGATACCTGGACAGCCAAATGCAAAAGAATGATGTTTGACAGTGACTTTACATCATATACAAAAGTTAAGTCAAAGATCTTAATGGCTCAAAGACCTTATGTAATAGCAAAAACTATAAAATTCTTAGAAGAAAACATAGGAGTAAATCTTCATGACCTTGGATTTGGCAGTGGATTCTTAGATGCAACACCAAAAGCATGAGCAACCAAAGAAAAATGTAGATACATTTGACTTCATAAAAATTTAAAACTTTGTGTATTAAAAGACACTACCAAGGAAGTGAAGACAACCCACCTGGGAGAAAATATCTGCAAAGCATATATCTGATAAGGGACTAGTATAAGGAATACAAAAAGAACTCCTACAACTCAACAACAAAAAAAACCCTGATTTTTAAATGGACAAATTAAAAAATTGGCAAAAAGTCTGCATAGACATTTCTCCCAGGAAGATCTACAAATAGCCAATAAGCATATGAAAAGGTACAACATCATTAGTCATCAGGAAAATGCATGTGTTCATGTACTGGAAGACTTAATAGTGGGAAGATGTCAATACTACCCAAAGCACTCTACAGATTCAATGCAGTATCTATCAGACTCCTAATGGCACAATTCCAGAAATAGAAAAATCCATCTAAAATGCATATGGAATCATAATTGACTCAACAGCCAAAATAATCTTGAAAAAGAAAAAGTTGGAGGTCTCACACTTCTGAATTTCAAAAACTACAAAACTATGGTAATCAAAAAACCGTGAGCCTGGCACTCAACTCCTGCACAACAAAGGACCAAAAAAGCAAGTAGTTAACCACATGTCAGGTAGAGCACCAAAGACAGAACACTATTCAACAGGGAACTTCTGAGGCACAAAGGGAGCAGTAAATAAAGCAGCCAGCATGTCTTGGACTGGCTCAGAAGCAGGAGGGGAATCCCATTTCTGGGAAAAGAAAAGTCAAAGAACTGCAGTGGTCCACATTCGCAGCACAGATGCTGGCACCCACAGGGGATGCCGTCAGCCTTCACAGGCCCTGAGTCCAGTATACGGAGCTGCCTGGAATCCATGCAAATGCGTTCTTCCAGAAAGGGAATTCCACTGGATCCTACTCACATCCCAAGAAACATGCTGCTGTGGCACAGCACCATTTTAAGAGGCTAGCCCCCACCAGATTATATCCTGCCCACTTGGGGTCCAATAAGCCCCTGCAGTCCACATCCCTGGACCCCCAAGAACATCCTCCCACATCCATCCAGAAGGTTGCAGTATCACAATCACCCAGCAGTGCAGCCAGGTCCCCAGTACTCTGACCCATGAAGTGTCTTATATCCCAGGGAACAGGCAGTATAGCACACCAGGGAGGCTACCCCAGGAAAAAGGGAGCTGAAGCTCCCAGAACCTGGGAGCCATCTTCCCAACACCAATGCCACCAACAGAACCTTGCCCCTCTCAGCAGGGCAACAGCATGCCTGTGTGCACCTTCAGGGGGCCTGAGGACCAGTATGTCCATATGTGCCATCCAAGAACCTAAAGACAGGCCTGCTCCACCCACTGTCACCAGTGTTCTCCAGCGCTATCTTTCCCTCATGCCACTACTGGTGCCTATATGCTCTGTAGGGGGGCCTGACGACTGGCCCACCCCATCCAACACCACTGGTGCCCACGCACACAATCCCAAGGCCTGAACAGGCCTGCCCCACCTACCACCAGTGCCCACCCAAGTGCATCACCTAGGGGGCTAGAAACTGTCCCATTCATCCTGCCACAGCTACTGCCAACAGCTATGATTGCCACCTGACAGTCCAGTGTCTAGCCCACTGCTGCTACTGCCACTGCCAGCACCATAAATGCTGCCTGGGGGCTTGAGGACCAGCCCACCTGGGCCCCCCACTACCAGCACTTACACCAGCTGGGGTCCTGAGGACTAGCATGCCCAGCCCATCGCCACCACAGCTAAAGCCTGCCCATGCCACCAAAAGGCCCAGGGACTGGCCCCTCTGGCATCCCTTTCCCCAGAAAAGCCTCACAACAGCCTCAGCTAACAATGGCAACTTAAGCCACTGAGGACTCACAGTGACATGGTTACATGACACCAGTTACATTGGTTACAGCTGAAGAAATCATTGAGCCTACACTCCTGTGCTCACCAGAATCAAAGCCAAAACATCCTAATCACAACCAAAACTACAGATATGCCTACAAAAAAGTCTTTCCTTATGAAAGCCAATCCATAAAATTGGAAGAAGCAACTCTTCCACTAGCTGAATAGATATCAATGTAAGGACACAAGAAACATGAAAAAGCAAGGAAATTTGATACCTCCAAAGAGACACAATAATTCTCCAGTAACAGATTCAAAAGAAAAGGAAATCTATAAAAATGCCAGAAAAGGAATTCAAAATAATGATCTTAGGGAAACTCAGCAAGTTGCAAGAGAACACAGATAATACAAAGTAGGAAAACAATTCATGATCTGAATAAGACAGTCAGTAGAGATAGATATAGAAAAATAACCAAACAAATCCTGGAACTGAAAAATTCAATGAATAAAATTTAAAAATGCAACTGAGAGCTTCAAAAGTACGCTAGATAAAGCAAAACTAAGATTTTCTGAACTTGAAGACAGGTCTTTTGAAATAACCCAGTCAGACCAAATAAATTCTCGGTGTTTCAGGAAAGAGAAGGGAAGAGGCACAGAAAACCTATTTAGCAAAATAACAGTCAAACATTTCTTAAGTCTTGCAAGAGATACAGACATCCAGATACAGGATGTTCAGTAATCCCAAAAAAGATTCAAACCAAAAAGGTCTTCTGCAAGGCACATTACAATCAAATTGTCAAAAGTCAAACACAGAGAGAATTCTAAAAACAGCAAAAGGAAAGCATCAAGTCACTTATAAGAGAATTTCCTGTTTAAAAAAAAAAAAAAAAACTTACAGGTCAGGAGAGAATGGGATAATATATATTACAGTGCTGAAATAAAAAAAACTGCCAGCCAAGAATATTAAACTAAGTAAAGCTATCCTTCAAAATTGAAGGACAAATAAAGTCTTTCCCACACAAGTAAAAACTGAGAGGAGGAGGACCCCAGGCCCTCAGAGGAGCCTCATAGTGAGGCATTATACAGGTCCTGTGAGGGAGCACCATCAAGGGTCCCTCAGGGTTGAGGAGTCGCCTCTGGCATCCCAGGACAACTAGCGATTGCACCCAAGGCAGGAGGAGCAACAGGAGGGCTGCCAAGGTCCAGTTGGAGGCTCAGGTCATGGCCACCCAGGAAATGGAACAGGGAGAAAAGGATCCAGAAACTGATGAGCACAGGGAAAGAAAACCTTTTGCAGAAACAGATGAGGAAGACAAGGGGGTTGATGTAGAGAAGCTACAAGTAATTGCAGCTGCCATTAAACAGGGTCTTGCTGCAAAAAGATAAAGGCCTCAAAAGTATATACAAAAGCTTGCATCAACACCGAGAACATAACTGAATGTTATTTTGAGAACACAGAATGCAGAAATGGAATTATAGATATCCTATACAGTTGCTGACTTTGCTTCAAGAATACAACATAGACATGTAGAAGACTGAGGAGAGGAAGAAAAACTAATTAAAATATTTCAAGAGCAACAAAAGAGGTGGCAACAAGTTAGCATTGTTAGGAGACAGCAAATGAAAGAGATTAAGCTGCTATATGAGCAATTCACGAAGAGTATCATGAAAGAACTCTTTTCAGTGAAGAAAGTCAATTTAAATCGCCAAGTTCCAAGATAAAATTGTGTGAGAGACACTGCAGCAAGAGTTGGCACTAATTCATAACTTGAGCTACACTAAACCACATGACAGTATTTTGATATTCTTGTATAAACCAGTTTATTTCTTCTATCATTAGTCTGTTAAATGCCAGACCTCATTTCTGTGGTCTGTTGAATGAATCCTAGACAGTTCTGTGAGAAAGCAGCAATTACACAGTTATATACATGGTCAGTTAAATTTTAACATTAATGATAATTTAGTTTTAAAAAAAAAATACTGGCCAGGCACGGTGGCTCACACCTGTAATACCAGCACTTTGGGAGGCCGAGGCGGGTGGATCACGAGGTCTGAGGCGGGCAGATCACGAGATCAGGAGATCGAGACCATCCTGGCTAACATGGTGAAACCCCATCTCTACTAAAGATACAAAAAATTAGCCGGGTGTGGTGGCAGGCACCTGTGGTCCCAGCTACTTGGGAGGCTGAGGCAGGAGAATGGTGCAAACCCGGGAGGCAGAGCTTGCAGTGAGCAGAGGTTGTGCCACTGCATTCCAGCCTGGGTGACAGAGTAAGACTCCATCTCAAAAAAAAAGAAAAAACAGGGAAATCATCACAACCAGATCAGCCCGACAAGAAATGCTTAAGGGAATCCTACATCTGGAAGAGAAAGCCATACTGAGGCAGGAAAGTAAAGAAAGAAAAATAAAATTAAAAAAAGAAAAACAAGCTTTCTATATTAGGCTGACTCATCCCAAAGGCAGTTAACAGTCAAAGCCTGGACCCAGACAAAGTCTCGATAACATTATCAAATAAGCAAAGGCTCAAAGGAATGTGCTCTGGAGACTCTCCCAGCACTTCCTCAACATAGGGAGAAAAAAACAAATTTTCCTTTCCCTTATGAGTAAACATATGAGTTTATAGATTCCGGTTTTCTGTAACCAGTAACTTCAAGTACTCTGTTTTAACTAAGCAGCACAGTGAAGGTTGTAAGACATGCCTGAGCAGGCCTGGGCTGCGGCAGTCTGGGTGCCATAGCGAACGTTATGAGATAAGCCCATGCAAGGCTCTTTTGAGCAAGCCTAGATAACAGCCATGTGAGCTGCACAGCAAGGGTCATATGTAATCCTGGCTCATGAACCTGTCACAGTTTGATTAGCTGCCTTTGTTCTGCCCCTGTATCTTTGCTTCACGCCACCATAAGCTTGTTTCAAGCTAGCCCACCCCCTTTTAGAAGTGTGTATAAAAGTCAAGTACTGTCTTTGTCTGGGCCCAGTTTTTGAATGTTATCAGCTGGGTCTGAGTGCACTCAATAAAAATCCTCTTGTCTCACCCCATTGTCTCTCCAGTCCTCCTTCATTCCCACATTAATACCACCCTGAACACGCCCAATCTCATCTGATCTTCAAATAGACAGGATGGTATCTACCATCATGAAAACAAACAAAGGCTTAAAACTCACTAATAGAACAGAAACACAAATGAGAAAAAGGAATCAAACATTATGACTATTTAAAAAACCACCAAATTGTAAAGTAAACAATACAAAAGAAGATAGGTGAAACCCCATCTCTACTAAAAGTACAAAAATTAGCTGGGTGTGGTGGTGGGCACCTGTAATCCCAGCCACTTGGGAGGTTGAGGCAGGAGAATTGCTTGAACTTGGGAGGCAGAGGTTGCAGTGAGCCGAGATCCTGCCACTGCACTCCAGCCTGGGAGACACAGCAACACTCTGTCTCAAAATAAAAAATAAAAATAAATAAAAAAGATAGGAAAAAATATATACAAGACAATCAGAAAACAAATGCACAGGACTAAGTCCTCACCTATCAATAAAAACCCTGAATGTAAATAATTTAAATTCTCCAATTAAAATACATAGACTGGCTGAATGGATTTTAAAAAAACAAGATTCAACTATATGTTACCTATAACAAACTCACTTCACATGTAAAAACACATATAGACTGAAAGTGAACAGATGGAAAAAAATATTCCGTGCAAATTTAAACCAAAAATGTGCAGGAGTAGCTATACTTATTCATAATAGACTAAGTCAGAAAACATAAAAAGGGACAAAGAAGATCATTACATAATGAAAAAGGGATCAATTCAGCAAAAGGATGTAACAATTTTAAATATATATGCACCCAATACCAAAGTACTCACATGTATAAACAAACACTATTAGAGCTAAAGAGAGAGGCAGATCCTAATACAAAAAAAAGCAGGGGATTTTAATGCCTCACTTTCAGTATTGGGCAGATCATCTAGAAAGAAACATCAGACTTAATCTGCATTATAGACCAAATGGACCTAACAGACATTTACAGACCCTTTCTTCCAACAGCTGCAGAATATACATTCTTCTCATCAGCACATGGACCATTCTGCAGCATAGACCATATGTTAGACCACAAAACAAGTCTCAATAAATTTTTAAAAATCTAAATCATATCAAGTACCTTCTCAGACCACAATGGAAGAAAAGTAGAAATCAATAACGAGAAACTTTGGAAACTACAAATCCATGGAAATCTAACAACTGGCCAGGCATAGTGGCCCATGCCTGTAATCCCAACACTTTGGGAGGCCGAGGAAGTCAGGAGTTCGGGACCAGCCTGGCCAACATGGTGAAACCCCACCTCCACTAAAAATACAAAAATTAGCCAGGCGTGGTGGTGTGCCTGTAATCCCAGCTACTCAGGAGGCTGAGGTGGGAGAATTGCTTGAACCTGGGAGGCAGAGGCTGCAGTGAGCCAAGATCACATCACTGCACTCCAGCCTCAGCAACAGAGCAAGACCGCATCTCAAAGAAAAAAAAAAAAATCTAACAACCAATGTGGACTACATACAAACGTACATGTGGATGTGGACAACGAACCACATGGCTAAGCCATAAAAAAAACAATAAAACACGAAACTCAGGCAAAAAACTCCACCATCAGAGTAGAATGCTGTAACTTCCATTCAGCCCTTCAATCCCACCTTCATTGGCTGGACTGGTTTTCACAGCATCTCTCTTGCCTGAGACATCATGGCATCTCTAAGTGTATCCAAGACCTTCTGGTAGGTCTCCAGAACGTCCTGGGCAGTGGGTCTTTCTGAGGGAGTCTGGCTCTTGCATGCTTTGTGAATATCAAACAAATGGAATCGGACCATATCACTCCCTTCAATGTGCCCCAGAAGGAAACTGGAGATGTCTGGGATCTTCCAAATGTCAATCTTCTCATCATATGAGGGCATGAGATCATCGTGGAAAGGCACGTCCTCTCCATAGGGCCACAGTTGCTCTGGAGCCACGAAATCCCCATGCAGCTCCCTGTGGCCGCACTTCACCAGCATCCCGGAGCTGTGGTTCACCAGGGGTAAGGCGTCCAAGTCATTTGCCAAAATGCTGAAGTTGCTTGTTAGCAGATACTGGGACAGTGTCTTCGGCAGGTCGTTGGAGTCGCACATGACCCGTGTGCCCACAGGGCTGTGGTGCAGGTAATTAATGATGCTGACATAGTCCATGGCCAGCTCCAGCCTGTGCTGCCACGTGTTCACATTTTGGTACTTTGAAAGGTTTAGTGTTTCTTCCAGGTTACTCAAGGAACCTAGAGGGTGATATTCAGTAAGCATAGTGTTGTCATCCTCACAATAGCCAAGCAGCGTGACAACATGTGTGCCTTGGAGAGATTTCAGCATCTGCAGTCCATGGAGGAAATCATCTTTCATCTCCAGGCTGGTGAGCTGTGAGAGTGCAACTTTGTGCTCCTTCCACTCAGACAGAAAGACCTGCAACAAAGCCATAGAGAGCATCAGGCCTGAACTCTCACCTAATTTAGTGACCAAAGAACAACAAATATCTTTTAAGTGGCAGGTGTTCTGCAGAAGATACAGAAATTAACAAGGTGCAGACCCCATCGTAGAGTTGCTCTCCGTCTAGTTATGAAGAGAGACCGATGAGCAAACACAGCATTCAGCAAGGCAAGTGCCACATTAGTGGGTGGAACCTCAGGGCAGGAAGCGATTGCCTCTGGGCAGGACACTGAGAGCTGCTGCAGAGGGTGCTGGAAGGCTTTGGGAAGCTGGTCTCATAGAACGAGGGGGACCTGCAGATTCAATGTAGGGCAGGGGAGTGCTAGCTCAGGAGGGAAGACTCCATATAACTGCATGGCAGGGAGGAGTGGCAAGTAGACTGCCAGTTCCAATGGACCACCACACAGTGGGTGGGGAGGAAGAGGAGGCAGGGGAGTGGACTGGAAAAGTGGGTAAGTGTGGAGACCCCGAAAAGCCTACATGAGGGCGTAGAGCCCTGCCCATCACGTGTAACAATGTTACTCATTAATTTTAAAAGGTGGCATAGTAAATCATAAATAGGAACATTTATATGTAAGGAAAACATTTTTGCATGTTCTGTGGTTTGGTGTTACTTCAGCTGTAAAGGCAGGAGCTGAAATGCTACATAAACACTAGACCTTCTCATAGAGTCCACAGCTAATAGAAGAGCAAGTTCACATTTCTGCCTTGGATTTTCACCTTTCATTTGCTTGCAGGAAGCACTGTAATTAAAGGAAGAACCTCTGATCTTTTGCTTAAATCCCAAGAGAAGGCAGAAGATTACAAAAGAGAAAGCAGGCTCAGGACTCAGGAGATTCCTGCCCCAGGCTCATTCTGCAAGCAGTGTGCCATGTCATTGTTCAAATAAAGGTTATGGTTTCCAAAGCAGTTTTTTGCATTATTTATCAAGAGACTCTAACATCTAAATCTAAGGCAATAATCGGAAATAGGTAAGAAGCTCCAGGAATAAAAATCTGACATTATTTATAAAAGCATACACTGAAACTTATCAAAAGATGGGAGCAGCATGATCAACATAGTGAGAACCCATCTCTACAAAACATTTTTTAGAAACTAGCAGGGTGGGCCAGGCGTGGTGGCTCACACCTGTAATTCCAACACTTTGGGAGGCCAAGGCGGGTGGATCACCTGAGGTCAGGAATTCAAGACCAGCCTGACCAACATGGAGAAACCCTGACTCTACTAAAAATACAAAATTAGCCAGGCGTGGTGGTGCATGCCTGTAATCCCAGCTACCTGGGAGGCTGAGGCAGGAGAATCACTTGAACCCGGGAGGCAGAGGTTGCCGTAAGCCAAGATCACGCCACTGTGCTCCAGCCTGGGCAACAAGAGTGAAACTCTGTCTCAAAAAAAAAAAAAAAGAAAGAAATTAAGAAACAAGCAGGGTGTAATGGAGCGTACATGTACCCCCAGCTACTCAGGGGAGGCTGAGGTGGGAGGATCATTCAATATATATATATATCATGCGGTCACCAAAATGTATATATTTATACAGTTATAACAGATAAAAGTAATGGTACGGCTGGGTGCGGTGGCTCATACCTATAATCCCAGCACTTTTGGAAGCCAAGGCAGGCAGATCACCTGAGGTCAGGAGTTGGAGACCAGCCTAGCCAACATGACGAAACCTAAAACCTAAAACCTCTACTAAAAATACAAAATTAGCCGGGCATGGTGGTGCATGCCTGTAATCCCAGCTACTCAGGAGGCTGAGGCAGAAGAGTAGCTTGAACCCCAGGAGGTGGAGGTTGCAGAGAGCCAAGATCACACCATTGCACTCCAGCCTGGGTGAACAAGAGTGAAACTCCATCTCAAAAAAAAAAAAAGCAATGTTACAAATGAGAAGTATACAAAACCATTTGTATAATATTGTTCCAACTGCATAAAACGAGACAAATTTAAATTACAGCACATGGAAATCAAAGGAAATATGCTAATGCCTTAGTTGTCTTTATGTGGTAAGATTCTGGGTGATTTTTTTTTCCTTCATATCTTTTGGTATTTTCCAAGATGAACATATATTACTTTTACAACTTAAATTTTTTAACTCAAAAATATATAAAATTTCAGAAAAACTAACATTGGGAATTTAAAAAAAAAAAAAGAAAAAGAAATATTATATAAAATGGAGTTAGACCCAAGGACCATGAAGATCTTTTCTGGATCTAAGAAGGGAGGTTCATTATGGAAAAACCCAGATAACTTTGATTGGCTCATAACATTCAAATGAAAACTCTTTCAAGACTCTCTAATCCTCATATTTGAGAAATTTCACTAAGGATAATAACTTCTATTAAAAAGCTGTTTTTGGGCCGGACGCGGTGGCTCACGCCTGTAATCCCAGCACTTTGGGAGCCGAGGCAAGAGGATCACAAGGTCAGGAGATCGAGACCAGCCTGGCAACATGGTGAAACCCCATCTCTACTAAAAATACAAAATAATTAGCTGGGCGTGGTGGCGCGCGCCTGCAGTCCCAGCTACTCAGGAGGCTGAGGCAGGAGAATTGCTTGAACCCAGGAGGCAGAGGCTGAAGTGAGCCAAGATCACACCACTGCACACCAGCCTGGTTAGAGACTTCGTCTCAAAAAAAAAAAAAAAAAAAAAAAAGCTGTTTTTCACTCTGGCTGCTACATGCACTAAAAATTTCCTAATTTTTAAGGACTAGATAAGACCACATTCTAAAAGTTCAAGATTTTTTTAAATTTTCATATTGAACACACGCTCTCCATAGATTTGCATCCCACTGAATCTGATAATTGGCTCTAATACGAACAACTGAGGTTTTGTTCAGATCCATGGCTTCCTTACGCCCACCTCTGCATGGTCACCACCAGAACTGGCAATGGCTTTGGTTTTCTAGGCCCATTTTTCACCTAAAAACGATGCTGGCTTTTGGGAAGCTGCTGCTACACATTCAACAATAAGTGGGGGGCCGGCCGCAGTGGCTCATGCCTGTAATCCCAGCACTTCAAGAGGCCGAGGCGGGTGGATCACGAGGTCAGGAGATCAAGACCATCCTGGCTAACATGGTGAAATCCCATCTCTACTAAAAATACAAAAAATTAGCCGGGCATGGTGGCAGGTGCCTGTAGTCCCAGCTACTCAGGAGGCTGAGGCAGGAGAATGGCAGAATGGCATGAACCGTGGAGGCGGAGCTTGCAGTTAGCCGAGATCAGGCCACTGCACTCCAGCCTGGGCAACAGAGCGAGACTCCGTAACAACAACAACAAAAAAAACAGTAAGTTGGGGAGGCTCAGCCACAGGCCCCAGGGCTCCTGATCCCTCATTTGTGTCTCATTCATTTTTGTTTCAGATAAATGAAGATTATTAAATATTATTATGAAATACTATTAGTCTTTGAGATCACACACAAATATTTGAATCCTCCAATATAAAAAATTTGCTAGTCATGGACTGTTTAAGAATCATTTCTCACAACCTCTAATTTAGTTGCTTTTAATCATTTTCTAAAAGACTTTTATTTGGAAAGAACAGTTAAAATACTTTACTTTTTTATTATAAAATTAATCGTGAACACTTTTCTTGGTAAAAACTCAAATACAGAGGATAGGCAGGATGTCTCCCTGCCCCCAGTTTTACTTCCCGACCCAAAGGAAACCTGGTAACTGGCTGTCATCCTCCCAGAAGTTTTTCTATGCCTTTATTTATTAATGTACACTTGTAAAACAGCATTTGGGTTTGCTGTTATACTAATGGCGTTATAACATACATACATTGCAGCTCTTTTTTCATTTAACTGAGCCTCAGAAATCCTTTCCATATATACATGTAGATCTAGGCCATTCTTTTTAAAGCTGAGTAATGTTTCATAGTGTGGGCATAATACCTACACTTGTGTATTTCCAGTAAGCTTTTACAGATACTACTACCTTTTTTCTTTAAAATTAAAGTATAATATAATAAAAATACCAGGAATTTGGAATTGATGCTGTCAAAATAGACTGGATTCTTTCTTAAGATTATTATGTAGCTATAATTTTGTAAAGACCTTTAATAAGATCTTATATGATCTATTTCTAAAGACCTGGACATTTAAGTTAGTCCCTTTTCTAATGACAATGCTACAGTGTATAGCCTTATATTTACATGTCTATGTACATGCACAAATATTTTATAAGCTAGGTAGGCAGACAGAATTTACCAAATATCTATTGCCATCATTACCCTCCAAAGTCTGTGCTAGCATGCACTTTCACCAGCAGCGCATGATAGAATCTTAGGAATACACCCTTAGTCACACCAGATTATTACCACTGTTTGTAATTTGTGCCAATCAATGGATGAAAATACCTTACTCTTCTAATTTGTATTTCCCTGATTACTAATAAGGCTAGGCATTTGTCATCTTTTTAGGCATTTCTGTATTTCTGCTGTCAAAAGTCTGTTCACTGTCCTTTATCCAATTTTCTATAGGGTTGTCTGCCTTGTGCTTATTAATTACTGGGAGCTCTTTATATATACTTGACCCTTGAACAACACGGGTTTGAACTGCGCAGTTCCACTTACACACAGATTTTCTTCTGCCTTTACCACCCCTTGGATACCAAGACCAACCTCTTCCTTTCCTCCTCCTCCTCAGCCCACTCACTGTGAAAAAACCAAGGATAAAGACGTTTGCGATGGATGATGGATCCACTTCCACTTAAAGAACAGTAAATGTATTTAATTAACAGTAAATGTATTTTTTCTTATGATTTTTCTTAATAACATTTCTCTCGTCAGGCTTCTGAGCCCAAGCCAAGCCATCGCATCCCCTGTGACTTGCACATATACGCCCAGATGGCCTGAAGTAACTGAAGAATCACAAAAGAAGTGAATTTGCCCTGCCCCGCCTTAACTGATGACATTCCACCACAAAAGAAGTGTAAATGGCCGCTCCTTGCCTTAACTGATGATATTCCACCACAAAAGAAGTGAAAATGGCCAGTCCTTGCCTTAAGCGATGACATTACCTTGTGAAAGTCCTTTTCCTGGCTCATCCTGGCTCAAAAAGCTCCCCCACTGAGCACCTTGCGACCCCCACTCCTGCCCACCACAGAACAAACCCCCCTTGACTGTAATTTTCCTTTACCTACCCAAATCTTATAAAAATGGCCCTACCCCTATCTCCCTTGGCTGACTCTCTTTTCGGACTCAGCCCGCCTGCACCCAGGTGATTAAATGCTTTATTGCTCACACAAAGCCTGTTTGGTGGTCTCTTCACACGGACATGCATGAAATCTACCTATCTTGAAGAATACAGTATATAATACTTATATAAAGTACAGTTAACCAACTATGATATCAGTAGTAGGCTTTTAGTTGTTAAGTTTTTAAGGAATCAAACAGTATAAGCAGATTTCTTATTATGTGGGGGATCAGTGCCCCTAATCTCCACATTGTTCAAGGGTCAATGTATTACCTATGAGATCCTTTATTGCAAATGTAAAAGACAAGATCCAGAAAATAATTAGGCCAGACACAGTGGCTCACACCTGTAATCCTAGCACTTTGGGAGGCCAAGGCAGGAGGACTACTTGAGCCCAGAATTCGAGACCGGCCTGGGCAACATAACAAGATCTCAACTCTTTAAAAAAAAAAAGTTTTAATTAGCCAGGCATGGTGGCACACGCCTGTGGTCCCAGTTACTCAAGAGGCTGAGGTGGGAGGATCACTGGAGTTTGAGGTTGCAATAAGCTATGATCGCACCACTGCACTCCAGACTGGGCAAAAGAGAGAGACTCTGTCTCTGAAAAGAAAAAGAATATAATTAACTTAGTTAATGTGGTCTTACAATATTTTAACTGCTATGTAGTCAAATGTGTCTTCATTATGTCAATAAACATAAATCCCTACCACCATGAAATTTACATACTAGTGCAGTAGGCAAACAATGAATAAAGTAAATAGGAAATGTATAAAGTATATTGGAAAGAGAAATGCGCTTTAGAGAAGAATTAAGCAGGGATGGTTTGCAATTTTAAACGGGGTTGAAGGACTTCTCACTGGGGTGGCCTTTGAGCAAGACCGTGAAGGAGGTAAGGGAAGGAACCACTTGTTATTTGTGGAACTACAGCCCAGACAGAAAACAGCAAGGGCCAAGGGCCCTGGAGTGGCAGCATGCCCACAGGCTTCCAGAACAGCATGGCTCTGATGCTGGAGTAGACCGGACAGGGACCATGGAGCAGGAGAGAGCTGGAGGGAGGCTGTTAAGTCTCGCAGGGCCTTGTCGTTGCAAGGGCTCTTTTACTCAGAATGAGACAGAGAGCACCAAAGGATTTTGAGCAGAGGAATGACACTATTTGACCAATAATTTAGAAGAGGCATTCTGAGTGCTGTGTTCAGAATAGACTGAAGAGGTAGGGAGCAAGTGTGAAGCAGAAAGACCATTTTTGGAGGCTGGTGAAACAATTTAAGTCCAGGGTCAGGGTGGTTTGGGGGGCTGGGCTGGGTCCTGGTGCAAGCCTGAGGAGTGGTCAAATTCCAGGTCTCTTCCAAAAGTAGAAACAATGTAACTTGCTGATGTACTGAAGGTGGATGAGAGAGAGGTCAGGATATTGACAAGATAGGTGGCCAGAACAGCAGGACTGATGGAGTTAGGAAATAATAAAAGGTGAGTAGGCTCTGAGGGAGATCTGTGACGTGGTGAGTTTGAGAAGCCTCTCAGAAACCCCAGGTACATGTCGGGTAGGCAGCTGTATAGAAAACTTCAGGGAAGCAGTCTCTGCACAGATGAAGCCAGAAGGCTGGATGACGTCATGCGGGGTACAAGCACAGAAGACGAGAGGTCCAGGATTAGAAGGGATGGAAGGGATGAGGAGGCAGAGCTGGCAAGAGGCCAAGAAGTGGACACTATTCCTCCATGCTTTAAACAGACTGTTCATGTAACATCTTTCCAGAAGGTAAGCATTAAATATAGCCTCAAACATTAAGACATCACAAGGGATCCTCCCAAAGGTTACACAAAATGAGAGCTACAAAATAATTTAAGAGAAAGAATCAAATCCACTCTTCTGACAGGATCCAAGCTATACTGTATGGATTTTTAATGTACTATACAACAGGCCCTTCAATAAGTCATTTCATTATAACGATGAGAAAAAAAAATTTGACTCCCAGCTCTGCTATAATCTTTCTTCTTAATATACCTGTTGCCCCAAATCTACATTCCAGACTTTGAGCAGCTCCCCTGACACAGGTGTACTGTGTCCTTGAGATGACTGGGAGAGTGCACAACTGGTTCTTTTAATGTAATCTTGGGTTTAAAAATCTCAAAGCATCGAAGGGGCAAGATGGCCGAATAGGAACAGCTCTGGTCTACAGCTCCCAGCGTGAGCGACGCAGAAGACAGGTGATTTCTGCATTTCCATCTGAGGTACCAGGTTCACCTCACTAGGGAGTGCCAGACAGTGGGTGCAGGACAGTGGGTGCAGCGCACCGTGCACGAGCCGAAGCACGGCGAGGCAGTGCCTCACTCAGGAAGCGCAAGGGGTCAGGGCATTCCCTTTCCTAGTCAAAGAAAGGGGTGACAGACGGCACCTGGAAAATCAGGGCACTCCCACCCTAATACTGCACTTTTCCCACGGGCTTAAAAAACGGCACACCAGGAGATTATATCCCGCACGTGGCTCGGAGGGTCCTACGCCCACGGAGTCTCACTGATTGCTAGCACAGCAGTCTGAGATCAAACTGCAAGGCCGCAGCGAGCCTGGGGGAGGGGTGCCCGCCATTGCTCAGGCTTGCTTAGGTAAACAAAGCAGCCGGGAAGCTCTAACTGGGTGGAGCCCACCACAGCTCAAGGAGGCCTGCCTGCCTCTGTAGGCTCCACCTCTGGGGACAGGGCACAGAGAAACGAAAAGACAGCAGTAACCTCTGCAGACTTAAATGTCCCTGTCTGACAGCTTTGAAGAGAGCAGTGGTTCTCCCAGCACGCAGCTGGAGATCTGACAACAGGCAGACTGCCTCAAGTGGGTCCCTGACCCCTGACCCCCAAGCAGCCTAACTGGGAGGCAGCCCCCAGTAGGGGCAGACTGACACCTCACGGGGCCGGGTACTCCTCTGAGACAAAACTTCCAGAGGAACGATCAGACAGCAGCATTCGCGGTTCACGAAAATCCGCTGTTCTGCAGCCACCGCTGCTGGTACCCAGGCAAACAGGGTCTGGAGTGGACCTCTAGCAAACTCCAACAGACCTGCAGCTGAGGGTCCTGTCTGTTAGAAGGAAAACTAACAAACAGAAAGGACATCCACACCAAAAACCCATCTGTACATCACCATCATCAAAGACCAAAAGTAGATAAAACCACAAAGATGGGGAAAAAACAGAGCAGAAAAACTGGAAACTCTAAAAAGCAGAGCGTCTCTCCTCCTCCAAAGGAATGCACCTCCTCACCAGCAACGGAAAAAAGCTGGACGGAGAATGACTTTGACGAGTTCAGAGAAGAAGGCTTCAGACAATCAAACTACGCCGAGCTACAGGAGGAAATTCAAACCAAAGGCAAAGAAGTTGAAAACTTTGAAAAAATTTAGATGAATGTATAACTAGAATAACCAATACAGAGAAGTGCTTAAAGGAGCTGATGGAGCTGAAAGCCAAGGCTCGAGAACTACATGAAGAGTGAAGAAGCCTCAGGAGTCGATGCAATCAACTGGAAGAAAGGGTATCAGTGATGGAAGACGAAATGAAAGAAATGAAGCAAGAAGGGAAGTTTAGAGAAAAAAGAATAAAAAGAAATGAACAAAGCCTCCAAGAAATATGAGACTATGTGAAAAGACCAAATCTACGTCTGATTGGTGTACCTGAAAGTGATGGGGAGAATGGAACCAAGTTGGAAAACACTCTGCAGGATATTATCCAGGAGAACTTCCACAATCTAGCAAGGCAGGCCAACTTTCAGATTCAGGAAATACAGAAAATGCCACAAAGATACTCCTCGAGAAGAGCAACTCCAAGACACATAATTGTGAGATTCACCAATTGTTATGTGTGTATTTGATCCTGTGATTATGATGTTAGCTGGTTATTTTCCTCGTTAGTTGATGCAGTTTCTTCCTAGCCTTGATGGTCTTTACAATTGGCATGATTTTGCAGTGGCTGGTACCGGTTGTTCCTTTCCATGTTTAGCGCTTCCTTCAGGAGCTCTTTTAGGGCAGGCCTGGTGGTGACAAAATCTCTCAGCATTTGCTTGTCTGTAAAGTATTTTATTTCTCCTTCACTGATGAAGCTTAGTTTGGCTGGATATGAAATTCTGGGTTGAAAATTCTTTTCTCTAAGAATGTTGAATATTGGCCCCCACTCTCTTCTGGCTTGTAGAGTTTCTGCTGAGAGATCCGCTATTAGTCTGATGGGCTTCCCTTTGTGGGTAACCCGACCTTTCTCTCTGGCTGCCCTTAACATTTTTTCCTTCATTTCAACTTTGGTGAATCTGACAATTATGTGTCTTGGAGTTGCTCTTCTCGAGGAGTATCTTTGTGGCGTTCTCTGTATTTCCTGAATGTGAATGTTGGCCTGCCTTGCTAGATTGGGGAAGTTCTCCTGGATAATATCCTGCAGAGTGTTTTCCAACTTGGTTCCATTCTCCCCGTCACCTTCAGGTACACCAATCAGACGTAGATTTGGTCTTTTCACATAGTCCCACATTTCTTAGAGGCTTTGTTCATTTCTTATTATTTTTTCTCTAAACTTCTCTTCACGCTTCATTTCATTCATTTCGTCTTCCATCACTGATACCCTATCTTCCAGTTGATCGCATAGGTTACTGAGGCTTGTGCATTTGTCACGTAGTTCTTGTGCCGTGGTTTTCAGCTCCTTCAGGTCCTTTAAGGACTTCTCTGCATTGGTTATTCTAGTTAGCCATTCGTCTAATTTTTTTTCGAAGTTTTTAACTTCTTTCCCATTGGTTCGAACTTCCTCCTTTAGCTCGCAGTAGTTTGATCATCTGAAGCCTTCCTCTCTCAACTCATCAAAGTCATTCTCCGTCCAGTTTTGTTCCATTGCTGGTGAGGAGCTGCGTTCCTTTGGAGGAGGAGAGGCGCTCTGATTTTTAGAGTTTCCAGTTTTTCTGCTCTGTTTTTTCCCCATCTTTGTGGTTTTATCTACTTTTGGTCTTTGATGATGGTGACGTACAGATGGGTTTTTGGTGTGGACGTCCTGTTTGTTAGTTTTCCTTCTAACAGTCAGGACCCTCAGCTGCAGGTTTGTTGGAGTTTACTGGAAGTCCACTCCAGACCCTGTTTGCCTGGGTATCAGCAGCGGGGGCTGCAGAACAGCAGATATTGGTGAACCGCAAATGCTGCTGCCCGATCGTTCCTCTGGAAGTTTTGTCTCAGAGGAGTACCTGGCCGTGTGAGGTGTCAGTCTGCCCCTACTGGGGGGTGCCTCCCAGTTAGGCTACTCGGGGGTCAGGGACCCACTTGAGGAGGTAGTCTGCCCATTCTGAGATCTCAAGCTGCATGCTGGGAGAACCACTACTCTCTTCAAAGCTGTCACACAGGGACATTTAAGTCCGCAGAGGTTATTACTGTCTTTTGTTTGTCTGTGCCCTGCCCCCAGAGGTGGAGCCTATAGGGGCAGGCAGGCCTCCTTGAGCTGTGGTGGGCTCCACCCAGTTTGAGCTTCCCAGCTGCTTTGTTTACCTACTCAAGCCTGAGCAATGGCGGGCGCCCCTCCCCCAGCCTCGCTGCGGCCTTGCAGTTTGATCTCAGACTGCTGTGCTAGCAATGAGTGAGGCTCCATGGGCGTAGGACCCTCCGAGCCAGGTGCAGGATATAATCTCCTGGTGTGCCACTTGTTGAGCTCGCTGGAAAAGTGCAGTATTAGGGTGGGAGTGACCCGATTTTCCAGGTGCCATCTGTCTCCACTTTCTTTGACTAGAAAAGGGACTCCCTGACTCCTTACGCTTCCCGGGTGGGGCAATGCCTCGCCCTGCTTCGGCTCACGCATGGTGTGCTGCACCCACTGTCCTGCACCCACTGTCCGGCACTCCCCAGTGAGATGAACCTGGTACCTCAGTTGGAAATGCAGAAATCACCCGTCTTCTGCGTCGCTCACACTGGGTGCTGTAGACTGGAGCTGTTCCTATTCGGCCATCTTGGCTTCACCCCCAAGACTTTTTTTTTTTAAGACGGAGGCTCACTCTTGTACCCCAGGCTGGAGTGCAATGGCGCGATCTCGGCTCACTGCAACCTCCGCCTCCCGGCTTCAGCTTCAAGCAATTCTCCTGCCTCAGCCTCCCGAGTAGCTTGGAATATATGCACCCAGCACAACGCCCGGCTAATATTAGTATTTCTAATAGAGATGGGGTTTTACCATGTTGGCTGGTCTCTTAACTCCTGACCTCAGGTGATCCTTCTGCCCCGGCCTCCCAAAGTGCTGGGATTATAGGCGTGAGCCACCACGCCCAGCCAAGAAATTTTATATAAGAAAAGATCTTGTATGGTAAAATCTGGTCCTAAAGTAAAATGACTGTTTAAAAAGAGGGATGTTTAGGAAAAGTCTGAAAGTCCAAGCATGTTGTAGATGGTCTCTGTAAGTTGTGAACGTATTCATGAAAAGGCAATTTATGCAAGAAATGTTGTACAATTCAAAGGTTGTTAGGCCTGTTAAATACTTCATAAAATGCCACTATGACTCTTACTGTACAACTTGCCTGCTTTATAGCTAGGTAAGGCCTGAGACATGTGGAGTTAGCCACACTCCCTAGCTACACTGGAAACAGTCAGACCTTCTGGTGTCCTAGGCTCCACTCCTGGTACGTAATTGAAATTGCTTACTCACCAGGCTTTCCACCAAAAGTAAAAGTCATTGAGTTAACAGTGTAATATGCACTTGAGACTACTGAAGAAACAGTTCTATACACGAGGCATGTAAGGGAAGTAAAATGTACTTTTGGTAAAAGATTATGAGAAGGCATGGGAATGTGGATTTCTTGCCTAAGTTTAGAGTGTTAACGGACTGTTTTAAATGAGATAGGAAAAGTCTAAAGGTTTGAACAAGTTGTGAAAGGGTTATAAAAACTTAATTGTAAGAGATTCTGTGTGTGAACATATTGGCTAAAGTTTAAGTCACGTTATGCAGTTTTTCCATAAATTGGAAATTGGAATAAAAGCACAACAGAGTTTTCTTAAAACAGTTTTGTTCTAAGAAAAAAACAAAATTGTAAAGGGTTATAAAAGATTCATAAAAATCTTACCTTATGGCAAGCCAGGTGTGGTGGCTCACGCCTGTTATACCAACACTTTGGGAGGCTGAGGCAGGTAGATCAAGGGGTCAAGAGTTCGAGACCAGCCTGGCCAACATAGTGAAACCCTGTCTCTACTAAAAATACAAAAATTAGCCAGGTGTGGTGGCACATGCCTATAGTCCCAGCTACTCGGGAGGCTGAGGCAGGAGAATCACTTGAACCCAGGAGATGGAGGCTGCAGTGAGCCGAGACCATGCCATTGCACTCCAGCCTGGGCAACAGAGAGAGACTGCGTCTTGAAAAAAATAAAAAATAAAAAAAAAATCTTACCTTATGGTCAAACTAATTAGAACTAGACAGATTTATAAGATGTAATTAAAACTGGCTTTAACGTTAAAAATACACTAATGGAAACATAAAATTCAGTTTTCTCTTTTAAAAAGGATTTTTATGGAATATTAAAAGATAATGAAAGGTTTTTATTTACCTTTTAAGTAAACTACAAAAGAAAAAAGGGGGAGGGGAGAGAGAGGAGGCAATCAGCCTCATGCTACCTTCATTGGGTCTTGTTTGGAAAGCTGAGTCTCCTACCAGAATAATGGTTTTTCCTTTTGAAAATTTTTGAGTTACTTTGGCTAAATGAATGACTTACGGAAACCTAAGACTCCATTTTGTAATATCCAATGTTTTAAACGTTTGGTATTTAACAAACCTTTCAAAATCAAGCTCTAAGTTAAAATAAAAAATTTTTAAAAATTAAGTCCCCTAAAGTACAAAAGACATATTCAGCTTATTTAATGTATTAAAATCATGCAGGAAACACTGTCAAATAGAAAATGGTGCTTAACTTTCTTTGGGTTATATTCATATAAATTTGTGATATAAAGTTACGTGCTGCAAAACTGTATAAAATTCCTACAATTCTGATATGACTCAGTATATGTCATCAGTAATAACTGTTGTGTTGAATTATTGTGTGCCACAGATTCACAAATTTCCTTGTTAATTGTGTCTTTGTGGCTTCCCTAAAATGCTTTTCTCATCCAAAGATAACTGCTGTTTTAATTTGGTCCTCTTTAGAAGATGGTTTTATAATCAGCTATAAAACTTTGATATGTGCTCTTGAATGCAAGTTTCTGATAACTCTGGAGATTATGACATAGAATAAAGGAAAAAAACTTTTAGAACTCTCATGGAAAGCTGAAATGTTCATAAATATCAAACAGAAGTTAAATGCATGGACTAAACTAATAAAAGTCTGAAGTAACCTTTTTGTTTAAAATGCTGCTGATTCTTTGCTTTTTCAGAGTCAGGGAAATTTCTTTTAAGCTATTTACAGCTTGTAGCAACTGAGTAAAGTACACTCCTGTGAATAAAATTTGGCGCATATTTGTTTCTACTTGATTTCTCCAGAATTTAAAAACTATTTGTGAGTATTCTTAATTTATGGCAATACAGTTATTTTCATAAATACAATAAGAATCTGTTTTCTTTTGTAACAGGACACTATTGAAAACACTGGTTATTTTACCAAGGGTTTGACTAGAATGGCATGCTTTCCTTTATGGAATCAACCTTGACTTGTACTTGTAAAGCCAGTAAAAGCCCTTGGGAAAACTGAGCTCATACTTTGTCTACACAGTCCCTGTACAGGGTTCCTGACCCATGGTAAGTATAGAATGTCACTTTCTGACAGGCCCAGGAGCCCCAAGTTATCTAGGGGCATCAAGAGGAGAGGAACTTACCCAACTCATAAGTATTTGAAGGTACAAACCTATGGCTGGACTCAGCTTTAGAAAGTCTTATCTGAGATTCCTTATGGAACAGAGTTCCATCAAAGGCAATTTAAAAAGCCTATGTAAAAAATAATTATTCTAGCCAGGCGCAGAGGCTCATGCCTGTAATCCTAGTACTTTGAGAGGCCAAGGCAGGCGGATTGCCTGAGCTCAGGAGTTCAAGACCAGCCTGGGCAACACAGTGAAACCCCGTCTTTACTAAAATACAAAAGAAATCAGCCAGGCATGGCGACGTGCACCTATAGTCCCAGCTACTCGAGAGGCTGAGGCAGAAGAATTGCTTGAACCCGGGAGGCGGAGGTTGCAGTAAGCCACAATCACACCACTGCAATCCAGCCTGGGTGACGGAGCAAGACTCCATCTCTACCAAAAAAAAAAAAAGTATTCTTGCCAGGTGATTACTGATTCATGCCTGTAATCCCAGCACTTTGGGAGACCAAGGCAGGCAGATCACGAGGTCAGGAGTTCGAGACCAGCCTGACCAACGTGGTGAAACCCTGTCTCTACTAAAAATACAAAAATTAGCCAGGTGTGGTGGCACTCACCTGTAATCCCAGCTACTCAGGAGGCTGAGGCAGGAAAACTGCTTGAACCCGGGAGGCGGAGGTTGCAGTGAGCTGAGATCACGCCACTGCACTCCAGCCTGGGCGACAGAGCAAGGCTCCATCTCGGAAAAAAAAAGTATTACTGATGCGCTTTATGCAAATAATCAGGCCAAGCATAATAAAATTAAAGTTTATTTTGCCAACAAATCAGTCCTATCGTGATTTGTTTTAATAAAAATAAGGACTAAAGAGAGAAAAATTATGTTCCAAAAACTATGGTACACATGTTGTTAGTTTTTTTTTTCTTCAATTTAGACTAAATCCTAATATTTTTGTGGACTATAAGTCCCCAGACTAATGCTTTCAAACCTTTACTTTTAAAACTGGAAATTGCACTCCTTATCCTAAAACTCATTATTTACCTTATAGTAGACTGTCTGTTTAAATGCTGTACTAAAACTATAAAGATACTACTGCCTTTGTCACGAAAGCCTTGGAACCACAGCCCGGCCTGCATGAATATACTCAGACAGCTGCAAAGCAGTTCTACTCCTCTCACCTTAGGGTCAACTCCGACCCCAACTATGCCCCCTGTCAGCATGAAGAAGCTAGAGTGATCAATGGCCTTTTTCCATCTTCATAGCCCACACCTTAAGAATAAGATGCTACAAAACCCCAAAGGGAGGGATTGAAACCGCCTTTGCAAAATTATAACTGAGGGCTGGGCCCAGTGGCTCATGCCTGTAATCCCAGCATTTTGGGAGGTCGAGGAGGGCGGATCACCTGAGGTCAAGAGTTCAAGACCAGCCTGGCCAACATGGAGAAACCCCATTTTTACTAAAAATACAGGCATGGTGGTGGGCGCCTGTAATCCCAGCTACTCAGGAGGCTGAGGCACGAGAATCTCTTGAACCTGGGAGGTGGAGGTTGCGGTGAGCCAAGATCATGTCACAGCACTCCAGCCTGGGCGATAGAGCAAGACTCAGTCAAAAAAAAAAAAAAAAAAAAGCAAAAGTAAACCAATGGGATTATAACAAACCAAAAACCTTCTTCCCAGCAAAGGAAACAAATAGAGTTAAGAGACAAACTACATAATGGGAGAAAATATTTGCAAGCTATTCATCTAACAAGGGATCAATATCCAAGGAACTCAAACATCTCAACAGAAAAAAATAACAATATGATCAAAAAATGGGCAAATGATCTAAACTGACATTCTCGAAAGAAGACATACAAATGGCCAATAAATTTGTGAAAAAATGCTCAATGTTACTAATCATCAGGAAAATGCAAACCAAAATCACAATGAGATACCATCTCACCCCAGTTAGGATGGCCATTATCAAAAAGACAAAAAATAACAAATGCTGGTGAAGATGCAGAGAAATGGGAACGCTTATACTCTGTTAGTGAGAATGTAAATTAGTACAGCCATTATGGAAAACAGTATGGAGGTTCCGCAGAAAATTACAAACAGAACTAACATATGATCCAGCAATTCCACTACTGGGTATATATCCAAAGGAAAGGAAATCAATATATCAAAGAGATATGCACAGCCAGGCTAAGTGGCTCACGCCTGTAATCCCAGCACTTTGGGAGGCCAAGGTGGGTGGATCACAAGGTCAGGAGTTCAAGACCAGCCTGGCCAACATGGAGAAACCCCATCTCTACTAAAAATATAAAATTAGCCGGGCATGGTGGCACATGCCTGTAACTCCAGCTACTCAGGAGGCTGAGGCAGGAGAATTGCTTGAACCCAGAAGTGGAGGTGGTAGTGAGTCGAGACTGCATCATTGCACTCCAGCCTGGGCAACAAGAGGGAAACTCCGTCTCAAAAAACAACAACAAAAAAAGAGATATGTGCATCCCGATGTTTATTGCAGCACTATTCACAATAGCCAAGATATGGAATCAACCTAAGTGTCCTTCAGCAGATGAATGGATAAAGAAAATGTGGTATATATACACAAAATAGAATACTATTCAGCTATAAAAAAGAAGGAAATCTGTCATTTATGGCAACATGAAAGGAACTGGAGGACATTATGTTACGTGAAATAAACTAGGAACAGAAAGTTAAACACTACAAGTTCTCATTCATATGCAGAAGTTTAAAAAAGCTTACTCAAAGAAGTAAAAAGCCTAACAGTTTTCTAGAGGCTGGGAAGGGTAGAGCAAAGGCGAGGATAGGCAGAGATTTGTTAAAGGATACAAAATTACAGCTAGATAAGAGAAGCAAGTTCCAGTGTTTCATAGCACCATAGGATGACTATAATTAACAATATATTATACACTCTCAAATAGCCAGAAGAGAAGATATTGAATGTTCCCAACCAAAAGAAGTGATACATGTTTGAGATGGCAGATATGCCCTGATCCGCTAACTACACACTGTAAGTAGGTATGGAAACATCACTGTGTACCCCATAAATATGGATAATTATTACATGCCAATTAAAAATAAATTGTTAAAAATCAGTATAATACCATCACAGAGTTTGAAAAACAGGAAAAGAAATTGCCCATAATCCCCCTTTCACCCTAGCACAATTTCTATCATTTTCATATTTTTTTTTTCCTTTGGAGACAGCATCTTGCTCTGTCACCCAGTCTGGAATGCAGTGGCAAGATCATGGCTTACTGTAGCCTCAAACTCCCCAGGCTCAAGAGATTCTCCCACCTGAGCTTCCCAAGTAGTGCGCACCATTATGCCAGGCTAATTTTTGTATTTTTGTAGAAACTGGGTTTTGCCATGTTGCCCAGGTTGGTCTGGAACTCCTGTGCTTAAGTAATCCGCCCACCTCCGCCTCCCAAAGTGCTGGGATTACATGTATAAGACACTGCGCCTGACCATTTTTGTATTTATCTACATATACACGTAATTTCACAGTTGAAAAGTCAATTATACAATTTTATATCTTGTTTTCTTCACTTATCATCATAAGGTTTTATTCATGTTGCCTCTTGGGGTTCCTAACTACACAACAGTTGCAGAATATTCCGTCAAGTGGATGGACCATCATTTAATGAACTATTCTAAAAGTTTTGTTTCTAGTTTTCTATCACTATGGCACTCTTTTATGCATTTGACTTTTTTCCTGCCTTGGATTACTTATTAAGATAAAGTCCGATTGGGAGGCCGAGGCAGGTAGATCACTTAAGGTCAGGAGTTCAAGACCAGCCTGGCCAACATGGTGAAACCCCATCTCTACTAAAATTAAAAAATTAGCCAGGCGTGGTGGCATATGCCCATAGTCCCAGCTACTCGGGAGGCTGAGTCACGAGAATCACTTGAACCCAGGAGGTGGAGATTGCAGTGCACCGAGATGGCGCCATTGCACTCCAGCCTGGGTGACAGAGCGAGACTCTCAAAAAAAAAAAGATAAAGTGCCAGATGTAAGATTATTGAGCTCAACAATAAAAACGTAGAGCTAGCAGGGCTCCTAACACTGGATGCCACACTGCTTCCCTAAGGGCTGAAACCTATGCCTACTGCAGCACTATTCACAATTGCCAAGATACAGAATCAACCAAAGCAAATGTGGTGCACATATGCAATGGAGTACACTTTGGCAGTAACAAAGGATGAAATTCCGTAATCCGTGCCAGCATGGATGGAGCTGGAGGACACTGTGTTAAGCGAAATAACAGGATGACAGCAATCGCAAATGAACCCGGACTCACTCTCTTTACAGCTCCTTCCCCAACACGCTTCAGCTGTCTCACTTCTGTTCTCAGCTCCTCGCAGGACAGCCAAGGTGAGCAGTTTTTCATCTGTCCTATCCTGAAGTGACCATAGGGACAGTGTGTGGGGTCCACAGTGGATTGTCGAGGAGCGATGAAGAAGTGGTCGAGGCAGAGGTAGAGCAGAGTATTCATCAGGGCCATGATCAGCAGCAGCCCAACAGCTGGCGGCACCTCTCGGGGGGCGAGGCCTCTCCTGCTGTTCTGGGGCTGCTTTTCCATGTTGACGGCCTCTGCAATTTCCTAAAATACACAATGAAACAAGAAGTCATGACAGTCAGCTTTCACTTCCTTTCATTTCCAAAAATGTGTTCTGATGCCTCTTCTACTCAAGGGTCCTGTAAGCTGCAGCGTTACCGTGGGGATTAAAGCAGGTATCGAACACCAGGCTTATCCCAAATGCCCAATGTTAGCTGTTTCCATAATCATTACTTTTTATTACAAACTAAAATGCGGGTTCCTCTAGATTAGGTTAGGTGGGAGGTGTTTGTGTCTGACTCTGTCCGACTCACAGTAGCATGCATTAAATAGATGCTCATGAATATTCAGTAAAATGAAAGCAAAATGTATTAGTCAACTGGTGGGACAGGGACAGAGGGTGGACAAAGGACAGCAGAAGGAGGCTGCTTAGGGTAGCAGGTGGAGGCTGGGAAGCTGAGGGCCTCTGTCGAACTCAGCTAAGCAGCTGTCCTGTTCCCTGGGAGGTACTCAGAATCCCCTCAACAGTTTTAAGAAATAAAAGCTACTCTTCAGCAGTTATGAAAGGTAGATTTGGGGTGAAAGAGACTGAGGCTGGGAGACCAGTTATTAAGAAGCCCTGGTTATGACCACGGACAGGAGCTGACAAGTACATGAGCTAGAATAACAGCGATGAGATTGGAGAGATGACCACTCAGATGTCACACCAGCGATAAGTAACCACTGATAATGTGTGGGCTCTACCGCTGGAGCCGTGCAAGGCCATGGTGGAGGGGCCTGGCTGCGGAGAAGCCTGAAGTAGGACCGTGGATGGCAGAGGTGATTTACAGAAGCAGAATGGAGCAGAATGGAAGTATATGGAGACTTTAACAGTGGATGTGGCCATGCCAGTGGGAGCCAGCTAAACAGCACTGGAATGCTGGGGCACTGGGACAGAACTGGGTCAGAGACAGCTGTGACATGCAGGGTTACCTCCCAAGCGCATCTCCTTCTCCAGCTCAGGTCTCCATCCAGGTACCTGGTCAGTCCATACTCTAGTTGGCGCCCAGGGACTGGTCGGGAAACACCCTGCCACAAAGTACCAAACAGGAAGTGTGTAAACAGAAACTGCAGCTATGTACCCAGACAAATCGCCATAGTCCAAACGGTCCAACTTTCCCAGGGCCCTCCTCCTGCCTCAAGTCCAGGTTTCCTCAGGTTCTCAAGCCCCAGGACAGAGCAGGGCCGTGGGGAAGCCCATCAGAGTCTCTCTGTCCCAGTCTGCTCTCTTCTTCTCCATCACTGACTTCCAGCTGCTCATTCCCGCAACATGTCCTGAGCAGCTTCTATGTGCCCAGCCCTGCAGTGGGTGCTGGAGACATTCACACACAGTGAATTACACCAGCATGGTTCCTATCCTGCTGGAGCTTAGGGGAAAAGTCTAGTGGGGAAGACAGACAATAAACAAGTAAACAAATAGGTCTATCATCATCCTGTGATGGGGGTTCAAAGATAGAGAGTAACTGTGTAGGAACTCCCTGGAGGAAGCATCCCAGGAGACCTCTCTAAGGAGGTGACCTTCACACTGTGACTAGAGGCCTGAGAGGAGCCAGCCATGAAAAATCCAGGACAGGAAGCTTGTTCCTACCTCCTCCTTGAGAAAACAAAATCCACTCCCATATACAGAGCTGGGACAAGACGTCAATGAAACCACAAAGTTAACAGGAAACGGCATTTCTCCTTAGAACACACTGCAGCCATAAAGTGTCAAAAACCCCCTTTGGATGAAGACTCCTTTTTTACTACCTAGAAATTCTGTTCTCTACAATCACAGACTACCAGAAATTTTGCAGTTTGAAGTCTTATCAGTTGGGATAAAACATCCCATGCTTTCCTGGAGGATCAAAGTCACTCTGACACACAGAAGCAACCTCAGTTCCCAAACAGGGCAGACCTTCAGATAAGGAGTTTCTGGAGATAATCCTGCACATCTATGTTAACCTGGTAGTCTCCAAGGAAAGAGGACCACTTTGCAGTCCAGACTAGATCTTGGCCCCTTTACACTCAGTTCTACATGGCTTTGAGCCCATCAAAACACTACTTCATTTAAATTTGCCTAAACTTTACTCATCTCCAAAATTCTATGATTTTCTTCCTTTTTTTTTTTTTTTTTTTTGACATAGGGTCTGACTCTGTCACTCGGGCTGGAGTGCAGTGGTGCAATCATAGCTCAATGCAGCCTCAAACTCAAGCAATCCTGTCACCTCTGCCTCCTTAGTAGCTGGGACTACAGGTGCGCATCACCACATCCAGCTAATTTTTGTATTTTTTTTTGTAGAGACTGGGTCTCACGATGTTGCTCAGGCTGGCCTTGAACTCCTGGCCTCAAGCAATCCTCCTGCGTCAGCCTCCCAAATTGCTGGGATTACAGGCATGAGCCACTGCACCTGGCCTTTTAAATTTATTTTTATCCCCTCCACGGCTCTACTCATCCCCTGCATCAGTATTCCCTGGAACCTCAACACATTCCAGTACCCCACAGATGCAAGCACACAAGCTCATACTGTTCTGGCGCTCTTGAGCGTACTCCAGACCTCACACTGCTGACTCTCCCAGCAATGGCACACACTTCAGTGCCTCTATGGCTCTAAACCCACAGTAGCAGCCTCTAGAACGCCTTAAACCATCCGGCTGCCCCTTCCTAGAGTGTCCTCGTGCTCAGGGACACACGTGCACCTCACACCAACTTGACCCTTAGCGCACCGGGCCTCTGACGGTACCAAGACCCTTCCCGCACCACCACCACCCCCTACCTCACAGAGATCCACAATCCTCATCCCCGCTAGCACAGGCTCAGGTCTCCCACCGTCCTCCCTCCATCAGATCCCTCCATGAGGTCCCTCCAGCTCTGTTCCATTAGCATGCACTGGGCTCCAACTACCCAGACCTTTATTAGCGCATGCACACACCCACCACGGCACAACCCCCACAAGCGCACACCCAGCACTTGAGTCCTTCAACCACCTCCCCTCCATAAGCACCCCATTCTCTCCTACCCTGCAGGCCCCCACAGACACACACACAGCACTAACACCATACACACCCCCATCACCACACACGAGGCCTCAGAGGCCTATTAGCACACACCCTGGTGCCTCTACCACACTATCCCCCATTAGCACACACACTGGGCCTCTCTCCAGCCATAACCCCTATTAGCTTGCTTTGGAACTTCCTCAACACCCTACCCCTGTGATACACCCACGGGTCCCTCACCCGCTCTGCTGCCCACTTCCCTAAGCACACACTGGGCCTTGAGCCTCACCTGCCATAAGGCTCATCACCACATGCTCTGAGCCCTGCTCAGCCCAGGCCCCCATTGGCAAAGCTCCAGTCTCTCCCGGCTCCACCACCCATTCCCATATCCTCTGTTCCTCTGACCCCCTGCTCCCTATTTGCACTCATGGCACTTCCATCCCCAGCTCCCTGCCCCGGGCCAGGTCAGAGAGGCCCCGAAGGACTCCTGCCCTGTGCCCTCTCAGATGACTCTCTGTCCCTCTGATGAAGATATGCAAGTCCCGCCAGTATGCAGCCTCGCTTATTGCAGTGAGTCAATAAAAGTGATAGGTGTGTCCCGAGTGGCCTTAGGCTAGCTGGAAGCTCACACTCTCCTTCTCCAAACATGTACCACCTGTTCCCCCACCTTCACTCTCAGCTGATCATCTAACGAGATCATCCTATTTTACTAGAAAAACAGAAGCAATCAGAGAGCATTTCCACCAGTTCCCAAGCCCCACCCCAGGTTCCTGCACTCTCCTATTACTACAAACAGTGTGTTACCATGAAACTGGCCCCGAGCCCAGCTCAGGCAAACCCCACGCCCAGCTCTGTCCTCTCATTCTCTCCAACTCACTGCCACTGCACCCAAACTGACCTTATCACAGTCAGCACAGGTGGCCTCCACATCACTAAACACAACAGTCAAAGCACAGCCCCAGTCTTCCTTGATCTATCAATAGCATCTACCGTGATTGATAACTCCCTCCTTAAACGCCTTATATAATTGGTTTCCAGGAAACTACATTCTGGCAGCTCCTCATCTCTGAGTCCACGTAGTGGGGTCCCCCAGAGTTCAGAGCTCAGGCCTCTGCCACACTCCCTGGGAGAGCTCACCCAGACTCAGGACTTTTCATCGCTGCCTGCTGACAACTTCCAAAGGTAAAACTCCATTCCCAGCCTCTCCTCAGAACCCAAGGCTTGCTTCCTTGACATCTCCATGTGGATGTCTGGTGAACAACTCAAAAGATTCAAAAAAAACAACTCAATTTAAAAATGTGCAAAGGGTCAGGCATTGGTGGCTCACACTTGTAATCCCGGCACTTTGGGAGGCCAAGGTGGGAGGATCGCTTGAGCCTAGGAGTTCCAGACCAGCCAGGGTAACATAGTAAGACCTCCTGTCTACAAAAACTAAATTTAAAAATTAGCCAGGCATGTTGGCCTGTGCCTATAGGCCCAGCTACTCAGGAGGCTGAGGTGGGAGGATCATTTGAGTCCAGGAGACCAAGGCTGCAGTGAGCTGTGATCGTGCCACAACACTCCAGCCTGAGTGACAGTGAGACCCTGTCTCAAAAAAATAAACAAATAAAATTTTTAAAATGGGCAAAGGACTTGAACAGACATTTCTCCAAAGTAGATACACAGATGGCCAACAGGCACATACATGAAAGATGCTCAGCTTCACCAGTCATCAAGGCAAACGCAGATCAGAAGTGTGACAAGATGGCATTTTACACCCATGAGGATGGCTATAATACAAAAATCAGTAACAACATAGGGGAATGTGGAAAAACTGAAATCCTCAAACATCACTGGTGAGAAAGTAAAATGCAGCCACTGTGGAAAGCAGTCTGGCCGCTCCTCAAAAGGTTAAGCACAGTCACCACACGACCCAGCAACTCCACTGCCCAGTATGTACCTATGAAAACACACACACTCACACACACACTCATACATGAATGTTCACGGAAGCATTATCCACAACTGCCAAACAGTGGAAACAAGCCAAGTGTCCATTGGCAGATGAATGGATAGACAAAATGTGGTACATCCATAAATGGAATATTATTCAGCCATAAAAAATAAAGCACTAATTCATGCTGCAACATGGGTGAACCCTGGAAACATCATGCTCAGTGAAATAAGCCTGACAAAAAGGCCACATGCTGTAAGATTCCATTTACATGAAATGTCCAGAAACAGCAAATTCAGACACAGAACATAGATTTGTGGCTCCCAGAGGCTGGGGAGGCAGGGGGTGGAATAGCTGCTGACAGGGATGGGGTCTCTTTTTGGCTAAAATGTTCCTGAATTAGACAGTGATGATGATTGTACAACCTTGTAAATATGCTAAATATCACTGAATTGTACACTTTAAAATGTCAAATGTTATGGTTTGTGAATTATATCTTCCTTGAAGTCTCCCCCTAACATTTAAAAAGATAAAAGCATTCCCAGCTCTCAGGCTACGCAAAAACAAGCAGAAGCTGTGGTTGGCCAAGCCCTGCCTTAGGTGATGGCATTCCTCCAGGTCTGCCAAAGACCCAGGTAACCTCACCCACACCTGGGACACTAGCAGCCATCTGAACTCTGCTGCTTTCTAAGTCTGCACTGCAGCCCAGGTCTCTCCTATGCTTTGCTCACTGGCCTATCAAGGTATGGGATGTCCACTGCAGAACTCCCCAGTCCCCACAGGCCCCTCCTCCAGGGTTCCCTCTGTCATGGGCTCATGACCCAACCACCCACTCAAGTTACAGACCAGGTGTGTGTGACTTGATTCCTCCCTCCCCTAAACTCTAAACCAACCGATTACCACATGCAGTCAATGCTCCCACCAAAACCTCCCTCACAACTGCTTGCATATCTCCTTCCTTGCTGCCCTTCCCCTCCACCCCGCTGCGTGAGCCAGCAGCACCTCTCACCTGGGTTTCCACAATAGATTCCCAAGCAGACGCCCAGTTTTTCCTCTCTTGCAGTCCATTCTCAGGATTACACAGCAAACAGGATCCTTTTTCTTTAAGTGTTTCACACACAGAGAAAAAAAAAATCATAAGCATTCATCCAGCTTTGTCAAGTCACACTGCATCATTTTTTCAGATCTTTTTTTAAAGAAATTAAATATTACAAATAGAGTTGAAGACCCTCTGGACTCCTCCCCATCCAATTCTACTCCCCCTCAAGAAGTGATCACTATCTTCAAGTTGGTGGACATCAGAGATTCTCAAACTGTGCTCCCCAGACCTGTGGCGTCATAGCCCAGGAACCTGGGAGAAATGCAAATTCTTGGGTCCACACTCCAAACCTACTGAATCAGAAATGAACATCTGTGTTTTAATAAATCCTCTAGGTGATTTGGATGCATGCTAAAGTCTGAAAACCACTGGTGTATATAATTCCTATACATGCTGTCTATCTATCTAATCGATCTTATCTATTTACCTACCTACTTATCTATCTACTTAAGACATGGAGTCTCACTATGTTGCCCAGGCTAGACTCAAGTGATCCTCCTGCCTCCACCTCCCAAGCAGCTGGGACTGACTACAGGGATGGGTTACCAAACTCCGCTTCTCATACATGCTTATTTTCACAAGTATGTGCCCATAAATCATACATATGTTTTCAAGCTTTATACAAACAGTGATGGGCTGGTATTATCCTCCTGCAACCAGTTTTTTTTAAAAGCTCAACATTACATTTCTGAGATTTATCCATGCAGATGCACAAAACTCAGTTCACTATTTTCAACTGGTTTGACTTTTCCACAATTAGTGAGACAAGCTGTGTATACATCTCCCCAGGCATACATGGAAGTTTCTCTGATACATGCAGGGAGAGCTTTCTTTTTTTTCTTTTTTCTTTTTTTGAGAAGGAGTCTCACTCTGTCACCAGGCTGGAGTGCTATAGCACAATCTCAGCTCACTGCAACCTCTGACTCCCTTGTTAAAGGGATTCTCCTGCCTCAGCCTCCTGAGTAGCTGGGATTACAGAGCTGGGATTACAGGCACGTGCCACCATGCCCAGCTAATTTTAGTATTTTAATAGAGACGGAGTTTCACTATGTTGGCCAGATGGTCTCAATCTCCTGACCTCGTGATCCGCCCACCTTGGCTTCCCAAAGTGCTGGGATTACAGGCATGAGCCACCATGTCCGGCCCATGCAGGGAGAGCTTTCTAAAGCACGGATCTGATCCCACCTTGCTTAACATTCAACAGCCCCCCACTCGGCCCACAGGATCAAGTCCAAACTCTTATGTGGCCTCCTGAAATCTAGCCCCTATCTGCTTCCCTAAACCCTCCCTGCACCACACTCTCTGGCCCCTGAGCTTTCCTCAAAGGCTCCCTTTCTGGGATACCCAGGCCCCGGCTTCCTCTAGATTCTGAGCACCAAGAAGCCTGCCTGCCTGTCCTGTTCACCACTGCACCCCAGTGCCTGGCACACAGCGGGTACTCGGCAAAGACGCACCAACTGCCTGGTCACTCTGCACCTCTCCCTCTTCATGGCCTCAGCCGCACAGGCTGCTTTCCCTCTCCTGTGTTCGCTCCACGGAATCCGCTCTTCCTCTCCTCACGGCTCCTGTCTTCTGAGGACCCTCATCTGCCACCTCCTTCTCCAATCCAAGTTTCCCAGCTCAAACCCTGCGATAAATCCTTTCAACCCTCCAACCCTCCTTACCCCTAACCTCCCACCAATCCTTCCTTGCCACTAGTGGATTCAGGTTTTATGGGGCCTGAAGCTTATACAAGTTGGGGCAAGGAGTGGTAATTCCTTAAGAGAAGAATAGTTATGAATGTAAAAGTGCTGAGCCTCTTGCCAGAGTTTTGGCAAGAGGATTTGTGCAAGGTTTTGGAAGGTATTTGTGCAAGTGAAGAGGCTAGAGGCTTCATCATAAACCCAGATCTGCTTGTCATTCACCAGACCCATGTAACTTGCCCTGTCCACTTCTTCATTTCCACTCAAAGGCTGCCAACATCAGCTACAAAACTCTGTGGGACTCTAGAAATGCATATTTTCTAATCTCTCTTGGACCCTCAGCATTACTCAGAAAACCTTTAATGCATTTCTTGCTGAATCCAAATTTCATATGCCCCAAAAACCTTTTATATATCCCTAAGTCCTCACATTCACTTCTGAATCCTCTCTCGGCAAAAACAAACCAAACCAAACCAAAACAAAACAAATAAAAAAAATACCCCAAAATTCATTTGACTTTTATACACTGTCAACTTCACACCAATTCTGTGAAGTGGATGTAATTGTTGTTATTCCCATTTCACAGATAAGACAACTGAGTCAGAGGTGAAGTAATATATCTAAGGTCACTGAACTATACACAGAAGAGCCAAGTTTTCTGGCCTCAAGCCCATTCTTCCCCTAAATACCGCAATGCTCGGGAGTTGAACTAAATCAAACCCAGCGTGGTCAGCTAGGGGCTGGGCTGGGGTACCCTGGGACTGCCGGTTTCTTAAAGAAGACTTCAGCCCACCTCAACCCCGATTTGCTTTTTTGTTTCACAGGCATATTCTGGAGTAGGCCGCCCAGAGCATAGCATGAGGCTGTGTGGCTAAAGGAACTTTCGTGTCCAGAAGTAAGCAAAAACCACTGAAATTTACTGGTCCTGAAAACAGCCTGCACATTAAGGAATAAAGATGGTGGGGCAGGTTGGGCAGAAGAAATTCAGGCACGACTGAAATGCAAAGCATTTCTGACACTGATAGGAAGGCTTATTGATAGAGAAAGGCTTGGGACCCACTGCTCCACATTTACAGCTTAAAAAGAAAAGAAAAGCAAAGGGACAAAACTAGTTTTTACCGACTTACAAGATATTTTCTACAACTAGGGAAGACACAGAGTAATGTCATCCAATACAGTTTAGAGTAGAATTCCATTGCGCCAATAAAGCACAAGGTACATTAAGAGGATTATTTTAAATATTCTGAACGCTTATTTAGCCTTAAGGTTCTATAGCAAAGGCAAAGGGTGGCAAAGACAAGATTATGCAACAAAACAGCGAAATTTTGCTTTCTAAAAAAAAGAGAATATGATTACACTTAACACCTCCTGGCAACAATGATCTCGTGCAGAATAAACACCCAAAGGCAAAGAGCTGAGACAGAGTCCTCGGTCCTTTCTGGTTTTTTTGTTTTTTGTTTTGTTTTGGTTTGGTTTGGTTTTTGTTTTTTTAAACAGAGACAGCCTCTGCCGGACCCAGTAGCTCACGCCTGTAATCCCAGCACTTTGGGAGGCAGAGGCGGGCGGATCACCTGAGGTCAGGCGTTCGAGACCAGCCTGACCAACATGGGGAAACCCCGTTTCTACTAAAAATACAAAAATTAGCCGGGCGTGGTGGCGGACGCCTGTAATCCCAGGAGCCAAGACCGCGCCACTACACTCCAGCCTGGGCGACAGAGCGAGACTCCGTCTCAAATAATAATAATAATGATAAAGTAATAATAATAGAAACAGCCTCTCACTCTGGCCCCCAGGCTGAAGTGCAGTGGCGCGATTTCGGCTCACTGAAACCTCCGCCCCCGCCGGGTTCAAGCATTCTCCCGCCTCAGCCTCCGGAGTAGATAAGACTATAGGCGGCGCCACCGCGCCCGGCTAAGTGCTTTTTTACGGAGACAGAAGTTCCGCCATGTTGCCCAGGCTGCTCTCGCCTGAGCTCACGCGATCCTCCCGCCTCGGCCTCCCAAAGCGCTGGGATTACAGGCTGGAGCCACCTCGCCGGGCCCTTCTCTGGTTCTTTAACGTCCCGCTACCGCGCAGGGGTGGACGCGGAGATAGGGGCTGGGCGCGGTGGACACGGCCGCTCAGGCCCAGCGCAGCCTCCTAGGGAGCCTCCGGACAGGCCGCGGGCAGGCGGCCGGGGCTGCGGGGGGTGCGGCCCAGGCCACGTACAGGGTCCCCCGGGAAACCCAGCTGCACGCCCCCTCGCCCCTTCGCCCTCTCACCCCTCGCCGCAGCACCTACCTGCAGCCCAAGCCTCTGCGGCTCCTGCCACCCCGGGCCAGCACGCACTGGGCCTACTGCGCTTGCGCGTTCGGAAGCGCGTCCTGGGCGGGTGAGCGTGGCGCTGCTGCCCCCTGGCGTCCTCCTCCGGCCGTGCACTGAAGCCGGAGCGAACGCCGCGGCGGTACCAGCGCGCACCTACCCAGTCTCCCTGTCTGGCTTCTGCTTCCCTAACTTGGGAGAACGATTTTGTGTTGACCGACTATTGCTTCAGCCTGGAGCCAGGCTCATGCAGAGCAGCTGTCAGATCTAGACGCACTGCGAGGCCTTCCAAAGCGTAGTCCTCAGACCCGCGGCATCTGCAGGGACCTTGCTGGAAAGGCTGATTCCCAGCTCCGGCCCAGACCCGCCACTCGGGGACCCAGATGCCTGAAGTTGGACAATCGCTCTGTAAAAGAAACTGTGGGGCTTAGCCTAGACGCAGTAAAGCTGAGCTGCACACATCAAGCGCAGCAGACAAGACCTTGGCAAGCCTCCGCGGAGGGGCAGGACTGGGCAAAGGCGGGGAAGTCCGTCGAGGGCCGGCCAGGAGCCCTGCCGGGAGCCCAACACGCACTCGGGCGCTTGCTCCGGGAAACCGAAAGGGAGGCTTGCAGCATCGAAGTCAGCTGGGTCATGGAACGTCTAGGTTGTGTACATCGGAAGCGTTAGCTGCTTCTACACTGACACACTGCGAAAGTCCAGAATCAAGACAGTAACATGGTGTGGGTTAAAAAAACTGAGCCGGTACTAGCTATCCAAACAGTATTAAAATTAACAGAAACGTTTGCCTATCACATGGACAAACAGCGGTAATACCTCCTGTCGTTACAGTAGAGTCTGAAAGTTTCCTCACACATACAAGTGAGTGTAAATTGGAATTCCTCCTACGTGCCCTAGCAAATCCATTTCTAGGAATTTATCCTTCAGAAATAACGTCTGTGGCCGGGCGCCGTGGCTCATGCCTGTAATCCCAGGACTTTGGGAGGCCGAGGTGGGCGGATCACGAGGTCAGGAGACCGAGACCATCCTGGATAACACGGTGAAACCCCGTCTCTACTAAAAATACAAAAAATTAGCCGGGCATGGTGGCGGGCGTGAGAATGGCGTGAACCCGGGAGGCGGAGCTTGCAGTGAGCCGAGATCGCGCCACTGTACTCCAGCCTGGGTGACAGAGCGAGACTCCGTCTCAAAAAAAAAAAAAAAAAAAAAGAAAAAGAAATAATATGTCTGCAAGATGTATGCACAAGAGATCTTGCTGAAGCATTGCTGATAAAAGATATTTATAATAGAGAAAAAAAGAAACCTGAATGTATAACAATAGGGGTTTCTGAAAGAAATTATATTACATCCACATAGCCATGAAAAATACTAACGGGTGCACAGTTTCAGTGTGAGAAGATGGTAAAGTCCTGGAGATGGATGGGGGTGATGGTTGCACAACAGTGTGAATATACACCAATAAATTGGGTGGAGGCCGAGAGCTCGGGGCCGTGAGCAAGCCTCCAACGCTCCGGTCCCCCGGACCCGCCTTTTAAACTCTTATTCTAATTCCTTTGTCTTCGCTGGACTCGGGGTACCCGCCGGGTGGTGTGGGGCTGGTTTCCCCAACAACTTCACTCTAGCCTGGGCAAAAGAGCAAAGCTCCGTCTCAAACAAACAAAGATAGAAACCAACCAGCAGCTCTCCTTGCTGAGTTCTTTGCCACGTGGCCACCATTTTGTGCCCACAGGCTTTTTGGGGGTGCTGGGAAAAGGTGAAATTTTAACACTGATGAAAAATTAGAGGAATTAAATTCAAACAAAAAATTAAAAATAAAAAGAACAGCAGAATTTGACGCACCATCAAACTGGTTGTGTCACCCATCTTCAAGCTGAAGGTAGTCCAAAGCCTGGAACTGAGTGTCGGGGGCACACACAGAGACTCGGGAGAAACCCTCTGATTCTGGCTCGTGGAGCAGAAAAGGAAACTCCTAACCCTCAGAGGGAGTGAAGAAAATTCCCTGTTCTTTCTATTTTCTTCTTTTCTTTGCACTCCAGCCCCCAGTCAAGCCCAAGGCCAGAGCAAAAAGCTTCAGCAGCCAAAAGTCTGAGGGAAAGAGATAGTCCTTTCCATTCAGTAGCACTGCAGCTCCAAGAGGACAGACACAAACTTGGTGTTTTGTTGTTTTTAACTGTTTCCCACTGCTGTGGCACAATTGTGGAAGTGGGCAGCTCCCCCAAGCCAAACTGAAAGTGGGAAGTTTCAGACCAGCGCACTGAAACCTGAGGGAACCTAAAAACACTGAGAAGATAGCGGAAGGTGAGAGCATCTGGCAAGCAACCTCACAGAGTTGTTTTTGAACTCTTGGGCTCATCGCTGACCTGCGTATCATCGACTTAACGAGCACACCAAACACTCAGAGAACTGTGCTCATGAACAGATTTTTGTTCAGGTACCAAACTACGGGAGGATGCAGCCACGAGACAGATCCAAATAGCCCCACAGAGGGTATGAACACAGAACTCACTTTGGAACATGAACCCCAGAAGAAGATCGGAACCTGCAGGCTGTCCCTAACTAGTTCATGTGCTTGCTTAAATTAAACTGTTGGCCAGGCGCGGTAGCTCACACCTGTAATCCCAGCACTTAGGGAGGGCAGATCACCTGAGGTTAGGAGTTTGAGACCAGCCTGGTAAACATGGTGGAACCCGGTCTCTACTTAAAAAAAAAAAAAAAAAAAAAATAGCCGGGCATGGTGGCGGATGCCTGTAATCCCAACTGCCCGGAAGGTTGAGGCACAAGAATCACTTGAACCCAGGAGGCAGAGGTTTCAGTGAGCCCAGATCACAGCACTGCACTCTAGCCTGAGTGACAGAGCAAGACTCCTTCTCAAAAAAAAAAAATTAAAATGCCAACATTCTCCATAGGATTTAAACAAGAATTAGAGCCTCATAATATTCAAAATGCTCAGGATACAAAATTGCTAGGCATATGAACCATCACAAAAATCTCAACTTGCATGGGAAAAGATAATCAAGAGTCACCAACTATAAAATGACTGTTAGGATTATCTGAAAAAGACATTAGTTATGAAAATGCTCAAAAAATTATAAACATTCTTGAAACAAAAGTTAAAATAGAAAGTATGGGGCTGGGCACAGTGGCTCGCGCCTGTAATCCCAAGACTTTGAGAGGCTGAGGCAGGCGAATCACTTGAGATCAGGAGTTCGAGACCAGCCTGGCTAACATGGTGAAACCCTGTCTCTATTAAAAATACAAAAATTAGCCGGACATGGTGGCAGGTGCACTCAGGAGGCTGAGGCAGGAGAATCGCTTGTACCTGGGAGGTGGAGGTTGCAGTGAGCCGAGATCGTGCCATTGTACTCCAGCCTGGGCCACCGAGCGAGACTCTGTCTCAAACAAATAAAAAATAATAATTTTAAAAAAGAAAGTATGAGTAAAAAACTTGGAGAAAGTAAGAGGAACCAAATAAACATTTAAAATAGAAAAGTACAATAATCAAATTTTAAAACTCACTGGATAGATTCAATGGCAGAATGGAAATGACAGAGGAGTCAGTGAACATGAAGACAGATTAATAGAAATTATCCAAACTGACCAACAGAGAGGAGGGGAAAATTAATAAAACTTCAAGCACCTGTGGGACATAACAAAAGGTCTAATATTTATGCCATCAGAATCCCAAAGCAGATGAGAAAGAAAGCACTAAAAAGCTTTTGAAGAAATAATGGCTGAAAACTTCCCAAGTTTGGGAAAGAAACACCAACCTACAGATTCAAAAAACTGAGCAAACCCCAAATGCAATAAATCCAAAGACATCCATGCCCAGACACATCAAAATCAAACTGCTGAAAAATAAAGACAAGGAAAAAAAATTGAAAACAGCCAAAGAGAAATGCCACGAGCTGTAGGTGACCCACAATCCTAATGACAGTGAATTTATCCTCTGAGATCATGAAGACCAAAGTGGCACAACGTTTTTCAAGTGCTGAAAGAAAAGAATTGCAAGCCCAGAATTCCATATGCAGTGAAAACATCCTTCAGGAATAACCTTGAAATAAACTAAGATGAAGGAAAACTAAGAGAATTTGTAGCCTGCAGACCTACTCTAACAGAACTGCTAAAAGAGTTCTTTGGTGGCTCAAGCCTGTAATCCCAGCACTTTGGGAGGCTGAGGCGGGCAGATCACCCGAGGTCAGGAGTTCGAGACCAGCCTGGCCAATATGGTGAAATCCCATCTCTACTAAAAATACAAAAATCAGCTGGGCGTGGTGGCACGTGCCTGTAATCCCAGCTACTGGCAAGGCTGAGGCACTGAGGTTGCTTGAACCTGGGAGGCAAAGTTTGCAGTGATCTGAGATCACGCCACTGCACTCCAGCCTAAGCGACAGAGTGAGACTCCATCTCAAAAAAAAGAGAAAGTTCTTTGGACAGAATAACAGAAATGAAAGAATAACAGAGAATATAAATAACTGGGTAAATGCGATACACTCTCCTTCTTTTCTTGAGTTCTTTAAAATATGTTTGGTGGTTTAATACAAAAGTATTATAAGATTATCTGATGGGTTTTTGTTTTTTTTTTTTTTTTTTTGTCTTTTTTTTTCTGTTTTTTTTTTGAGACAGAGTCTCACTCTGTCACCCAGGCTGGAGTGCAGTGGTGCGATCTCGGCTCACTGCAAGCTCTGCCTCCCGGGTTCACGCCATTCTCCTGGCTCAGCCTCCCGAGTAGCTGGGACTACAGGCGCCCGCCACCATGCCCGGCTAATTTTTTGTATTTTTAGTAGAGATGGGGTTTCACCGTGTTATCCACGATGGTCTCGATCTCCTGACCTCGTGATCCGCCCGCCTCGGTCTTCAAAGTGCTGGGATTACAGGCGTGAGCCACCGCGCCCAGCCTCTGATGGGGTTTTCAATGTAAGAAATGGTGAACGGTAAGGAGACATATGGTGGTAATGTTTCCATATGCCAACTGAAGTGACAAAATATTCTAAATAGGCTGTGAAAAGTTGAATATTTTGTAACCCCTGGAGTACCACTAAAACAAAATAAAACCAACTAGAAATAACAGAGATAACAGGAAATTCTCCAAACCCCTGAGAATTAATACTTTTTTTTTTTTTTTTGAGATGAAATTTCACTTTGTTGCCCAGGCTGGAGTACAGTGGTGCAATCTCGGCTCACTGCAACCTCCGCCTCCTGGGTTCAAGTGATTCCCCTGCCTTAGCCCCCCAAGTAGCTGGGATTATAGGTGCGTGCCACCACACCCAGCTAGTTTCTGTATATTTAGTAGAAATGGGGTTTCACTACATTGGCCAGACTGGTCTCAAACTCCTGACCTCAAGTGATCCACCTGCCTCAGCCTCCCAAAGTGCTGGGATTACAGGCATGAGCCACCACGTCCAGCCTAAAATTGTCACTTGAAAGCTCACATTTTTGGCCTGGCACGGTGGCTCATGCCTGTAATCCCAGCACTTTGGGAGGCCGAGGCTGGTAGATGACCTGAGGTCTGGAGTTCAACACCAGCCTCGCCAACATGGGGAAACCCTGTCTCTACTAAAAATACAAAAAATTAGCTGGGCGTGGTGGCGGACGCCTATAATCCCAGCTACTTGGGAGGTTGAGGCAGGAGAATCGCTTGAACCCGGGAGGCGGAGGTTGTGGTGAGCCGAGATCATGCCATTGCTCTCCAGCCTGGGCAACAAGAGTGAAACTCCGTCTCAAAAAAAAAAAAAAAAGCAAGCAAGCAAGCTCACATTTTATCACTGGCAACATTCCGTTGTTTTCCTTGAAATGACAAACTCATTTTTTAAACAGTTTTTGAGACACAGTCTCACTCTGTCACCCAGGCTGCAGTGGCACGACCATGGCTCACTGCAGCCTGGACCACCCTGGCTCAAGTGATCCTCCCACCCCAGCCTCCCGGGTTGCTGGGACTACAGGCGCACACCACTCTTCACTAATAACTTTAAAAAATATTTTTGTAGAGATGAGATCTTGCTGTTGCCCAGGCAGGTCTTGAATTCCAGGGCTCAAGCAGTCCTCCTGCCTCGGCCTCCCAAAGTGCTGGTACTATAGGCATGAGCCACTCCACCCGGCCTCACTATGCTTTTTATTAAGCTGTCTCTATGAGCTCTGTTGAGTCCAAAGTCCCAAATCCAATCAGTTTTGGGTCACCGATTATAGTTTCTGAGAGTAATTGCTTTTTTTTTTTTTTTTTTGAGACTGAGTCTCGCTCTATTGCCCAGGCTGGAGTGTAATGGCACAATCTTAGCTCACTGCAACCTCCACCTCCTGGGTTCAAGCAATTTTCCTGTCTCAGCCTCCCAAGTAGCTGGGATTACAGGTGCCTGCCACCACACCTGGCTAACTTTTGAATTTTTAGTAGAGATGGGGGTTTCACCATGCTGGCCATGCTGGTCTCAAACTCCTGACCTCAAATGATCTGCCCGCCTCGGCCTCCCAAAGTGCTGGGATTACAAGCGTGAGCCATCGTGCCCGGCAGAGAGTAATTGCTATCTTATGAGAACTTTTCTATGTAGCTTTTGATCCTTATGACACCTTTGAAATGGTCTACATGGAAATGGCACTTTATGGCAGCTTCAAAAATAAAACTGGAAATTTTTGGATTCTAAAAATAACAAAAACATGTAAAATGTTAGAAATAACACTACATATATTTTCTTCAAAAAGTATTAAAATATTATTTCCTAAATTTATCTTGAGAAAGGATGACTATGTAACGCTGTATGATTTCCTTAGTTGTATTTTGGTGCTTTGACATTGAACAAAAATTACAGATAAAGTGAGACTGAGGCCGGGCCTGGTGTCTCATGCCTGTAATCCCAACACTTTGGGAGGCCCATGCAGGCAGATTACTTGAGGTCAGGAGTTCATGACCAGCCTGGCCAACATGGTAAAACTCCGTCTCTACTAAAAATACAAAAATTAGCCAGGCATGGTGGCGGGCACCTATAATTCCAGCCACTCGGGATGGTGGGGCAGGAGAATTGCTTGAGCCTGGGCGGTGGAGGTTGCAGTAAGCTGCGATCACGCCACTGCACTCCAGCCTGGGTGACAGAGTGGGACTCCTTGTAAACAAAAAATCAATATATAAAAATAAATAAAGTGAGATTAAGTGCAGGTACAGCAAGCTAGCTTGCTAACCACTCCCAACTCCTTCCTGGCATGGCGTCCTGCATCATAAAAGGCTAGAAAGCTACAAACTACACTTCCCAGATTCCTCTGCAGTTAAGCTTTTAAGACATCCTGTTGGTTCCTTCCAATCAGATGCACTGCAGTGAGCCTTTAATTTGGAACCACACTACATGGGAAAAGCAGCAGATGTGCTTTGCGTGGAACGTGCAGACACAGCACAGTCCTGGAGCTGGCAGCCAGGATCGTGGCTTCCTCACTCCTCATCCAGCAGTTTCCTGATTCTGGCACAGGCAGCAGCAACGGGACGGTCCAGTTGTGTAGCATGGTTTGGGAATGTCTTTCTAAAAGATCAGGCAATTCTTCTGTGAGATATTTATAAACCTGAATAAACCCTTTGGGTTTAAACTACCTTGAGTGGATTTTGTCACTTTCAGTCAAGAACTGACCAATTTACATTTTAACATTTCCTCCAACACATCATGTTTCTAGTTTACAGTTTTATAGCAATATTTTCTTTCTCAAATGCTTTTCTAAGCTGAGACAATGTGTCTTGTATAATATATAGTTCAATGCTATTAAAAAATCAAACTTCTATGGCATTGTTTTTAGATACAGCTATAATTTTATTACAAAACCGTTCTTTTGGCATTAGTTGGTTACAGTGATAGCAAGATAATGTGAGTGTGCAGACCAGCTCTGATGGAACGACTGTATTCCCTGCTTACTGAACCAAACTTCGGCTACCTCACATCCATTACATACAAGTGACCTGCAGTTATTACTGCTACAAATCTTGACGCATGTACCACTGAGGGAGGAGCTGATGCTAAGGGATTAGATTATATGTTGATAAGACTACAAAAGTTCCTTTATGGGACTTTTTCTTCCTCCTCCCATCCAATGACTTTGCTTTAGAAGAATCACATTACTTAGAGCTAGTCTGAGTAGCAGCAGCACCCAAGGAGCATCAGTTCTTGTTAAAAAGCAATACCTGTGTGATGCACTTTTACACCACAGGCAAAGGGAAGGACCACTCTCGTGTGAAACTCCTGCAGGGTCCCTTAATAAAAAATAAAAGCATTCCATCAAGTTCTTCTGGATGGTGTTATTGCTGTACATTTGTTGGTGAGTCATTTTCTGTGCTGTGTTTGCTTTGAAGGGATCTTCCAATGTATCTCCAATATTCCTTTCTTATAGTGTCCTTTTCTTTAGCTAGGATTTCACATAACTGAAAATGAAAAATAAAAATTAAAGTAATATGTAATTCAATTTCAAGCGCAAATGCCTTTGAGCCAATACAATTTAACTCAAATCACATTCAAATGAAGACACACTATTAAGAGTCACCGGCTGTGTTGCCAAGTGATGTCAATGCTGCCCCTAACCAGAAATAGCCCTGCACTGAATTCTGAGGAACGATGTTGAAAGGGGACATGGATATTAGTGGTATTGGGCAGATCAATTCTGAGATACCAAAAATGACAGCACTGAGCCCCACCAGCTTACCTCTAATGCTTTATTAAGAATGTCTTCCTTATTGTCACACTGATTTTCTAGCATGTCTTCATAGATATCCACAAGAAAGGCAATTAGGTAGGGGGAACTATGACTTGGTTGTAAATCAAGTAATTGATTTAACAGATTAGGATATTTGGAAAGACCACGATCCTGCAAAATCCTGTAAACAACAACAAAAAACAAAGACTTGATTTTGTGAAGGAAGAACAAAAGCAGTAGAAAGATCAAGAGAAAATAAACCCTGAAACACAAACAAGAAAAGGAGAGTTATTTTGAATGAATGACGCTGAAACTATAATGAAACTTTTAAATTACATGAGTCTTATCATAGATCATTAGTTAATTAAGAGCTGGCCAGGTGCAGTGGCTCATGCCTGGGAAACACTCTGGGAAACAGAGGCAGGAGGAACACTTGAACCCAGGAGTTCAAGACCAGCCTGGGTAAAATAGCAAGATCTCGTCTCTACTAAAATTTTTTTAAAAATCAGCCATGCCTAGTGGTGGCACCTATAGTCTCAGCTACTTGGGAGGCTGAGGTGGGAGAATCACTAGAGCCTAGGAGATCGAGACTGCAGTGGGCCACGATCATGCCACTGCCCTCCAGCCTAGGCAACAGAGTGAGATCCTGTCTCCAAAAAAAAAAAAAAAAAAAGGATAATTACAAGCTAAGTAGAAAAAGTTTTTAAAAATGAAGTTTAAAAGTGTTCATTTATAACTTAAACTGTACAACACACAAAATAAATCATCTTAAAAAGTGAAGGACAAAACCAGGAGAGATGTTCTTCTTTTTTTTTTTTCTTTGAGACAGGGTCTCTTGTCGCCCAGGCTGGGGCACAGTGGTGTGATCTTGGCTCACTCTGACCTCCACCTCCAGGTTCAAGCAACTCTCGTGCTTCAGCCTCCCAAGTAGCTGGGATTACAGGTGTGCACCAACATGCTCAGCTAATTTGTATATTTTTAGTAGAGACGGGGTTTTGCCATGTTGGCCAGGCTGGTCTCGACCTCCTAGCCTCAAGTAATCCGCCCATCTTGGCCTCCCAAAGTGCTGGGATTGCAGGCATGAGCTAACATGCCCAGCCCTCGTCTTCTCTTGAGATGGCTTCTCATCCCTCGAGCTCTCCAAATACTACAGGCACCTCCCCTGACACATCTCCAAGGGTAACTGGTTCCATACTTTGTGCTCTTTGAGCCTAGTTTCCTTGAAGACCTCTTATGTTCAACAAGGAGCTTAGTTACGTCAGTGGCCAGGCAAGTGAAACCTTTTCTAGTTGAGGAGTAGGTTAACCTGAAGGCGGAGATCTCTAGAAATGAAAACAGAAAGGTTGGCTGCCCACTGGCAAAATCTACCTGTAAACTACCCCGCTTTACTGTGTTCCTGAGCCAACTAGAGCCTGGGGGTGTGTGTGTTCCATTCTTTGATATAAAGACTACAGGATTCTTAAATACAATTAAAATGGCATTATTTACTGGTGGATTATTCTGAAAACAGTGTTGGTAGGTACTTGGGAGGTGCATAGAAGGGCAAACTCCCAGAGAGTTTCCATAATGCTGTTATACTTCTGCTCTTAGGTTCAGAAAAATGAAAAATTATTTACTATCCTTTTGGAATCTGATTATGGAATACACTCCATGATGCATCATATAGCCACTTCTTTTTTATATATAAAAAAAGCAAAAACAACCTCTTACCCTTTCAAATAGTTCCATGCACTTTCATTATGTGGTACTAGTTTAATCATTTCCAGAGTGTATCTGCAAGAAAAATATATATATACAATTTTAAAAGAACAGTGCAATGATGAGACACAGTTTTTTTTTTTTTCTGAAACGGAGTCTTGCTCTGTCACCCAGGCTGGAGTGCAGTGGCACAATCTCAGCTCACTGCAACCTCCGCCTCCCAGGTTCAAGTCATACTCCTGCCTCAGCCTCCCGAGTAGCTGGGACTACAGGCGCCCACCACCACACCCAGCTAATTTTTGTATTTTTAGTAGAGACAGGGTTTCACCATATTGGCCAGACTGGTCTTGAACTCCTGACCTTGTGATCCGCCTGCCTCGGCCTCCCAAAGTGCTGGGATTATAGGCATGAGCCACTGCGCCCGGCCAAGACACAGTTTTACTAAGACTGTGGCACAGCTTTGTAAACACACTTTCACTTGTGTCAGCGTTTCTTAGTGTACTGTGGCACCTCTCTCAGTCATATTTAAATCACGAGAATCCCTTAAGGCTGCAGCTGTCAATTCAGTTCTAGGGAAGGACACAAAACTAATCTAAAAGCTTCAATTCACAATAGGAAAAAAAGGAACATAAAATATTTCCTTTAAATAATATGGAAGATTTTCCTTTTGAAGGAAACATCAGCTAAAAGAAGGAAACTTTCCATTTATTGGTAAAGCAACCTTGGGGAAACAGTCTAAGCTCTACTTACGTCCCAACAAATCCCTAGTCACTGAAATAGGAGAATTTACATAATCTTTAGCTATCATTAAAAAATGGCATGGAAATTACATAGGCAAAGAATAAAAATGAAAAATCAACACAAGAATGTATTTCTTATATTCCAAAGCAAGATGACTAGTAAACTGTGATGTGATTCCCTGTCAAAATGGGTGCTCCATACCTTTATCTTCCCCTTAAACAGATTAAATATAATTCAGACTCAATTATCACAAATCCCAAGGAAGCCACAGAACTTGCTTTACCACATAATTGCTCAGATGAGTAAGTCACTGACTAAAGCTTGGTAGTCTTGGTTCTGCTGCAGTGCTGTTACTATAATTTTTTTTTTTCCACAGAGTAATAATAAACTCATTCAACATTATAAAAATACTTTTCCAACTACTTTTACATGACTTAATGTTTCCAATTATTTGCGAAACCATGTCCCCGCAGGTCTTAGCTGGTCCTTGTTTAAGATTCTTAATTTCATTTTGGCAATATCTAAATTTTTATTTACATACATGTGTACTAAAGCATTACCTATTTTTATGGTTAAAACATGAACTTTAGCTGGGCATGGTGGCTCACATCTGTAATCCCAGCACTTTCAGAGATCAAAGCGGGAAGACTGCTTGAGGCCAGGAGATCAAGACCAGTCTGGGCAACATAGTGAGACCTCATCGCTACAAAAAATTTTAACAATTAGCTGGATGCAGTGGCACATGCCTGTAGTCCCAGCTACTCGCAGGCTGAGGTGGGAGGATTCCTTCAGCTCAGGAGCTCAAGGCAGCAGTGAGCTATGATCCGTCACTGCACTCCAGCCTGGGTGACAGAGTGAAACCCTGTCTCTTAGGAAAACAAACAAACAAAAAGACCGATGAACTTTGAGGTCAGGCTGCCTCGCTTCAAATCCTGGTCCCATAAATTATGTGCTCTTGGGCAAATTACAGAATTACCTGGAACCTCAAGTTCTTCATGAAGTGTCTCACAGAGCTGTTAGAATTAGTGGCATATAGTAAATGCTTGATAAATGCTGTTATTGGTAGTACTAGAAGACTATGCACTCATAGTCTAGAAAAAGGGCCATGACACATTAACTGAAAAGGCAATGCCTGTAACATTATTATCTAGGTTGCTGTGTATAAATGTTTGCAAGTGTATTTATAAAGTTTGGAAAAATTCACCCAATTATAGCTCACTCTGGAAAATGGGATGTGGGATGAAGAACAGTAAAAGACTTTGACTTTTTACTTTATAGAATTTAGTACAATTTCCCCCCCCATAACTACATTGCATTACTTTTATAATAAAAAGAAAAAAATGACAAAAATAATTATGTACATCTATCTGTGTATGCTTAGAGTTAAAAAAAATTTAACAAACTGTAAATTCTAGATACCTACAGCTACTCTTCACATTTTAAATACTTCTTTTACCCATCTTAAAAGGAAAATAAATCCTAAGTATAGGAAGCTCTTTTAGATTCTTGGGTAATTATTTCTGTTTCTATTTGGCAACAGGAAGCCAGTGATCTGCCTCTGAAAAGGCTAAACGTTTGCATTTTGAAAACTCTTCATATTCAATTTTTAAAATGCTTTGTTACCGCTAACTACTGTCAATCTTTAGACGAATAATGTTCAATAAAACTGCCAGTGATGATGCAAATGTTTTGTATGTGCTGTCCAATATGGTAGTCACTAGCCACATGTACGTACTGAACGCCCAAAATAGGACATGTGCAATGAAATAATTGTATTTTTAATTTTTTATAATCATACCGATTGAAACTTAAATAGCCATATGTGGCTAGTAGCTACCATACTGAACAATACAGGAATACCTTGCAGATATGGAAGGTTCAGTAAAGCAATTTTATCACAATTAAGCAAGTCACACGACTTTTCTTTTTCCCAGCACATATAAATTATGTTTACACTATATTGTAGTCTAGTATGCAATAGCATCATATCTAAAAAAACAATGTACATACCTCAATTAAAAAATACTTTATTGCTAAAAAATGCTAATGATCATCTGAGCCTTCAGCAAGTCGTAATCTTTCTGCTGGTGGAGGGTCTGGCCTCCATGTTGATGGCTGCTGACTGATCAGGGTAGGGTGCTGGGTGCTGAAGGATGAGATGGCTGTGGCAATTTCTTAAAATAAGACAACAATAAAAGATTTCTCTGTAGCATGTGATGCTGTCTGATAGCATTTTACTCACAGTAAAACTTTTCAAAACTGGAGTCAATCCTCTCATATATCCTGCTGCTTTATCAACTAAGTTCAGGTAATATTTACAATATTTAAAATCCTTTGTTGTCATTTCAACAATGTCATTTCACAACGTCGTTGCCAGGATTAGATTCCATCTTGAGAAACCACTTCTTTTGCTCATCCATAAGAAGCGACTCCTCATCTGATCAAGTATTGTCTTGATGCAGCAGTTCGGTCACATCTTCAGGCTCCACTTCTAATTCTAGTTTCCTTGCTGTTTCCACCACAGCAGCAGTTCCTTCTTCCTCTAAAGTCTTGAACCCCTCAAAGTCATCCATGAGGGCTGGAATCAACTTCTTCCAAACTCCTGTTAATGTTGGTATTCTGACCTCCTCCTATGAATCACGAATATTCCTAATAGCACCTAGAATGGTAAATTCTTCCCAGAAGGTTTTCAATTGACTCTGCAGATTCATTGGAGGAATCACTATCTATGGTAGCTCATAGCCTTACAAAATTTATTTCTTAAATAGTGAGACTTTAAAATCAAAATGACTCCTTTATCCATGGGCTGCAGAATGGATGTTGTGTTCGCAGGCATGAAAACAGCATCTCCTTGCACATCTCCATTAGAGCTCTTGGGTGATGAGGTCCGTTGTCCATGAACAATCATATTTTCCAAGAAATTTTTCTGAACAACAGACCTCAAAGAGGGCTTAAAATATTCAGTAAACCATGCTGTAAACAGATGTGCTGTCATCCAGGCTTTGTTGTTCCATTTATAGAGCACAGGCAGAGGAGATTCAGCATAATTCTTAAGGGCCCTAAGATTTCCAGAATCATCACCGAACACTGGTTTCAACTTCAAGTCACCAGCTGCATTGGGCCCTAACAAGATTCAGCCAGCTGTGTGAAGCTTTGAAGCAGTGCCTTCTCTCTAGCTATGAAAAGTCTTAGATGGCATCTTCTTCCAATAGAAGGCTGTTTCATCTACACTGAAAATCTTCTGTTTACATGCAGCCACCTTCATTAGTGATCTGAGCGGGATCTGGAAAACTCACTGCAGCTTCTCCAGCAGCACTTGCTGCTTCACCTTGCACTTCCATGCTATGGAGATGGCTTCTTTCTTATACCTCATGAACCAACCTCTGCTAGCATCCAAGTTTTCTTCTGCAGCTTCCTCACTTCTCTCAGCCTTCATCAAATTAAAGAGAATTAGGGCTTCCTCTGGATTAGGCTTTGGCTTAAGGGAATGTTGTGGCTGGTTTTATCTTTTATCCAGGCCACTCAAACTTTCTCTATACCAGCAATAATGCTGTTTTGTCCAGGTGTTCACTGGAGCAGCACTTTTAATTTCCTTCAAGAACTCTTTCTTATGAGTTTGGTGTTTGGTGCAAGAGGCCTAGCTTTGGACCTATCTCAGCTTTTGATATGTGTTCCTCACTAAGCTTAATCACTTCTGGCTTTTGATTTAAAGTGAGAGGCTGTGACTCTTCCTTTCACTTGAACACTCAGAGGACACTGTAGGGTTAATTGGCTTAATTTCAATATTGTTGTGTCTCAGGGAATAGGGAGGCCTGAGGTGAGGGAGAGAGATGGTGGAACACATGCAACAGTGATATTCTCTGTTTTATATGGGTGCAGTTAGTGGCACCCCCAAACAATTACAATAGATGACTGATCAAAGATGACTGATCACAAATCACTGGAACAGATATAATGATTATGAAAAAATGTGAAATACTGAGGAGTACCAAAATGTGACACGGAGACACAAGTGAGCACATGCTGTTAGAAAGAATGGCAATGAAGACATGCTCAACTCAAGATTGCTCAAGATGCTTCAACTTGTTAAAAAAAACAAAAAACAAACAAAAAAAAAAAACATAATATATACAAGGCTCAAAAAACCAGGTATGCCTGTACAGCTTTATATAGGAGAGCACTAGAAAAAAAGCATGAAGTGTGCTTGAGGGGTAGTGCACGCTCCAGACAAAAGCCCAGAGCAGAGTGTTAAGGTGAGACATGGATTAAAGCCTTTTATAAATTTTAAGTCACCAGAATCCTGTATAGAGCAGATAAAAGAAGAGCAAGCTGCCTCGATCCAGGCAAAATCAAGAGCTTGGAAGAGAGGAGATGCACTATACAAATCAGCTCCACTCAACAGTTGTTCAAACACATTTACACTAAAATTATGACTCCCATCTCATCAGGCTCTGAAAACAACAAGCCTGTTCAAATTGTAAAACAGACACTCAGACACAATGGACAAATAAGGTCACAAAAATCGTGGCTACTAATGTTTATGGATACAATATAGAAATTGATGCCAATTCAGAAATGTCTAGCTCTAATAACAGCTCTTTGTATAGAGCGGTTCTCAACTTGGGGGTGACTTTACCGCTCGGGGGACATTTGGCAATGTCTGAAAACATTTTTGTTTTAAGGCCAGGATGCTGCTAAATACCCTACAAAACACAGGATAGCCACCTACAACAAAAACTTATCCAGCCCCAAACTCTGCACTAGGGTAACATGGCATCTGGGGACGATTATCTAAAATGCAACAAAATTTAATGAGATGGTTTTAAAATAAAGCTTCTTAGACAATACCCCATAACATTAAGATTTCTTTCCAATCTCCAGTAGCAATATTTCAAGAAACTTAAGATACAATGAAGTAGAAGTATGCTACATTATTTGTAAATCTATCATCCTATGTTCCACTCAGTACTCTGTCCTCTTTTAGTTCCATGGGGTAGGATCTTGATCTGCTGTATCCCCAGTGCCTGAGATATGGTAGGCATGCAAACATGTTTGTAACGAATGAGCAAGTGAAGGAGATTACTAACTGGACTTCTCTCTCCAATACAGCACGATCATTGTAGCCAGTGGTGTTAGAAATAACGAAGTATCTTTGGTTCCAGACAGAGTTATTTCTCACATCCTCTTTCAGAAGTTGGTCCACATACTGCAGCTCATTATCCCAAAGTTTAAATTCCTAAAGGAAAAATTTAGAAAAATCATCCAATTAGAAATGTCCCATTATTTATGAATAAAAAATAAATTAAAACTACAACAAAGAAGGTAGAACTGAGGACACAGGATTTATCACAAATTCAGAAGGTAGTGATAGCTGCAAGTAAAGGAAATAGAGGGGGATACAAGTATGAAATTGATGATAGAGCCTGGAAAGACACATACAGAAAGCAGGAAAAAAGACATCCAAGAAAATTTTGAGGGAAAAAAACCCCAAACTCACTAGTAAGAGAAGGAGTGACCACAGTATAGATATAAATTTGATGTGACTTGATATTAATATATCTTATTATTATTTTTTTGAGGCAGTTTCACTCTTGTTGCCCAGGCTGGAGTGCAATGGCGTGAACTCAGCTCACTGCAACCTCCACTTCCTGGGTTCAAGCGATTCTCCTGCCTCAGCCTCCCAAGTAGCTGGGATTACAAGCATGCGCCACCACACCTGGCTAATTTTGTATTTTTAGTAGAGATGGGGTTTCTCCACGTTGGTCAGGCTGGTCTTGAACTCCCAACCTCAGGTGATCCGCCCACCTCGGGCTCCTAAAGTGCTGGGATTACAGGCGTAAGCCACCGTACCTGGCCGATATTAATATATCAAAGTAAAAGGGCAGCATTCAAAAATGAAAATTAAGTAAAAGGGTAGCATTCAAAAGTGCACATATGATAAAATTACATTAAAATACATGGAGAGAAGCATACATGGTCAATAGTGGTGGCTCTCATGGGCAATCCCACTGCTTCAGGAGGCTGAGGCAGAAAGGTCACTTGAGGCCAGGAGTTCGAGACCAGCAGAGGCAACATAACAAGATCTTGTCTGGAAAAATAATAAAGACAGTCCGGGCACGGTGGCTCAAGTTTGTAATCCCAGCACTTTGGGAGGTCGAGGTGGGTGGATCACCTGAGGTCAGGAGTTTGAGACCAACCTGGCCAACATGGCTAAACCCCATCTCTACTAAAAACACAAAAATTAGCCGGGTGTGATGACAGGCGCCTGTAATCCCGGTTACTTGGGAGGCTGAGGCAAGAGAATCGCTTGAACCCGTGAGGTGGAGGTTGCAATGAGCTGAGATCGTGCCATTGCACTCAAGCCTGGGGGACAGAGCAAGGCTCTGTCTCCAAAAAATAAAAACAATAAAAATAAAAAAATTAGTCGGGCATCGTGGCACATGCCTAGAATCCCAGCTACTCAGGAGGCTGAAGAGGATCACTTGAGCCCCGGAGTTTAAGGCTGCAGTGAGCTATGACTGCACCACTGCACTCTGGGCGACAGAAACAGACCCTGTCCCAAAAAAAAAAAAGAAAAAGAAAAAGAAAAGAAATATACACAATTGGACAAAGATATAAATTTCTATTATTTTTATTGAGACAGCGTCTCACTTGGTCGCCCAGGCTGCAGTGCAGTGGCATAGTCTCAGCTCGCTGTAACCTCCAACTCCCAGACTCAAGCGATATTCTTGCCTCAGCTCCTCAAGTAGCTGGGACTACAGGTGTGAGCCAACATAACCGGCTAATTTTTGTAGTTTTCGTAGAGACCAGGTTTTACCATGTTGGCCAGGCTGGTCTTGAACTCCTGAACTCAAGTAATCTGCCCACCTCGGCCTCCCAAAGTGCTGGGATTACAGGCATGAGCCACCACACCCAGGCAATATAAATTTTTTATATTATAAAGCTCTCTTAATAAAAAAAAATGGGGGAAGAGAACCAATAAAGATAATTTAAAAGAGGAAAATGATAAAAAAAACTTATAAATAATTTGAAAGTAGGGGACATTATAAAAAAGATAATGGAGTTTTCTTATTTGGTAACAGCAAAAAAGTAAGAATCTCCTATGATAGTCCCCGATTTTACAGGTGATCATAAAAATAAACGCATTAAGGAAAGTAACATTTTTGTGAAAGTTCCTAGTGGAGTTCAGGAACTAGTGCCTAGTGTGGGCACTGATTGGTGTCCTCCCACTGTTCTCAGTCTCCAGCATGCTAAGGATAGAGAGTAAACACCTACAAGCTTTTGTATCAATGTAACAATTTAATGTCTGTAGAGTCTAATAATGAAAAACAAAGAGTAGTGTTTTCTATACATATGTTTCTATTTGTTTTCAGACTCATGGAAGTTATAAAAATAACACAGTGCCCTGTGTACCCTTCACTTAGATTCCCCAAATGGTAAACATCTTACTAAAGTGCAATCCCAAAACCAGAAAATGACATCTGTACATTATTGTTAATGGAACCGCTCACCTTATTCAGATCTTACATGTACTCACTTGTGGGTATGTGGGACAGGTGGAGGAGTGGGGGTAGAATATAATTCTACACAATTTAATCCCATGTATAGTATAACTACCACAATCAAGATGGAGAACTATTCCCTCAGCACACAGAAACTACCTCATGCTACCCCTTTATAGCTGTACCCCCTTTTCCCTCACCCTGGCAACCTCTGATCTGTTCTCTACGTCTATAATTTTGCTGTTTCAAGGATATTATCTCAATGGAGCCATACAGTATGAAACCTGAGACTTCCCCTTCCACTAAGGATCATACCCTTGAGATCCATCCAAGTTGTTGCCGGTATGGATCATTCATTTCTTTTGACTGGTGAGTAGTAGTGTGTGTGTGTGTGTGTGTATTTCACTTTTAATTTTTTTTCTTTTGAGACAGGGTCTCATTTTGTTGCCCAGGATGGACTGTGGTGGCGTGAGCATAGCTCACCACAGCCTCCACCTCTTGGGCTCAAGTGATTCTCCTGCCTCAGCCTCCTGAGTAGCTGCGAACACAAGCATGCGCCACTACGCTCGTCTCATTTTTTTGTATTTTTTGTAGAGACGGGGTTTTGCCATGTTGCCAGGCTAGTCGTGAACTCCTGGCCTCACGGGATCCACTTGCCTGGGCCTCCCAAAGTGTTGGGATTACAGGCGTGAGCCACTGTACCCAGACTCATTTTTAAAGTAATTGATTTTTAGTGTATTTTATATAAATGAGATATACATGAAATACAGTAAAATACATCCAATCTGTGATCGGTTGGGGACAAAGAAGGGTCCTCTACTCCTTCATTTAAGAAGCTCTAGTACAGTCAATGCCAATGACATACAGGCCATGAATGTTTATAATTCATGTTTAAAACTAACGTTTAAAACTAAAATTTTACCACGTTTTTAATATATATGTCATGAAATATTTTTTAGAGATCTCATAGTCCCATTTTAGGTCATCAAAGAGTATGCTGAATTCATTAAATCCTCATTGAAAATAACTGAAATATTAATAAAATAGTTTTCCATATAGAAATAGACCACAGTTCCTTGGCTTTGACACTACTGAAAGTATGGGCTGGATAATTCTTTGTTGTGGGGGACTGTCCTGTGCATTTTGGGATGTTTAGCAGCATCCTGGCCCTCTACCCAATAGATGCCAATAGCAACATGCCCCAAGTTCTGACAACCAAAAATGTCCCCTAGGGGGCACAATCACTGCTGCTTGAGAACCACTGACTCACATAATTTTTTTTTTTTTAATAAAAATAAGCAGAGAAAACCTGTTCTTAAACCACGAAGACCAGAGGAAAGTGCCACACAGTCCCCCTATCACAAATTATGCAGTTGAGCTTCCCCCATTTGGGGAAATTGCAGGGGTCAGCACATCCAGAGTGCAATGAATGTGAAAGGCACCTTGGTGATCATATCTTCCCTGCCAGGTAAGTAACTCACATGAATTAAATAATGTATAAAATAAATAGAAATGCATAAGCTACAACACAATTAAGGGATATTCTGGAATCCTTTCTCATACGAACCTTTTATGATAATTTCAGTAAGAAGCATGCCAGTTAAGGGGGCTTTTCAAAAATACTGGTTATGTTTTATGTCTTAATCTATTGTGGAAGATGGAGAGAGCTGTATGTGTAAAATGTATGCTTTTATGTGATTAAGTTTTTCAGAGATAAGTAAAAATATTGAATACCTTTAGAATATGTTATCCTTTTAATCAAATTTGGAAAAGTTTAAAAATTTTTAAGTTTTAAGTATTTGGTGAAATGCTCTTGGTCTAATGAATAGTGCAGAAAGTAGCAATCCCTGGAAAAAATTCACAGGAAACAATACTAGAACTGTTTAAAATAAATAAAATACCCAGAGTGGGAGTTACAACTATTCTATTCAGAATTTAGCATAAAACTTTGACACATGGGTAGAAATAAAAAACTTAAGTTACTGTAAAATCCTATTCCAAAGTTTATATATGAAAAAAATGTATAATATGCCTTTGTTAGTTAAAATAATACATCTGTAGTAAAAATATGCTACTCTTTATACTCAATTTGCTAGCAAATATGATACAAATTCAATCTAAAAAATACTAAAAATTTACTACATCCAAAGAGATTATAAAGGTTAGCTAACATGAAGGATGTCAGGTTTTAAGTATGTTAATAATGTTTGTTTTTTTTTAAAATAGATAGGGTCTCACTCTGCTGCCCAGGGTAGACTGCAGTGGTGTAATCATAGTTCACTGCAACCTCAAATTCTTGGGCTCAAGCAATCCTCCTGCCTCAGCCTCCCAAGCAGCTGGGACTACAGGTGTGTGCCACCATGCATGGCTAATTTTTGTATTTTTTGTAGAGACGGGGGTCTCACTTTGTTGCCCAGGCTGATCTCAAACTCCTGGCCTCACTCAATCCTCCTGCCTTGGCCTCCCAAAGTACTGGGATCACAGACATGAGCCACCACACATGGCCAATAATTTTTAGTTATATATTGGGTGCAATGATCTACGTATGTGTGTGTTTTGGTTTAGAAACAGACTTTAAGAGTAATTTTATTTAGTTCAGTTAAAAAAAAAATCTGAAAAACACTGTACAAGAAAGGCAATACCTGAATAACCCATTGTCGATGCTGCCAGGCATGATAATTCTTTGCATCCTGATTAAGAATATCAGCAATAAATTCAAGCTCCTGAGATGGATCTCTTAGCCATTCCACTAATACTCGCCTATGATGCCTAAAGCCCAAAGAAGGGAGAGAAGTTTTTTGTTAATTTACCCATGAACTAAAATATCAGTTGCACATGTTGTAAAGGTGACATGAAAGGACACACAATAAACAAAAATTCATCTCTAATTCTTAACACTCCACTGTGGAGAAAAGGTAACACAAAAAAAATAGAAAAAAAATTCAGATAGTTTATCTCAAACTACATCTGGTAGTATCTTTCAACAACCATGAAATTGTGTCAAAAAATTAAGAAACATTACTAGATTGTATAATGAGAGACAAGACAAAATGTGCTATTATTTTATCAAATATATAAGTTCCTCTACTTAACACACGCCTGTCAATTTTCCCTAAGTGCAAAGTGTCATCAAACAAGCAGCTTCTCATTCTACAAATGAGTGGGCAGAACTGAATTTACTGCTACACTGGCAAGTAGCTATGACAAGTTGCAAGTTGTCAACAGAGGAGTTTTTTTGTTTTTTTTTTTTTTTTTGAGACGAAGTCTCGCTCTTGTTCCCCAGGCTGGAGTGCATTGTCCCCCAGGCTGGAGTGCAATGGCGCAATCTCAGCTCACTGCAACCTCCGCCTCCCAGGTTCAAGCAATTCTCGTGCCTCAGCCTCCCGAGTAGCTGGGATTACAGGCGCCTGCCACCACGCCCGGCTAATTTTTTGGATTTTAAGTAGAGACGGGGTTTCACCATGTTTGCCAGGCAGGTCTCAAACTCCTGCCCTCAGGTGATCCGCCCACCTCAGCCTCCTAAAGTGCTGGGATTACAGACGTGAGCCACCGCGCCCGGCCAGGAGTTTCTGCGCTAGGAAAATACTTAAGGATTTTATATTGGGTTCCATTTTTATAATTTTCTTTGGCTGAAATATTTATATAAATCTATTAGTGAAAATGTTCTAAAACTCACTATGGTGATGGTTGTACAGATCTGTATATATACTAAAAAACACTGAATTATATACTTTGAATGGGGGAATTGTATGGTAAGTGAACTATATCTCAATAAAACGGACCCTTAAAAAATCTATATTAGAGTATAACATTCAACTAAAAGTGAGCAGAACAATAGGAAAAAGGGAAGGATTTAATGCTTAATGAATGACCTATTCTACATGCCTGGAAAATTAAAAAATTCGTCTTACAGATTAAGACAAGATACTACCAAAAACAAAAGCCTAGACAGAAGGTTTCCAAATTTATTTTAGAAATCTTCCAAGTCAGTGAACACTAGCTGGATTTTATTTTTCCAGGTTGCTGGTGAGTTCAGTAATTTAGAAAAGCTAAGAATCAGATCCTCCAGGATATCAAACTGAGGAAGAAAAAGTTCATGCTGATGTTCTCGGATTTAAGGAGTTACACGGCTTTATGTTATAGCATAAGTTTTCAGTTAGAAGTTAATAAAAGTGATTAGTTAACTGGGATACAGAATTTGCATCGCCTGTACTACACTGGTTATAAAACGAACAGAGCGGATAATTAGAAATGTACAACAATTTCAAAACTGCTGGGCTTTCCATAGCAGCTACTTTGAGTGGTTTTGTGTTTTACATAACAGTGGGTGATGAAGTGCTAATGACAGTGTGCAGTATCCAGAAAAGAAAAGCAATTTCTCTTTAGCAAAAACTCGATGTAATCAAACACTAATGCCTGTGATGTCAGAATTTTATAGCTACAGATTTTTACATAAAAGCACCTTAATTCCACAGGGTAAATAACTTTAGTGAGGGTCTGCAACTCTCCATTTAATCTCTTTTCCCATTAAACCAATTATTTTATAATGTAATTTCTTAGAAATACAACAATCTTGTAATCAACAGGCTACAATGGTAAAGTTTTTAGTTTTTTAATTTATTTTTTATTTTTTATTTTTTTTGAGACAGAGTCTCACTCGGTCCCCCAGGCTGGAGTGCAGTGGTGCAATCTCAGCTCACCGAAACCTCCACCTCCCAGGTTCAAGTGATTATCCTGACAGCCTCCTGAGTAGCTGGGATTACAGGCACGCTCCTTGAGTAGCTGGGATTACAGGCACGCTCCTTGAGTAGCTGGGATTACAGGCACGCCACCACACCCGGCTAATTTCTGTATTTTTAGTAGAGACGGGGATTCACCATGTTGGCCAGGCTGGTCTCAAACTCCTGAACTCAAGTGATCTGCTCGCCTCAGCCTCCCAAACTGCTGGGATTACAAGCAGAAGCCACTGCACCTGGCTACAGTGGTAGTTTTTAAATAAAATTCTAGGCCAGGCGCAATGGCTCATACCTGTAATCCCTGCACTTTGGGAGGCTGAGGAGGGCGGATCACCTGAGGTCAGAAGTTCGAGACCAGCCTGGCCAACATGGCAAAACCCCGTCTCTACTAAAAATACAAAATTAGCCAGGTGTGGTTGCGTGCACCTGTAATCCCAGCTACCCAGGAGGCTGAAGCTGGAGAATCACTTGAACCCAGGAGGCAGAGGCTGCAGTGAGCCGAGGTCATGCCACTGCACTCCAGCCTGGGAGACACAGCTAGACTCCAAACTTACCAAACTTGATAGTTTTTGGGCTGCTCCTCAATTATTGCAGTGATGTAGTTCATTTCCTCATGTAGATCCTTCTGAAGTGACTTCAAAAGAACTCTCCGGAAATGCCTAGGGCAAACATACAACATCCAAAGTCGCATTATTACACAGAAGTTCCCTAATAACAATATCAAATACAGCTACAAGTCAGCAATACAGTTAGACAAATTTTTGGCAGGTAATCTGTATAATTTAACAATTATAGGCCAAGCACGGTGGCTCATGCTTGTAATCCCAGCACTTTGGGAGGCCGAGGTGTGCAGGTCACATGAGGTCAAGAGTTTGAGACCAGCCTTGCCAACGTGGTGAAACCTCGTCTCTACTAAAAATACAGAAAAAATTAGTTGGGCATGGTGGTGCACACCTGTAGTCCCAGCTGCTCGGGGAGGCTGAGGCAGGAGAATTGCTTGAACCCAGGAGGCAGAGGTTGCAATGAGCCAAGATCACACCACTGCACACTAGCCTGGGCAACAGAGGGAGACTCCATCCACCCCCACCCAAAAAAAAAATTATACATAGGTACTCTGTATAATTTAACAATTTAAGTGCTTGTGAGTGGACTATCTGGTGACTGGAAGAAATGAAGCACTTTTAGTAAAAATAGTGAAAGGTGGCCAGGCACAGTGGCTCACGCCTGTAACCCCAGCACTTTGAGAGGCTGAGGCAGGTGGGTCACCTGAGGTCAGGAGTTTGAGACCAGCCTAACCAACATGGAGAAACCCCATCTCTACTAAAAATGCAAAATCAGTTGGGCGAGGTGGTGCATGCCTGTAATCCCAGCTACCTGGGAGACTGAGGCAGGAGAATCACTTGAACCGAGGAGGCAGAGGCTGCAGTGAGCCAAGATCACGCCATTGCACTCCAGACTGGGCAACAAGAGCAAAACTCTGTCTCAAAAAGAAAAAAATAGTGAAAGGTAACAAGTATGAGATAGAAGAAAAGTAAATTTCTGATTCTTAAGTAATGACAGCCAACCAACTAAAATTATTTTCAGGTACTACTCTGGTCACCTATGTTCTATAATATGAAAATCAAAGACATCTCTTTCCCTACACAGTACACGTTGTTCGTGTACATACATTATCCATATAATAAATTAATTCTATTATAAACATTAACAAAATACTTCTAGAACAACCACAAAAATGCTACTTGTAAATGAAACAAGTTTGTCTTTAATTTCCCCATAGGTGGAGTTTTAACCACCACCACCAACAAAAGGAATTTTCCTAAAGACGTCGTTAGTTCTGGTCTAGTTTTACTTCAAAATTTCAAAAATTTCCAACTCGATATATAGTAAGGGACATTCCAGGACCTAATTTTATTAGCTTTTAAAATGAACTGCTAACTTTGGGAGGCTGAGGCAGGCAGATCACTTGAGGTCAAGAGTTTGAGACCAGCCTGGCCAACGTGGCAAAACCCCATCTCTATTAAAAATACAAAAATTAGCCTGTAATCCCAGCACTTTGGGAGGCCGAGGTGGGCGGATCACGAGGTCAGGAGTTTGAGACCTGGCTAACATGGTGAAACACCATCTCTACTAAAAATACAAAAAAATTAGCTGGGCATGGTGGCATGCGCCTGTAGTCCCAGCTACTCGGGAGACTGAGGCAGGAGACTTGCTTGAAGCCGGGAGTCGGAAGTTGTAATGAGCCATGATTGTGCCACTGCACTCCAGCCTGGGCGACAGAGCAAGACTCCGTCTCAAAAAACAAACAAACAAACAAAAATACAAAACTAGCTGGGTGTGGTGGCAGACACCTGTAATTCCAGCTATTCGCGACACTGCAGCACGAGAATCACTTGAACCCCGGTGACGGAGGTTGCAGTGAGCCAAGATCACGTCACCGTACTCCAGCCTGGGCAACAGCGTGAGACTCCATCTCAAAAAAATTAATAAAAATAAAATAAAATAAAATGCTAAATAGGAGAGACAACAGTATTTCTCTCCATTATTATTCCAAAAAAAAAAAAAAAGTAGACTTCCCAGAGCATGTAAATATAAGCCCTTGGCTTTTATGGGTAAGGATTCCAGGTATACTGCTTCTTTCAAAACAGCAATAAACTCACAGGAAATCTTTTAAGTGTACTGTCAGTTCCAAAAATGATGAAACACACTGAGAATTCCAGTTAAACAGGGTAGATTAAGTAAACAAGTTTATTCTCACTCCCTAATAAAACCCCACTAAAATGACAACAAAGGAATAAACCCACAAGAACAAAGAGAATCGGGGCAAAGATACCACGGCAACTGGAAGAGGTCAACAACATTATGGGAAGTGTGAGCAGATAGACAAGATTTAACTAAAACACAGAATAAGACTTTAAGAAAATTCCAGAAATCAGAGGTATGACGTATTTCCAAAACTGGGACTAAAAACAGTGGAAAGTCTATATAAAGAGTCCTTGGCGGCCAAGACCGTTCCCACTACCATGACAGAAGTGACATCCTGTCTTGGGCAGGAGACAAGTGGCTTTATTCTCTGGAAAAATCTGAAGCAGAATGGGTTACAAGGCACACTGGAAGGCAGGGTGAGTTAAAGGGTGGAAATAAGGACATTTAAAATGTTGATATACAAACTTAGAAAAAAAAGTTTCTATTTCAAATTACAACAGGATAAGATCTGCAAAAAGCAAAAAGTTGGTATCCTAAACAGTGAGACTCTCCTACCATCTTCCCCTGCCTAACACCCTAGAACTGTGGCAGTTAAATGTACACTCCTTAGGCAATAAACTACTTAATCCTCTTTGAGAGACACACTGTCCAAGAGAAAAGACTTAAATACTGACTAGTGAGATTTCACTACAACACAGCCACATCCCCACTCAGTAACTTCACAGCGAAGCCCTTCAGCTGACAAATCCTGCCACACACAGGGCTTCCAATCAGGATTTTTCCTGTCTCTCTTATACGCATAAAGAGAAAGTCAAGAATTACCAACCATTTGAGAAAAATATTTATATGAAAGAGAACAAAAGAGATGAGAAGATCTCACATCCATGAAATTAAACACACACACACACACACACACACACGAACGATGCTATTTAAAAAAGAATATTCAGGCCAGGCAAGGTGGCTCACGCCTGTAATCCCAGCACTTTGGGAGGCCGAGGCGGGCGGATCACGAGGTCAGGAGATCAAGACCATCCTGGCTAACACGGTGAAACCCCATCTCTACTAAAAAAATACAAAAAAATTAGCTGGGAGTGGTGGCAGGCGTCCGTAGTCCCAGCTACTCGGGAGGCTGAGGCAGGAGAATGGCGTGAACCCAGGAGGCAGAGCTTGCAGTGAGCAGAGATCGAGCCACTGCACTCCAGCCTGGGCAACTGAGCGAGACTCTGTCTCAAAAAAAAAAAAGCATATTCACAGAACAAAAAAACAGCTCCCCCAAATTAAAAATGAATGCAGAAATCTTTAAAAATCCATACGAGAGTTAGAAAATAAAATTGATGAAATTATCTCAAAAGAAAATAAAAAGATAAACAAATGAAAATAAGAAAAATTGAGGAGATACAACATAGAACTAAAAGGCATTCCAGAAAAAGAAAACAGAGGAAAGAGAAGAAATTATCAGAAGAACCCAGAAAAATCCCCAGAACATAAAGAGAAAAAGAAAAGTTTTAAACAAAGGAATGGAAATCTTCTCAACCTGAAAAGAAGCTAAGAGAAACAGAAAAAGAGTTTTAAAATTCTGAGGGAAAATAATTTCCAATCTACAATTTTATTACTAAAGTTGAAGGGAGACTAATGATTTTTAATTGTATAAATCCCAAAAATTATTTTCCATCTTTCTACTCAATGATGTGCTCTATAAAATGAGAAAGTAAATCAAGAAAGAGAAAGGTATACGATCTAGGACACAGGGGATCTAACACATGAATGAGCTGAAAACCAGGTATGCAGCATCCAATTGGTGAAGAGAAAAATGAAACTGAAGGATGACCTGTGTTCAATAGAAAAATGATACTTCACATATAGCAGAGCATCTGGACGACAAATTACCTATTGGTACAAAGAAAACAAAAATGACACTGTTAGAGGGAATGTCATTATACTATTAAATGTGGGTCAGCAGCCGTGCACAGTGGCTCACGCCTATAATCCCAGTACTTTGGGAGGCTGAGACTGGTGGATCACCCGAGGTCAGGAGGTCGAGACCAACCTGAGCAACATGATGAAACCCCGTCTCTACTAAAAATACAAAATTAGCTGGGTGTGGTGGCGTACACCTGTAATCCCAGCTACCTGGGAGGCTGAGGCAGGAGAATCACTTGAATCTGGTAGGCAGAGGCTGCAGTAAGCCAAGATTGCACCACTGCACTCCAACCTGGGCAACAAGAGCGAAACTCCATCTCAAAACAAACAAACAAAAAAAAAAAAGTGTGTCAGCATGAACATAAATTGAGTGCTCATTTGTGATGGAGGGAGGGTAGTGGAGAATGAACTATCTTTCACAGAAGGAATAATGTTTTAAATGAAAAAAATAAGCCAGGCACGGTGGTTCACGCCTGTAATCCCAGCACTTTGGAAGGCTGAGGTGGGCGGATCACGAGGTCAGGAGATCGAGGCCAGCCTGACCAACATGGTGAAACCCTATCTCTACTAAAAATAAAAAATTAGCCAGGCATGGTGGCGGGCACCTGTAATCCCAGCTACTGGGGAGGCTGAGGCAGGAAAATCGATTGAACCCTGGAGGCAGAGGTTGCAGTGAGCCAAGATCGTGCCACTGCACTCCAGATGGTGACAAAGCAAGACTCCATCTCAAAAAAAAAAAATAAAAGTAAAAATATAAAATAAAATAAAATAAAATGAAAAAATAATAACAGTTAAGCAAATTATCTAGAATATGGAGGTTAATTCAAGAAAAAAATCACTAAGAGTTACTTACCACCTCTGCGGAGTGGGACTGGCAGTGGGAGGGAATATTGGGCTAGAGATTGCTACTTTTCATGCAGCTTCTGACTTTTAAACCCATAAGCGAATTGCTATTTTGATAAAAATTAAAGGCCAGGCACAGTGGCTCACACCTGCAATCCAAACACTTTAGGAGGCCGCGGGGAGTGGATCACCTTAAGTCAGGATTTCAAGACCAGCTTGGCCAACATGGTGAAACCCTGTCTCTACTAAAAATACAAAAAAATTAGCTGGGCGTGGTGGTGGGCGCCCGTAATCCCAGCTACTCAGAAGGCTGAGGCAGGAGAATCACTTGAACCCAGGAGGCAGAGGTTGCAGTGAGCCAAGATTGTACCAGTTATACTCCAGCCTGGGCAACAAGAGTGAAACTGCACCCCCCTCCAAAAAAAATAAAGTACAGTTTAAAAAAATTAAAGTACAGTTTAAAAAAAGAAAAGCCACTTGAAGTAAAACATTTAAGCAGGGAATACTGATGATGTGTATTACTTACCACACTGTATAATTGGCTGCATTTAACTCAATAGCATCCCGGGTTAGCTTAAAAGCTCGTTCACTTCTTTCATCACGCTGCAGGACAGCTCGGAAGTAATCATAAACATCTCTAACTAGAGATAGAGCACACAACTACATTAGGACCATCTTACTTAAAATTAGCACTATAATGTATAATGTCACTATACCTATAAAGATATTTTATTGGCCTGTGTATCATTTATACCAACAAGCAAAATAAAGTCAAATGGCTGTGGCCGCCACCCTAATAATGCCCTAGTGCCTCAGCCACAAAAAGCATGGACTATTTATGTATAACTGTATGCTTACTGCTTACGTGTGTGCATGAGTTCATGCCAGATTCCATATCTCCCATAGGCCTTATGTATAAAAGAAAAATTAGGGTTGCATATATTCAAATATATTCATATAGCTGTTTTTCTGACATTTTGATCAGATTTTTAACTGAAAAATATGCCCAAAGGCAGAAAACTCAAACAGTACAAAAAGGTTCACACTAGATTTCCATTCCACTAAATTCCCAAGCCTCCTCCCCAGAAGCAACCATTATTAACTCATTCTAGTGTATCCTTCCAAATATAGTCTATGCATCTACAAGTATATAGCCTAATTCCATCCTTCATTTTTATGCAAACGAGATCCCATCACACTCTGAGCTTTGCATTTTTCACTCGTACATTATTAAAGATAGTGTAAACTAGTACAAATACTTCTACAACAAATCATTAAAATTTACATACTCTTTGACCCAGTAATTCCAGCTCTAGAAAGTTCTCTCACAAATATACTCCCATATGTGTGCAAGTATTCAAGGATATTTATTGGGAGCATTGGATTACAAAAAAAACAAACAAAAGACTGAGGCAGGCAGATCACTTGAACCCAGCAGTTTAAAATTAGCCTGGGCAACTTAGGGAAACTCCGCCTCTACAAAAAATATAGAAATTAATCGGGCGTGGTGATCCAGGCCTGCAGTCACAGCTACTCGGGAGGCAGAGGTAGGAGGATCGCTTGAGCCTGGGAGGTCAAGGCTGCAGTGAGCCATGATCGCAAGCACCGAGCCTGGGTGACAGCACAACACTGTCTCAAAAAAAAAAAAAAAAAAGGAACTGCCAGGTATGGTGGTTTGCACCTGTACTCCCAGCTACTCGGGAGGCTGAGGCAGAAGGACTGCTTGAGCCCAAGAGTTTGAGACCACGCTGGGTAACATAGTGAGAGCCTGTCTCTGAAAAGAAAAAAACAGAAAGGGGTCATTTACAGCCAAGTAGAATATTAAATGTGGGTAATGTGGTGACCCACTACTTGCAATGGCATCTGAAGTGGGATGGATGTTGCAGCACTGATCCCTTGGCCTGTGGGATCTGTGCTAACTCTGGGTAATGTCAGAACTGAATTAAATTGTAGGGCAACTAGTTGGTGTCTACAGAAAATTGCTTGGTGTGAAAAATCCAAACATTTGGTGTCGAAGTATTTTGACTATAGAGAAACAGTTTTTTCCTTTTAGCCTGTAACACTGAAAGTATCAGACACGAATATGAACAATTACTCCTCTTCACAAAATTCTGAGGTATACAAAGTTTACCTAGTTCTAAACACTATCTTTAAAAAGTTGAATTTGAGCAGTGGCTCAGGCCTGTAATCTCAGCACCTTGGGAGGCCGAGGTGGGAGGATCACTTGAGGTCAGAAGCTCAAGACCAGCCTGACCAACATGGTGAAACCCCATCTCTACTAAAAATACAAAAATTAGCTGGGCATGGTGACACATGCCTGTAATCCCAGCTACTCAGAAGGCTGAGGCACGAGAATCGCTTGAACCTGGGAGACAGAGGTTGCAGTGAGCCGAGATCACGCCATTGTACTCCAGCCTGTGCAACAAGAGCGAAAGTCTGTCTCAAAAAAAAAACCAAGCTTCCAAATAATTTCAAATTTAAAACAAAATGGTAACATATTAAATATGTATACAAATGTATATATATAATACATTATCTTACACACACACACACACACACACACACACATAAAACATACACATATGCACATTGATAAAATAAACTGGGAGGCTATCAGGCTGGGATAGCTCCAAAGCCTCAGGTTCCTATGTAAACAACCAAAATCCGATTCACTGTAAAAGGTAAAATGAAACATTATTCTTTTAATTCAAACATTATAAACAGACCAGGCGCGGTAGCTCACGCTTGTAATCCCAGCACTCTGGGAGGCCGAGGTGGGCGGATCACCTGAGGTCGGGAGTTCGAGACCAGCCTAACCAACATGGAGAAACCCCGTCTCTACTAAAAATGCAAAATTAGCCAGGTGTGGTGTCGCAAGCCTGTAATCCCAGCTACTCGGGCGGCTGAGGCAGGAGAATCACTTGAACCCGGGAGGCGGAGGTCGCGGTGAGCCAAGATCATGCCATTGCACTCCAGCCTGGGCAACAAGAGCGAAACTCCATCTCAAAAAAAAAAAATTATAAACAACATATTGTCATGCTCGAAGATTCTCAAACTTTGACTTTTTTAACTCAACATTGTTTCTGAGATCTGTTCATGTTATAATAGATCTAAATCCTCTTAACGGTTATATAGTATTAACTGTATGACAATGATACATTTTATTTTATCCATTTCTCCAAAAGATAGACATATAGCTTCCAATATCTTGCTTTTTCAAAAAATGCTGCAAATTATAGTAGCTAACATATATAGTGCTTACTATGAGCCAGACAGTATTCTACTATTTTATGTAAATAATTTACTACATCTATAGTTACTACCAAGATCCTCATTTTACACAGGTGGAAACAGAGGCACATAGGAGTTAAATAACTTGTCCAAGATTACACAGTCAGTAAAATGTGAAGTTAGAATTTGAACCAGATGGTCTGGCTCCAAAGTCTGTGCTTTTAACCTCCTGTGCATATCTTCTCATGCCATGTGCCAGAATGAACCCAATATTAAATTAGAAGCAACACACTGCTAGGTTGTAAGATAAGTGCATTTTCCAGTTTTAACAGATATACCAAACTACTTTCCAAAATGGCTAAACATTCGAAAAATCCCATATGAAATGTATGGAGCTCTTCATATATCTTAATACCTAATATAATATCAAGACAGTTTTCATTTCTGCCACTTAAATCATGGGTGGAAAATGGAATTCTCATTTTAACCTGTCATTCTTAATGATAAAGGATTCTTCCTATTTTATTGGCCAATGGGATTTTCTTTTCTGTGAATTGCCAGTTCATACCCTTTGTCCATTTTTTGATTAAACTCTCTGTCTCCTTATCCTGTTGTAAAAACGTCTCAGTTTTAATATGGATCCTGTTTAAATGACATACCTTCTTCCACACTGCTGCTTGCTTTTTAACTTGCTCATGGTTTCTTCTGCTGTGTAAGTTTTAAATTGATATATTTGTCTATAAACGGTTGACAGGTCAAACTTATCTTTTCCTTTAGGGTTTCTAACCATGGTGTATGTAAGAATTCACAAAGTTAATTTTTTTTTTTTTTTTTTGAGACAGAGTTTTGCTCTTGTCGTCCAGACTACAGTGCAATGGCGTGATCGTGGCTCACTGCAACCTCCACCTCTCAGGTTCAAGCAATTCTCCTGCCTCAGCCTCCTGAGTAGCTGGGATTACAGGCGCCTGCCACCACGCCCAGCTAATTTTTGTATTTTTAGTAGAGACAGGGTTTCGCCACGTTGGCCAGGCTAGTCTCAAACTCCTAACCTTAGGTGATCTGCCCACCTCAGCCTCCCAAAGTACTGGGATTACAGGCGTGAGCCACCGCGCCTGGCCCAAAATGTTAATTTTATACCTTGCAAAAAGGTTAATTTATCCTCAATGGAAACATATGATTATATTAGTTTCCCCCAACATCTCTGTTATAAGTACTTATGAATCTGAATAAGTTATGGTTTATATTTCTCTGATCACTAGTAAGGTTAATATCTCTTCATAGATATTTCTATTTTGTGAATTGTCTCTTCATATATACTATCTCTCAAAGTATGAGAGTTTTGCATTTCCGTGCAGTTATATATTCTGACCTTCTCCTTAATCGATTCTGAGGTTTACATCTTGCCTAATACGTTCTCCATCCTAAGAATGATAGGGATACAACTCTGCTTTTATCTAAGTGCACAGCCAACTGTTCCAACCATTATTTGATTAATCCACCCTTTTCATAAAGGTATAAAATGTCCTTTTTATCACATATTAAGCTTTCATAGAGTGAGGATCTATTTCTCGAGTCTTTACAAATCTACTTCTGTGCTACTTCCACTTAATCATTAAGTTTAGTAATATATCTGCACACTTAATACGGCAAACCTATCATTATGCTTTTTTAAACATTTATTGTCATTTTATTAGCAGAAAAAAAATGCTTTTGTAAAAGAATGATCTTAGAAAAGCCTTAACTGAAAGAAATATATATACATAAAATTACAAAACTATCATTCCATTTTATTCATTTTCCCTTTCCTAGAAGAACTAACAATTAACATTTCCACGACCTTCAATTTACACTTTCACATTCATTACAAAAGAATATTTTGTCAAAGAAAAAAATCCACTCATTTTAATATCAATAAATGTATTCCAACTGAGCTGAACACTTCACTGCCAAAATATATGTTTAAATCCTGATGTTTCAGCAACCAAAGTTTATTCTAAAAACAGTAACTCATTTATATTGTGTGGTACATGCATAATCTCCCTGGCGGTGGAGTCTCCAGCAAAGAAAAGAAAACCACAATCACATAGTAGCTATTATCTACTATACTGTAACGTTTATTATTTAGAATATGTCCAGTCTTTGGGCAAAATAAAACTTTTAATCATAAAGCTAAATCACACACACACATAAAAAAAACACAAAATTAACTCATCTTAAGTCATTCAGATTTTTATTAGACAGAAATTTGTCATCTATCTTGCTACATAGTTGTGAATTCCAATTCTGCTACTATATTTAACTTACAGACCTTTTCCTAATATAAACAAACTTACATTTGTCACTATAAATGATCTGGACCACGGGATTGGGGCCATCATTCTGCGGCACCGGATCTATATCAGCCCATTCTGCTCTGTCCCTGAAAACAGACATTCCCCAACCAGTGGTTACATTCAAATACAGAAGAAAAGGGACTCTAGTGTTTTTAAAATGACAATAATTACAGTTACATTGATATTAATAACTTACAGGGCTCATAATGTAATCATGGTTGGATTCTTCATGACCAAGTTTTGCCAATATGTTTTACACATTAAACTATTAAAGTAAAATTAAAACAAATAACCCTCAGATGCTGAAAAGCTAATCAACAGTTTTCAAATTTAAAGTTTTATAAGTAGAAAAATAAGTTTTTGCAGCAAGTAGACAGTACTTTTTTTTATTTTATTTTTTTGAGACGGAATCTCACTCTGTCGCCCAGGCTGGAGTGCAGTGGTGTCATCTCGGCTCACTGCAACCTCTGCCTCCTGGGTTCAACCAATTCTTCTGCCTCAGCCTCCCGAGTAGCTGGGACTAAGGACTACAGGCGGGCGCCACCAAGCCCAGCTAATTTTTGTATTTTTAGTAGAGATGGGGTTTCACCATGTTGGCCAGGATGGTCTCAATCTCTTGACCTGGTGATCCGCCCGCCTCGGCCTCCCAAAGTGCTGGCATTACAGGTGTGAGCCACCGCTCCCTGCCTCACAGTATTTTTAACTTAGAAATCAATCTAACTCATTGGTCTAGTAAGATTCTTTGAGTCAGTCAGCATTTTTAAAACGTTTGAGTAACAAAATACTAGGAATTGACATTTTAAGATAAAAATAAGTACTATTAATTTACTCAAGAGGTGGCGCAGGTGATCATTAATAAGACAGGCTCTGGAATCTGACAACTGCCTAAGTCGTAACATTGGCTGGAGCACTTAATAGCTGTGTGACCTTCAGAAAGTTACTTATTGGGGCCTCAGTTTCACCATTTATAAAATCAGGGCAGTATTATTACCTACCAACCTTAGAAGGGTATTTGGAGGATTAAATGAGATAAGCACTTAAAACATCCACAGCACACAGGCGGCATTCAATGACTACTTAATAAGCAATGCTAAAATAACTGTATAGTGACAACAGTGAGTGCTTACAGAAATTTCTGTGAACTACCTACCCAGTGTAACAAAATTTCTCTTAAACACTTTCACTTATATTCTTTTCCTTTCACTTTTTTTTTTTTTTTTTGAGATGGAGTCACGCTCTTGTCCAGGCTGTGGTGCAATGGGCGCAATCTCCGCTCATTGCAACCTCTGCCTCCTGGGTTAAAGCGATTCTCCTGCCTCAGCCTCCCGAGTAGCTGGAATTACAGGTGCCCGCCACCACGCCCGGCTAATTTTTGTATTTTTAGTAGAGACAGGGTTTCACCATGTTGGCCAGGTTAGTCTGGAACTCCTGACCTCAGGTGATCCGCCCGCCTCGGCCTCCCAAAGTGCTGGGATTACAGGCGTGAGCCACCGCGCCGGCCCTTCCTTTCACTTTTTATTTCTCTATAATGATCAGCTGTTGACAGCAGAGATTCTGTGGCATCCAATGCGCAATGCTAGTAATTGTGTCCATTATACAGGGAGAAATACAAGTGAAATCATGACCTAAGACGTGACACCTAGAGCCTGGGGGAGTGGCCTGGGAAAGGTAAGGCTGTATTTAGTCACCAGGAAATCACCCACAGTCACGTGAGAACCTGAGTATTTCACAATCCAGAGAGCAGACTTGAGGATTATGGGGCTACCAATTTAAATCAGTAAAACACTATCTCCAATCAAAAAAATATATATGGGTAGTGACTTCTACTCATTCACAAAATCAAGGTAAACAAGCCATCGAATGGATTTACCTAGAACTACAGAAGTAAGACCTAAGGCGATTATCTCTGCAGGTTCACAGGGAATTAGGAATCAACATTACCATCTGAAAGCAAAGAACTGATGGAACTGGGTGTCAGCAAAGACGGGGTGACAGAGGCAAGAAAGTTACCGCAGTCCCCAGTACACCTCACTTGTATTATGTACGAGGCGATGCAGGGAGACTTAAGAGAGGTTCAGTAGCAAATCTCTTTTCAGCCTTTAGCCTGGCTGATACGAGGCGCTAAAATACAGATTGGATGAAAATGTCTCTGGGCTCCAAGCAGAGCCAGCCACTGGAAGCCCTCACACTTCGTTTTTAGGGTGAGCAAATCTGGCCCTGGTTTCCTGCCCGGCTACCAGAACTGCACCCTAGCCCTTGGGTCTTCACTGGTTGTTAGCGACACAGCGTTCTGGGAAGCCGTGGAAGAGAGCGGGAAATTTCTTATATTTACGAATCGCGACGCCTGAACAGCTGAACGAGTGCAGTCAAGGGTGCAGCAGTTTCCGCGTGGCTTAAAGCAGGCGGAAAGCCGAGACCTCGCTGCTTCGCGTCCCCGCGGTCTCGCGCCGGCGCCGCCCTGGGAAGCGGCGACGTCCCGGCAGCCGCCCGGGCCCAGCGCCATGCACCGGCCCACGCGGCGCCACGGGAACTTCGGCCTGGCGCGCCGGGGCCGGAAGCGCGCGCCGCGGGTCTTGGGGCCGCTGGGCCTCCAGGGAGTGTCCCGAGCCGCGGCCGCCGCGGGGGCGTTACCTGTACAGGACATAGGAGGGCGAGTCCAGGCTCACAAACCCGTCGTCCATGGGGGACGCCACGGCTTCCCCAGCCTCGGCCGCCATCTCTTCCTTGTGCTGCTGCTGGGGCGGCGGTGGGTGCGGCTGGGGCGGGGGTTGCGCCGGCTGCCCGGGCTCGCCCCCTTGCGCAGCCTCCCCGACCCCCTCGGTGGCCGCCATCTCGCCTCGGTCCGCAGCTGAGGTGGTGGCGGAGGCCCCGCCCCTCCCTTCCCCCTCTCGAGGCCACTTCCTGTTTTCTGGGTTTCCTACCATAGAGGTGCGGGCCAGAGAGTCTTGGCGGGCTGCCGGGGTATGGGTGGGAGTGTGCGGGTGCTGGCTGCGGGTGCTGGCTGCGTCCGCCGCGAGTTTGCGCGGCTCTCCCGAGATCCCCCAGGCTCCCACGCGTCTTCCCATCTGTCGCCGTTCCCGAGCTTTGCCGATGCCATTCGGACCGTGTTAGTGCTGTTAGTGGCCCCAGCAGGGAGAGGGCGATTCCTTCTTTGGACGGAAGCTGCAACTGAGGGTGACTGGGGGACACTGAGCACTCAGCCCTTTGCGTCCATCTCAGCATTTTCAAAACGAAATATAAAGCCCGGGCGCGGTGATTAACGCCTGATCCCAGCCGCTCGGAGGCCGCGGCGGGAGGATCATGTGAGCCAGGGAGGTCGAGACCAGCCTGGGCAATCTAATGCGACCCCATCTCTACCAAAAATACAAAAATTAGCTGGGCATCATGTGGGTGCCTGTGGTTCCAGCTACTCGGAAGGCTGAAGTGGGAGGATCGCTTGAGCTGGGAGTTTGAGGCTGCAGTGAGCAGAAATCACCACTGCACTCCAGTCTGAGGGACAGAGATCCTGTCCCAAAACACACACACCATTAGAAAAAGAAAGTAATATTTGGTGAAGTTTTTGTTTGTATTTATATATGATCGGATATAATGGTGTAAACCAAAAAATAAAATTCTGAACCCAACACCAAACCATCTGAATAGACCCTTCCTCTCTGCCAAGGGCTTTCCAAAGTTAACCTGAAAAACTTGTTCAGGCCATGATGGAAGGAGGTGGGGGTGAGGGTGGGTCATTAACATCAAGGCCGACCTTAAGTCTGATGAGAAACATTTACAATCTATTCTTTCTGAAGCCTGTTACTTGGAGGCTTCATCTGCATAATAAAACTTTGGTCTCCACAACCCCTTATCACAACCTGGACATTCTATTGATAACAACTTAACCAATTGCTAATCAGAACATATTTAAATCGGCCTAGGACCCGGAAGCACCCCTCTCCCTACACTTTGAGTTGTCTTGTCCTTCCAAAGGAACCAATGTGTATCTTACATGTATTTGATTGATGTCTTATGCCTCCCGAAAATGTATAAAACCCCACTGTGCCCCAACCACCCTGGGCACATGTTCTCAGGATCTCTTAAGGGCTGTGTCACAGGCCATTAATCACTCATATTTGGCTCAGAATAAATCTCTTCAAATATTTTCCAGAGTTTGACTCTTTTCATTAACAATGGGTCATATGAATGTATGTTGTTGGGGCTCAGAAAAGAATATCCCAAATGAAGGTCTAAGCATCAGCTTCACAATCACAGTCTCTCTCTGACCTTCTCCTGCCCTCCTCTCTGTGGCCACTCATCCTCTCTGAAGCAAGCCACAGCAACTAGAATCTCTCTTCCCCCTGGCAGGTCATAGAAACCAGAACCCTTTTCCCCCAAAGCCAGCCGTGGCACCTGAAAATACTACTCTAACCTTCCTCCAGCCCTGCCTTTCTATGTGACAGCTGGCTGTAAAGAAACTAAACCCTAGTTCCAGAGGGCTCCTCTTCCACTGGGTGTTGCAGGGAGGAACAGTGAGGCCAAGGAAACCTGAACAGACAGGCCTTGTTGAATTTCTCCACTCCATATATTAGCATTAAATCATCCTCTTTTTGTTCAAATAGGGTATAGTATTAGGGCAGAAATAGCTACATCAAATAATGGGACACAGTAGAGAACTCACAAACAGATCCATGCATATGTGGATGCTTGAGACTAGACAAAGGCTTCATTGCAGAAGATTGAGAAAAGGACGGTGTTCTGAACAATGGTGCTGGGTCAATTGGGCACCCACAGAGGAAAAGAAATTGCATCCCTACGTTATACTACATAGACTTCAATGTGAAAGGCAAAACATAAAAGCTTAAGATTCTGCACAAAACAGAAAACCCAAAATGGCAAATAAATGCATGAAGAGATGATCAATCTCATTAGTAATCAAGAAAATGCAAATTAGAAATATCTTTATATACCATACACATCCACTACGTTGGCAAAAATGGAAAAGCTTAACAATTCCAAGTGGCTTTGGAAAATAGGTTGGCATTATGTAGGAAAGCTAAAGATACACATTGTTATCACCCAGTGCTATAGTTTGGATGTGTTTTGTCCCTACCAAAACTCATTCAGGGTTGAGAGGCAGGGCCTAGTGGGAGCTGTTTGGGTCATTCCTCATGAATAGATGAATGCCCTACCTCAAGGATAAGTGGGTTCTTGCTCTTGCAGAATAGATTAGCTGTCTTCCTTGGTTTCTCTCTCTTGCTTCCCCTCTTGCTATGTGATCTCCTTGCACATACTACTCCCCTTCCACTTTCCCCCCATGAGTTGAAGCAGCCTGAGGCCCTCACTAGATAAAGCTACCCAGTCTTGAACCTTTTGGCCTCCAGAATCATTAGTCAAATAAACCTCTTTTCTTTATAAATTACCAGCCTCAGGTATTCTATTATGGTAACACAAAACGACTAAGACACCCAGTAATGCTAAGATACATATATATATATATATATATATATATTTTTTTTTTTTTTTTTTTTTTTGAGACAGAGTCTCACACTGTTCCCCGGGCTGGAGTGCAATGGCATGGTCTCGGCTCACTGCAACCTCTGCTTCCCAGGTTCACGCGATTCTTCTGCCTCAGCCCTCAGCCTCCCGAGTAGCTGGGATTACAGGCACACACCACCACACCTGGTTAATTTTTTGTATTTTTAGTAGAGATGGGGTTTCACTATGTTGGCCAGACTGGTCTCGAACTCCTGACCTCATGATCCAGCTGCCTCGGCCTCCCAAAGTGCTGGGATTACAGACGTGAGCGACCGTGCCTGGCCAGATGTATATATATATATATATATATATTTTTTTTTTTTAAATGATGCACTCACATGCATCAGAACACAGAACAACAGTACTGGAAACACATTGTAATAGCCACAGACCAGAAACAACCAACATGCTCATCAAGAGTACAATGTGGTATAGTCATATAATGGAATACTATGCAAAAATGAAACATATGAACTAAAGGTCATACACTAATAAGTGTGGTTAAAAGAAAATCATGGCTGGGCACAGTGGCTCACATCTGTAATTACAGCACTTTAGGAGGACAAAGCAGGAGGATCACATGAGGCCAGGAGTTTGAGACTAGCCTGGGCAACATAGCCAGACCCCAACTCTAAAAAAATACAAAAATTAGTTGGACGTGGTGACATGTGCCTGTAATCCCAGGTACTCAGGAAGCTGAGGTGGGAGGATCACTTGAGCTCAGGAAGTCAAGGCTACAATGAGCCATGATCACACCACTGCACTCCAGCCTGGGCAACAGAGTGAGAGCCTGTCTCAAAAAAATATAAAAAAAGAAAAAGACGGCCAGGTGCGGTGGCTCACACCTGTAATCCCAGCACTCTGGGAGGCCAAGGCAGGCGGATCACCTGAGGTCAGGAGTTTGAGACCAGCCTGGCCAACATGGTGACACCCCGTGTCTACTAAAAATGCAAAAATTAGCTGGGCATGGTGGCAGGCACCTGTAATCCCAGCTTCTTGGGAGGCTGAGGTAGGAGAACTGCTTGAACCCAGGAGATGGAGGAGGTTGCAGTGAGCCGAGATCATGCCACTGCACTCCAACCTGGGCGACAGAGCGAGACTCTATCTCAAAAAAAAGAAAAACACTTGTTTCCTCTACTCACAACACTTCTGACACCAAATATGTGAGGTTTTCCTTCACATTAAGCAATCATCCAACCCTACTGACACCAGATGGGTAAACTACAATTCGGTTATGACACTAACTACCCTGAGCTAGTGGAGACCCCACAGGTTAAGGGCTCTGTCCCACAAGACTGCTCTCCCACTTCAGATGCCAGTCACAAGTCCCAGGTTATCACCTGAACTTCTAACAAACTGGCTATAAATCAGGGGTTCCTGCAACCCCACATTTGACAATTTGCTATAATGGCTCATAGAATGCAGGGAACCACATTACTTATGTTTACTGGTTTATTATAAAGGATATTACAAATGATCCCAGTGAGGAGGTACATAGGGTGAGGTCTGGAAGGGTTCTGAGCATGGGAGCTGCTGTTCCCATGGAGTTTGGGGTCTGCTACCCTCTTGCATGTGGATATATCCTTTCTCAGCAACCCTGAAGCTCTCTGAGCCTCTTCAGTTAGGGCTTTTATAGATGCTTCATTACATAGGCCCAGTTGATTAAATCATTGGTCACTGGTGATTGACTCAACCTCTAGCCCTTCTCCCATTCCCAGAGGTGGGGATGGCTGAAAGTTCCAATCCTCTAATCACATGCTTGGCTTCCCTGGTGTCTTAGTCCATTTAATGCTGTGATAAAGGAAAAGCTGAAGCTGGCTAATTTATAAGGAAAAGAGGTTGACTTGGGTCATGGTTCTGCAGGCTGTGCAAGAAGCATTGTACCAGCACCTGCTTCTGGTGAGGGCCTCAGGCTGCTTCCAGTAATGGCAGAAGCTGAAGGGGAGCCATTGCGCAGAGATCACAGGGCGAGAGAGGAAGCAGGAGGCCAGGAGGGGCCCATCCCTTCCTAACAATCAGCTCTTGTGGAAATCAATAGAATGAGAAGTCACTCATTACAGAGAGGATGGCACCAAGCCATTCCTAAGAAAAATCCACCCCCATCACCCAAACACCTCCCATAGGCCCCACCTCCATAAGATTTGGAGGGTCAGATATTTAAACCATAGCACATGGCAACCAGCCCCCGCCCTCCAAGAGTCAGCTCATTAGCATAAACTCAGGTTTGGTTGAAAGGGTTTGTCATGAATAACAAAAGACATGGACAGACATGGTGGCTCACACCTGTAATCCTAACACTTTGGTAGGCCGAGTCGGGTGGATCATCTGTGGTCAGGAGTTCAAGACCAGCCTGGCCAACATGGTGAAACCCCGTCTCTACTAAAAATACAAAAATTAGCTGAGTGTGGTGGTGCATGCCTGTAATTCCAGCTACTCGGGAGGCTGAGACAGGAGAATTGTGTGAACCTGGGAGGTGGAAGTTGCAGTGAGCCAAGATTGCGCCACTGCACTCCAGCCTGAGAACAGACGGAGACTCCATCTCAAAAAAAAAAAAAAAAAGACATTCCTTTCACCCTTCACCTTTATCACTTAGGAATTAAAAGAATTATAGGCTCTCTGGCCAGGAGCTGGAGATAAAGACCAAAGTACATATTTATTATATCACAATACCACAGTTGTATAAACAAAGTGCTGAGCAAAAGAAACCACAGTATATAATTCTATGTACATAGAGTTTAGTAACAGGCAAAATTACAGCCTATTGTTTTTACTTGAAGATAAAACTAAACAAATAAAGAAAATCGTTACCATAGAACTCAGACTAGTAGGTACCTCTAGGGGAGGAGAGCAGGTTATGGTTGAGAAGGGACATGTGTAAGGATCCCAGGGTGCTTGCAATGTTTGATTTTCTGCCTTGGATCACAGTGACACTGGTGTTCACTAGATCAGTAACTCAGGGAGAAACGTGGAAGTCTGCATTCCCAAGTTTCATGTATGTCGAATGTACACCAGGTAAAGGTTTTATGCTAGGTTAATTTGAAAGTGATCACTTTTCTAGAATATTGCATAAAAGCTGTACTTCACTAAAAACAATTGTCTGTTACTAAAAAAAAATTCTATAACTCACTTTTCATAAAGGCTGTTTTGAAATTCTGTAAGGGAAGAAATGTGACTTTAGCTTTATGAAGGCAACTTGCTTCTTTCTGTCTAAACACTCTGGAGACAAATGTTGAAATATATTGGCCAAACACAATGTGTACCTTGGTCTCCTCCACAGAAACAGATAGTTTTTAATGACTGCATGATATTTCTTTTAGATATTGTGCTTTATATAGTAGTTAATAGTTATATAGCAGTTACAGGCTCACAAGTTTGAGACCAGCCTGGGCAACCCCACTGCTACAAAAAAAAATTAGCTGGGCATGGTGTCGCGTGCTTCTGGTCCCAGCTACTCAGGAGGTTGAGGCAGGAGGATCACTTGAGCCGAGGAAGTTGAGGCTGCAGTAAGCCATGACTGTGCCACTGCACTCCACCCTGGGCAACAGAGGGAGACCCTGGATCTAAAAAATAATAATGTTGGCCAGGCACAATGGCTCACACCTGTAATCCCAGCACTTTGGGAGGCCAGGGTAGGTGGATCATGAGGTTAGGAGTTTGAGACGAGCCTGGCCAAGATGGTGAAAACCCATCTCTACTAAAAATACAAAAATTAGCAGGGTGTGGTGGCACACGCCTGTAATCCCAGCTACTTGGGAGGCTGAGGCAGGAGAATCGTTTGAACCCAGGAGGCGGAGGTTGCAGTGAGCCGAGATCGTGTCATTGCACCCCAGCCTGGGCGACAGGATGAGACTCCATCTCAAAAAAAAAATAATAATGTTAATAATAAAAAATAATCTATTGTTGAATGTTTAACATTGTTTCAAATTTCTCACTTGGAATGTTTCATTCATGAGTATCTTCATATTAATAAATGTATCTAATAAACATTCATTTTGTGACCATTGTGGACTACTATTCTCAACAGTGGTGATATAGCAGTGAAAACAAAATTTTTAACAACAACAAAAAAACTCTGCTCTTATGGTATTTTTATTCTAGTGAGGGAGATAAAGAAGATAAACGTGTAATAGTTGTTGAATATTATCTAGTGATAAGTGCTAGGAAGGAAAAGCAGGGAAGTGTAGGGATGGATTATAAGTGATAGCTCATCACTAGGGGAAAGTCCTCATTAAGGAGGTGACAGTCAAATAAAGATTTGAGGAATATGAATGAGCAAGCCCACTTGGAGATCTTCTAGACCATTCCCGGCAGAAGTCCAAAGATACTGAGCAGGGAGAGTCTGGTGCATCTGTGGATCTAGGCGGCCAGTGTGGCTGGAATGGAGTGACCAGATGGGAGTGGGGGAGGAGGTGAGGTCGGAGATGGAGGTGGAGCACATCACAGGGTCTTACTGCCACCCAGGCTGGAGAGTAGTGGCGCAATCATAGCTCACTGCAGCCTTGAACTCCTGGGCTCAAGCAATCTTCCCACTTCAGCCTCCCAAGTAGGTGGAACTACAGGTGTGTGCCATCATGCCTGGCTGATTTTTTTTTTTAATTTTTGTAAAGAGAGTATCTTGCTATGTTACCCAGGCTGGTTTCATTTTCGTAAAGACAGAATCTTGCTATGTTGCCCAGGCTGGGTTCAAGCAGTCCTCCTGACTTGGCCTCCCGAAGTGCTGAGATTACAGGCGTGAGCCATTGTGCCTGGCCTGACATAAATTTTGAAATCAGCAAGTATAAGCCCTTTATATTTACTTTTTATAATGGAAAATTTCAATCTACACAAATATAGGGGAAATAATTCAATAAACCCTCATATCCTCTCAGCCAAGTACCAAAACAATCATCAACTCAAGGATATTGATTTCAATACTTTTCTCTGTTTTTTTTTCTTTTTTTTTTTTTTTTGAGACAGAGTCTCACTCTGTCATCCAGATTGGAGTGCAGTGATGCGGTCTCAGCTCACTGCAACCTCTGCCTCCTGGGTTCAAGTGATTCTCCTGCCTCAGCCTCCCAAGTAGCTGGGATTACAGGCGTGAGCCACCAGACCCGGCTAATTTTTGTATTTTTAGTAGAGACGGGGTTTCACTATATTGGCCAGGCTGGTCTCAAATGGCTAACCTCAAGTGATCCACCTGTCTTGGCCTCCTAAAATCCTGGGATTACAGGCGTGAGCCACCGCGCTCGGCCCCAATACTCTTCTCTTAATCTCTCACCCTACAGAAATATTTTGAAGCAAATTCAAGACATCATATAGCATCATTATAATATAAAAAAATAACTATCATTATCCTGCCTACAAAATTGACAATAAAGATTTCTGTGGCCGGGCATGGTGGCTCATGCCTGTAATCCTAGCATTTTGCGGGGCTGAGGCAGGCGGGTCACCTGAAGTCAGGAGTTCAAGACCAGCCTGACCAACATGGTGAAACCCGTCTCTACTAAAAATACAAAAATTAGCTGGGCATGGTGGCACGCACCTGTAATCCCAGCGACTCAGGAGGCTGAGAAGGGGGAATCGCTTGAACCCGGGAGGCAGAGGTTGCAGTGAGCAGAGATGGCACCACTGCACTCCAGCCTGGGCAGCAGAGCAAGACTCTGTCTCAAAAAAAAAGACAAAAAAGTTTTCTGCTACTGCCAAGATGGAGTAACAGGGATCTCCCAACTGAAACAACTAAGACAGCAGGACCAAAAAAATGAGACAACAGTTCTCATCAGGACATCAGGAAAATAAGAACCATAAACTCTAAGCATGTGACACAAAAAAAGATGAATCCTGGCCAAGCACGGTGGCTCACACCTATAATCCCAGCACTTTGGGTGGCTGACATGGGCGGATCACGAGGTCAGGAGATCAAGATCATCCTGGCCAACATGGTGAAACCCCGTCTCTACTAAAAATACAAAAATTAGCTGGGCATGGTGGAATGCACCTGTAGTCCCAGCTACTCAGGAGGCTGAGGCAGGAAAATTGCTTGAACCCGGGAGGCAGAGGTTGCAGTGAGCTAAGATCGGGCCACTGCACTCCAGCCTGGGCAACAGAGCAAAACTCTGTCTCAAAAAAAAAAAAGAAAAAAAGAATCCTGAAATTGCCTTAGCTTATAGCTTATGAAAAAAATTCTAGGGGCTGGGTGTAGCCCTTATATACCTGTAATCTCAGCATTTTAGGAGATTAGATCTCTCTAATTTCCTAAATTGCCTGAGATCAGGAATTTGAGACCAGCCCGGGCAACATAGCAAGATCCTGTCTCAAAAAAAAAAAAAAAATTAGTTGGACTTGGTGGTGTGCACCTGTAGTCCCAGCTTCTTGGGAGGCTTAGGTGGGAGGATGACTTGGACCCAGGAGTTCGAGGTCGCAAGGAGCTATGATCGCACCACTGTACTCTAGCCTGGGTGACAGAGCGAGACCCTGCCTCTAAAAAAATTTAATTAAAAATGTGCAGGTCATGGCTGGGTAAAGGGGTTCACACCTGTAATCCTAGCACTTTGGGAGGCTGAGATGGGCAGATCACTTGAGGCCAGGAGTTTGAGACCAGCCTGGCCAACATGATGAAACTCTGTCTCTACTAAAAAAAATACAAAAATCACCCAGATGTGGTGGTGCGTGCCTGTAGTTCTAGCTACTTGGGAGGCTGAGGCAGGAGAATCACTTGAACCCAGGAGGCAGAGGTTGCAGTAAGCTGAGATCACACCACTGCACTCCAGCCTGGGCAACAGAGCGAGACTCTGTCTAAAAAAAAAAAAAAATGCGCAGGCCATGATGTAGAGGGCAGAGCACAACGGCCCCTCCACAATTGAAGAGGCAGTGCTGGACAATTGAGGAAGCCAGTGTGGCTACTTTTTACAGGGCAGGATACCTGAAGGAGACAGTTACAGAGAGAAAATTCTGAAGACCTGCTGAGGGTCGCCCTGAAGTATTCAGTTGCATAACGATCAGTGTATGTATTGGAGGAATAAACAAGGATGGAGAAAGGATCACACAAAGGATTAGATGCAAGAATTCCTGAAGCTCACACACGGTCACAAATACTGCCTGTTCAGATGGATTGCTTGGGCCCAGGAGTTTGAGGCTGCAGTCAGCTATGATCGTGCCACGGCACTCCAGCCTGGGTGACAGAGCAAGACTCTGTCTTTAAAACAACAACAACAACAACAACAACAAAAACGAAAAAAGAAATACTGCCCGTTTTAACCACCTACAGTGAGAAATCTTAAAATTCACAGAGTATCAGGTAGAGTACTCAACAGGGTCTTCCCTTAGTTGTGGGATGAAATTATCCCAAATGTGGACATGGTTGGGCAAGACCCAAAGGGATCAATCTGCTTCCAATTAACCTAACTGTACCCTATTAAAAAGTTCAAGAATTATTTTAGGAAAAGAAAGATACCCATCACCCAATAAAATAAAGTTCACAATTTCTGGCATCCAATTTAAAGTTTCCAGGCACACAAAGAAGTAGGAAAATTTGACTCATTATGAGCAGGAAAAAATTCTATCTATCAAAACCAACCCCGAACTGACACAAACATTACAATCAACAGTCATGGGCACTAAGACAGTTGTAACTGTGTTCTTATGATCAAGAAGCTAGCAGAAATATTCCACATGTTAAGCAGAGACATGGAAGATGTCAATAAAAAAATAAATTTAACCTCTAGAGACTCAAAAATACACTGGATGGCATTAGCAGCAGATTAGACATTCTAGAGAAAAAGATTCGTGAATTTGAAGACACTAATAGAAATTATCCAAAATGAAACTGAGAGAAAAGACTGGAAAGAGATCCACAGAGCATCCATGAGCTGTCAGACACCCTTAGCTCACTAATATCTGTGTAACTAGAGTTCTCAGAGAGGAGCAGAAGGATAGAAAAAAATATCTGGAGACATAATGGCTGCAGTTTTTCCAAATTGGAGAAAAATTATAAACCTACAAAGAAAGCTCAAAGAAGCCCAAGCACAAGAAATGTTCAAAAAATACATAACAGATCAAAATCAAATTGCTCAAAAGCAGTGATAAAGAGAAAATCTTAAAATCCACCAAAGAAGAAGACACATTAGATATAGAAGAACAAACCTGGCTGGGCAAGGTGGCTCACGCCTGTAATCCCAGCACTTTGGGAGGCCGAGGCAGGTGGATCACCTGAGGTCAGGAGTTTGAGACCAGCCTGGCCATTATGGTGAAACCCTGTCTCTACTAAAAATACAAAAATTAGGCCGAGCGCAGTGGCTCACGCCTGTAATCCCAGCACTTTGTGGGGGCTGAGGCGGGTGGATCACCTGAGGTCGGGAGTTCGAGACCAACCTGACCAACATGGAGAAACCCCGTCTCTACTAAAAATACAAAAAAAGAAAATTAGCCAGGTGTGATGGCGCATGCCTGTAATCCCAGCTACTCCAGAGGCTGAGGCAGGAGAATCGCTTGAACCCAGGAGGTGGAGGATGCGGTGAGCCAAGATCGCGCATTGCACTCCAGCTTGGGCAACAAGAGTGAAACTCCATCTCAGAAAGAAAAAAAAAATTAGCCAGGCATAGTGGTGGACGCCTGTAATTCCAGCTACTCGGGAGACTGAGGCAGGAGAATCGCTTGAACCTGGAAGGTGGAGGTTGCAGTGAGCCGAGATCGCGCCACTGCACTCCAGCCTAAGTGACAGAGTAAGACTCTATCACAAAAAAACAAAAACAAAAACAAAACAAAACAAAAACCTATAGATGACAGCAGATTCTCACTGGAAGCTGCAGTAGGCAGTCTTGCAGATGGTCCCTAAGGAGCCCACCTCTTGGAATTCATACCCTTGTAAAGTCCCCTCCACTCGAGTGTGGGCTGACCTCATGACCAGCTTCTAATGAATAGAATATGGCAAAAGTGGCCAGACCTGTAGTCCCTACTACTTGGGAGGCTGATGTGGGAGGATCACTTGAGCCCAGGGGTTCGAGGCTGCAGGGAGTTATGATCATGTCCTGAACTCCAGTCTGGGTGATGGAGTGAGACTCTGTCTCAAAAAAGAAAAAAAAAAAGGCAAAAGTGATAGCATGCCACCCTGAGATTACAAGACTGTGACCTCCACCATGTTGGCCCCCCTGCTCCGGCCCTTACGTCTCTAGGAGCCCTCATTTTGAGGGAAGCAAATGGCCATGTTGTGAAATGCACTACGGAGAGGCCAACGTGGCAGGAAACTGACGTATCTGGCCGGTAGTTGGTAAGGACCTGAAGTGTGCCAACAGTGATGTGAGTGAACTTGGAAGTAGATCTTCCCTTCGCCCAGCTTTTTTTTTTTTTTTTTTTTTTTTTGCGGGGTCTCCCTCTGTCGCTCAGGCTGGAGTGCACTGGTGCGATCTCATCTCACTGCCGCCTCTCCCTCTTGGGTTCAAGTGATCCTCCTGCCTTAGCCTCCCCAGTAGCTGAGACTATAGGCATGCACCATCACGACTGGTTTTTACATTTTTTATAGAGATGGGGTTTTCGCTATGCTGACCAGGCTGGTCTCAAACTCCTGGGCTCAAGAGATCCTCCCACCTTGGCCTCCTAAAGTGCTGGGATTGGCCTGGTACAGTGGCTCATGCCTGTAATCCCAGCACCTTGGGAGGCCAAAGTGGGCGGATCACCTAAGGTCAGGAGTTCGAGACCAGCCAGACCAACATAGTGAAACCCCACCTAAATAAAAATACAAAATTAGCTGGACGTGGAGGTGGGTGCCTGTAATCCCAGCTACTTGGGAGGCTGCAGCAGGAGAATCGCTTGGACCTGGGAGGCGGAGGTTGCAGTGAGCTGAGATGGTGCCACTGCACTCCAGCCTGGGCAACAAGGACGAAACTCCATCTCAAAAAAATAAATACAGTGCTGGGATTAGAGGAGTGAGCCATTCTACCTGACTGGTTTGTTTTTTTTTTTTTTCGTTATCAAAAGTCAGTAATATTTTTGTATATTTCCTCCTAAGAGGTTTTTTAACACAAATTTTTACATGGTGATAATCAGATTTTACATACAATTTTGCATCCTACTTGTCCCTTGACATATCCCCATGTTATTTATTGTAAATACAACATCCCATCAGGAGGGACATACTAAATTTTATTTAACTATTTATTGCTGGATATGGACATTATTTTTTATTTTTCTCTATATAATGTGACATGCCCCTTTATGCATAGAAGACTTTTCTGCAGGTAGGATTACTTCTTTGAGCTACTGAATTTTTTTTAAGGCTTTGACACATATTGCCAAGTTCCTTTTGCAAAGAGGTTGTACCAAGGCACCAGAGTGGCAGTTGTGTTGAACATGCCTGGCACCAAAGTTGTAGACACCCTTGCAGGAGTAGAGGAGTATGAGTGAAGGTAATTTGCTTAATTCATCTTGTACTCTATTTAAGGTCTTCCCTCATTGTTTTTGTTTGTTTGTTTGTTTGTTTTTTTGAGACCGAATCTCCCTTGTCGCCCAGGCTAGAGTACAATGGCGTGATCTCTGCTCACTGCAACCTCCGCCTCTGGGGTTCAAGCAATTCTTCCTGCCTCAGCCTCCCGAGTAGCTGGGATTACAGGCGTCTGTCACCACGTCCAGCTAATTTTTTGTATTTTTAGTAGTGACGGGGTTTTACCATGTTGGCCAGGTTGGTCTCAAAGTCCTGACTTCAGGTGATCTGACTGCCTCGGCCTCCCAAAAGTGCTGGGATTACAGGCATGAGCCACCATGCCCAGCTGGTCTTCCCTCATTCTTATGTGATATTTTAATGACAGTATAACACATATATAGAAAAATACAAATTGTTAGTCAACAGCTACACAATGATCATAAACAAGACACTCTCATGACACCAACGTCTGCACCAAATTACAGAATATTCCCACCGACCAAGCTGTCCTTGTGGCCCCTCCCAGGCACTCCCCTAAGGGTAATTATGTTTTGCCCATTTTTGAACTTTATATGTGTAGACCATGCTGTATCCATTTTTGTATCTGGCTTTTGTTCAATACTGTATCTACCAGAGTCAACTGTGTTGTATGTAATAGCAGTTCATTTGCTGTCACTGCTGAGTAGCGTTCTATTTTATGGATGTGCCACAACCTCTTTATCCATTTTACTTTAATGGATATATGAGTGGTCTCCAGTTTTGACTCTTATATACAGTGCTACTGTGAACATGCTAGTATATAAACTTTAGTGAACACATGCATGCTTTTCTGTTGGGCATATATGTAGGAGTGGAGTGGCTGGGTCATGGGGGATATGTGTTTTCAGCTTCCTGATCCAATTTTTTTTTTTTTGAGACGGAGTCTGGCTCTGTCGCCCAGGCTGGAGTGCAGTGGTGCAATATCGGCTCACTGCAAGCTCCGCCTCCCGGGTTCACACCATTCTCCTGCCTCAGCCTCCCGAGTAGCTGGGACTACAGGTGCCCGCCACAACATCCGGCTAATTTTTTGTATTTTTAGTAGAGACGAGGTTTCACCGTGTTAGCCCGGATGGCCTTGATCTCCTGACCTCGTGATCCGCCCGCCTCGGCCTCTCAAAGTGCTGGGATTACAGGCGTGAGCCACCGCGCCCGGCCTCTTGCTCCAATTTTTAATGGATCATCTTCAGTTGAAAGGAGATGGAGGTTCAGCAGCAAAGATCGCATTGAGGAGTTGGGAATTCTGATCCCCAAGGCCTACGACCTATGGGGGAGGGTAGGGGTCTGGGAGTGGGTGGCAGCTGACAAGTATTATCTGTCCCTAGCCCCATGCTAGTTGCTAGGGGGAAGCGATGGGAAGAGAGTCCGTTCTAGGAATTCACCTGAGAAAATAAGATCCTAGTCCAGTTTTGAGATGACTACAGCCAGGACAGGCACCTGGATTGCAGCTTTGTCAGAAAGTTTGAGCCGGAGGGACCAGCTGAGCAGCATCTGCATTCCCGCACCACAGAAACTGTGAGCCAACAAATGTGTGTTCTTTTATGTGGCCAACTTGGGGATTAATTTCTTTTTGGTTGTTGTTTTTTGAGACGGAGTCTCACTCTGTCGCCCAGGCTGGAGTGCAGCAGCATGATCTCGGCTCACTGCAACCTCCGCCTCCCGGGTTCAAGCAGTTCTCCTGCCTCAGCCTCCTGAGTAGCTGGGACTACAGGCGCCAGCCACCACGCCCGGCTAATTTTTTGTATTTTTAGTAGAGACGGGGTTTCACCATGTTGGACAGGATGGTCTCGGGCTCCTGACCTCGTGATCCACCCGCCTCGGCCTCCCAAAGTGCTGGGATTACAGGTGTGAGCCACTGTGCCCGGCCGCAATTTATTTCATAGCAATAGATAAGAAATACAGAAGGCTAGGGGCCGGGCACGGTGGCTCGCGCCTGTAATCCCAGCACTTTGGGAGGCCGAGGAGGGCGGATCACGAGGTCAGGAGATCAAGACCATCCTGGCTAACATGGTGAAAACCCCTCTCTACTAAAAATACAAAAAATTAGCCGGGCGTAGTGACGGGCGCCTGTAGTCCCAGCTACTCAGGAGGCTGAGGTAGGAGAATGGCGTGAACCCGGGAGGCGGAGCTTGCAGTGAGCCGAGATTGCGCCACTGCACTCCAGCCTGGGAGACAGAGCAAGACTACGTCTCAAAAAAAAAAAAAAAAGAAAAGAAAAAAGAAAGAAATACAGAAGGCCAGGCACGGTGGCTCACGCCTGTAATCCCGGCATTTTGAGAGGCCGAGGCAGGTGGATCACCTGAGGTCAGGGGTTTGAGACCAGACTGGCCAACATGGGAAAACCCTGTCTCTACTAAAAATACAAAATTAGCCGGGCATGGTGGCGCATGCCTGTAATCTCAGCTGATCGGCAGCCTGAGGCAGGAAAATCACTTGAACCCAGGAGGTGGAGGTTGCAGTGAGCTAAGATCACGCCACTGCAGTCTAGCCTGGGCGACAGACTGAGACTCCGTCTGAAAAGAAAGGGAAGGAAGGAAGGAAGGAAGGAAGGGAGGGAGGGAGGGAGGGAGGGAGGCAGGCAGGCAGGGAGGCAGGCAGGGAGGCAGGCAGGGAGGGAGGGAGGAAATATAGAAAAAATGCAAGGCCGAGGAAAGTAGAGCAACCTCTTTAAACAAGTGAAGGAAAAACCCCAGTAAAAATATGTTTCAAAAATGTGGCAAAGTACTTTTCAAGTTATAGAAAAGCTGAAGGAATTCATCACCAGTAGACTTTTAGTACGAAATACGTTAAGGGACATCCTTCAAGCAGAAGGAAAATGATATGAAACAGAAATCTGAATCTACACAAAAGAAGGGCACCAGAAATGGTAACTGTATTGTAAAATATAATATTTTTATTCTTATGCAGTCCTCTTTAAAAGATAAGTGACTGCTTATAGCAAAACAAGTGTATTATGGGTTTAAATAACAGTTATAGATTCAAAATATAGTAGCATAAAGCATGGGCAGGAAGAATGAAGATATACTGTTGGAGGCTCTTACGCTACACTTGAAGGGGTACAATATCACTTGAAAGCAAACTGTGGTAAGTTAAACATGTAAACTATAAACCATAAAGCAACCACTAAAACAACACAACAAAGAGTTATCACAAATATGTCAACAAAGGAGATAAAATGGAATACTAAAAAATACTCAATTATTCCAAAAGAAGGCAAAAAAAGAAAAAAGGAACAATGAACAGATAGAACAAATAGAAACAAATAGCAAGATGGCAGTTTTAAACTAGCCATACAAACAATTTTATTAAATGTAAATGGCCTAACACACGGATATGATTTGGATCTGTGTCTTTAAACAAATCTCATATTGAATTGTAATCCCCAGTGTCACAAGTGGGGCCTAGAAGGAAGTGATTGACTCGTGGGGGTGAATTTCTCATGAATGGTTTAGCACCATGCTCCTTGGTACTGTCCTCCAGGTAGATAGTGAGTTCTTGTGAGATATGATAACTTAAAAGTGGGTAGCATGGGGCCAGGTGCAGTGGCTCACCCCTGTAATCCCAGCACTTTGGGAGGCCTTGGCGGGCAGATCACCTGAGGCCAGCAGTTCGAGACCAGCCTGGTCAACATGGTGAAACCCTGTCTCTACTAAAAATACAAAAATAAGCCAGACATGGTGGTGGGCACCTGTAATCCCAGCTAGTCGGGAGGCTGAGGCAGGAGAATTGCTTCAACCCGGGAGGCGGAGGTTGCAGTGAGCTAAGATTGTGCCACTGAACTCCAGCCTGAGCGACAGAGCAAAACTCTGTCTGAAAAAAAAAGAAAAAAGAAAATATTCTGAACTGAATAAAAAGAAAAACATAGTATATAAAAATTTGCAAGATTTAGGCAAGGTAGTACAGAGAGGGTTTTTTTTGTTTTGTTTTTGTTTTGAGACTGAGTCTCACTCTGTAGCCCCGGTTGGAGTGCAGTGGCACAATCTCGGCTCACTGAAAATTCTGCCTCCTGGTTTCAGGTGATTCTCCTGCCTCAGCCTCCTGAGTAGCTGAGATTACAGGCGCCTACCATCACACCCAGCTAATTTTTGTGTTTTTAGAAGAGACAGGGCTTCACCATGTTGGCCAGGATGGTCTCGATCTCTTGACCTCGTGATCTGCCTGCCACGGCCTTCCAAAGTGCTGGGATTACAGGCGTGAGCCACTGTGCCCGGCCCAAAATTCCAACTTTTTAAAAGTAGAAGTTGATGAGCTGATTATAAAATTCATATGGCAAAGAACCCAAATAACAAAAACAATTTTGAAAAGGAAAAGAAACTGGAGGACTCACACCATGTGACTTCAACATTTCTTGTAAAGCTACCACAATCAAGGTAGGGTGTTACTGGTGTCAAGACAGAAATATAGATCAATGGAACCAAAAAGGAATCCAGAAATAAATAGGCTTACACATTATACTCAATTGATTTCCAACAAACATGTACAATGCAGTTCAGTGGAACAAATTTCCACTTTTCAACAAATGGTGCTGGAACAGTTTATATACCCACACACAAAATAAAAAGAAAGAAAAGAAACTTCAATCCATATTTTACACTATATACCAAAATTAAGCTGAAATGGATAATAAACCTAAATGTAATATATAACATTATGAAACGTCTAAAAAAAAAAAAGGAAATCTTTGCAAGCTTAGGTTAGAAAAAGATTTCTTAGATCCAAGATGAAAATTAAGAAATTCTGCACTTTGAAAGACACACTACTAAGAAAATAGAAAGCCAAGCAACAGACTGGGAGAAAATATATTGCACATCAATTATCTAATAAAGAATTTTTTTTTTCCCAAGATGGAATGTTGCTCTGTCACCCAGAGCTGGAGTGCAATGCTGTGATCTCGGCTCACTGTAATGTCCACCTCCCGGGTTCAAGCAATTCTCCTGCCTTAGTCTCCCGAGTAGCTGGGATTACAGGCATGTGCCACCATGCCTGGCTAATTTTGTATTTTTAGTAGAGATGGAGTTTCACCATGTTGGGCAGGCTGGTCGCTAACTCCTGACCTCGTGATCCGCCCACTTCAGCCACCAAAAGTGCTGGGATTACAGGCATGAGCCACTGCGTGCAGCCTTAAAGAACTTTCATCTAGAATACATACAGAATTTTCAAAATCAATAATAGAAAAATAAACCCAATAAAAATGGGAAACAATTTGAAAAATAATTTCATCAAAAGATATATGTATGGCAAGAACATGAAATGTTCATCAAGAGGGATGAACATTAATACCACAAGATATCATTATATGCCATTAGAGTGGCTAAAGTGAAACAGACTGACCAAATCAAAACCACAGTAATACCAGTTCACACCTGCTGGAATGACTAGAATAAAACAGATGGACCCAAGTATTGGCAAGGAGGTAAAGGAGCTGAAAGTCTCCTGTACTGCTGTTGGGAATGTAAAATATACAACCAGATCATAATATAGTTTGGTGGTTTGTAAAACATGGGCGGTGTGGTAGCTCACACCTGTAATCCCAGCACTTCAGGAGGCCAAGGTGTATGGATTACCTGAAGTCAGGAGTTTGAGACCAGCCTGGCCAACATAGTAAAACTCTGTCTCTACTAAAAAAATACAAAAATTAGCCGAGTGTGGTGGCAGCCTTCTGTTATCCCAGCTATTCAGGAGGCTGAGGCAGGAGAATCGCTTGAACCTGGGAAGCGGAGGTTGCAGTGAGCCAAGATCTCGCCATTGCACTCCAGCCTGGGTGACATAGTTAAGCATAGGCTGGGCACAGCGGCTGAGGCCTGTAATCCCACAATTTTGGGAGGCTGAGGCGGGTGTATCACGAGGTCAGGAGATCGAGACCATCCTGCCAACATGGTGAAACCTCTTCTCTACTGAAAATACAAAAATTAGCTGGGCGTGGTGGCACATGCCTGTAATCCCAGCTATTCGGGAGGCCGAGGCAGGAGAATTGCTTGAACCCAGGAGGCAGAGGTTGCAATGAGCTGAGATCGCGCCACTGCACTCTAGCCTGGCAACAGAGCAAGACTCCATCTCAAAAAAAAAAAAAAAATTAAAAAAAAATTAAGCATATGACCTAGCCATTCCACTCCTAGGTGTTTACCCAAGAGAAATGAAAGCACATGTTCATAGGAATGCTTATAAACAAACATTTAAAACAACTTTATTTGTAACAGCCCCAAAACTGGAAACAACTCAAATGTCTACCACAGGCAAATGCATAGATTGTGCATTCATAGTAGTACCCATACAATGGATCCTACTGAGCAGTTAAAAGAAATGAACTATGGGTGTATACGGCATGGATAATTTTTTTTTTTTTTTTTTTTGAGACGTAGTCTTGCTCTGTCACCCAGGCTGGAGTGTCTTGCTCTGTCACCCAGGCTGGAGTGCGGTGGCCCCATCTCGGCTCACTGCAAGCTCCGCCTCCCGGGTTCATGCCATTCTCCTGCCTCATCCTCCCGGGTAGCTGGGACTACACGTGCCCGCCACCACACCCAGCTAATTTTTTGTATTTTTAGTAGAGACGGGGTTTCACCGTGTTAGCCAGGATAGTCTCGATCTCCTGACCTCGTGATCCGCCCTCCTCGACCTTCCAAAGTGCTGGGATTACAGGCGTAAGCCGCCGCGCCCAGCTCGCATGGATGAATTTCAAAATAATTATGTTGAGTAAAAGAAGCCAGACAAAATGAGTACATACTATATGATTCCATTTACATAAAATTATAGACTATGCCAAATAATCTAGTGACAGAAAGCAGATAAATCATTGCCTGGAAATGGGGGTGAGTACATGGGAGCTTGGAGGGACCAGAGGAATGACAAAGGGGCCTGAGCAAACCTTAACTGGGAGTATGAACAGTTCATCACCACACATACGTGTATTCTTATTTTGGACAATATCCTTAAAATATAGTCCCCCAAGCTGGGCGCGGTGGCTCACTTGTAATCCCAGGACTTTGGGAGGTTGAGGCAGGCAGATCCCTTGAGTTTAAGAGTTTTGATACCAGCCTGGGCAACATGGGGAGACCCCTTCTCTACTAAAAATACAACAATTAGCCGGGAGTGGTAACACATGCCCGTAATCCCAGCTGTTCGGGAGGCTGAGGCAAGAGACTCTCTTGAACCTGGGAGGTGGAGGTTGCAGTGAGCCGAGATCATGCCACTGGACTCCAGCCTGGGCAACAGAGTGAGACTCTGTCTCAAAAAAAAAAACAAAACAAAAAAAGAGGGAGCGGGGTGGGCTGGGCGCAGTGGCTCAAGCCTGTAATCCCAGCACAGCACTTTGGAAGGCCGAGGCGGGCGGATCATGAGGTCAGGAGATGGAGACCATCCTGGCTAACCTGGTGAAACCCCGTCTCTCCTAAAAATACAAAAAAATTAGTCAGGCGTGGTGGCGGGCACCAGTACTCCCAGCTACTCGGTAGGCTGAGGCAGGAGAATGGTGTGAACCCAGGAGGTAGAGCTTGCAGTGAGCTGAGATCACACCACTGCACTCCAGCCTGGGCGACAGAGCAAGACTCCATCTCGGAAAAAATAAATAAATAAATAAGCCAGATGTGGTGGTGCACACCTATAGTCCTAACTACTCAGGAGGCTAAGGCAGAAGGATTGCTTGAGCCCAAGAGTTTGAAGTTGCAGTGAGCAGTGTTTGCGCCACTGCACTCCAGCTTGGGTGACAGAATGAGACCCTGTCTTATGAACAAATAAAGTCCCCCAAATTAGGCACCAGGGTACTTAACATTTTATATGTAACATTTTTTTTTGAGACTGAGTCTCACTCTCGCCCAAGCTGGGATTCAATGGCGTGGTCTCGGCTCACTGCAACCTCTGCCTCCTGGTTTCAAGCGATTCTCCCACCTCAGCCTCCCAGGTAGCTGGGACTACAGGCGCATGCCACTACACCCAGCAAATTTTTGTATTTTTAGTAGAGACGGGGTTTCACTATGTTGGCCAGGCTGGTCTCAAACTCCTGACCTTGTGATCCACCTGCCTCGGCCTCTCAAAGTGCTAGGATTACAGGTGTGAGCCACCGTGCCCGGCCAACATTTTATATATAACTTTTTTATAGCTTATGTTACGTGCAATTAGATACCTACCAAAAGAAGTACGAGTGTTACTTGTGGCTTCGAACCTACCAGATTTCTGTGTAGTTTCTACCTCAGGTTTTGTTCACACTGAAGTCATGTACCTGACTGTTGTGCACAGTGAACGTGCTTGGCATAGAAATCAGAAAATGGGGAAAGATTTTACCTCAGAAGTATGGTCCTCATAGCAGACATTTTCCTTCGAGTCCAGAGTGGCAGCTGTGTAACCTGGTCATCCTACCACTGAGAATTGCAGTGTATTCTGTCACCCCATGGACCTGGTCTTGTCCATGACAGTTTTGACAAATAAGAGACGTGATGCCATGTGGTTTCCAAGGCTACAGAAGCTGCAAAGCATTCACCTGGGTCTCTTAGGACTCTTGCTCTAGGGAAAGCTGGCTGCGTGGAATAACTCACCTAGTCATTTTGTGAGAAAATCCAAACAAGTCCTGGCATGATGCTGTGTGGAAATGTCCAATGCGCCTTGGAGGTGCCATCCATATCAGCCTGGGTGCCAGGCATGTGGGAGAGCAAGTCTTCAGATCACTCTGGCCTCACACGTCATCTAACCTAACCACACCCAAATGGGAGATCCCATCTGAGAACAGCGGAGCCTGAGCCTGTCTCCAGACTCAGGAGGGATAGTAATAAGTTGTTTGAAGACCCTAGGTTTTGGAGTGGTTTGTGATACAGCAATAGATAATCAGAACAGTAGCAAAAATGTATTTAAGGCAAACCTGGCAGGTCTTTGGCTGGGGAACACTTCTTTTTGCAGGGTTTTGCTCTGTTGCCCAAGCTGGAGTGCAGTGGCACGATCTTGGCTCACTTGCAGCCTCGACCTCCTGGGCTCAAGTGATCCTCTTGCTGAGTAGCTGGGACTACATTAGTGCATCACCATAACTTCCATTGTGAACTTTAATTAATATGGGTATCTCCGATGTGTGAAAGAAAGTATGGAAAACAAATTAATTGAAAGGGAGAAAGAATGTGGAATGGAAAAGTTAAAATACAAGTGAAAAGATGCTGAAAATGATCATTTTTTGGTAACTGAGTAACAGGACATGGGTAACTTTTTTTCTACTTAAAAATTAATCACCTCTCCCTCTCCCTCTCCCGTCTCCCTCTCCCTGTCCCTCTCCCCACAGTCTCCCTCTCCCTCTCTTTCCACGGTCTCCCTCTGATGCCGAGCCGAAGCTGGACTGTACTGCTGCCATCTCGGCTCACTGCAACCTCCCTGCCTGATTCTCCTGCCTCAGCCTGCCGAGTGCCTGGGATTGCAGGCGCGTGCCGCCACACCTGACTGGTTTTCGTATTTTTTTGGTGGAGACGGGGTTTCGCTGTGTTGGCGGGGCCGGTCTCCAGCTCCTAACCGCGAGTGATCCGCCAGCCTCGGCCTCCCGAGGTGCCGGGATTGCAGACGGAGTCTCGTTCACTCAGTGCTCAATGGTGCCCAGGCTGGAGTGCAGTGGCGTGATCTCGGCTCGCTACAACCTCCACCTCCCAGCCGCCTGCCTTGGCCTCCCAAAGTGCCGAGATTGCAGCCTCTGCCCGGCCGCCACCCCGTCTGGGAAGTGAGGAGCGTCTCTGCCTGGCCGCCATCCCCATCTAGGAAGTGAGGAGCGTCTCTGCCCGGCCGCCCATCGTCTGAGATGTGGGGAGCGCCTCTGCCCCGCCGCCCCGTCTGGGATGTGAGGAGCCCCTCTGCCTGGCTGCCCAGTCTGGAAAGTGAGGAGCTTCTCTGCCCGGCCGCCATCCCATCTAGGAAGCGAGGAGCGCCTCTTCCCGGCCGCCATCCCCGTCTAGGAAGTGAGGAGCATCTCTGCCCGGCCGCCCATCGTCTGAGATGTGGGGAGCGCCTCTGCCCCGCCGCCCCGTCTGGGATGTGAGGAGCGCCTCTGCCCGGCCGCGACCCTGTCTGGGAGGTGAGGGGCGTCTCTGCCCGGCCGCCCCGTCTGAGAAGTGAGGAGACCCTCTGCCTGGCAGCCGCCCCGTCTGGGAAGTCAGGAGCGTCTCCGCCTGGCAGCCGCCCCGTCCGGGAGGGAGGTGGCGGGGTCAGCCCCCCACCCCCCCCAGCCGCCCCGCCCGGGAGGGAGGTGGTGGGGTCAGCCCCCCGCCCGGCCAGCCGCCCCGTCCGGGAGGGAGATGAGGGGCGCCTCTGCCCGGCCGCCCCTACTGGGAAGTGAAGAGCCCCTCTGCCCAGCCGCCACCCCGTCTGGGAGGTGTACCCAACAGCTCATTGAGAACGGGCCATGATGACAATGGCGGTTTTGTGGAATAGAAAGGGGGGAAAGGTGGGGAAAAGATTGAGAAATCGGATGGTTGCCATGTCTGTGTAGAAAGAAGTAGACATGGGAGACTTTTCATTTTGTTCTGTACTAAGAAAAATTCTTCTGCCTTGGGATCCTGTTGATCTGTGACCTTACCCCCAACCCTGTGCTCTCTGAAACATGTGCTGTGTCCACTCAGGGTTAAATGGATTAAGGGTGGTGCAAGATGTGCTTTGTTAAACAGATGCTTGAAGGCAGCATGCTCGTTAAGAGTCATCACCACTCCCTAATCTCAAGTACCCAGGGACACAAACACTGCGGAAGGCCGCAGGGTCCTCTGCCTAGGAAAACCAGAGACCTTTGTTCACTTGTTTATCTGCTGACCTTCCCTCCACTATTGTCCTATTACCCTGCCAAATCCCCCTCTGCGAGAAACACCCAAGAATGATCAATAAAAAAAAAAAAAATTAATCAATGCAGATTTTTTTTTTTTTTTTTTGACGGAGTCTTGCTCTGTTGCCAGGTTGGAGTGCAGTGGCACGATCTTGGTTCACTGCAATCTCCACCTCCCAGGTTCAAGTGATTCTCCTGCCTCAGCCTCCCGAGTACCTGGGATTACAGATGCATGCCACCATGCCTGGCTAATTTTTGTATTTTTAAAAGAGATGGGTTTTCACCATGTTGGCCGGGTTGGTCTCAAACTCCTGACCTTGTGAACTGCCCCCCTCAGCCTCCCAAAGTGCTGGGATTACAGGCGTGATCCACTGCGCCCGGCCAATACAGATTTAAAAAAAAAAAAACAAACCAGACATTTTTAACTTAAAGAAGATGATGATTCCAGGTAAAATCATAAATTGGTATCATCAGCCAGGCACAGTGGCTCACGTCTGTAATCCCAGCACTTTGGGAGGCCAAGGTGGGAAGATTGCTTGAGCTCAGGAGTTCGAGACCAGCCTGGGCAACATGGAGAGAATCTCTTTAAAAAATAAAATAAAATATAAATAAATTGGTGTAACCCCTTTGGAAACCAGTACGACTACCCATTCAGCATTCTAATTTTAGGTATATCGGTAGTTGCAGATGTTGTCCACAGACATGGGGAAGAATGCTCATGAAGCACCTTCTATTTACCCACAAAAATTTAAAATAAAAAAGCTTTTAAAAGAAAAAAAAAATATGGGTATCTCCAAGCAAATGAGTAAAGAAAACTTGTATTTATTTTTCTGACATTAAAATGGGTACTATTTTGGCTAAATATATACTAGTTTTATTTTGCTGCTAACTTCACTTTGGAACTAACAAGTTGATATTTAATGTAAATATAATCCACTTCCATTCTGCTACTACCATTTTAAATAACAACAAAGATGCCAGATTTCAATGACTAGGGGAGAGCTGGGGGAAAAGGATAAATTGTAAGGATCTAAGAAGGCAGGAAAAGTGCATTTATTGCCTAAATAGGGTGTCAACAATGCTTTACATTGTGACCTTATCACAAAGAATACTATACTCTCTGTGGCAAAATCAATCATGGCAACATGCTAGCTCTAGAGAGAAGCAGCCATGTTTCATTTTTATCCTCAAAGGCTAATCAGCTTACAAACATAAAATACCAGCCTAAATCAACATGAAATCTACCACCAGTACTGGAAAAAAACCAAATACTACTCCTGACTTACACTCACTGCAACCTCCGCCTCCTGGGTTCAGCAATTCTCCTGCCTCAGCTTCCCAAGTAGTTGGGACTACACATGCATGCCACCACGCCCAGCTAATTTTTGGATTATTTATTTACTTACTTATTTATTTATTTATTGGCTGGAGTGCAGTGGCGCAATCTCGGCTCACTGCAACCTCCGTCTCCTGGGTTTAAGTAATTCTCCTACCTCAGCCTCCTGAGTAGCTGGGATTACAGATGCGTGCCACCAAGCCTGGCTAATTTTTGCATTTTTAGTAGAGACAGGGTTTCACCACATTGGCCAGGCTGGTCTTGAACTCCTGACCTCAGGTAATCCGCCAGCCTCGGCCTCCCAAAGTGTTGGGATTACAGGCATGAACCACCGCACCTGGCCAATTGTATTTTTAGTAGAGACGGGGTTTCACCGTGTTGGCCAGGCTGGTCTTGAACTACTGACCTCAGGTGATCTGCCTGTCTTGGCTTCCCAAAGTGCTGGGATTACAGGCATGTGCCACCGCTCCCAGCCAGTGACATAATCTTTAAATTGATAGGACATAATGGCAAGTCTCAAAGGTGAGTGGAAGAATATCACCAATTATGAAGTATATTTGTCAGAGTTTAAGAGCAGAAAAAAGAAATCTAGGCTGAATTTTTATACAAGTCTTTATTTACAACTTGTTTAACAACTGTACACTTTTTGCAGCCTTGAAAACATTTTTGTACTTGAATGGGAAAATATAGTTTGACCAAATCTTAACTTTATTCTTCATATACATATACATATATTATATGCATACATATAAACACATACATATAATTAATACCGTAACAAGTTGGCAGTCGTAAAATTAAAATGAGTAAATGATATCAAAAGGAAATACAAGATTTCAAAAACACTAAAAATCCATCTTCTGGTGGTTTCCTGGACTTTATGTTTTTGTGATTTTAGTTGAAATTTCTTACTGAGGCTCTGTAACAAGTCATTCACCTCAGAAAAACAGCCAGAAAACCCACCAATCTCAACACATAGTAAATGGTTGGAAAACTCAGTAAACAGGTGGAAAAATGCTTGGACATCATTATGTACAACACTGCTAAATCTGTATTTCATTTTTGAAGTGAGAAGTTCCAAGTCTGATGTGGACATTGTTTTTGGATTATAATGACAAAGAATGAAATTCTGAAAAATGTAAATTCAATACTCAATCAGAAATAAGAATATACCTAGCAATATCCTTTTTGCAAAGACTAAAATGCAAGGTGGATTACTACAATGTCAAATATGAAACTAACAACAATTCACAGAACAATCAATGGTACTTAAGACATGAATATAAGGCTTCAGAGTTGGGGCTGTACTCAATACAACTCCAGCTCCAATGTACTAAGGTTTCATCCAGCTCATCTAAAAAGTTTTAAAAATACTACAGGGGGAAAAAAAAGCCTCTTTCTATCCCCAAGTTTTTTGATATAATTTATTAATCAAACTAAGGCAAATTATTATTAGATATGTTTGAATTTTACTATTCATTTCATAATCAAAAATTGAGTATTGTAAATGGTGGGCAATTGTCAAAACATGAAAACTGCAAAACAAGATAAGCCTAGAAATTATTTTCTAAGTACAAAGCATTCTGAATTACACAGAACCTGTAAACAGCAAAGTTCATGACAGCGATGATATTTTAGTGCATTTGAATTATAAATAACTAAGGCTGTTAAAAAATAAAAGATTTGGGCCGGGCGCAGTGGCTCATGCCTGTAATCCCAGCACTTCAGGAGGCCAATGCGGGCAGATCACGAGATCAAGAGATCGAGATCATCCTGGCCAACAAGGTGAAACCCCGTCTCTACTAAAAATACAAAAATTAGCTGGATGTGGTGGCATGTGCCTGCAGTCCCAGTTACTTGGGAGGCTGAGGCAGGAGAATAGCTTGAACCTGGGAGGCGGAGGTTGCAGTGAGGCGAGATCGTGCCACTGCTCCAGCCTGGTGACACAGCAAGACTCCGTCTCAAAAATAAATAAATAAATAAATAAAAGATTGCTGTTAAAGACATTAAAAGGCCCCAAATCACTGATTAGCATTTGTGTACAGTCATTTCTTGTATTTAGAGTAAAATGCTATTTCTTATTTCAAGCATATTGAAAACGTCCCTTAACTAATATGAATCGCTACAGAACACATACTAAAGTAGGTCACCAAGAAGATAATAAACTGAAGTCACACCACTTACTCATCTGTACTTGAACTACAATAAGAATCATCATAACTTGCTTGGAATTCGACACTGCTGGATCAAGTCTGTTGCTTGATTACAAAAATTTAAAGAGAAAGAAGAAAGCATCAAGATTTCCTAACAAAATAATTGTAAGCACCAAGCTGACTCAAAAGGATTATGGTTAGTCCCTTATTTCCATTAAAAAATTTAGACATGTTACTATAGATCCATTTAGTTATGTTAAGCACTTTAGTAGCAGGCCAAGTAAATTAATACATATTTTTAAATGTTTTCATTAGCTAAGTCACTGGAATAGTAAATGCCTTATACATAAAACTTAATTTGATTCATAATACAAGTTAATAAGAGCAGGAAGTTATGAAGATAAAAAAATTGTTTGCATCTTGATGTACCTTTGAGGTGGACTTTCAGGGGAAATGTTTAAGGGACAGAAACAAAAAAAACTGTTGGCAATGTTCATTAGATCTATATAAATTTAAAAGGAAGGATATCATTAAATCTATCAATCTTTATTTGAAATAAGCATTCATATGAATTTGCCTGATAAATGTTAACTATATAACATCAATTTATATTATTTTTTTTTAGAGACAGGGGTCTTGCTTTGCCACCCAGGCTGGAGTGCAGTCAGGTGTGATCAGACCTTACTGCAGCCTGAACCTCCTGGGCTTAAGCGATGCTCCTGCCTCGACCTCTGGAGTAGCTGGGACTACAGGCATGAGCTACCATGCCCAGCTAATATCAATTTTAAAAGAGTTTACATAAAAAGGGAAAAAACACTGAAGATATTAAGAAATGATTTATAAAATGATTTTATCACTTGAAAAATAAAGTATTGAGAATCTGTTCTTAGAAAAATATATACTGAAGACTAGCTTAAAGGAATGGGGTTTTGATTTTTTCCAAGGTCTTTAAAAAGGATTAGTATTAATTTTTATAACAGAAAAACTTTCTCTAAGTATGGTGGTAAAATCTCAGAGTTGTCTTAAGTTACTTCACTGCCTTTATTTTGTCCTTATTTTCTCTCTGGGCAATAAAAGTGCTGTTGAATAGCATTTTTGGCAATACTGGAAATGTTCTATACCTGTACTGTCTGATAGGTAACTACTATCCACATGTGACTGTGGAACACTTGAAATGTGGCTAGGCCACTGAGAAACTATAGTTTTAATTTTACTTAATTTTAACTGTCACATGTGGCTACTGAATAATCTACTCTTGTCTAGGTTAACAAGAAGACAATGGAAGTTAAGATACTTAGAGACTTAATCATTCAACAATTAATTAGTGGAAGATATTCAGAACATTGTATTTCGTCCTTATGTGTTATGTTTCACTTTTAATTTTCTAATTTGGGAGAGAAAAAAAGCAGTCCTTTCCCTCAAAGGCCAGGGTCTAGACTTCTCTATTCCAGCGTTGCTCTCTTCTAGATGAGCTTCTCATGCAAAGCACGTCAGTAGAACAGGGGGTAAGGTAGAAGAGAAACGTTTTGTACTTTAAAAGCATGTCTCTCATCTACAAACAGAACAAATGACAGAATGTTCTCATAAGCAAATCTCTCTATTCTTTGGCAGTAATTGTGTCCATATTTATGTAACATAATAAACAAGTATTTCAGTATTTTTGAACTATGATTTGAATATTAATATACTCAAGTTACAAATGTAGAAGTCCTGGCTCCTAAAGAAAGTCTCTCGGTAGACAAGTTGAAAACTTTGCTATATATGAATGTAAGAAAATGGCCAAGTTCACTGGGCATGGTGGCTCACGCCTATAATAATCCCAGCACTTTGGGAGGCTGAGGCGGGTGGATTACCTGAGGTCAGGAGTTCAAAACCAGCCTAGCCAATATGGCGACACCCTGTCTTTACTAAAAATACAAAAATTAGTTGGGCGTGGTGGTGGGCACCTGTAATCCTAACTACTCGGGAGGCTGAGGTGGGAGAATCACTTGAAACCGGGAGGTGGAGGCTGCAGTGAGCTGAGATTGTGCCACTGCACTCCAGCCTGGGCAACAGAGTGAGACTCAGAGTGAGACTCCATCTCAAAAGAAAAAAAAAGAAAAAAGAAAACAGCTGAGTTCATAAAACCTATCTGTTACAGGGGAACTCAGAATGCTTTTGCAGCCTGCCATCTTTAGTGCCTGCCTTTCCAGTCACCTCTTCCCCACCATTTTCCTGATCCTCCGACTTGACAGCTCCCAGAACTTGGCTTTCCTGTCTTTTAGGTACATGCAGTGACGGAGGCACTGCTGAAGTTAGGGGCAATCTGCAGGTTTGTGTTTCAGGAGGCAGGCAAACCAAAGGTAAGAACATCTTCTGATTAACTGTAAGATGGGATAATTTTTATGAATACAACTTCAGAAAGCATCAAGTTTCAAGGGTGTTTGCGTTTGAAAGGATTTGGCTTCTAAGTATTACATTATAAAAGAGTCTTCTTAAGGAGACATGTAAAAAGTAACTCATATCCAGTAGCTCCAACCCAGCTTCCAACAGATTTCTAGACTTAGACCTTTAGATTCCTGACTCTAAGATAACAGAAAATGCCAGAAAGGTAGAGGGGAAGAGGGAAAATAATGATCTAATATTAGTAAAGTGCTACAAATTTTGCAGTAAAATATACTACATAAATGACTAGAAGTAACAGTAAATAATATTAAGATACTATATAAAGACTATATATTAAGACACTAAATAAAATACACACACTATAGAATGTACACGGAGTAATCACTACCCATGGGTTGACAAATACACCAGAATAAACATGAGTCCTTTTTATTAATTTTACAACATAACTGCTAAAGTAATTATTTTCCTTCATCAAGCTAGTTACCACTCAAGTGTTAACGCCTACCTGGAAGTCTCCCATGTTAAAGCCTCAACATGCTTTGGTAGTCTTCTTTCTCTCAAGTAGGAGTTGCTTTTCTCATGATACCTAATTCTTCCTCTAAGCTCTAAGTAGATATAATTCGGATTTGATAGTCCCATGGGCCCAAACTTTGAGGCCGTGGACACCTCTGATTTCACCTTTATCAGGTAAATAATGGCACAATGTTGAATATACTTTAAAAATGTCTACTTTTGCCTTCATTTAAAACAAAACTGTGTGGGGCTACTGTGTGTAAGTAAGAAGGACATAAAATTGAGCCTATGGCTTGCAAACTAGATAAAGCAGATCTAGATAACACCAAGTTGGTCACGATTTTCAGCCACCGCAGATTTCTTCTCATCTCATCAAATCATAGTATCCTTGGCGACCTAAAATCACTTTCTCAGCTTTAGTAATAGCCAAACAGTCTCAAAATGAAAATAAGTGTTTTTCCCTTTACTAGTAAACATATACAACTACATTATGCACCTAGTTAATACTCAATGAAGGGAAGGACAATTAGAAAATAAATTAGATATTTGTTTACTCTTTTACTGAATAATCATGTAATACAGAGGATTTTAGGCAAACTATTGCTTTGGGAACATCTGTTTAGATAATGCAAGTTTTCATTGTATTAGGACTTCCCTCTGCCTGCATATTTGTTTATAATTAGGCTATTTCTTATCCCAATGATCCACTCCACTTTCTAGGAATGAATTTGCCTTAATAGCCTTCCATTATGTTCTTAGGTTTCTATACTCATGCAAACACACACAGCATGCAAACCGAGTCTTACAGAGTATTACTGGAAATTATAAGAAAACAGAAAACTTCTGAAGAGACATCAAGTAATTCCTGATCTATATCTATATATTTATCTATCATAGGAAAACATTTATAACCCCCCACAATCACCAAAACTCATATACTTGCCATAATTAGGTACAGGTCTCTTGTTTCTCAAACAAATGTCCCTTTCTCTATCATTTCAGTCAATGTGGAGAATCCAAGGATGCCCATGTTTTAAGTCAACATGAATTAAATGTTTTATAAGTTTCTATAGTCATATAGATAATACATGTGAAATGGTTTGATAAAAGGCTATTTAAAAAATAAAATCATCTATATATACTTCCCCAGAAAATCATCAGTGATTTAAAAGAGATGGATGCCACCCCATTTGTGCTGCCCCTTGTTTTCTAGAAAGGAAGCTAAATATTAATACTTCGGTAATTTGAGGGATTGGGTGGAAATTAGCTCTGTTAGCATATTATGTTATGTTTTTTAGGCTTCTGGGAACTGAACAGCATTTGCTGCAAAACTTTAGACCACTTCTGTGTTAAAACTGGACAATAAAACATTTTCAACAAAAGGAACATACACCAATTATTATTTAAATATTCTTTATAGATAGAAAATAAAAAATTAGACGACAGATACATTGAGAATAGCCTTCCTCATAGAAAAAACTTCATGATATAAAACATTCAAATCATTATTATAGTTATCAAGAATAAGCTCTGAAACCTCCTTCTAAATGTAATGAAACTAGGTTGGATAATTACCAAAAGAAACTGCCATTTTGACAGAATGATAGGAAGAGAGATTATCCTTATTGAATGGAAAATCCTTCTAATTTATAAAAATGAAAAAATAGAAAAAATGATAAAATAATTTTCAAAGATTCTGACATCCCATTTGATTTTGCTCAGAATAGTCTTTCATCCTACTGTATGGTATTACACAGGCTTCACTGTTGAGAAGTACAATGCTACATCAGTTTGACGGCCACTGCTAGGCAAAGAATCCCTTCATAATATAAGAATAAAAACTCAAAATATTCTTCTACAGTTTCATGAATAGACAACAAAAAGCACTTTGTCTTCATGTTGTTATTTTGCCCTCAGCAAAAAGCAAGATACCAAGCACTTTCCTCTCACTTTAGAAACAAAGATGTTCTTATCCACGTGGCTGTAAACTAGCTCGGTTTCCACTAGCTGTGGGTTGTGGATGCTTTCTCAGATAAATCACACATGATCCAACTGGGGATAACTGGAGTTATCCTGGACTCAGAGATCTAGATAATAGGAGACTAAATGCAGAGTTAAGAGAATTTTTAAAAGTAATTTAGATTTTTGTTTCAAGATAATTCTTATATTGGGATAAAGACTTCCAAGTTTTTAACATGCTGTTATCATTAAAATGACAGGTGAATTTTTGTGAGGGAGCAGGAGAGGCTGAAAAATATTTCAAACAATTACTTAGCAAACGAGAATAAACCAAACTGCTACTTTCGAAAAGGAAATAGGAGGCTGGGGCAGTAACACACGCCTGTAATCCCAGCACTTTGGGAGGCCAAGGTGGACGGATCACCTGAGGTCAGGAGTTAGAGACCAGCCTGGCCAACATGGTGAAACCCCGTCTCTTTGTATTTTGTAAAAATACAAAAATTAGCTGGGCGTGGTGGCAGATGCCTGTAATCCTAGCTACTAGGGAGGATGAGGCAGGAGAATCGCTTGAACCTGGTAGGCAGAGTTTGCAGTCAGCCAGGATCGTGCCTCTGCACTCCAGCCTGGGGGAGGGGAGGGGAAGGGAAGGGAAGGAAGAAAGGAGGGAGAAAAGAAAAGAAAAGAAAAAAGAAAAGAAGGGAAGGAAGGAAGGAAGGAAGGAAGGAAGGAAGGAGGAAGGAAGGAGAGATAGCAAAGTGGCTCATCAATAAAATGTATATTTTCTTCAACCTAGCTCATCTTTCACTTAACACTCACTCACTACTGATCTATTTGCACAGCACGGATTTTCATTCTTCTGTGAGAACTACTGGAATATACAGGCTGATGTTTCTTTTTTTTTTTTTTTTTTTTTTTGAGATGGAGTCTCACTCTGTGGCCCAGGCTGGAGTGCAGTGGCACAATCTCGGCTTACTGCAACCTCCACCTCCTGGGTTCACATGATTCTCCTGCCTCAGCCTCCCAAGTAGCTGGGATCACAGGCGCCTGCCACCATGCCTGGCTAATACTGTATTTTTAGTAGAGATGGGGTTTCACCATATTAGCCAGGCTGGTCTTGAACTCCTGACCTCAGGTGATCCGCCTGCCTTGGCCTCCCAAAGTGCTGGGATTACAGGCGTGAGCCACCGCACCTGGCCACAGGCTGATGTTTCTGACTGGATAACATTTAGCTTAATTTTGTACAGTTGAGCTTTTATTATATTAACAATAAAACCTCAACAAAATTACAGACAGCAATTTCATCCTTATTATAGTCTAATAATCTAATTAAAACACTTAGGTTAAGGATGTCTAATAGAAATGTCAATCTTGGTAAATTTTGGAACACAGGGTCTTTAGGGACTTTTTTCTGCATTACTATCAAATAGACAAATGGTAAAAGATATGACGGAGTTTTTCAAAGTTCTTTAAAAATATGTACAATTGTATACTTGATTCTCTTTTCAGATATTATACACTACTATATTTTCTGGATTACAAACTTCTGAAATACACACTGTGGAACATAAATGCTAGGTTTTAATATTCTTTAGTTCTTTACTTTGTATTTTCTCACCCTGGTTAGAAGGAAAACAGAAAATGATCTTCCTGTTTATAAGACTTCAGACACTGTGGTGACAGTGTGCTCCAACCCAACACAGCAACCCTGTACTTGCTCCATGCTGGTGCCTGGACAAGCTCCACTGCACAAGCCAACGTGGCCCCAGGAAGGTGCTGTATGCGAGAGTTTGTAAAAATACAGCACAGCATCACTCACGATGAGGCAAAGCTCCTAGTGACTTTAAATTTCCAGATAGACCAGACAACATCACGAATCTCCTGAGGAATCATTAATCATTACTAGAGAAACAGAAACGTCATAAACCCTGTCCAAAGCTGGACACCGGACATGGAGTTGCCACCGTTAGAGCTAAATTTTATTCTTGGCTTTCTGATACCTAAAGTATATTCAGAAGTTTTTTTTTTTTTTTTTTTTACAACAGCCTGTTTTGTTTTTAAACATCATAAAATGTTTAGAAATATAATTTCTCCTATGTAATGAAACTAATACACTGAATTTTATAGGTAAAAGAGAATGAAAATTATAAATGTAGGCTGGGCGCGGTGGCTCACGCCTGTAATCCCAGCACTCTGGGAGGCTGAGGCGGGTGGATCACGAGGTCAGGAGATCGAGACCATCCTGGCTAACATGGTGAAACCCCGTCTCTACTAAAAAATACAAAAAATTAGTCGGGCGTAGTGGCGGGCGCCTGTAGTCCCCGCTACTCAGGAGGCTGAGGCAGGAGAATGGCGTGAACCCGGGAGGCGGAGCTTGCAGTGAGCCGAGATCGCGCCACTGCACTCCAGCCTGGGTGACAGAGCGAGACATCATCTCACAAAAAAAAAAAAAAGAAAGAAAATTATAAATGTAAACATCAAAATAATAGCATACAACAGATGCTGAAGAAAAGTCAGAAGTACGACTGGGCGCGGTGGCTCGTGCCTGTAATCTCAGCACTTTGGGAGGCCGAGGTGGGTAGATCACGAGGTCAGGAGTTTGAGACCAGCCTGGCCAACATGGTGAAACACCATCTCTACTAAATTACAAAAATTAGCCAGCCATGGTGGTGGGCACCTGTAATCCCAGCTACTCTGGAGGCTGAGGCAGGAGAATTGCTTGAACCCGGGAGGCAGAGGCTGCAGTGAGCCGAGATCATGCCACGGCACTACAGCCTGGGTGACGGAACGAGGCTCCGTCTCGGGGGGAAAAAAAAGTCAGAAGTAAAACTCCCCTCTAAAAGCCTGGGGCCTTTCCAACCCAGATAGAGAAAAAATATCTGGGTAGGTGGATGGGTAGGAGATTAGGACTGGGGCTGTAAATAGAAAATGAAAATGAAAACCTCTCATCTCACAGAACAAAATTCATTCAGTGAGTAGTTCACAGACTGTTTTTTTTTTTTTTTTTTTTTTTTTTTTTCTTGCGACAGAGTTTCGCTCTTGTCGCCAGGCTGGGGTGCAATGGCGCCATCTCGGCTCACTGCAATCTCTGTCTCCCAGGTTCAAGCAATTCTCCTGCCTCACCCTCCCAAGTAGCTGGGACTACAGGCACACACCACCATGCCTGGCTAATTGTTTGTATTTTTAGTAGAGACGGAGTTTCACCATGTTGGACAGGCTGGTCTGGAAGTCCTGACCTCAGATGATGTGCCTGTCTCGGCCTCCCAAAGTGCTGGGATTATACGCGTGAGCCACTGCACCTGGCTGTTGTTTTCATCCATCATATTCTGCAGGTACAATTTTCCCAAAATTTTAACTTACCAAGGTTAGTGCTCATATTCCAATTTGATTGATTGATTGATTGACTGATTGAGACAGAGTCTCACTCTGTCGCCCAGGCTGGAATGCAGTGGTGCGATCTCAGCTCACTGCAGTCTCTGGCTCCTGAGTTCAAGTGACTCTCCTGCCTCAGCCTCCCAAGTAGCTGGGATTACAGCCACATGCCACCATGCCCAGCTAATTTTTGTAATTTAGTAGAGATGGGGTTTCACCATGTTGGCCAGGCTGGTCTCAAACTCCTGACCTCAAGTGATCCACCCCCACCTAGGTCTCCCAAATGGTGAGATTGCAGGCGTGAGGCACCACGTCTGGCCCCAATTTGCTTTAAAAATAGTTGGATCCTCAGGCTATTTGTGAAACACGGGTAGAGGTAAGAACCGTCTGAAAGTTTTTAATCTTTTACTTTGGAAACTTTGCAGTTGATCAGGTCTGCGTAGCCTCCTGAAGCCCTACAGCAGTTCTACTCATGGCTATCTCCATTTATCCCTAACTTCTGCTGCTTTGTGGTCCTGTCAGGCAGAAGCATTCATGCTGTGCTCAGACTTCTGTACTTAATGTAAAAAATTAGCACAATGTATGGCTCCAGTTCTGTGTATACTCTAATATCTTTCTTCAACTACGGCTTCTGAGGACAAACAAATACCACTGATTTTTAGGTCATCTTTCTTATTAAAAAGAAAGAAAGAATTTAAAAATCAAACACTTGAATATAGTTGCTGAAAATTCTTAATTACATTTAGCTTGATTTGAGGTTACTTATTCGTATTTAACATAAAGAACCAAATGAAACCTGAACTTGCAAATAGCAAGTACATGAGAAAACATCCTCCTATATTAAGTGACCTAACCTAAAAATAAACAAAAAAACCATGACCTAATTTCAGAAATGTTTTGCTTTCAAAAAATGGGCTACGTTGCAAGAAAAAAGACTTAAATATAATTTGGGACCAAATACATAAGTCAATATGGAAAGTTAGAAGGCATTTCATTTATAAATGAATGATATTTCACACTTATATAGCACCTTATATATACAAAGTGCTTTACAATGATTATTCAACAGCCCATTCATCAATGTAAATAAATGTGGTTTACAATCTGTTAACAAATGTAAGCACTTTGAGGCAACCAAATATCCAAGAAAATCTATTTAGTAACAAATTCCTGGACTAGCAGATAGATGTGAGAAAAAACGTAAAGAGATCTGCCATAATATAACATACAAGAAGTTACTAATGTTAGTGACTGATATTAAGATATCAAGTGTTAGGAATTGTTAAAAAATGGAAGGGTTTATATTAAAGAACAAGTAAAACAAATGGGGCATAAGTCAACAAACAGCCCAAAAATAAGACTACCAATAACTTGTACATATATGAAAGATAACTCTTTTAGATGTGGAAAGCAACTGAAGGTATGTCAACCACATTGTTAGAAAATGATCCTCAGTTACTAAGATATTCCAAAAGAACAAGAAATTAATGCAGTGTCTAATTTTTTTTCTTTTGTAATTTATCCCAAAATAACCTCACCAAACATTCACTTCTGCCAGCAAACAAGATAGCAGGAAATAATGAAATTTTATGTATTTATGTTTTAAAAATAGTCTCCAAATCTTTGGACAAATTTAATTTCCTATAAAACAATGTGAAAACTCATTTTTTCCTCAAATAATTCTTCCAGGTGCCTTAGGGAAGATGTGATTAGCACCTCTGCCAATGTATTCAAGTCTTTGCAAAAAGAACACTTGTCAACCATTTTGTATAGTAAATATGCAAGTTATTTGAACTGTACTTGGAAAACAATTGAAAACACAGATTAATACATCATAAAAAGATTAATTCCCTTTAAACAAAGACATTCTTAGCATGGTAACACACAGGCACAATAAAGAATATAAATTGTATATCAATTATTGGCAGAAAATCTAATTCATTACAAAGCCTATACCTTTGAAGAAGAGGACATTTTCATACAAAGAAAAGTATTACACTATTATACAACATTTTTAATTGAACATGTACAAATTTTTGGCACATTAAAAATAACTGAAAGGACTACAAAATAAAAACCAAAGAAACTAAAACAAAGATACAGGAGAGAGAAAAAGTCCTCAAAATGAGAAACACTAAGTATTGACATAGAAGAGAAACAAAAAATAAGCTGGCTGAGTTTCCTGAAATGTTCTTGTGTGTAACAGAAGTATGTTGTGGGTGCAGGTGTCTGTGATTGAGCGGCACAACTTCTCTACCTTGCTGTGGCCGGCTGCACGTGGCCTGGGTATGATCTTCTGCTGCTGGTCGCTTGCCTCTGCCTCGCCAGAAATGACTGCCCTGAGCCTGTGCTTGCCAGTCTATCTTCAGCTGCCTTTTTATGCAGGGTCATTCCCTGCAACATTAAAACAAAAAAAGGAATCAATGAAAAAATAGTGGAACATACTTCACAAAAGAAAATTTCATCATGCAGAATTTGTTACAGTGTATCATAAAGCACAATTAGGAATGTTAATACTACTCACTATAGATTAAAATCTCATAGAGGCATTTTAGTTCCCATAATTAGGCACAAATTTTCTTTTGGAAAAATTCAGGCTTAATTGTCTGATTTTACAATAAACAATACAGCAGATGATAGAGACAGACTTTACCCATACTCAATCATACTTCCTTTCAAATTAAATGTAGAAAGTGATTTTTTTCCAAGGAAAAGAGTATGATTGGTAGCAGTTGATTCACTCAGGTGGTAGAAATCACAGGGTTTATTTAGAATGAAAAACACAAATGCTTGTGTTGTTTCTTAAGATGGAAAGCCACACTAGGTACTGTACATACCAGCATGCTGTTTTTCTTCACTTCAAGGCAGATTTGTATTCTCAAACAAATTAAGAAAACTTCCTGACAGTCCACAACAGAGGGCCCAAATGAGAGAAGGGGGTCTTTCTTGAAGACAGGAGAAGGATCGCCTACTAACTTAGAAGGGAGAGGAGGCAACTGCTGGACCCAGAGCACCTTAACAGGAGGGAGGAAACCTCCAGGGCACTACCTGACTGCGGAGGAATGACAAGAATATGATAATGACACTACTTACTAAAGGCAGAAGTCTATGAGTACATCAGGAAAAAAGCAGTTTTTTGGTACTCATTTAATAAGACAATGAAGAATCCTAGCCAGAGAAACATTAAGAACTGAGTAGTGGCTCATGCCTGTAACCCCAGCACTTTGGGAGGCTAAGGTGGGAAGATCACTTGAGGCTAGAAGCTCAAGACCAGCCTTAGCAAAATAACAAGAAACCCCCTCTCTAAAATAATAAAAAAATTAGCTGGGCATGATGGCATGCCCATAGTCCCAGCTACTTGGAAGGCTGAGGTGGGAGGCTCGCTTGAGCCCAGGAGGTTGAGGCTGCAGTGAGCCGTGATTACACCACCGCACTGTAGCATGGGAACAGTGCGAGAACTTGGCTCAAAAACGATAACAACAACAACAAAAATGAAAGAACTGAGAGCTGCTGTTTAATCTCACCAATGACTGAATGCAAGTAAACTGCTGGGCATAAGCAGAAGCTGGCAGCAAGGAAGAAAAAAGCAATCAAGAGGCAAAAGGAGAGCCAGGTGGAAAAGCCAAACTACGGGATGCAATGAAGGATGTGCAGAAGACAGAAGGCTGGAAGATACATCACTAGCTGGTTTCTAGGGAAAACAGTCATGGCTTTGCATTGTTTTATCTTTTTTCATTTTTTTTTTAGACGGAGTCTTGCCATGTTGCCCAGGCTGGTCTCGAACTCCTGGGTTCAAGAGATCCTCCCACCTTGGCCACTCAAAGTACTGGAATTACAGGCGTGAGCCCATGCGCCCAACCTCAGCTTTGCATTTTTAATACAATTTCAGTCTATTCTATCAACCCAAATACATAATATTTTCCAAATAAGAAAAATCTAAAATATGTTTTTAAACTCAACTTGAAATCAGAGAATTTAAAGTTTTGAATAAAATTGACAAATATTTATTGGTAATCTTTAACTTATACATTTGGCTACATATATTAAAAATTTGTATTTTATTTAAATATTCTCATTTTTCCACTTTCACATTTCAAGCAATTTATTCAAATTCTTCACATAGGTTAAAGACCTCAGTCTATTGCAAGGGCATTCTCTGAGCTACTTAATACCTCTTCCCAGCACTCATCATTTCCATTTCCATTTAAGTTACCTGAGAAGCAGAACTTTCTGAATGTAAGCATGATGGTTTACTTATCTGAACATAACTTCTGGGAGTCTATTTGGAGTTATTCCTTCACTCTCTGAAGAGTTAAAAATTAGGACTATTCTGGCCGGGCGCGGTGGCTCATGCCTGTAATCCCAGCACTTTGGGAGGCCGAGGAGGGTGGATCATGAAGTCAGGAGATTGAGACCATCCTGGCTAAAACGGTGAAACCCTGTTTCTACTAAACAAAATACAAAAAATTAGCCAGGCGTGGTGTCGGGCGCCTGTAGTCCCAGCTACTCGGGAGGCTGAGGCAAGAGGATGGCGTGAACCCAGGAGTCGGAGCTTACAGTGAGCCGAGATCGTGCCACTGCACTCCAGCCTGGGCGACAGAGAAAGACTCCATTTAAAAAAAAAAAAAACAAATTAGGACTATTCTTTAGTACCACTTCACAGAATAAATCATTCTGGCTCCATAAGAAACAAAATATGTGAAGTCATAAAAATCAATCCAGAATATGAGATTATTGGGCTCGGTGGGGTGGCTCATGCCTGTAATCCAGCACTTTGGGAGACTGAGGCGGGTGAATCACGAGGTCAGGAATTCAAGAACAGCCTGGCCAAGATGGTGAAACCCTGTCTCTACTAAAAATACAAAAATTAGCCAGGCGTGGTGGCGGGCGCCTGTAACCCCAGTTACTCGGGAGGCTAAGGCAGAGACTTGCTTGAACCCGGGAGGCGGAGGTTGCAGTGAGCCAAGATTGCACCACTGCACTCCAGCCTGGGTGACAAAGTGAGACTCCGTCTCAAAAAATAATAATAGTAATATGAAATTATTAATAAGGCCTGAAATGCAGAGCTCCTAGATTGCTAACACTAAGCTTCCAGGAGGACAGGGAAGAGACAGAATAGTTTAAAAGTTAGGACTAATTCCCAGAGAATTTCTTTAAATATATAGTTTTATTTTTTCTATTTCTTGAATTTTAATTTTCAAGAAATCTGTATTTGTTTGTTTGTTTTCTGAGACGGAGTCTCGCTCTGTCGTCAAGGCTGGAGGGCAGTGGTGTGATCTCGGCTCACTGCAACCTCCACCTCCTGGGTTCAGGCGATTCTCCTGCTTCAGCCTCCGGAGTACCTGGGATTACAGGCACCCGCCACCACAACCTGCTAATTTCTGTATTTTTAGTAGAGATGGGGTTTCACCATGTTGGCCAGGCTGGTCTCCAACTCCTGAGCTCAGGTGACCCGCCCACCTTGGCCTCCCAAAGTGCTGGGATTACAGGTGTGAGCCATCGTGCATAGCCTATATTTGTCAATAATAGTATTCTAACTCTGATACGATTTCCTCTCTGGTTTTAAAATTGCAATAAAATCTTAGATATGCAGTTTTTGTTTTTTGTTTTTTTTTGAGACAGAGTCTCACTCTGTCACCCAGGCTGGAGTAAAGTGGTGCAATCCCAACTTCCGCCTCCCGGGTTTAAGCGATTCTCGTGCCTCAGCCTCCTGAGTAGCTGGGACTAGAGGCATGTGCCACCATGCCTGGCTAATTTTTGTATTTTTAGTAGAGACGGGGTTTTACCATGTTGTGGCCAGGCTGGTCTCAAATTCCTGACCTCAGGTGATCTGCCTGCCTCAGACTCCCAAAGTGCCATGATTACAGGCATTAGCCACCGCACCGAGCCATCGTTACACAGTTTTGACCAAGGCAAATACAGATGTGAAAATAATATATAATGAAATTTATGAATTTTTGACAAAGATCAAATCACAGTGTTCAGAGGCCAGGGACACTAACCTTTAAGAGGCAGTTATCAATTATAACTGTAAAACAAAAACAATGGTACTGTGCCAGTAACAGAGCTACAGGGTCACAGTGGGATGTTAAAAGGAATCTGGGGCTGGGTGCGGTGGCTCACGCCTGTAATCCCAGCATTTGGGAGGCCAAGGCAGGTGGATCACAAGGTCAGGAGTTCGAGACCAGCCTGGCCAATATGGTGAAAACCTGTCTCTACTAAAAATACAAAAATTATTCGGGCGTGCTGGCAGGCATCTGTAGTCCCAGCTACTTGGAAGGCTGAGGCAGAAGAATCGCTTGAACCTGGGAGGCGGAGGTTGCAGTGAGCCGAGATCACACCACTGCACTCCAGCCTAGGATACACAGCGAGACTCTATCTCAAAAATAAATAAATAAATAAATAAATAAATGGAATCTGGTCCCATTTCTTGTCTTGGACAACTTTTTTTTTTTTTTTTTTTTTTCTGAGACAGTCTTGCTGTGTCACCCAGGCTGGAGTGCAATGGCACAATCTCGGCTCATTGCAACCTCTGCTTCCCAAGTTCAAGCGATTCTCCTGCCTCAGCCTCCCAAGTAGCTGGGATTACAAGCATGTGCCACCATGCCCAGCTAATTTTTGTATTTTTAGTAGAGACAGGGTTTCACCACGTTGTCCAGGCTGGTCTCAAACTTCTGACCTCGTGATCCGCCCACCTGGCCTCCCAAAATGCTGGGATTACAGAAGTGAGCCATCACGCCTGGCCAACTAACATTTTTTAAAAGCAGAAGTGGTCTTATTGGGAAGAACAAAAAACAAAAGGAAGACAGAAAGTCTTGAAAAAATACTTCAGAAGTGCAGCACTCTTTAAAATCCGTAACTATTCACATCCCAACCAGGATGCTGATGAGCATTAGTTTTTGTGTTGGGATATTCAATTTCAAAACCTGCAGTGGTTCAGGGTCTGACATTGTGAACATTTTCCAAACCCCATGAGATAAACTACCCTCAATCAAATACCATCCTGCAAAGACACTGAAATAATCCCACAAAACAAAAACTATTGCATCTGTGTTTAGATGGTATTAATGTCCCTTCTCTTACAATAAAGTCTCTGAGGGACAGAAATTAGACTGACATTTATCTTTCTATCCTCTAGAAATAATGTTTTCAAAATGCTCTAACCCTGTTTACAGTGGTTCTCATAGTTGCTTTTCAGTTCAGAAATAACATTAAGATTCTGTTAGTGTATGTTAGGATAGCAGTTACTTTCAGATTCATTTGGTAGAGTGACTTCTACAGTAAAGGGAATATAATAAGTATTACATATTCATTGAAGTTTTCATTATGCTCCAAAGTACTATTTTCTTACCATATTGTACCAGGCACTAACAATATATTTCTCTTCCATCTCTCTCTGACTCTTTGTTTTCTCATATTCTTTCTAAAAAAAAAAAAAAGCACATGTAAATATGTAAAGATATAAAATAACTCAATATAAATAAAATACTTACAATTAATTGTTAAAACTCATGAACACAATTGTAAAATATAACAAGGCTCCCAAAACATTAAAATCAAAACACAATTATTTTATTGTACAGTATAGTAAACTACCTCTAATGAGTGGAACAGTCGGTCTCGTTCCTGGAGCTGATTTTTAAGAGCTTGTATTTCTGGTGCTGCTCCTTGATTCTGTTTAGGATCTAAAGTACGGATGACCTGCAAAAAATAATAAAAGAAAAATTTAAAAAGTCTCAAACTTAAAGAATGTAACGTTTAAGAAAAGAATGACTATTTTTTTAAAATAAAAGGATAAACTTATGAAAAATCAAAGGTTATCTTACAAGGGTATTTTAAAAAGTAAATGCGGCCTGGAGTGGTGGCTCATGCCTGTAATCACAGCACTTTGGGAGGCTGAGGCAGGTGGATCACTTTAGCTCAGGAGTTTGAGACCAGCCTGGGCAACATAGTGAGAACCATCTCTACAAAAAGTGTTTAAAAAATTAGCTGGGTGTGGTGGTGCACCCCTATAGTCCCAGCTACTCTGGAGGCTGAGGCAGGACGATCACTTGAGCCTGGGAGGTTGAGGCTGCAGTGAGCTGAGATCATGTCACTGTGCTCCAGCCTGGGCAACAGAGCAAGAATCTGTCTAAAAAAAATTAAAAGTAAATGTATGAAATAGTATTAATTGTTGTAACTTGAAGTAAAAATTTTTTATGGGTACATAATATTTGTACAAACATAAAACTTTTTACTTATATAAAGAACCAATTATAAAAAGTAATTCTGGCTTAAAATTAATAAATGCAGTCATGTACCACATAATGATGTTTCAGTCAACGATGAACCACATATATGATGGTGGTCCCGTAAGATTATAAGGAGCTGAAAAAGTCCTATCACAAAAATAACATTGTGTAACTATTTCCTTATACTATTCAGTACAGTAATGTGCTGTACAGGTTTGTACCTAGAAGCAATACTCCATACCATATCGCCTAGTTGTGTACTAAACTATAGCATACAGTTTTGCATAAGTACACTCTACAATGTTTGCACAATGACAAAATCACCTAAGGATGCATTTCTCAGAACGTGTCCCTGTTATTAAATGACATGTGTCTGTACAGCGGACACTACTGACAGTGGTCTACTCTTTTTCTTTCCTCTGATCTGGTCTGCTAGACTTCTGTCTCTGATCAGATACGTACTTTGGGGAGAGGGTCCTGACTGGTGTAAGCCTATCACTGTGGCCCCATTTCTTCCTCTGCTGGCAATCCTGTTTGGGCATGGACATTGGATGTGATTCTGGCTGGCCAACTAGAGGACTACTGGGAAAGGTCTTTTTACTTCTCCACCCAATATTTTTATTTAGTTTTATTTTATTTTTAAAGACAGAGCCTTGCTCTGTCACCTAGGCTGGAGTGCGGTGATGTGATCATAGCCCACTGCAGCCTTGAACCACAGGGCTCAAGTGATTTTCCTGCCCCAGCCTCCTGAACAGCTAGGATTACAGGTGCATGCCACCATGACCAGCTAATTTTTTAAAACTTTTTTTTGTAGAGACGGAGTCTGGATATGTTGCCCAGACTGACCTCAAACTCCTGGGCTAAAGCAATCCTCCAGCCTTGACCTCCTACAGCGACAGGATTACAGGCGTGAGCCACTGTGCCCAGCTCCCCTAATACTTTTACTATCAAAATGTTCAAGCCCATAGAAAACTTGAAAGGGTAGAATAAAAATCCATTTACCTTTAACCTAGACTCACCAATTGCTTCACTGCCATATTTGATTTCTCTCCACACACACACACACACACATGCTGTTACTTATTTGGGAGGCTATTTTAAAGTCTCCCAAATAAGTTATTCAGGCCTCATAATGCATAACCTTTAAATACTTGAGCACAAATCTCCTTAAAGATATTAACTTACATAATCACAAAGCATTATCATCTGTAAGAAAACTGACCCCCTTGGCCAGGCACGGTGGCTCACACCTGTAATCCCAGCACTTTGGGAGGCCGAGGCGGGCGGATCACGAGGTCAGGAGATCAAGCCCATCCTGGCTAACACAGTGAAACCCTGTCTCTACTAAAAAATACAAAAAATTAGCCGAGTGTGGTGGCAGGCGCCTGTAGTCCTAGCTACTCGGGAGGCTGAGGCAGGAGAATGGCGTGAACCCGGGAGGCGGAGCTTGCAGTGAGCCAAGATCGTGCCACTGTACTCCAGCCTGGGCGACAGAGCGAGACTCCATCTCAAAAAAAAAAAGAAAATGGACCCCCTTAACCCCCAGTCCAGGACTCAGAGATGAATGCCTTGATTTGGCAATTAGCAGGGGGCTCTTTTCAATTAGAATGGGTCCTGTGCTCTCCCACAATCCACGGCCTGTTCTTGTTTTCATGACAGTGACTTCTATTCCAAATTTTGAATTTACCTGATGGTTTCCTGAACGTGTTATTTAGCTTGTTCCAATAAACCTTATTTTGCCTGTGAACTGGAAATAGAAGGTTGCTTAAATTCAGGTTAACTATTATTTACAACGATACTCCATCAAGAGGCACAGGATATCGGCTGTCCTATCATTAATTGGTGTTGTTAATTTTGATGACTAATAAGGTGGCAAGTGCCACTCATTTCCCACACAAAGTACATTTTCCTCTTGGTAATTAGTAAGTAATCCATGGAATGACCTATTTTGAGCACTGCTTGTTGCTCAGGTTCTTTTTATTTGTTATAAGATTTGTTCTTCTCCTGAGAGTTTTCTGCATTAAGAAGTTGCTGTAGTGTCCGTCCATTATATTTGAGACTTCACTGAAATGTGATCAGAAGGTAGAGTGAGATGCCTACAAAATTCATACTTACACTTTTGGCTTTCTCTAAGTATTTTTTGTATCGTTCTTCCATTTGCTTCATTTCTTCCTCTTTCTTTCGTAAAGCTTCTTGTAATTCTTCAATTTTTAAGGCTGCAGATGAGACACAGTAAAATATATATATTTAGATAATATATATAAATTGTTATAATATAAATAAATTTATTTTAGATTACCACAATTTTAAAAATATTTTAATTGACTAATAACAAATAGTTAACAGCTTTGAGAGACTGGTCTATTTTTACACATAATTTTATTTTAAAAAAATTCAGAATTTTTTTTTTTTTTTTTACAAAAAGATTTTCTTATAAATAAATAAAAACTCCAGTATGGAAGTACATAAATAAAGAATCCATGAGGGATGAATGGATAAACAAAATGTAGTACATAGATATAATATTATTCAGCCTTAGTTATGACACATGCTATGATATGGAGACATTATGTTAAGTGAAATAAACCAGATACAAAAGGACAAATATTATATGATTCTACTTATATGAGTGACCTAGAATAGTCAAATTCAGAGACAGAAAATGGAATAGCAGTTATTAGCGGCTGGGGAGAGGAAGGAAGGGAGAGTTATTGTTTAATGATAGAGAACTTCGGTTTGAGATGATACAGTTTTGTAGATGGGTAAAAGTGAGAGTTGTGCTATGTGAATGTCCTTAATGTCACTGGACTATACACTAAAAATGGCTTAAAATGGGTGTGTTTTGTATATTTTACCATAATAAAAATAAGTCTGTTCTCTCACCTCTTATCTCTTTATTAATACAAAAGAATTAACAAAATCAAGCTACCTACAGGAGTAAATATTTGGGAAGCACAGGTCTGGATGACTTACATGGAACTACATTATGAAAATATCTTAACATCATATAATATTCATTAGAATACAGAGTTAACGAAAAATTCAAAGTACAATCAGAAAGACATTATAAAGATGATTATATACTCCCTATATGTAAATAGAGCCTATTTCTTTCTTTCTTTTTTTTTTTGGAGACAGTCTCACTGGAGCACAGTGGCGAGATCTCGGCTCACTCCAACCTCTGCCTCCTGGGCTCAAGCGATTCTCCTGCCTCAGCCTCCCGAGTAGCTGGGTCTACAGGTGTTTGCCACCACCCCCGGCTAATTTTTTGTATTTTTAGTAGAGATGGGCTTTTACCACGTCGCCCAGGCTGGTCTCAAACTCCTGAGCTCAGGCAATCCACCCACCTCGGCCTCCCAAATAAGTGCTAGGATTACAGGAGTGAGCCACCGTTGCTGGCCTTCTTTCTTTTTTGTGAGACAGGGTCTTGCTGTGTTCCCCAGGCTGGTCTTGAACTCCTGGGCTCAAGCAATCCTCCTACCTTGGCCTGCCAAATTGCTAGGATTACAGGCATGAGCTACCATACCCAGCCAATAGAGCCTATTTCTTAAATAAAAATTTAGGCCGGGCGCGGTGGCTCACGCCTGTAATCCCAGCACTTTGGGAGGCCGAGGCGGGCGGATCACGAGGTCAGGAGATCGAGACCATCCCGGCTAAAACGGTGAAACCCCGTCTCTACTAAAAATACAAAAAATTAGCCGGGCGTAGTGGCGGGCGCCTGTAGTCCCAGCTACTTGGGAGGCTGAGGCAGGAGAATGGCGTGAACCCGGGAGGTGGAGCTTGCAGTGAGCCGAGATCCCGCCACTGCACTCCAGCCTGGGCGACAGAGCGAGACTCCGTCTCAAAAAAAAAAAAAATAAAAATAAAAATAAAAATAAAAATAAAAATAAAAATTTAATATAGGCCAGGTATGGTTGCTCACATCTGTAATCCCAGTACTTTGGGAGACTGAGGTGGGCAAGTGACTTGAGCTCAGAAGTTCAAAACTAGCCTGGGCAACATGGCAAAATCCCGTCTCTACAAAAAATTATAAAAATTAGCCGGGCAGGGTGGCTCATGCCTGTATCACAGCTATTGGCGGGGTGGTTAGGTAGAAGGATGGCTTGAGCATGGGAGGTCAAGACTGCTGCAGTGAGCTGTGATCATACCATTTACTCCAGTCTGGGCAACACAGCCAGACCCTATCTCAAAAATAAATAAACAGGCTGGGCACAGTGGCTCATGTCTGTAATCTCAGCACTTTGGGAGGCCGAGGCGGGCAGATCACGAGGTCAGGAGATCGAAACCATCCTGGCTAACATGGTGAAACCCCATCTCTACTAAAAATACAAAAAATTAGCCGGGCGTAGTGGCGGGCACCTGTAGTCCCAGCTACTCAGGAGGCTGAGGCAGGAGAATGGCAAGAACCCAAAAGGCAAAGCTTGCAGTGAGCCAAAATCGCACCACTGCACTCCAGCCTGGGTGAGAGTGAGACTTCATCTCAAAAAAAATAAAAATAAAAAATAAATAATTAAAAATTATGTAAACTCACTATCACTATGGCAGTATACAGCAAGCCCACTTAAAAACTATCCTAATTAGGAAAACTCACAGCTGTTGTTAAATCTTGGCTCGAGATCTTCAATAATGGCTCTCTTCTTCTGTAGTTCATTATTGGCCTCATGCAGCTTCTCTCTGTAACAAACAGGTAAACATCACCTACTACTGCTTCTGTAATTTTTTCCAGTTCAAATTAAAGATCTGAGTTCCTTATATTTGGATTACACTTGCATTGCATGCAAGTGATATGAAACATATATGAAAAGACAAAACACAAATTTAATATATTTAAAAAATAAGTAAAAAATAAAGACAAAAAAATTCCTCTGTTTGAAAAAGTAGTCATTTAGTTTAGATAGACCTGCATAAAGAGAGGGTATACATTTTTTCTAGGAATATTTAGATAACTTTGCAAAGGTTTTACCATGCAAAATCTTGTTGCAAAAAAATGAAGTTCTAAAAATAAGAATTAACAAATAGAACACTACCTATCAATAAAAAAATGAACTAATGATATACTCAACCACATGAATAGATCTCACAGAATGTCGAACAAAGGAAGTCAAAGCGGTAACAATGTACGATTCTGTTACGTACACTGATGTTAAAATGAGTGGAAGGTGATACAGATCAGCTGTGTGGCTAGTTTTGTGGTCAATCTACTGGGAGGAAGAATGAAGAACCGATCCGGGTCACCTAGGTTTGGGAGGCCTTGGCAGGCGGATCACTTGACATCACAAGTTCAAGGCCAGCCTGGCCAACATGGCAAAACCCAGTCTCTGCTAAAAATAGAAAAATTAGCCGGGTGTGGTGGTGGGTGCTTGTAATCCCAGCTACATGGGAGGGAGAATCGCTTGAACCTGGGAGGCAGAGGTTGCAGTGAGCCAAGATGGTGCCACTGTACTCCAGCCTGGATGACAGAGTGAGACTCCATCTCAAAAAAAAAAAAAAAAAAAAAAAAAAAATCTAGGAACTTAAGACGTGTACTTTATATGTTATATTCCAATATAAAGGTATTTAAATAATTAACTGAAAGTGAGATATTTTCCCCTGGTATTTGATAATATGTGTAATTTTCCCTTTATCATATTTAATATGGCACTATGTAACATAACTAGGAAAAAAGGCTGCAAAAATGGGAAGATAGAGAAAATCACTAATTAAAAAAAAGCACTTTACGTCTTTCTGATCTTTTCTATGCATGATGCTTTAATAAACCTTTTTCTTTCTCAATAAATTTTTTGAAGATGAGACTTGTATGCATTTATGACCTATGACAAAGAACATATACAATATAACAGTTAAAAGAATAATACAACTAAGCCCAATGAATCACTACCATGTTAAAAAATAGAAATTGGCTGGGCACAGTGGTTCATGCCTGTAATCCTAGCACTTTGGGAGGCCAAGGTGGGTAGACTGCCTGAGCTCAGGAGTTCGAGACCAGCCTGGGCAACATGGTGAAACCCCATCTCTACTAAAATACAAAAAATTAGCCGGGCATGGTGGTGTTTGCCTGTAGTCCCAGCTACTCAGCTACTCGGGAGGCTAAGGTGGGAGAATTGCTTGAACCTGGGAGGCGGAGGTTGCAGTGAGCCGAGATTGTGCCACTGCACTCCAGCCTGGGCAACAGAGTGAGACTCCGTCTCAAAAAAATAAATAGGCTGGGCGCAGTGGCTAACACCTGTAATCCCAGCACTTTGGGAGGCTGAGGCAGGCGGATCACGAGGTCAGGAGAACAAGACCATCCTGGCTAACACGGTGAAACCCCATCTCTACTAAAAATACAAAAAATTAGCTGGGCGTGGTGGTGGGCGCCTGTAGTCCCAGCTACTCGGGAGGCTGAGGCAGGAGAATGGCGTGAACCCGGGAGGCGGAGCTTGCAGTGAGCCGAGATCACACCACTGCACTCCAGCCTGGGCGACAGAGCGAGACTCCATCTCAAAATAAATAAAAATAAATAAATAAATAAATAAATAAATAAATAGACCAGGTGCGGTGGCTCACACCTGTAATCCCAGCACTTTGAGAGGCCAAGGCGGGTGGATCACAAGGTCAGGAGTTCAAGACCAGCCTGTCCAACATGGTGAAACCCCGTCTCTACTAAAAGTACAAAAATGAGCTGGGTGTGGTGGGGGGGGGCCTGTAATCCCAGCTACTTGGGAGGCCAAGGCAGAGACCTGCTTGAACCCGGGAGGCAGAGGTTGAAGTGAGCCGAGATCATGCCACTGCAGTCCAGCCTGGGTGACAGAGTGAAACTCCGTCTCAAAATAAATAAATAAATAAATATAGTTTAAAAACATAAAAATAAAAATAAATACAAATCATCCCCAAAACTTAGTAGTCATGCATGTCTCTATATTCTTCCCAGAGGTAACCAAAGTCAGAATTTGAATCATTCTCATTAAATTCATGATGGTTTTATTGTCTTTGTGCTATTCCTAAAAAATATATTGCTTAGGCCAGGCGCGGTGGCTCACATCTGTAATCCCAGCACTTTGGAAGGCCGAGGCAGGCGGATCACGAGGTCAGGAGATCAAGCCCATCCTGGCTAAGATGGTGAAACCTTGTCTCTACTAAAAACACACAAAAAATGAGCCAGGCGTGGTGGCAGATGACTGTGGTCCTAGCTACTCGGGAGGCTGAGGCAGGAGAATGTCGTGAACCCGGGAAGCGGAGCTTGCAGTGAGCTGAGATGGCGCCACTGCACTCCAGCCTGGGGGACAGAGCGAGACTCCGTCTCAAAAAAAAAAAAAAAAAAAAAAAATTATATATATATATAGAGAGAGAGAGAGAGAGAGCACTTAATTTTGTGCAATTTAAATTTTATACATTAATCATTACGTATTATTCTGACTTGCATCTTTCACTAAACACTATGTTCTTGAGGTTCATCTGTGTTGATGTATTAGCCATGGTTTATTTCACATTTCCCCTATTGTTTGGTATTCTATTGTTTGAATATACCTCATTCAATCATTTTCCAATTGGTGAACATTTGCATATTATTTTTACTTTTCTGTGATTACAATGCTCTTCCATACTTTCTTTTAAATGCCTCCTGGTATGCACGGACAATATTTCTAGGAATCTTGGATATATATAGTAGAACTGAGAGGTCACAGAGTATGTGGCATGTCCAGGTTTACTAAGCAGACTGATGTATGCTCCTACCAGCAATGGATGAGAATTGCCATTGCTCAACATCTTCGGCAATACTCAGTATGTTGGATTTTTTAAATGTTAACAATTTGATGTGTAAAATGGTCTCCATTGTAGTTTTTTTTTTTTTTTTTTTTTTTAGATGGAGTCTTGCTCTGCCTCCCAGGCTGCAGTGCAGTGACATGACCTCGGCTCACTGCAACCTCTGCCTCCCAGGTTCAAGCAATTATCCTGCCTCAGCCTTGCAAGTAGCTGGGATTACAGGCATGCGCCACCATGCCTGGCTAATTTTTGTATTTCTAGTAGAGATGAGGCTTCACCATGTTGTCCAGGCTGGTCTCGAACTCCTGACCTTGAGTGATCCACCTGCCTCGGCCTCCCAAAGTGCTGGGATTACAGGTGTGAGCCACCGCACCTGACTTTTTTTTCTTTTCTTTCTTTTTTTTTTTTTTTGAGACAGAGTCTTGCTCTGTTGCTCAGGCTGGAGTGCAGTGGTGTGATCTCGGCTCACTGCAACCTCTGGTTTCTGGGTTCAAGTGATTCTACTGCCTCAGCCTCCTGAGTAGCTAGGATTACAGGTGCACGCCACCATGCCCCACTAATTTTTGTATTTTTAGTAGAGACAGAGTTTCACCATGTTGGCCAGGCTGGTCTCAAACTCCTGACCTCAAGTGATTGACCTGCTTGGCCTCCCAAAGTGCTGGGATTACAGGCGTGAGCCACCACACCTGGACCACTGTCATTTTAAATATGCATGAGGCTGGCCATATTTGGAGATATCTGTGGCTCCTGTGGTGGGCTGAATTGTGTCTCCTAAAAAGAAAAATTGGAGTTTTAACTCCTAGGATATATGAATGTGACAGTATTTGGAAATTGGGTGTTTACAGGTGTAAGTAGCTAAGATGAGGGCACGCTGGATCAGGGAAGGCCCTAAATCCAATGATTGGCATCCTTATAAGAAGGTCATTAGACACAGACATACAGAGAAAAGAATGACATGTGAAGGTGGAGAAAGAGACTGGAGTGATCTGTCTACAACCAAAAACATCAGGACTGCTGGCGGTTACCAGCCACAAGAAGGATCACAGAGCAGATTGTCCCTCCAAACCTCAAGAAGGAACCAGCCTGCTGCCACCTTGGTTCTTCTAGCCTCCAGAACTATGAGAGAATAAATTTATGCTGCCATAAACCACCTAGTGTATGGTAATTTGACATGGTAGCTATAAGAACTAATACAGGCTCCATCTTCACTAATAAATCCTTTCTGATGAAGATTTTTCACCATGTAAATGACTGCGCACAGAATAATGGTCAGTTGGTAGTTCTATGAAATGACAGGTATTATATTTTTTGCCATAAAGGAATGAGAATTTTTTTTTTAAAGGACAGAATTCAGTACTAAACTCTCATTGCAGGTAATCTCACAAAAGGCAAAAGTAATATTTTCTGTTCTAGTACATTAAGAATCTGCCCACTGCTTGAATTGCTAGCAAATCTGTCGCCAGGAGTATCTTGTGTCTCCCACATTTATCATTTAAAACACAAAAACACAAACTGGATAGCATGAGGCAAATTGCCAGAAGAGAATTTCTTTCGCATCCTAGTAGAATAAATCCAAATTATCTTTGTGGTACTGAGGATGTCTGGTTTAGCACAGTGTAAAGTTGTAACACTTTAACAGGCTATTAATTCACAGTCACTAATTCAATGCTTGCCCGGAGTTTTGCTAGAAAAGGATGAGAAGGATTAAGGTTGTTACTGGGTGCAAGAAAAATTATGAAACATCTCTAATATGGTCAACCTCAGTTAAAGATAAAGAGAGAAGACTTCTTCTTCATGAAAAAAAATATGTGAATATTTTAAAATTTACTTCATCTTTTATACCACAAAGTCCTTGTTTGTAATTCCAGGAAATATTTGAAAATCTACTGACAAGCTTTTATAGACTTTAAAAAATTTACTTAAGAAAGAAGATTAGACTGGGTGTGCTGGCATGTACTTGTAATGCCAGCTACTCAGAAGGCTGCAGCAGGAGGATCACTTGAGACCAGGAGTTCAAGTCCAGCCTGGGAAACATAGTGACCCTGCCTCTTAAAGACCTTAAAGTCTCTTAAAGACAGGGTCTCTTTTTTAAAAGACCTTGTCTCTTAACTTTTATTTTTAAATAAATAGATTAAGCTGGCAATACTTTAGAGCTGGCAAGCTATAGCCCATGGGCCAAAACCAGACTGCTGCCTGTTCGTATCTATAAAGTTTTACTACAACATGGTCACAACCATTAATTGATGTATTGTCTATGGCTGTTTTCAAGCTACAACTGCAGAGCTGAGTGGCTGTGACAGAGACCAGCTTTCAACTCCTAAAAAGCAATTACTATCTGACCCCTTATAGAAAGAGGTGTCTGACCCATGATCTAGAGTGTCTCAAACTCCTAACTATGATTATCACAAAGACAGAAAACCCTGAAGTCTCACTTGAGAAGGCAGTTCTAAAGCAGTCATCATTCTGACCTGAGAACCTTGGGGAGAAGTGACCCTTCAGACTCTCATAATATGTATTATAATTTTCTATTTCTTCAAGGGCCACCTGTGCCAACGCCCAGACACACCGTAACTACCTAACACAAAGCACATGTGTTCCACTATAGAAGAATCAGCCTCAACAGCTTTTATACTTACAGATGTTCTTCAAGCTTCTTTTTTAGAAGGACTGACTAAAAATGAAAAACAAAATTAGTTTATTACCTCACATTTTAACTAAAATAGTATTTTCTTTTAAGTTAAAAGTACAATAGTCATTAATTTTGAGTGAGCTTTCAGTAATTTGTTTGGTCAAAGAGCTGAAAACACACAATGTACCCCAGTTTAAATCTCTTTAATAAAGGGAGAGCACAGCCCCTAAGGGATGACAATCAGTATGAAATACCCACAACCTGGATATATATGAATTCTCTATTTATAGTCGGGCAGATGAATAAAATAGGAATGAAAAAGTCACTTAATTATAGACCTAATATTCCTGGATTTGGCAGGCAGACAGGACCCTAGTAATAATAGACTTCCTTTAAGACACTTATCTGCTATACTATTTTCCTTGAGTCATGATAAAGTATTGGGCCAGCTTCTATAAATATGTCTGACTTAATCAGTGACTTATGAAAATGCACAGGTTACAAATAATTTATGCAGTGGTATGGGAATGTGAAGGATGGCAGATGCACAGCCTTTAATATGTTGGAGAATGTAGCTTTCACTGGGTAAAAAAAAAAAAAGTCTCCTGAAAAGCAGGAGATCAAAATTGACCTAAAAATAAACAATAAAGACATTCTCTATAAGACCACTAAATTTCATAATTTAACACTTATACAGTATATACTATTAATAAATTTTATGGAACATTTCATTTTGAGATAAATGGTTATATAATTAATTCAGTCAAAACCCAATTAATATAGGCTTATAAAACAAATTGTCCAATCAATGCCAGTGATAAGGGAAAAGGAACCCTCACACTAAGTTCTTTTGATAATAATTACCACAATTTTGTATTCACTTCCATTCTAACACAGCTCTATAATACTTCAAATTTCACTTCTTTCCTCAATATGTTAACTATAGTTACCTCAGTAGATCCACATGTCCTCTATCACCGCTTCCCAAATATACAAAAAGATAACCCTGTTACCTTTGTTTTATAAAAAATTAAAAAAAAAAAAATAGAGACAGGATCTCACTTTGTTGCCCAGGTTGGTCTCAAACTTGTGGGCCTCAGTGATCCTCCTCCCACCTCGGCCTCCCAAAGTGCTGGGATTACAGGTGTGAGCCACTGTGCCCGGCCAACTCTATTAACTTTCGATTATTGCTCATTCCTTCTTTAGCACAGGGGTAAAATGTAAATACATTTTAGAAACTTTAATTCTGTGCTTATGTTTTGATTAGACTCTAGCAAAACTTTAACTCTGAGAAGATATGTAGTAACATAGTTAAATGGATGGTTAATATGCCAAACAATGCTCTAAATCATGTCATAGACACTGTCATATGTAAACCTCACAGCCTGTGTAACAATAGCCCCATCTTACAGTTGAGGAAGGGCAGGCTGGAGAACATTTAGTAGCTTTTAAGTGGCAGATCCAAAACCCAGGTCTGCCAGACCCCAGAGTCCATGCATGTCCTTCACCTCTATGCTTCCTATGCTGCAGTGCCTCTCCAAACTGAAGACTGTTCCTACCAAAGCATGGGGCAGGAGGGGGATAGACTGTATCAAGATAATTTATATAAGTGAATTAATTATAATAATGGGATGGAACAGGAGTGGAATGGGGAATAAAACCAAGAGCAGACTTCTTGTTGGCTGACTCTTTAAGAGCTCGATATCCTTTGAGTATCTTAATTGTAAAGGTCTTAAACCTATGAGGCAAGTAATCCAGATATTCGTTTTGCACAAAACTACCTTAATAAAATTTTCCACACCATCAACTATGATGGCAGTCTAAATCCAAAAACTGCTCACTATATAAAAATGAAAAGGAAGCCATACTTACAATAGCCTTGAGCAGAAACCATGCCAAGAGACAGAGAGGACAAATTAGTATGAAGCAAACACAGCAGCCAAGAGAAGCAACGATTTAGTAATTCATGAACAGAAGTAAAAGATAAGTACTTTCTTTTTTCAGACGGAGTCTCGCTCTGTTGCCCAGGCTGGAGTGTAGTGGCGCAATCTCTGCTCACTGCAAGCTCCGCCACCCAGGTTCATGCCATTCCCCTGCCTCAGCTTCCCGAGTAGCTGGGACTACAGGTACCCGCCACCATGCCTGGCTAATTTTTTTTGTATTTTTAGTAGAGATGGGGTTTCACCATGTTAGTCAGGATGATCTCGATCTCCTGACCTCGTGATCTGCCCGCCTCGGCCTCCCAAAGTGCTAGGATTACAGGCATGAGCCACTGTGCCCAGCCCAAGATATGCACTTTTAAAAGAAATGTACATTTTTCTTTTTTCTACCGTCTCCTCATCCTGTCTTGTTCTCTGAAGTTTTATATATTGTGGCTAGCTCAAATTATCCATATGGCTGGATATAACAATGTTTTTCTGCTTCCATGCTAAAAACAAATTACATAAAAATAATAATAAAAATGTGCAACCCCTTCTACTCCGACTTAAGATCACATGAAAGGACTGTGCTTTTGATAACAGAAGCTGGCAGAAATTATGTTGTTCTTCTCCAGAGGGGACCACTTCCTTTGGCAGGTTGCTTTATGTGTTGCACATTCCCGAGATGCAACACTTTAAGTTAGAGAAAGAGAAAGGTAAGACAAAAACATAAAAATATTTGCTGGGGCAAGAACCATATATCCTGTATTGTACTACTTATTTCTCTAAGCCATTTGGAGGCACAGTTTCAGCTATCTGAATCTTTTCTACATATAGAAAAGAACTCAGAGCAAAGTTCTGCTTAGTTTACAGCAAGACATTGGCATCTGGACAGTCAAATAAATGGACTAGTTTATGTAAATAGTACTTGACAGGGCTAGCATCTCACTTCTGAAATACGTTCTGTTAAAGTAATGGCCCACAGCATATTTAATTAGATTTGATTACCATAGCGATACCTAATCAAGCTATGCCAAATTATCTTTTGAAGAATAAATGCTTTTATTTATGTTTTAATGTAAGAGAACCATGCACAATGGCCATCATTGTAACACTGAAGTTTAAGCTGATTCTGATATTTCACCATTTTTACTTCCTATGTACCACATGCCCTTCCCTCACTCCCATAACAAATCAATAAAAGTCTCCTCAGACTTTTAGAGACCAGAATGGATTTTACGTTTTTCTCAGTTTAAAGGACCTAGTGATTTCACTGAATTAAGAAATGTTGCCCCATTCAGTTCATCTCTAAGATACTTAATTAGGCTTAATAATATTTCAATACACTAATGGTAGTTTTGTTTCACCTCTTTGTGATTTCGCATTTTGAATAAAAACATGTTTTAAATTTTAATAAGGGCATAAGGAAGTTTAAATGTTGGTGACAGTTTTAGGAATCAGAAATCAATCTGGGAATCTAACAAGGACTGCCAACACATTGATTAAGGGATGAGCTAACATCACCCATGTTAGAATGAAGGACATGTTGCCAATATACATGAGATGATGTCTGGAGAAACTCATTAAGCTAGGCCATGGATGAGCTTTCTATATCTAGTATTCACAAGTTTTAAGTAACATACTTAACTCCCTTTCTTCGGTTCCTTTTGTTTTTATATCCTCTTATGTTAATAAGGCGAAATGGAATTGGCTACATCTATAGTTTTGAAGTTAATCCTCCAAAATGACTCTATCAATGGAAACAAACGTTTATGCTCAAATGCCAGAGTTTACAGCAAATTACATTGGTAACAGGAAAAAAACAAAACATCTGGTTGAAGCAAAGACTGATCACCAAAATTTTGTTTTTTCTCCTCTTTACACTATTTTTGAACACTCTAAGTCTTAGCTCGGTTGTTTACTGTTCATTAAACATAAAGGATTTGCAAAATTTGACTTACTTACACTTTTGCCGGAGATAGACGACTATGTGCTACCTGAGTACTGTGATAGAAGGTTAACACGCAGGTGTGAAGAAAGGCAGTCCTTGGCTAATACATTTACACTATTCTAGTGCAAGTGTGCAGAGCTGTGACAGAGATGCAGAGTGCTGGGGGATGTGCAAAAAAGGGCCAGTGTCGGGGAACAGAAGGAGTAAGAGGGATTCAGAGATTTAGAGAAAATGCAATACTAGGGACGGCAGTATTTTCTTAAAGTCACTGTTACATTAAAAATTTCTACTTGAACACTCCAAATTCCCACTAGCAATTTTTTTTTTGGCCAAAGGGGAAAAACCCTACACTTCATCTTTGAACACTGAGTTGAGCACATTTAAAACATAAAGCCTCAATTAATTCTTCAGTTGGTAACTAGAAATGAACTTCTAATTCCCAGCAGAGCGAATCTGAAGAGACAATAAAGTACTATCTGGTCCTTTTTATAAGGAATGTTAGTAAAAAGGAAAACACTATTTCTTTTCTATAACCAATATAATACTAAATTATTTTGACAAAAAACATCAAATAAAAAATAAAAGTTATTTCTCAACATTGTGAAACTGATGGACCATCGTTGGTACATATTAAAACTTACATCTTCTGCTTTTGAGCCTTGATCCTGTAAAGATTTTTGTAATTCTTCAACTTGTGACTGTACTTCCAGAAGTCTTTGATTCACCAGCCTAGAAATGAAATGTACATTAATTTTCCAAGTGGTGAGTTACGTATGCCTTTTTTCCCTAGGTTGTCATATTAGTTAGAAAGTATAATTAGCAAAATCAAGTCTCATGTTATAGCAGTAGTAGTATAGTAGTGGCCTAATGTCATGAGTGGCAGCTTACTTTTCTGATTATTTTTGGTATTGCTTGAAATTTCGAATGATGACTTCTAACACAGTGTTTGGGTGGGCACATATTTTAGAACCAATGTACTTATGCATATTAATTTCTCTGAAATTCACTTCAATACATGTTTATGAAGACTATGTCTCAAGGACTGTGCTCAGCACTAGTATTAAAAGATCTCTGCACTCAGGAAGTGGGTGGTGGCCCATGCCAGCACTTTGGGAGGCCAAGGTGGATGGACTGCATGAGCTCAGGAGTTTGAGGCCAGCCTGGCCAGCATGGTGAAACTCCATCTCTACCAAAAATAGAAAAATTAGCCAGGCATGGTGGTAAGCACCTGTAAGTCCCAGCTACTTGTGGGGATGAGGTAGGAGGATCGCTTGAGCCCAGGAGGTCGAGGCTGAAGTGAGCTGTGTTCGTGCCACTGCACTCCAGTCTGGGCAACACAGTGAGACCCTGCCTCCCAAAAAAAAAAAAAAAAAAAAAAAAAAAAGATCCCTGCCCTCACGGAATTAAAGTCTAGTGGGGAGGAAAAAGTGTAAACAAATAAAATACAATCAGATAAAAACTTCAAAGTAGTACATAGATGCATATAAAAATGATGGTCAAAGAAGCAATAACTCTCTGGAGGAGTTAAAATACTCTGGGCTTGAAATGAGACTAGAACAATAAATAAAACATCTATGAGTTAAGGGTGGAAAGGAGATTCAAGACAGAGGTCAGTATGTCCAAAGTATGCAGAAAAATAAGAGGATGCAGTGAATTCAGGAATGGTATAGATGATGAGTATGTTATGAGAGGAAGAAAGGCCGGAGAGAAACTGGGGGAAAAGGAGATCAGCACAACCCTGTATGGAATACAAAGTGTCTGCTGGGATTATCCTGTAATCAGCAAGCCTCAAGTCAGGCTGAAACTGGAACAACTCAGATAACCTTAAATAACGCTGATTCCACGGCTTGACTTTCTTTTTTCTTTTTCTTTTTCTTTTTTTTTTTTTTTTTTGAGACGGAGTCTCCTTCTGTTGCCCAGGCTGGAGTGCAATGGTGCAATCTCAGCTCACTGCAACCTCCGCCTCCCAGGCTCAAGCAATCCTCGTGCCTCAGCCTCCTGAGTAGTTGGGATTACAGATGCGCACCACCATGCCTGGCTAATTTTTGTATTTTTAGTAGAGACGGGGTTTCACTATGTTGATCAGGGTGGTCTCGAACTCCTGACCTCAGGTGATCCACCTGCCTCGGCCTCCCAAAGTGCTGGGATTACAGGCATGAGCCACCGCGCCTGGCCCATGGCTTGACTTTCATAAATTCTCTAGGTCATGATGCAACATTCAGGAGACCAGCTTACCTCCCAAGGTCTTGGGTGATACTGAAGGATTGCAAGAAGGGAAAACATGGTCAGACAGACCACACAGGTAGTATGTCAGACAGATCACTTTGGTTTTAAAATGGAAGATAGTATCAAAAAGGTTCAAGAGCAGGCATGAAGATGAGAGAAGGCTATTATTATTATTATTACTAAATATGCCTGAAATAGAAAGGGACAGAGGAGGAAATAGAAAGGGACAGACGAACTATCTTGAGAAAAGGCAAAAGAATATAAGGATTTTGGTATTCGCTGAGAAGGGAAGACAAAAGGAATAGGATAAGAAAGAAATATAGGAATCTGATTTTACATTTGTTGAAAATGAAATGCCTAGAAATTTGTCAAACAGCTAGATACCTCAATCTAAAGCAGAGAGAAGCCTGAGTTGAACATACAGATTTGGGAGCCATGTGGAGTTAACTGAGGCCATGAGCAAAAATGATATTGTCTAGAAAGAATGTGAAAAACAGTGTAAAAGACTAACAAAGAAGGCCCATGGCGGATCAATCAAGGGGTAGAAAGAGGAACCTCACCCTGAAGAATATCAGAGAATGAGAGAGAATGTAAGAGATGGGTATTATTGAAATAAAAAATTTGAAGAAGGGGGAACTGAATAACAACACTGAATATAGTAGAAAGGTGAGGAAAGATAAAAGTCTTGAGTGCTGCTATGGGATTGGCCATTTAAGAGATGACCAGTTATCTTAGTAAGAAATACTTTCGTGAAATGGTAGTAGCAGAAGCCAGACTGCTCCAAATTAAGGAGAAAACAAGACAATGAGTGTTTAGAATCCAAACAGCCAAACAGTTTAATAAGAAATGCTTTTACTTAAATTATAAGAAATTATAGGTTTATAATTTAGAAAGGATCACAGTAAAAATTTAATTAAAGCTATAACTTTTTCACATCAAGGTAAAAAAATCTGAGTGGTTTTGAGTAACAAAAGAATAAATTACCTGAAAAATCCACATTCAATATGGGGACACAGGTCCATAAACACATTACTAGTAATACCACAATACTGTTCACTCTTTTCAGAAAGCAAAATGGAAATATGTATTCAACTAAAAGATTATTTCAACTATCCATCTTAGTCATTTTTGAGATTATTTCATCAAACAATACTGTAAGCCAACTAGGCGGAAGCCATTGTAAACATCATAAAACACAATCCAGTATGTACCAAGATGTTCTTTGGAATGGTTTAAAAACAGCTAAATTCTCTCAATGGGGAATAGGTGAGCAAAAATAGTAATGTAACTGTTAAAGTATGCAGTATGTAAGCAACATAAATATAAGAAAATATTTATGAAAAAAGTACATCTAGAAAATACTCAAAAAATTGAAATAATATCAAGTATCTTCTCTGAACACAATAAAACTAGAAATCAGTTAACAAAAGAAATTTTACAAACTATACAAACACATGGAAATTCAACAATATGTTCCTGAATGACCAGTGGGTCAGTGAAGAAATCAACAAGGAAACTGAAAAATTTATTGAAACAAATGATAATGGAAACACAACATACCGAAATCTATGGGATACAGCAAAAGCCGTAGTAAGAGGGAAATTTATGGGCACAAGTACCTACATCAAAAAAGAGAAAACCTTCAAATAAACAACCTAACGATGCCACTGAATGAACTAGAAAAGGAAGAGCAAACCAAACCCAAAATTAGTAGAAGAAATAATAAAGATAAGAGCAGGCTGGGTGTGGTGGCTCACATCTATAACCCCAGCACTTTGGGAGGCCAATGTGGGTGGATCACTTGAGGTTAGGAGTTTGAGACAAGCCTGGCCAACATGGTGAAACTCCATCTCTACTAAAAATACAAAAATTAGCCGGGGGTGGTGGTGCACGCCTATAGTCCCAGCTACTCTGGAGGCTGAGGCAGGAGAATCACTTGAACCCAGGAGGTGGAGGTTGCATGAGCCGAGATCGCGCCACTACACTCCAGCCTGGGTGACAGAGTGAGACTCTGTCTCTAAATAAACAAATAGATAAAAAATAAGGATCAGAGCAGAAATAAATGAATTTGAAATGAAGAAAACAATACAAAAGAGCAACAAAACAAAAACCAGTTTTTTGAAAAGATAAATTGACAAACCTTTAGCCAGACTAAGAAAAAAAGAGAGAAGACCCAAATAAATAAAATCAGAGACAAAAAAACGAGACATTACAACTGATACCGGAGAAATTCAAAGGATTACTGGTTATTATGAGCAACTATATGCCAAAAAATTGAAAAATCTAGAAGAAATGGATAAATTCCTAGACACATATGATCTACCAAGATTGAATCATGAAGAAATCCAAAACCTGAACAGACCAATAGCAAGTAATGAGATTGAAGCCATAATAAAAAGTCTACCAATAAAGGCCCCAGATCCGATGACTTCACTGGCAAATTCTACAAAACATTTAAAGAAGAACTTATACCAATCCTACTCAAACTATTCTGAAAAACAGAGGAAGAAGGAATACCTCCAAACTCATTCTATGTGGCAAATATTACCCTGATACCAAAACGAAACAAAGACACATCAAAAGAAAAAAAACAAAACAAAACTATAGGCCAGGCATAGTGGCTCACGCCTGTAATCCCAACACTTTGGGAGGCCAAGGCAGGTGGATCACCTGATGTCAAGAGTTCGAGACCAGCCTGGCCAACACGGTGAAAACCTGGCTCTACTAAGCTACTGCACTCCAGCTTGGGCGACAGAGTAAGACCCTGTCTTAAAAATATATATATAAGTATAGGCCAATATAACTAATGAATATTGATGCAAAAATCCTCAATAAAATACTGCAAACCAAATTCAACAACACATTAAAAAGATCATTTATTATGACCAAATGGGATTGATCCCAGGTATGCAAGGATGGTTCAACATCCTCATACCAACTAATGTGACACATTATATCAATAGAATAAAGGACAAAGACCATATGATCATTTCAATTGATGTTGAAAAAGCATTTGATAAAATTCAATGACAATTCATGATAAAAACTCTCAAAAAACTAGGTATAAAAGGAACATACCTCAACATAATAAAAGTTACATACGAGAGACCCATAGCTAGTATCATACTGAATGGGGAAAAACTGAAAGTCTCTCCTCTAAGATCAGGAACAGGACAAGGATGCTCACTTTCACCCTGTTATTCAACACAGTACTAGAAGTCCTAGCCAGAGCAATCAGACAAGAGAAAGAAATAAAGGGCATCTAAATTAGAAAGGAAGAAGTCAAATTACAAATCAACATACAAAAATCAGTAACATTTCTTTTTTTTTTTTTTTTTTTTTGAGATGGAGTCTCTGTCACCAGGCTGCAGGGCAGTGGCGTGATCTCAGCTCACTACAACCTCCACCTCCTGCATTCAAGCAATTCTCCTGCCTCAGCCCTCTGAGTAGCTGGGACTACAGGTGTGCACCACCACACCCAGCTAATTTTTGTATTTTTAGCAGAGACGGGGTTTCACCATGTTGGCCAGGATGGTCTCAATCTCCTGACCTTGTGATCCGCCCGCCTCAGCCTCCCAAAGTGCTGGGATTACAGGGAAGAGCCACCGCACCTGGCCAAAAATCAGTAACTTTTTTTTTTTTTTTTTTTTTTTGAGACAGAGTCTCACTCTGTCGCCCAGGCTGGAGTGCAGTGGCATGATCTCAGCTCACTGCAAGCTGCACCTCCCAGGTTCATGCAATTCTCCTGCCTCAGCCTCCTGAGTAGTTGGGACTACAGGCGCTCACCACCACGCCTAGCTAATTTTTTGTATTTTTAGCAGAGACGGGGTTTCACCGTGTTCGCCAGGATGGTCTCAATCTCCTGACCTCGTGATCCACCCGCCTCGGCCTCCCAAAGTGCTGGGATTACAGGCATGAAACACCGGGCCCAGCCAAAAATCAGTAACATTTCTATAGGCCAACAGCAAACAATCTGAAAAAGAAATCAAGAATCCCATTTATGATCACTACAGATAAAATAAAATACCTAGGAATTAAGCAAAGAAGTGAATGAGCTCTACAATTAAAACTAAAAAACACTGATGCAAGAAATTGAAGACACAAAAAAATGGAAAGATATTCTATGTTCATGAATTAGAAGAATCAGTATTGTTAAAATGTCCATGCTGGGTGCGGTGGCTCACATCTGTAATCCTAGCTCTTAGGGAGGCAAAGGCAGGAGGATAGCCTGAGCCCAGGGGTGTGAGACCTGCCTGGGCAATTTAGTGAGACCCAGTTCTCCACTAAAAGGAAAAAAAAAACAAAAACAAAGTACTCAGTATGTCCAAGTGCCATGTGTTGGCATATTGTTGGCCAGACGCAGTGGCTCACGCCTGTAATCCCAGCACTTTGGGAGGCTGAGGTGGGTGGATCACCTGAGGTCAGGAGTTCGAGACCAGCCCAGCCAACCGGGCAAAACCCTGTCTCTACTAAAATACAAAAATTAACTGGGCGTGGTGGCTCATGCCTGTAGTCCCAGCTACTCAGAAGGCTGAGGGAAGAGAATTGCTTGAACCTGGGAGGTGGAGGTTGCAATGAGCTGAGATAGTGCCAGTGCACTCCAGCCTGGGTGACAGAGACAGACTCTATCTCCAAAAGGAAAAAAAAAAAAAAAAAAAGGTCCATACTATCCAAAGCTATCTATCTACAGATTCAAAACAATCCCTATCAAAATAACAATGATATTCTTCACAGAAATAGAAAAAACAATCCTAAAATTTATATGGAACCACAGAATACCCAGAATAACCAAAGCTATTCTAAGCAAAAAGAACAAAACTAGAGGAATCATGTTACCTGACTTCAAATTATACTACAGAGCTATAGTAACCAAAACAGCATGGCACTTACATAAAAACAGACACATAGACCAGTGGAACAGAAAAGAGAAGTCAGAGATAAATCTATACACCTACAGTGAACTTATTTTGACAAAGATGCCAAGAACATACTCTGGGGAAAGGGCAGTCTCTTTGATAAAAGGTACTGGATATCATTATGCAAAATAATGAAACTAGACCCCCTATCTCTTGCCATATGCAAAGATCCAATCAAAATGGATCAAAGATTTAAATCTCAGACCTGAAAATAATAAAACAAAACTGGACATTGGTGTGGGCAAAGATTTCTTGAGTAATACTCCATAAGCCCAAGGAACCAAAGGAAAAAGGAGCAAATGGGATCACATCAAGTTAAAAAGCTTCTGCATAGCAAAGGAAACAATCAACAAAGTGAGAGACAACCGACAGAATGGGTGAAAATACATGCAAACTCCCCATCTCACAAGGGATGACTAACCAGAATATATAAGGAGCTCAAACAACTCTACAGGAAAAACTCCAATAATCCGATTTTAAAAATAGGCACAAGGAGAGCTGGGCATGGTGTCTCATCCCTGTAATCCCAGCACTTTGGGAGGCTGAGGTGGGTGGATTGCTTGAGCCCAGGAGTTTAAGACTAGCCTGGGCAACATGGCGAAACCCCATCTCTACAAAAAAATAGAAAAAATTAGCTAGCCATGGTGGACATGCCTGTAATCTCAGCTACTTGGAAGATGAGGTGGGAAGATCGCTTGAGCCCGGGCTGTCAAGGCTGCAGTGAGCTGTGATTGTGCCACTGCATTCCAGCCTGGGTGAAGGAGTGAGATCCTCAAAAAAAAAAAAAAAAAAAAAAAAAAAAAAAAAAAAAGATCTAAACAGATATTTATTTCTCAAAAGAGGCTGGATATGGTGGTTCATGCCTATAATCCCAGCACTTTCGGAAGCTGAGGTGGGAGGATCCCTTGAGTCCAGGAGTTTGAAACCAGCCTGGGCAACATAGGGAGACCCTGTCTCTCCAGAAAATTAAAAAATCAGCCAGGCATGGTGGTGTGTACCTATAGTTCCAGCTACTTAGAGGCTGACATGGAAGGACAGTTTGAGCCTGGGAGGTTGAGTCTACAGTGAGCTGTGATCATACCACTGCAGTCCAGCCTGGGCGACAGAGTAAGATCCTGTCTCAAAAAAATAAAATAAAATAAAAAAATTAATAGGCACAGAAAATGTGGTATATGTAGATGTAGACAATGTAGCACTATTTAGCCATAAAAAAGAATGAAATCCTGTCATTTGCAAAAACATGCATGAAACTGAAGGTCATTATGTTAAGTGAAATAACAGGCACAGGAAGACAAACTTCACATGCTCTCACTTATTTGTGGGAGCTAAAAATTAAAAAAATTAAACTCATGGAGCTTGAGAGTAGATGGGATGGTTACCAGAGGCTGGGAAGGGTAGTGGGGAGAGGTTAATGGGTACATAAAAATAGAAAGAATGAATAAGACCTAGTATTTCCTAGCGCAACAAAGTGACTATAGTAAAAAATAATGTAATTGTACATTTAAAAATAACTAAAGAGTATAATGGGATTGTTCGTAACATAAATGATAAATGCTTGAGAGGATGGATAACCCATTTACCCCAATATGATTATTATGCACTGCATGCCTGTATCAAACTATCTCATGTAACTCATAAATATATATACCTACTATGTACCCACAAAAATAAAAAAAATAAAAAGTTCATCTACAAAATAAATGAGGATTATAATGCCTACCTCATGGGGTTGTTTAAAAGACTTAAGTGTGCCTAGCAGAGTCCCTGCATATTGCAGGTATTCTATCAATGTGAATTGCCTCTACCTTCTTTCTCCCACTTCAGGGATTGAGATAGTTAACATTTTAATCAAAGTCTAATTGCTGAATATATACAGCTGTGGGATGCAGGGACAGGGTGAGCTTGAGATTATAGCACAGTCTGAGAGGTACAGAAACAAGATCAGGTCTACTTTGACAGAATTCCTGGGGAATCCTGATGTGGCTTCCCCCTCAACCCTCCACCCTCTTCTAATATTGTTTGAGGATTGGCAGGTATTACAGATACACTAAAGTGCTCACTCTTGGGAAAACTAATTGGAAAGGACTTCAGAGGTCTACGACAGACTTTGCTTTCTGACAGGTGACATACATGGGCAGTGAGCAAACTGTAACAGACTCAGTGGGACCCAATGTTGTCAACTAGTAGGATATTAAGTTAGAGTCAAGGTAATATAAATACTCATTAAATTCAGTAAGAACAAACTTAGGGTAAGTCATTTAGGAGAAAAAACATCCTGTGAGAGGAAGACAGGAAAAGGAATAAATATTGTGCAAACATAGTAGAAGATAAATTGGCAAGAAAGAGGGTATGGACTAGGTATGGAGGCTTTGGAGTCAGGCAGCCAGGGTCTTGAGTCTGAGTTCCCTCATCTGTAAAACTTTCATAAAGTAAGAAAGCATATTTAAGACACCCAGCACAATGCCTGAGACAAACAGGTGCTTAGTAAATATTACCTGTTATTATCGTTATAGATCATAGGCAGCCATAATCTAAGTTATTCATCGTCAGTGTTGTAATTTAAGAAACAATCACAACACTAAGTTGTACCAGCGGTAAGTCACACAGGAACTTGGGTGGTGATTAGTCATCCACAGACATGGACACTGTATAAATGACAATTGGCTGTCCTGTCTCTGGGAAAAAGAGCAACAATTATAAAGCCTGTGAGAAACAACACAAAGCAGTATGAAGAAAGTTGTGGGTGCTTTCTCACTAAAAAAATACTAGGGTAGGGAGAGACTTTTCTGTCTAAAATGGCTAAAATACAGCCCAGAGGCAAAGGATGAATGAGGCGAACATCAAGACACTTGCACCAGAGGGACTGCCCACCCGCCAGCTGCTCCCGCAATCTCCTCCGCTCCACTGTCTCCATTTCCCACTTTTTCTGAGTACTTTAAAAAATCCCTCATTTCTCTAGACTCCTCAGAGTTGATGTAAAATTTTCTCCTTCTGTTTATGCTTGATGGTGCTCTTATAATCACTCTAGCATTTATACTGATTTACACTGTTTGTTGATTCTATCTCAGTAGCTTTAAAATGTAAAGCTATAGGAAAAAGGGTAGGATGGATACAACTGTCACAGCAATTGTGACTCCTAAGATTGACCTCCAACTGGGAGAAGCCAAATCAATCACTCAAAATAAACAAATAATCTGTAATGTCAGGTGAGCTATGAAGCTATTAATAAAAACGTCAAATCCTTAAAAAATGACAGAGTATCACTGCAGTAAAACAAAAACAGCGCAAAACAAAACAAAAAAAGAAAAAAAAACTGTATGTTTGTGATCTAAGAAACATTTCCAAAAAGGAAAAGAACAAAAAGACAGTCACAACAAAATATAAATGTAACCCTTGTCAGAGTAAATCACTGATTTTAAAGTGACTGACTTTGAGTGAATAGCACCATGTTGCTGAAAACTTACAAGCAGAAAAGTGATTTTCCTGTTAATTTTGCAAATTCTAAATTCTCAAAATAAGTCAGTTGTTCCTAAGATGAATCATTTCCTTTTAGGGTCACAATAAATAACAGATTAGAAGAAAAATGCTTTGTCAATCCAATTACGAGGGAGCTACTGCTCTCCCCACACCAACAGAGCTCCAACACACTGGCCTGTGGAAATGGTAAACTCTATTAGCCCGACAACAACTGTGAATTGAAATTCTTGTGAAAGACTGAATTATCGGATTTTTAAAAATCCTCTAGTTTTAATTAGTGATTAGAAAGGGTAAATGGTAGAGCTCTGGTATCATTTTGCATGAAGAAGTAAAGAGGACAACACCATTCTAAAAAGGCCCAATGTTTTTTGGCAAGTCTGCCCAAAAGTGGAGAAACGGATTCAAGTTCTCTAAAAGGGAAAGAGAACAGCACATGGCCATTTTTCAAACTACAATTCAGATCTTTGTTGTTGGTTTTTTTGTTTGTTTGTTTGTTTTGAGACAGAGTTTTGCTCTATTGCCCAAGCTGGAGTGCAGTGGTGTGGCCTTGGCTCACTGCAACCTCTGCCTCCTGGGCTCAAATGATCCTTCTACCTCTGCCTCCTGAGTAGCTGGGACCACAGGCATGCACCACCATGCCTGGCTAATTTTTGCATTTTTTTGTAGAGATGGAGTTTCATTCACCATGTTGCCCAGGCTGGTCTTGAACTCCCGAGCTCAAGCGATCTGCCCTCCTGGGCCTCCCAAAGTGCTGGGATTACAGGCGTGAGCCACCATGCCCTGCCAGTTCTTTGTTTAAGGGATTCAGAATCAAGGCAAATAGGGAAAACTTATAGCCAGATGCGGCCACCTATAATACTCTACCTATTCTCTGTCTCCAGTTCATTCTTGCGTAGATTTGCATCATCTAGAAGGCTCTGCAATAAGGCTATTTTTTCATTGTCCGAACCTTCTTGGTTAAGCTTTAACATCTTATTCTCATGCTGAAGACGAATAAGTTTCTCCCTGAATGAACAAAATAAAAACTAAATATTATATACACAGTCATTTGGTGCATTAATATACAACACAGGTATCAAATCCAGCTAAGCACTCTTACAAATTTAATACCAGAACAGAAATGAAAAATAAAGAACCTGCAACAAATTCAGCTATTATAGCTGGTAAAGACATTACATTTCAGGTTTTAAATATTTTCTTTATAGAAATAATACAGTCTCTAAATATCATGATTTGTCATAAATATGATTTCAAAATCCTATTTCTTCCCTGATTTAAATATTTAAACTATGAATGCATTTATTTATTTATCTGATTCTTATCAGAGAACATAATCTCTAATGATGCTATGATCTTAAATTATCAATCATTTGGTGGCAAGATACTATATTTGACAAGAATCACTTCAAGACATTCAGTCTACCCATTCCTGAAATATGTAAAATTAAATTCTTGAAACAAGCCAGATCATTACAATCAGGTTACTGGACTGCACTGTTTTGGACTCTGTATAAGCCAAAAACTTACATTAAGGGATATTAAAAACAGTATCCATACAGAACTTGCCACCATATTTACTGCAGGGACAATATAATTAAATGTTAGTTCATATGAAGACATACTTGTTGAAGATATAATTCATTCTTTTCTTTACACAGGGTCATCTTTAGAGGGCCCCATGAAGATAGTATGAACAGATACCAAACACTATGAAAAGCTGTGGAAAAGCTTCTTGTGGATAAAGAAAAATCAAAGAAAGAAAGAAACATAGACACACACGCATTGCTCTTATTTTGTAAACACAATAAATCTTTTACTTTTGCTACTGAAAAGATGAACCAAATCTGTGATCTAATTCAAGCAACTATTTAGAATTTGATGTATTTTATTATGGGCAACATGGACTTTTTTTTTTTTTTGAGACGGGGTCTCTGTCACCCAGGCTGAAGTGCAGTGGTACGATCTCAGCTCACTGCCACCTCCACCTCCTGGGTTCAAGCAATTCTTCTGCCTCAGTATGGGCAACATGGACCGTATATTTTTCAGTTACAAAGTAAACACATACATTGTACGGAAAAGAAGACAAATGAAAAGAAAATATAAACCCTCCATAACTATAGCACAAAATGACTACTGCTGAAATATAGCCTTCTAATTCTATGCACGTATACTCACATGCAAACATTTTTCAAATGGGATCACACAGTACATGTACATTGGTACCTGCTATTTACACCTAAAATTTCACAATCTTTTTATATCATTAAATATACTTGAATATTTTAAATGACATGACATTAAAATCGTTACTTATTTAATAAACCCCCAATTATTGGGCATTTAGATTGCTGCCAATTTTGAGCTTTAACAAGTCAATAAGATTAGCTTTATAAATATACTTCTCTGTATATCCTTGGTTTTCCTTAGGATTAAACTCCCAGAAAAGTAATTTTTGGATCAAAAGATAGGTGCATTTTTAGACAACAGACACATCCTGCCAGTCTCCCCAAAAGAAAGGTTGTACCACTTTAATCTTTTCCCTTCAGTTTATGAGATCTCCAATTTGTCCACACTCTTAACATCAATGAAAAGTATCAAATATTAACCCACTGTCTAAAACATGTTGCAAAATTTTCGTCCCAGTTTATCATTTTTCCTTGATAGCTCTCTTCTGGACACAGAGCATATTTTAATCCGTATCTAGTCATACTCAGAAAAGCCATATTTGCTGAATCTTTATCATCATTGTTCTTTTTTTTCAGACAGAATCTAGCTGTCGCCCAGGCTGGAGGACTGTGGCGCAATCTAGGCTCACTGCAACCCTGCCTCCTGGGTTCAAATGATTCTCGTGCCTCAGTTTCCTGAGTAGCTGGGATTACAGGCGTGTGCTAGCACACCCAGCTAATTTTTTTGTATTTTTAGCAGTGACAGGGTTTTGCCATGTTGGCCAGGATGGTCTTGAACTCCTGGCCTCAAGTGATCCGCCTGCCTTGGCCTCCCGAAGCGCTGGCATTTTGGATGTGAGCCACCACACCTGGCCTATCATTGTTCTTAGTTTAAAAAACCAACTGTATTACCAATAAGTTTCCTTAAAAATTGTGAGTTGTTTTGGACATAACCACTTATTTATAAATGTTCATAAATACGTGTTCATTTATTCAACAAATCTTATTGGTTCAATTATAAAGTAGCATATCAGATGGCAGAAAAGAAAAAGGTACACAAAATACTTCCAGATTTGGTGCTGCCTTAACACGCCTTTTGTTTGTACTTCTTATTTTTTTTTTTTTTGAGATGGAGTTTCACTCTTGTTGCCCAGACTGGAGTGCAATGGCGCGATCTCGGCTCACCGCAACCTCTGCCTCCTGGGTTCAAGTGATTCTCCTACCTCACCCTCCCGAGTAGCTGGGATTACCGGCATGCATCACCAAGCCCAGTTAATTTTGTACTTTTTAGTAGAGACAGGGTTTCGCCATGTTGGTCAGGCTGGTCTTGAACTCCTGACCTCAGGTGATCCACCCACTTTGGCCTCCCAAAGTGCTAGGATTACAGGAGTGAGCCACCGTGCCCAGCCCATTTGTCCTTCTTAAACAAATGCTAACCAACAACTACAAATTGTTTCCATTTATGCAAAAAATATTTGAATGCTTATTTCAACTTTTACAGTGTATGAAACCCTTACACAATTGTTATTTAATATCCACCAAGGAGTTTATGAAGAAGCAAGGCCAGTGTCCATTTTGAAAAGGGGCAAATAGGCCCCAAAAAGGTAAAAAGCAATATTCAGAATTAATCAGTCTCCTTTTAATGGACAATTGGTGTCTCCCCCACTTATTTTTCATTTTTACACATAAAGCTAGTTATGCATAAAAATAAATGAAACTGGCTGGGTGCGGCGGCTTACACCTGTAATCCCAGCACTTTGGGAGGGCAAGGCAGGCAGATCACTTCAGCTCAAGGAGTTCAAGACCAGCCTGGGAAACATGGCAAAACCCAGTCTCTACAAAAAATAGCCAGGCGTGGTGGCACGCGCCTGAGATCCCAACTACTAAGCAGGCTGAGGTAGGAGGATTGCTTGAGCCCAGAAGGTCAAGGCTGCAGTGAGCCGTGACTGTGCCACTGCACTCCAGCCTGGGTGACAGAGCAAGACCTTGCCTCTAAATAAATAAATAAATGGAATTTTTAAAATGCTATGATTAAAAATATAAGGTATGATTGAGGGAAGAATAGTTAAGATGGGGAGTCATTTCCTCCTGTCTATAGCATTATTATCTTTCCCAGACCTTTCCGTGTGGTTAGCAGATAAACCTTTTTTTTTTTTTTTTTGAGACAGAGTCTCACTCTGTCCCCCAGGCTGGAGTGCAGTGGCGCAACTTCAGCTCACTGCAAGCTACGCCTCCTGAGTTCACACCATTCTCCCGCCTCAGCCTCCCGAGTAGCTGGGACTACAGGCACCCGCCACCACACATGGCTAATTTTTTGTATTTTTTGTAGAGACAGGGTTTCACCGTGTTAGCTAGGATGGTCTCGATCTCCTGACCTTGTGATCCACCCGCCTCAGCCTCACAAAGTGCTGGGATTGCAGGCGTGAGCCACCAAGCCCAGCTGGTTAGCAGATAAATCTTAATAACTAATAATTTTGCATGCTTATAGCTAAGCATAACTATTGTCTACAGGCCAAATGTATTCATTGCTTAATGTCTGCTGAGGATACTCAAGCTTTGGACATAACAATTGGCTTTATATGTGTGAAAGATTGTCTTATTGAAGTGAGCAAATCAATTTTCCGTAGGCCAGTGGAAGAAAGCTTTTAACATGTTGAAAACATAAAAATTTAACACTGAGTTCATGTTGAAAGTGTCGGTGAGAAAGAATAAGGAAATTATCTTCTTCATATTGTAGAGAAGTACGTTTTCTCCAAGAATACTGTGCAGTGTAAGTGTGAACACCACAATCTCCTTACCTGATTTCAGGTGTAACAATCTCTGCAGCTAGACTGTCTGAAGACTCCTGACTTCCAAGAGGCATTAACCCTGTAAATATACAAACATAAATATAAGGCTAATGGAAAACACAGTTACACAACTTTCGATATGAAACCCTACTTTGAGCATTAATTTTAACAGCAAAAATCATTTTCAAGTAAAGGACCACGTCACAGTGGTCTTAAAATATTATTAAGTATTATTATTTTACCATTTTAAGCATTTTTAAGTGTGCAACAGAATGGCATTCAGTATATTCACAATGTTGTGTAACCATCACTACTACCTATTTTCAAAACTTTTTCATCATCCAAATCACAAACTCTGTAACCAATTCCCTATGCCTCCCTCCCCTATCCCCTGGTAACCTCTATTCTATTCTACCTTTTTTCTTTTTTTTTTTCTTTTTTTTTTTTTTTTAAGACAGAGTCTCACTCTGTTGCCCAGGCTGGAATGCAATGGCACGATCTTGGCTCACTGCAACCTCTGCCTCCTGGGGTCAGGCAATTCTTTTGTCTCAGCCTCCCAAGTAGCTGGGATTACAGGCGCCCGCCACCACGCCCAGCTAATTTTTTGTATTTTTAGAAGAGATGGGGTTTCACCACATTGGCCAGGCTGGTCTTGAACTCCTGACTTCAGGTGATCCTCCCACCTCAGCCTCCCAAAGTGCTGGGATTACAGGCGTGAGCCACTGTGCCCAGCCTTACTTTTTAAATGTAAAGATGTAACATACATATTTCTCTCTGTCAGGTTTATAGAAAATATTCCTTATTCTTTTTTTTTTTTTTTTTGAGACAGAGTCTCACTCTGTCGCCCAGGCTGGAGTGTAGTGGTATGATCTTGGCTCACTGCAACCTCTGTCTCCTGGGTTCAAGCAATTCTCCTACCTCAGCCTGCTGAGTAGCTGGGATTACAGGTGCCCACCACCACGCCCAGCTAATTTTTGCATTTGTAGTAGAGATGGGGTTTCACCATGTTGGCCAGGCTGGTCTCAAACTCCTGACCTAAGGCGATCTGCCCGCCTCAGCCTCCCAAAGTGCTGGGATTAAAGGCGTGAGCCACCACACCTGGCCACCTTATTCTTTTAAATGGCTCTACTGTATACAGTTGAATAAGAATACTATTCCTGTATTGCTGAACTTTCACACTGTTTCAAAATCTCACTAGTAGAAACAATGCTTTAATTCATTAGGGTAAATTTAATTCCTAGAGCAAAAGTGCTAGGTCAAAGGATACATACACAAGAAAGGTGTCCTAGTCCTTTTTCTGTTGCTTATAACAGAATAACTGAAACTCAGTAATTTATAAGAAACACTATTTTTGGCTGGGTGTGGTGGCTCATGCCTGTAACCCCAGCACTTTGGGAGGCCGAGGTGGGCGGATCGATTGAGCTCAGGAGCTCGAGACCAGCCTGAACAACAAGGTGAAACCCCATCTCCACCAAAAATACAAAAAATTAGCCAGGCATGGTGATGCATGCCTGTACTCCCAGCTACTTGGGAGGCTGAGGTGGGAGGATCACTTGAGCCCAGGAGGCAGAGGCTGCAGTGAGTTGAGATCGTGCCACTGCACTCCAGCCTGGGTAAAGGAGTGAGACCTCATCTCAAAAAAAAAAAAAAAATTATTATTTACAATTCTAGAGGCAGAGAAGTCCAAGACTGAAGGGGCACATCTGGTAAGAGCCTGCCTGCTGGTGGGGACTCTCTGCAGAGTCCCGAGGCAACACAGGGCATCACATGATGAAGGGGTTGAGCATGCTCACTTGTTCGCTCAGGTCTCTTTTTCTTTTTATTGAGGAGTTTCACTCTTGTCACCCAGGCTGGAGTGCAGTGGCGCGATCTCGGCTCACTGCAACCTCCTCCTCTCAGGTTCAAGTGATTCTCCTGCCTCAGCCTCCCCAGTAGCTGGGATTACAGGCACCCGTCTCCACACCCAGATAGTTCTTGTAATTTTAGTAGAGACGGGTTTTCACCATGTCAGCCAGGATGGTCTCCTGACCTCAGGTGATCCACCCGCCTTGGGACTTTCAAAGTGCTGGGATTACAGGTGTGAGCCACTGCACCAGGCCCTCTTTTTCTTATAAAGCCACCAGTCCCACTCCCATGATGACCATTACTCCATTAACATATTAATCCATGGATGGATTAATCCATCCCTGAGGGCAGAGTCCTCATGCTTTAATCACCTCTTGAAGGCCTCACCTCTCAAAACTACCACATTGGGTATTAACTTTCAACATGAGTTTCAGAGGGGACATTCAAACTATAGCGGCAAGGTTAAAACCTATAGGTTTACAGGTGCAAAGAAACAAATGTGATAGTTTACGTGAAAGGCCTTATGGTTTCTTGATGATATCAGAGCTGAGAGAAAAAGGGTTAAATTTCAGGTTAGATTCTTAAAATTGTATAAAAACTCATGTAGAGGTCGGGTGCAGTGGCTCACACCTGTAATCCCAGCACTTTGGGAGGCCGAGCCAGGTGGATCACCTGAGGTCAGGAGTTCAAGACCAGCTGGCCAACATGGTCTCTACTAAAAATACAAAAAATTAGCCGGGCATGGTGGCAGGCGCCTGTAATTCCAGCTACTCTGGAGGCTGAGGCAGGAGATCACTTGAACCTGGGAGGTGGAGGTTGCAGTGAGCAGAGATCGCACCATTGCGCTCCAGCCTGGGCAAAAAGAGCAAAACTCCATCTCAAAAAAAAAAAAAAAGAAAAGAAAAAGAAAAAACAAAACTCATGTAGAGATGATTAGAGATATGTGAAAGAACAGCAAGGCAGCAATGAGGATGCTGTTATAATCACAAACGATATATTTTTGGTGAAAACAAGAAAGATATATAATAATTTCCTTCAGTCGTCCTTGGTAATCTGGAATAGGGAAAAAAAATTAGGATATTTCAATTAGGGTTTGACAAGCTTGGTCTAGAAACGGTAAAGAGAATAACGAAGGAGAGTGGTGGTGAGAACAAAGTGAAAATGGTTTCTGTGCAGCTGGGTAAACTAGAAAATGAAGCAAGAAGAGAGCTGATTAATAAGAAAACAGAGAGAGGGCTAGGAGGTGAAATGAAGGAGAGGAGCAGGGAAAAAAGAATGTTGTAGTCAGAGGAAAAGAAAAATTCCAGTTTCAGGTAACTGAAAAGCCACAAGCTGGTTACTAGTCTGGGAGTGAACTGTGAAGCCAAACAAGCAATCCATCAGCCTCCACCATCCCCAGCTGATAACAAAGGAGTGGGAGGGGTAAACCTTGAGCGAAGTGTGGTTCTTTTCCTAGGAGAAAGAGCAGTTTTCTCCTTAGGATCTAAGTTCCTTAATGGAGTGACACCAACCCAACTTTTCTCAGTTGAAAAAAATTCACTGCTTTAGGAAGTCTGATGTACTTAAAAGAAAAGGATCATTTCCTTTTAGAGACAGGGTATCGCTCGGTCACCTATGCTGGAGTGAACCGGCACAATTTTGGCTCACTGTAACCTCAAACTCCTGGGCTCAAGTGATCCTCCCATCTGAGCCTTCCAAGTAGCTGGGACTACAGGCATGAGCCACTGCACCCAGCCATTATTTTTATTTTTATAATATATATTTAGAGACAGATGGAGTCTCAATGTGTTGGCCAGGCTAAACTCAAGCTCCTGGACTCAAGAAATCTTCCTTCCTTGGCCTCCCAAAGTGCTAGGATGACAGGCAAGAGCCACCATGCCTGGCCCATATCCTATTTAATCTTTGAAATAATTGTGTTAAGTGTGCAACACTAAATTACCTGCCACTAGGTATGAGCTTAGATCACCAGGAAAACTAGGTCACTCTAATCTGTCAAGAGAAAATGGTTATCTGGCTGGGCGCGGTAGCACATGCCTGTAATCCCAGCACTTTGGGAGGCCATGGTGGGCAGATCACCTGAGGCCAGGAGTTCAAGATCAGCCTGGCCAACATGATGAAACCCCTTCTCTATCAAAAATACAAGAAGTGACTGTGTGTGGTGGCTCATGGCTGTAATCCCAGCACTTTGGGAAGCCGAGGTGGGTGGATCACCTGAGGTCAGGAGTTCGAAACCAGCCTGGCCAACATGGTGAAACCCTGTTTCTACTAAAAAAAATACAAAAACTAGCCGGGTGTGGTGGCAGGTGCCTGTAATCCCAGGTACTCAGGAGGCTAAGGCAGGAGAATCGCTTGAAACCGAGAGGCGGAGGTTACACTGAGCTTAGATAGCGCCATTGCACTCCAGCCTGGGGGACAAGAGTGAGACTTCATCTGAAAAAAAAAAAAAAAAATTAGCCAGGCATGGTGGTAGGCACCTGTAATCCCAGCTACTCAGGAGGCTGAGGCAAGAGAATCACTTGAACCCGGTAGGCAGAGGTTGCAGCAAGGCCGAGATCATGCCATTGCACTCCAGCCTGAGTGACAAGAGCGAAACTCCATCTCAAAAAAAGAAAATGGTTATCTGATATCTTCTTAAGAAAGAATATCAGAGTATTACAGCCAACATAGGAAAAAACACAACTTTTTCTATATTACATTTAATACTGTTTTCATTTAAAATTACATATTGCGGAGTGCTTTGCATTTAAGACCATCTAAAACTCTTCATCTGGCTCTGGAGAAATAAGTTATGATTCTCATTTCGCAGAACAAACCAAGTCTTGGACAGTTTAGTTACTAGCTCGAGCTGCACAGCTAGTTAGCAGCAGAGCCCATTATGATGGTATTCAATGTTTATGATAGTACACACCAGTTTTCTTTTTAAAGTTGTGAATCTTTTTGGGCCTTCTTTAATGGTTAAGTGTTTTTGTTTTTTGTTTGTTTTTTCTTTTTTTGGAGACAGAGTCTCACTCTGTCGCCCAGGCTGCAGTGCAGTGGTGCTATTTCAGCTCACTGTGGCATCCACCTCCCGAGTTCAAGCAATTTTTGTGCCTTAGCCTCTCGAGTAGCTAGGATTACAGGCACGCACCACCATGCCTGGCTAATTTTTCTATTTTTAGTAGAGGCGGAGTTTTGCTATGTTGGCCAGGCTGGTCTCCGACTCCTGGCCTCAAGTGATCTGCCTGCCTTGGCCTCCCAAAATGCTGGGACCACAGGTGTGAGCCACTGTGCCCAGCCTAATGGTTAAGTGTTTTAATCAAATAAAGCATACGATAAAGTTAACCTAAATATGTTTTGGGGTATCTCCATACATCTTTTTTTTTCCTCTTAGTGATTGAAAGTTTGAATTATATGGAATCATCAGCCCACCTAAATGATTGAGCTTTGGGTCTTTTTGGGTCAACCAAGGGAAAGTGAGAAGGAAGTCAAGCAAGCCAAGAAACTACTCTCACACCCTTCTGTGGTTGGTTGTATTTGCAAGACAGGGAGTCCCCAGGTGTCTTCACTTTTTGATCCTTAGCATGGTTCCCATTTTAGAAGCTGAGGTCCCAGACTCCTTTCTGCTTATATAAGAGGTGTCAGGCAAGAGTGTTATTTAAGAAAATTTTTTCTGTAAGTCATTTCATTAATACTTCTTGAGGACTGTATGATCTCACACTGGTAATAAAGGGGATGACAGAAAGGTGAGATATAAATATGTTCTCCCAACATGCAAAGTGAGGAAATGAATTTTACTTTACATCTGCCTCCATTATCCTATGCCAGAGGGCCTAAAATATTGATGTGCACAAGAAACATCTGGGGCACTATTTTAAAATTCACCTTTCTGAGCCATGTCCCCAGAGTCCCTGATTTGTAGGCATGAGTGGACCTGGGAATCTGCATCCCAGGTGATTCTAACACTATTCACCATGCAGTAAGAAACACCATTCTTTCTTTGTTTTGTCCCTAGGCTGGAGTGCAGTGGCGCGATCTCAGCTCACTGCAAGCTCTGCCTCCCGGGTTCACGCCATTCTCATGCCTCAGCCTCCTGAGTAGCTGGGACTATAGGCACCCGCCACCATGCCCGGCTAATTTTTTGTATTTTTAGTAGAGACGGGGTTTCACCGTGTTAGCCAGGATGGTCTCGATCTCCTGACCTTGTGATCCACCTGCCTCGGCCTCCCAAAGTGCTGAGATTACAGGCATGAGCCACTGTGCCTGGCCAAGAAACACCATTCTTATACAAACTTGATGAGGTTTAAAAAACTCAAATTGCAATTAAGTCTTTGTTTCTGTCATCCTTACCAAATTGTCCTATTACTAAATTGGCCCTTTTCTTTTCCTTTTTGTTGTCCAGGCTGGAATGCAGTAGTGCGACCTCAGCTCACTGGAGCCTCTGCCTCCCAGGCTCAAGTCATCCTTCTGCCTTAGTCTCCTGAGTAGTTGGGCCCACAGGCACACACCACCATACCCAGCTAATTTTTAAATTTTTTTTGTTGGGGTGGGGTGTCTTGCTATGTTGCCCAGGCTGCTCTTGAACTTGTGAACTCAAGCCCTCTGTCCACCTCAGCCTCCCCAAGGGTTAGATTACAGGCATGACCACCATGCCTGGCCTAAATTTGCCCTTTTCTACCAAACACTGACAGCCCCTAACCTGAATAGCACTGTTGGGTCTAGGCTTAAATTGTCTGCCCAAAGCAATTTACAACAAAGTAGGAATTAGACTTAAATCACCTCTTATGGCACTTGGATTAAAAAATATATATACATATATATACACACACACACACACACACACATATATATATACACACACACATCTACATCTACATCTTGGCTGGGCGCGGTGGCTCACGCCTGTAATCTCAGCACTGTGGGAGGCCGAGGTGGGCAGATCACATGGTCAGGAGATTGAGACCATCCTGGCTAACACGGTGAAACCCTGTCTCTACTAAAAATACAAAAAATTAGCCGGGCGTGGTGGCACACCCCTGTAGTCCCAGCTACTAGGGAGGCTGTGGCAGGAGTATCGCTTGAACCTGGGAGGCGGAGGTTGCACTGAGCCAAGATCTCGCCACTGCACTCCAGCCTGGGTGACAGAGCGAGACTCCGTCTCAACATATGTATCTATCTTAAGGTAAGTATTAGAATACCTCTATTACACTACTTTTGTTTCTCCTTTGGAGAAATTAGCACGGCAGCGTCATCTAATTCGATAGCTGGAGAAGTCACGTCCACTTTTTTCATGGGCTTGATAAAGCCCTATCATTCCTTCTTGACTCATCCCGTGTCTTTGGGAAGCCTTTCTGGGTAAATCTATCCACAAGGAAGATCCTTTACGTCACTACCAGCCCTTGCACACGTTTCAATTATAGCACCTATCATCTTGTACCACGTTGCCTAATTTATTTTTGTATCTCCAGCTCTACTAATAGACACAGTGCCTGGCAAACAGCAGGTGCTCAGTAACTGCGGGATGAATGAGGCCATGGCAAGAGACTAGGCCGGGAGTTTTAAAAATCAATGCTGACTGAGAAATGAAGTACGGAAATGTCAAGGGCTGGAATAAAAATAATCCCTAACAGCACAGAATCCTCCTTAAGGGAACACAGGTCAGGCAGGTGTCCCAGCCCGGCGGCGCTGAGGGCTTGGTGGTGTTTTCATTGTTAGGAAACAGGCGGGCTCTCTCCTCCCCGCAACCCCTCAAGAGCCTGGCCTCCCAGGTTCCCGCTCCTGGGTGCGCCCCACCCGTAGCCGCCTCTCCCCAGCCCGCTGCTTGTCCACCCCAGAGCCACCCCTTCCCGTCGCTACGCCAAGGAGGGGAGTTCATATCCTCTAGTGAGGGCCTAGGAGGCCTTTCTTGGCCAATCAGTAGCCAGGCCCTGCAATTCAGGAGGGACTCGGCATCCACACAGACAGCTGGACTGCCAGGCGATTCCTTAGGGTTCTTGTTTTACCCACGGCTTAGAGGTCAAAAATAAGGGGGCACGGTCCTCTCAGAATGGAAGGGAGCCGCAGAGACTGTCTGGGTTTGGCCATTTTCTAAGACGAACTGCTTTTCAGATTCCTCTTCCCCTTTTTGCGCATTCATCTTAAAAAGGCAGGTGTGACTAATTTGGAAATTGGCTCAGTGACTAAGGGTTCGGACCACCATCTGGACCAATAAGAAAAGGCAATCGCTGGAGCCCGGGCTTTGCGAGGAGGAGCGCACGTGGGCCCAATGTTTCATTTTTATCTATCAGCACAATCATGTTCAAGTGAACCAAATAGTTTTATTTATACTACTAGAAATAAATCATCTGGCTGGGCGTGGTGGCTCACGCCTATAATCCCAGCACTTTGGGAGCCAAGGCGGGTGGGATTACCTGAGGTCAGGAGTTCCAGACCAGCCTGGCCAACATGGTGAAACCCCATCTCTACTAAAAATACAAAAATTAGCTGGGCGTGGTGGTGTGGCTGTAATCCCAACTACTTGGGAGGCTGAGGCAGGAGAATCGCTTGAATCCAGGAGGCAGAGGTTCCAGGAGGCAGAGGTTGCAGTGAGCCAAGACAGTGCCATTGCACTCCAGCCTGGGCAATAAGAGTGAAACTCCCGTCTCAAAAAAAAAAGAAATCATCTGGTTTGTACTCGCAAAACGTTTTTACCTTGTGTTGTGAGCTGCCCTTCTTGAGCTTGTACACAACGAAGCTCTTCAATGGTTTCCTTCAGAGAATCCCTTTCTGTTCTCAGCCTCTGGAGAGACACAAAAACATGGAGGGTTAGCTTCACGTTTTAAGAATTTATTCATCAGTGGCCTCTGCCTTACCTAATAGAATGATAAACAATAGTGAACATGAACATGTTTTACCTTTTGCTTTTCTATGGAAAGATCATAGAAGGAGGAAAAGATTAAAACAATTTTTCCCATTTAACAATACTGAATATCTACTATGTGCAGGGCAATATGCTATCCATAGTTAAACAAAACTGTCTACTCCATCTTTAACAATTAGTAACTAATTTCTTAACATTCTTTTCACTAGACATAAAACATTGGAGAACAAAGACAATAAATATTCATAAATCATGAAAAAGTAGAAATATTTTTAAAAGATTTGAAATATGCTGAACAACAAAAAGTCCTCTATTAATCATACAGAAAACAAGAAAGCTACACAAACTTATAGAAAGTCATGAGCAGAACAACGTAAAGGAGGCAACAGTGGTAGAAAAGATAACTATATAAAAAAGAAATCTGAATGGAAGTATTATAAAAATATTCTTTCCACTTTTTTGCCTTATTTCTGAAACACAAATGGAATTCTCCTACAGCTTAAAAATAAATAGGATTTCTAATTTTTAAATTCATAACTTAAATGAATGTGGCCAAACATGAATTAAACATAATCGCCTTAATTTTAGCAGTGCTCAAAACCAAAATGCCTAATATATATACTCACGTCCTTTTCTTTTTGAAGACTGTCAACTTTTTCTTTTAGCCGCTTATATTCAAAATCTAGTTTATCTGCTTTCTTTGATTCTTCGGATAATCTGTTTTGTAGTTCTACTACCTGATACAGAAAGATACCATTACTTATACATAATCTGAGACATTAGAAATTATCCTTATTTTCTTCTACAGGTTTAAGAAAACCAAAATCTCTCCCACCAGTACTCAAATGCATATGATCCAGCAGTCTAACACAGTGGAGAGAACTAGGAATAAAAACCTGCCCGGTTACTATTCGGTCCCAACCAGAATCATCCAGTGTAACAATGTTCAAAATCATAAACGAATCTATAGGATTTTCATTTCTAGCAATAGAGATAACCAGGTAGTCTGAAATTCTTTTTGTATAAAACAAAATAAATGCTGGGGTGGGGCAGGGCGATTCTAATTGCATAGCTAAGCTTACAAGAAAATAAGGGAAATCCTCAGAGATTAAAACCAGAATGAGAAGTTCATGCAGATGCTCTGGGTACCATGAGGTGTCAACTGCCGATAACAGGAACCTAGAGCTTTAAAAGGAGATGAGTGGTTGTTGAACCACCCTGGGCTCTAAAAGGTAGCAAATCAGCAAATAGGTGGATTAGAAAAAAAAATTTCATCAGCTGGAAAAATAAACTGAGTGCTTTGGGATTAAAAAAGCATAACTTGGGGGCTAAGTGCAGTGGCTCACGCCTGTAATCCCAGCACTTTGGGAAGCTGAGGTGGGAGGATGGCTTGAACCCAAAATTTGAGACCAGACAAGGCAGCATAGTGAGACCCAGTCTCTACAATTTAAAAACTAGCTGGGTGTGGTGGCACATGTCATAGTTCCTCAGGAGGCTGAGGTGGGAAGATCACTTGAGCCCAGGAGTTCAAGATTGCAGTGAGCTATGATCATACCATTGCACTCCAGCCTAGGAAACAGAGTGAGATCCTGTCTTTAAAAAAAAAGTAAGAAAGAAAAAAGGGGTAACTTGGAAGTTTGTAATGACAGCCTGTTAATAATACATGGACTTGTGTTTGAATTTTTACTACTTGCATTGTCTGGGAAAACCTAAGCCAAGCAATTAGAGGGGTATTAGCTGGTAATGCTGTGGAAAATCTGCCATAAACAAACACACATATTGACCACAGAAACAAAACCTCAACCCATGAGCCTCAGGATTCCCCAATGTAAAGATGAGCTAATGAAAGAGCAAAATCCAAAATTACAAAGGCCATAAAGAAAATGCCACAACGAACAAGACTCTATGGAAAACATTAACAGCAATAACAACCAAAAAATAACAGAATAAGATCTCCAAGGATTTCAGATTGGAATTATCAGATACAAAATATACATACTTAAAAAAGTAAAGAGGAAATCTAAATTTTAAAAGGAGTTAAGAGGCCAGGCACGGCGGCTCACACCTGTAAGCCTAGCACTTTGGGTGACTGAGGTGGGCAGATTGCCTGAGCTCAGAAGTTCCAGATCACCCTGGGGGCAACATGGTGAAACCCTGTATCCACTAAAATATGAAAATTTAGCCGGGCTTGGTGGTGCACTCCTGTAATCCCAGCTACTCGGGAGACTGTGGCAGGAGAATTGCTTGAACCCGGGAGGTGGAGGTTGCAGTGAGCTGAGATTGCACCACTGCACTCCAACCTGGGCCACAGAGCCAGACTCTGCCTCAAAATAAATAAATTAATTAATAAAATAAAAAACAAAAAGGAGTAAGAGACCATCAAAAATAACCAGGGAGATTTGAAAAAGCACACAAAGAAGGCTTGTAGATGAAATATTATCATTTAAAAAATAAAGTGGCCAGGCACAGTGGCTCACGCCTGTAATCCCAGCACTTTGGGAGGCCAAGGCAGGTGGATCACCTGAAGTCAGAAGTTCAAGACCAGCCTGGCCAACATAGTGACACCCTGTCTCTACTAAAAATACACAAAAATTAGCCAGGCATGGTGGCAGGTGCCTGTAATCCCAGCTACTCGGGAGGCTGAGGCAGGAGAATCGCTTGAACCTGGGAGGTGGAGGTTGCGATAAGCTGAGATCGCACCACTGCACTCTAGCCTGAGCGACAGAGCGAGACTCTGACTCTGTCTCCAGAAAACAAAAACAAAAACAAAAAACACACAACATATAGCAATCTTTGTAATATACTGGCAAAATAAAACATTCTGTATGTAATCAACAAGGAATGCTTTCCCACCATTATTTTTACTCCAAGTTGTACTGAAGTCCAGTTATGCTGATTAAGAAGAAAAAAAAGGATATGGAATAGAAAGGGAGAAATTGGGCTGGGTGCAGCGGCTCACACCTATAATCCCAGCACTTTGGGAGGCCGAGGCAGGAGGATGTCTTGAGCCCAGGTATTTGAGACCGGCCTGGGCAACATGGAGAAACCCCAATTCTACAAAAATTACAAAATTAGCTGAGTGTGGCGGCACACACTTGTGGTCCTAGCTATTTGGCAGGCTGAGATGGAAGGATCACCTGAGCCTGGGGGGTCGAGGCTGCAGTGAGCCATGACTGCACCACTGCACTCTAGCCTGGATGACAGAGTGAAACCCTGTCTCAGAAAAAAAAAAAAAAAAAAAAAGACCCAAATTCCTTTTATTTCTTTACTATATCCCTTCTGACAAGAGAATCTACAGACATTATCAGAAGTAATATGAGAATTTGGCAAGGTTGCAGAATCAACATATAAAAGTCAATTTCATTCATATAAATTAGCAATAAAGTGAAAATGGAATCTATCTAACTGCATTTAAAAAGCAACCCCAAACACAAAAGTACCCAACAGTAACTACAATGAAATATGCACAAAATCTTTAGAAGAACATTAATAAACTTAACCCAAAGACATGGAAGACCACGGAAAGGTATCATGTTCAGACAGAAACAGCTCTCCCCAAATTGATCGACAGTCAATGTAATTCCAATTCCCAAGAGTTTGGAGTTTAAAGGGAAAGCAAAGGGCTGAGAACAGACACTTTTGAAAAAGGACAAAGTATGAGAGTCTGCACTACCACCTATCAAAATTGCTAAAAATTTGTAAAACATGAGTGTGATATTGGTGTAGGAAGAGATAAATATACCAAGGGAACAGAAGAAAGTGTCCAGAAATAAACCCATATACAACATGGATATTTTAGATATACAAGGTAGAATTGCAGGTCATTGTGGAAGAAAGGACTATTAAATAAATGGTGGTAGGCTGACTGGTTATCCACACAGACAAAAAGAGTCTCAAAGGGATCCCTACTTCACACCCTACACAAAAATTAATTCCAAGTGGATTAAATACCTAAATGTGCAAAACAAACTTTAAATCTTTGTAAAGAAAATAGAGAAGATTAGACTATAACCTTATATAGGAAATAATTTCTTAAAATATAAAAAGTACAAATCATAAAAGTACTTTAAGTTCATTATGCTGAAATTATCAACCTCAAAAAAGTAAAAGGACAAGTCATAGATCCATAGGAGATTAAGTAAAAATATGTGCAAGTGATAAAGAACATCTAGAACATATAAACAACCTTTAGAAATCAGTAAAAGAAATGATTCAATTTTTTAAGTGGGTAAAAGATAAAAATAGGAAATTTACAAAAGAAATATGGTCAGTAAATATATTTGTAATCAGGGTAACATGAAGTATAATTAAAAGGAGACACCATTTTATACCCATCTAATTGGCAAATTTTACTTATTTTTCTTTTCTCAAGACAAGGTCTTACATGTCTCATGTTGCCAGCAGAGTCACATGCGGCACAAAAGCAAAGCTGGAATGCAGTGGTGCAATCATAGCTCACTGTAGCCTCTGAGGCCCAGGCTCAAGCGATTCTTCAACCTCATCCTCCCAAATAGCTGGGACCACAGGTTCATGCCACCATGCCCAGCTAACTTAAAGTTATTTTTAGAGATGGGGTCTTGCTATGTTTCCCAGGTTGGTTTGGAACTCCTGGGCTCAAGCCACTCTCCTGCCTCAGCCTCCCAAAGTGTTGAGATTACAGGCGTGAGACACTGTGCCAGGCCAGCAAAATTTAGTTTGCCAATACTGTGTGCTGGTGATGATGTGAAGCAACAGGAATATAAACTGCTTGTTGGTAGCACAATCACTTTAAGGAACAATCTGCTAATATCTAACTACATTGAAGATACTCTTAGACAGAAAGTCCATCAAGTTGTAAAACCTTCACACATATATAGTAGAGGACCTGTACAATACTATTTATATGGCATTTCTTTTAACATAGAAAAAAAAGCTGAAACATCCTGTAGGTCTCTTAACAGGAAAATAGATAAATTTTGGTACAGAGACTAACTGAGAGAGCAGCAGAAATGAATGTTATAAAGCTATACCTATCATGATAAACAAGTCTCACTGAGCAAAAGAAAAAAAAATTACAAAGAGTGCTTTCACTGTATCATTTATATAAAGTTCTGGAACATGTCAAAGTGCTATAAATTTTTAGGGATAAATATATATATGTAGCAAAAGTATAGAGAGACGAATGGGAATGAAAGCCGCAGCATGGAGGCTGCCTGTAACGAGGAGGGGGAGAGCATGTTTTATTCAAGCATGAATATTTACTGAACTATGCTTTTACATTTGTATATTTCTTAAGTATTACCTAATAAATAACTAACTAAATAAAAATAAGTAAATAAAATAAAAGTACCTGCTATGGAGAGTTTAAAGCTCTTTAAATATTAGATAAATATAAATAAATACAATAGGCCAGGCATGGTGGCTCACAGTGGCTCACGCTTGTAATCCTAGCACTTTGGAAGGCTGAGGCTGGTGGATCACTTGAGCTCAGGAGTACAAGACCAGCCTGGGCAACACAGTGAAACCCTGTCTTTACCAAAATACAAAAAATTAGCCAGGTGTGGCAGCATGCGTCTGTAGTTCCAGCTACTCAGGAGGCTGGGGCAGAAGAATAGCTTGAACCTGGGAGGTGGAGGTTGCAGTGAGCTGAGATCATGCCACTGCACTCCAGGCTGGGTGACAGAGTGAGACTCAGTCTCCTAAATGAATCAATACAATAAAGAAAAGGTAAAAAACAGAATACCATGAAAACAAATTAGTAATTTTGGTAAGCTACATGTCATAACTGAGAGCTTGCCTGAAACCATCATCAAGATGCTGTGTTTCTTTTACCTGTCTCTTGTAGGTTTCAAGTTGACTTCGCGCTGCGTTGGCCTTTCTTAACTCTTCCTCTAGACTGACAGTATTCTGCATATACATGGTATTCTTCTCTTCTAAGAGTTTAACCTGCCGCCTTAAATCACCAAGGTCTTCTAGCTTCTTTTTATAAGATTCTACTTGACCTTCTAGTTTAGATACTTTATCAGAAGAATGTCTAGAATTAGATGGGAAATTAAAAAAATCAGAAACACATCCACACTTGTAAAGTTGTTTCAGTGTTAAGAAGGATTGCCAGGAAACACACATCTAATGAAATAAGACAAAAGTGATTCCAGGTTAATTTTCTGCACAGGTTAACAAATATGACCTAAGTTACAACTAAATGTTTAATGGAGAATAATAATTTAAGGAAACCAAGCAGGAGAGGGCAGCCAGCAGAGTCACATGTGGCACAAAAGAAAAGTAAGTTTAACAGTGTCCGAATAATTTGGCAATTATCAGTGACCACCAGAATAGCAGCTTCAGTGGGGTAGTGTGGGCAGATAGTGGGGTTGAGGAGAGAATGTCAATTTTACCTTATGTAATCTAAGTTTGGTTCTAGTGGGAAGGAGAGAGTAATAACTCCCTCTCTTTTTAAGATTAAAGAGACCTAAATGCGCGTGTGCATGTGTATGAAGGAGAGAGATTCAAAAGGCAAAAGAAATGAGGATTGATGTAACACAGTCCCCGCGTAGGCCAGAAAGGTAGAGGTCCAGAACACTGAAGAAGGAATTAGCCCTGAACAGGAGGAAGAATAACAGGTCTACACTCACTAAAGAAAGGGTGGGTGGGAACCCAGGGAAGTTTAGAGGTTTTGGAGACAAAAGACATGGAGAGTTCAGCAGTTCACGGCCTCTTTCTTCGCTGCTATAGGAGACAAGGTCATCTATTGAGACTAAGTCATGGGAGGTGTGTGTGGAGGGCAGCCGGGGAGTAGAATCCTGAGGAATCAGAATGGCTATGAGTGAGACAATGAGCAAGGGGAGGGCGGGCCATTGGGAAGAACCCAGCTCAGAAGGAAGCCACCAATTGGCAGGAGCACAAAACTATCAATTATGCATTTCCCCTGTTCTCAGTATTCAAAGAGCAAAAGTGGAAAATGTAGATGGTTGAGATAATCAACAGAGGATAGGAGACTGTACAAGCAGAGGGGTGAAAAAATGAGGTGACAGGGAGTGAGGCACCTCATGAGAGAACTGAAGGGGTAATAACAAGGCCCAGCAAGAAAATGAGGCCTTGCGGGCGTGGCGGAAGAACAGCTCCAGAGCTGTACAAGTAAGAAGTGATGGTCACAATTTCTATTTTACAAACACTTGTGTATCGCTTAATTGCCAGACACTGTTGCAAGTGTTTACAAATATAAATTCACTCAACTCCTCATATAAACCTGAGGTAGGCATGTGTATTGTTTCCATTTTGCAGATGAGAAAACAGCCATACAGAGGTTGCATAAGCAGTAGACCCGGGATCCCAGCCCAGGTAGCCTGGCTCTTAAGTTTGCTAGATCCTCAGAAACCCTAGAGTTTCTAACACCAGAGCCAAACTGTGCTGGGCGGTGAAGGTGAGGTTTTTACCTCAGCACGTCGATCTCATCTTTCAGAGACTGAGCTTCATCTGCCAAAGTGGTCAGTTCATCATTCTGTTGCCGAAGTTCAGAGATCTCCTTTTCTAACTCTTCACAACGTATTCGATAATCATCTTTGGCTGCTTCTAGTCTGTAACCGATATAAAATAGACCAAGAAAGCACTATTTACTGCCTCCTCATTCTCCTTAGAACAGTAAAAGAAAGATATAAAGCATGAGAATAAAGCCTTCTTGAGTATGTCTCCCATGTTAGTGGCCACAAGCTGCATTCTCAAGCACTAACTGTCATAAAAATGAACTCCACTGTCCCAAGTCTTGGGAACGGTGACAACTGGTTACTATTTCCCTACCAGAAAGCAAGACATCATGCAACATTTTTCTGAAATATTGCAGATACAATTTAAGGGCTTTTTTTATTATAAAATTAACACATATGGTCTGGCACAGTGGATTACAGTAATAAACCCATTATGTTAATAAAAACAACATACTCTTTATGAAAAATAACTATTTTCTAAAACAAAAAAAGTGAGAAGAGTGGCACTGTTTTATATTTTTGTGATTCTATTATCTGTTTTAATAGAAGACAGCTGGGTTCTCATATTTGTTTCTACATTCATCTGTTGGTGACATGTTGTTTTTTGGCTGAAGCATATGAAGAAAATCCAGCCTTGCAGACACATAGTCGGGAAAGAGAGGGTCTTGCAGATTCTCCAAAATGGTTATCAGAGGACCTCCAGGAGCCTCGACCATTCTTTGAACTGCTGACGTGGACCAAAGGGAATGGACTGTTTCTAAGGTTTCTAAGGAGCCTAAGAAAAGTTTATTACTTTTTCCTGTTAAGGTAAAAGAAAAAAAAAAATCCAGAAACATTTCACTGAGGAATAACAAGAATAGTTATGTTACCACACTCAGTTACTCAGTAAAGTAAAAATCTAATTGATGTTTAATTTCTGTTTTAACACTAGAAATCTATGGCTAGGGAAGAAACAAGTGATGACGCACTTTTTAGTAAACCGTAACAAAATATTTTCATCATACTCTTGTCTTTCGATTTTGTGCTTCCGTCTTATCTTGCAGGACATATTTTCCTTTTTCTTCTTTTTCCTTTCACCACCCAAAGGTCAAAGGGCCCTTCTTCCTTCCTTTTGGGCTTTTCTTCCCACAGAAGATGTCTGGAAGATTGTTCCTTTAAATCTCGCCTGTCCTTTTAAATCAGCTCACCCCTTTAAATAAGTCTATCTCTATAAACACACACATACACACACACACACGTATATAGATTTCTATAAGTCTATAAATGCATCTGTCTTTTAAAAATCCCTGCCTGTAACTTTTCATGTCATCTGGCCCTTCCCGAAGATGTGCTTATTTTGAAATCCCTAATCTGTGGTTTATGGTCTGCTCTGACCATTACTTTTCCAAACCAAAGTCATTTCAGATTTTCAGTGAAATTTAATCTTTCTGGTGATCATGTCAACTCGCCTTCAGGCCCCTTCACAAATGTTCTTCCTCGGTCTTTCTTGAAAGTTTCCTCAGTCGCCTTTGTTTCCCACAGAGGGGCAGGTGTGGGGTACTCCCTCTCACTCAGGTATCCTATAGTTGCGGCATTCTGCCTTCAAACAATAAGGAGGGTGGCGCTCTGATAGAACACTTCCTAGACGTGAAGTAGTTTCATGTTGTGTGAGGAGATTCTGAGTTGTTTATTTGGAGCCTCAATGGACTGCAGTTTCCCAGAAGTCCTAACATTATATTTTTTTTTTCTTTTTTTTTTTTGAGACAAAGTCGCGTTCTGTTGCCCAGGCTGGGGTGCAGTGGCACGATCTCGGCTCACCGAAATCTCCACACCCCCAGTTCACGCGATTCTCATTTCTCAGCCTCCCGAGTAGCTAGGATTACAGGCACCTGCCATCATGCCTGGCTAATTTTTGTATTTTTAGTAGAGATGGGGTTTCCTCATGTTAGCCAAGCTGATTTTGAATCCCCGACCTCAAGTGATCAGCCCGCCTCAGCCTCCCAAAGTGCTGGGATTCCAGGCATGGACCAATGTGCCTGGCCAATATACTCTTAACTTTAAATGACAGCTAACAAATTTTTAAAAATCAGATTTTAATGAGTTGTCTTTTACCTGAATGTTTCTTCTTGGAGCTGTTCTAATTGAGTCTGGAGCTGCAAATGCCTTCTTCCTGCTGGACTGTTAGGGTCTTCTATAGAATCAGATTGATTGAGTCTTTCCATTAATACCTGATTCTCTGCCAACAAACTACTTTTCTCTTCCTGCAATGCTGCAACCTGTTGGAATATAGGACGACGGCAGTTATTTCTTCCAACTACACTGGCATCAGCTCAATCACTTGTGAATTACCATTACAAATTAAAGCCTATATATAGATTTTTTGAGGCGGAGTCTCACTGTCGCCCAGGCTGGAGTGCAGTGGCGCAATCTCGGCTCACTGAAAGCTCCGCCTCCTGGGTTCACGCCATTCTTTTGCCTTAGCCTCCCGAGTAGCTGGGACTACAGGCGCCCACCACCACGCCTGGCTAATTTTTTCTGTTTTTAGTAGAGATGTGGTTTCACCATGTTAGCCAGAATGGTCTTGATCTCTTGACCTCATGATCCGCCTGCCTCGGCCTCCCAAAGTGCTGGGATTACAGGCGTGAGCCACTGCGCCCGGCCATTAAAGCCTATTTTTAAAGAAGTACAATCAATCTCTACTTAAAACATTTACATCATTTTGGAATACTGCACGTGCAGAGCAAGATGTAAGAGTAACAATTCATTCTTATTTCATATTTGAAGAAACACCTCACCAGACAAGATATAGAGATGGCAAAGAAGCACACTAATAAATAATCATTAGTTATCAAGGAAATGCAAATTAAAATCACATTATTATATAACTACACTCCCACTAGAATAAATAAAATTAAAAAGACTGACTGTACCAAATGTTGGCAAAGAAACTTGTGGTGAGAATATAAAATGTTTCAAACATTTTGGAAAATAGTTTAGCAATTTCTTAAAGAATTAAACATGCAACTACCACATGACTGATTTAGCCATCCTACTCCTAGGTATTTACTCAGAGAAATAAAAGCATACGCCCACACGAAGACTTAGGAACAATGTTTATAGCAGCTTCATTTGTAATAGAAGAAAACTGGAAACAATCCAAACGTTTGCCAACAAGCAAATGGATAAATGATTTGCATCCCAAATCCAAAAATCCAAACTCAGAAATGCTTCAAAATCTGAATGTTTCTGAGCACCTACATGACACTCAAAAGAAATGTTCATTGGAGCCATTTCAGCTTTTGGATTTTTGGATTTAGGATGCTCAACCAGTAAGCATATAATGCGAATATCCCCAAATCCAAAAATATCCCGAATTTCATATATGGAATACTCAACCTGTACTACTACTCAGCAATAAGAAAGAATTAACAATTTACAGCTACAACATAGATGAATCTCAAAATAACGTAAGAAGTCAGACAAAAGGCTGGGTGCAGCAGCTCACACCTGTAATCCCAGCACTTTGGGAGGCCGAGGTGGGTGGATCACCTGAGGTCAGGAGTTCGAGACCAGCCTGGCCAACATGGTGAAACCCCATCTCTACTAAAAATACAAAAATTAGCCAGGCGTGGTGGCAAACGCCTGTAATCCCAGCTACTCAGGAGGCTGAGGCAAGAGAATAGCTTGAACCTGGGAGGCAGAAGTTGCAGTGAGCTAAGATCGTGCCATTGCACTCCAGACTGGGGGACAAGAGCGAGACTTTGTCTCAAAAAAAAAAAAAAAAAAAAAAGAAGAAGAAGTCAGACCAAAAAAAGTCAATATATTTGGCAGAACTCCTTTTTACACACAGACAAAAAGAATCTAATTTTCAAAACATAAACATGGCTGGCATGGTGGCTCCTGCCTGTAATCCTAGCACTTTGGGAGACTGAGGGAGGAGGATTACTTGAGCTAGGAGTTGGAGAACAGCCTGGGCAACACAGTGAGACCCTGTCTCCACAAAAAATAAAAAATTAGCTGGGTGTGGTGGTGAATGCCTATGGTCCCCACTACTTGGGAGGCTGAGGCAGGAGGATCACTCGAGTCCAAGAGGTCGAGGCTATAGTGAGCCACGATCACACCACTGCACTCCATCCTGGACGACAAAGCAAGACTCTATTTCAAAAAAAAAAAAAAAAACACACGGGCCAGGTGCAGTGGGTCACGCCTTTAATCCAAGCACTTTGGGAGGCCAAGTTGGTAGGACTGCTTGGGGCCAGGAGTTTTGAGACCAGCCTGGGTAGCATAACAAGACCCCATTTCTACCAAAAAAAAAAAAAAAAAAAGAAATGAAAATTTTAGCCAAGCCTAGTGGTAGGCACCTGTGGCCCCAGCTATTTGGAAGGCTGAGGTGGGAGGATCACTTAAGCCCAGGAAGTTGAGTGCAGCAAGCTGTGATCATGCCACTGCACTTCAGCCTAAATGACACAGCATGACCCTGTCTCAAAAAACAAAACAATGAGCCAGATGAGGTGGCTCACACCTGTAATCCCAGCACTTTGGGAGACGGAGGTGGGCAGATCACCGGAGCTCAGGAGTTTAAGACCAGCCTGGGCAATATGGCAAAACCCCAACTCTACGAAACATAAAAGAATTAGCTGGGTGTGGTGGCATGCGCTTGCAGTCCCTGCTACTCGGGAGGATGAGGTGGGAGGATTGCTTTAGCCCAGGAGGCGGAGGTTGCAGTGAGCCAAGATTGCACCACTGCACTCTAGCCTGGGTGACAGAGTGAGACCCTGTCTCAAAAAACAAAACAAAACATAAACATGATTATTTAAGAAAATAACAAAGCAAAGGGGCTTATAACAAAAACCTAGTTTCCTATGGAGTTTTCCCACTCTCCAGAGAATATTTTTACGGTTCCTAATTTTATTGCTTTTGGTTGTCACTTTACATATCTAAATAATGTTACACAATTATTTCTTGACTTATCAACCTTAGACATTATCTAGTGACTCTCTCCTCTGACATGTTTGATTATAGCAACTTGAGTCATTCCTTCCTACCATAAATATAGTTAATCACTGTTCTCACTTCTTTCATTGATCACCTCTGCAACTTTAAACTACTTACTGATTCATTTCACTCAGTCACCCACCCACTCATTCACTCACTCACCTACTATGTGCTAGGTATGGTTGCAGTTTTCTAAGTGCAAGGGATACAGTGATGAAAAAAGGGAAGTTCTTACTCATGTGTTATATATTCAAAACAAATTATAAGTAAAAACAAATCATTGCACAAGAAAGTAAATTAATAAATACATGTAAAAACCAGAATATAAAGTGCTATGCAGAGTGATATGGTTTGGATATTTATCCCCTCCAAATCTCATGTTGAAATGTAGTCCCAAATGTTGGAGGTGGGGCCTGGTGGGAGGTGTTTGGATCACAGCACTGGATCACTCATGAATGGCTTGGTAGTGTCCTCACAAGTGAGGGAATTTTTGCAAGACCTGGTTGTTTAAAAGTGTATGGCACCTTTCCACCCCTTGCTCCTACTCTTGCCATGTGACACAGCTGCTTCCCCTTTGCCTTCTGCCATGATTGGAAGCTTCCTGAGGCCCTCACCAGAAGCAGATGCTGGAGCCATGCTGGAAAGCCTGCAGAACCGTGAGCCAATTAAACGTCTTTTTTCTTTATAAATTATGCAGCCTTGGGTATTTCTTTACAACAATACAAAAACTGCCTAGTACACAGAGGGTTAAAATAAGAACAACAAAAAAGACTGGGTGATTATTTGGGATTACTCAACCATGGAAGGCCTTCCTGAAGAGACCTACTTTAGACCTACTTCAGTGCCTGATGCATCCCAGTGCCTGACACTTTATGACAAATAAATCAGGTGATTTTTGAGCTGAGGTTGGATGACAAGGAGCAGCCAGCCATGTAATGATTGTCTCCCTGTAGAAGTGGTTCTAGATGCCCTACTTGGTTAAGATGAAAGCCATCATTTCTGGCTCTCCCTTTCCTTCATCACTCCTGTTTTACTTCTCAAACTCTATCATTGGCATCTTAACTTTTACAATAGTGTTTCTCTGTAGGAATTCTAAATGTTGAAAACCAATAAGGTTTACATTAAACATTACATGCTTATGACTGTGTTGCTGTTTTCTCCACAGCAAAACATGCTGTAGGGCTACCTCTTCTCTTCTCATAACCTCTCTGCAACACTATCATTCATTTTGCAATCTGTCCATACCTGGGATTGGCAAACTGTTCTGGTGTAAAGGACCATACTGTAAATGTTTTAGGCAAGTACTCCACTCTGTCATTGAAGCCTGAAAGCAGCCACAGACAATACATAAAGGAGCCATGATAAAATTGTATTTGTAAAAACAGAAAGCAAGCCACAGTTTGCCAATCCAGTATACAAATTTAATTTTATATTACTAAAGATACTTATATTCTGCTTATAAAAATAATGAAATCTTATTAGTATAACTCTTAGCATTTGTATATAAATTCTAAAATCTGAAATGCAATTAATGGCACTTACATTACGACTTTGTAAATATTATTTCCTAGATAACCCAACAAGTGTGATGTGATTACCTTCTTCAATATGCATCCAATGCAATGACCAACTCATATGCCTTTCAAAGCAAAATGCCTCTTCTATTACCAAGTATTATGAACTCTACATATGCATAACCCAGTTTTAACAAGTATCAAAACATGGCCAACTATGTCTCCCATGTATGTCCCCCTCTTTAGTCAAAGTAAATTCCAGACAAATAATCTTATTTTTGTCTGTTATTTGTGAAAGGTATTCTCAACTTTACCTTTAATTATGCTCTTGAATTTTTTTTTTTTTTTTTTTTTTTTTTCAGATGTAGTCTTGCTCTGTCACCCAGGCTGGAGTGCAGTGGCACAATCTCGGCTCACTGCAACCTCTGCCTCCCAGGTTCAAGCAATTCTCCTGCCTCAGCCTCCCAAGTAGCTGGGATTACAGGCGCCCGCCATCACACCCGGCTAATTTTTTGTATTTTAGTAGAGATGGGGTTTCACCATGTTGGCCAGGCTGGTCTCGAATTCTTGAGCTCAAGTGACCCGCCACCCTCAGCCTCCCGAAGTGCTGGGATTACAGGTGTGAGCCACTGCGCCCAGCCATTTTTTCCCTAAAAAAGGGTTGCGTTATAGTTAAGATGTACTGTATGACAGTACACAGCACATTTGGTGGTATTTACAGTGGTATGTTTCAAAGAGGTGGTGCACAGAACAAATCTCTTACCTGCATATCCAGTTCATGGCATCTTTGAGCAATTTCTTCCTTTGCTGACAAAGCTTCATTTAGTTCCTCTGTAGTTTTCTTCAGCTGGTTAGAAACAAAGAGATAAACATTTTAATATGAAGTGGTAACAATTAATAATTCGTATGTTCAACACAGAATTAAAACATCTCCCCCCTGTCTTTCCTGAAGAGGGAAGGGTGCAAGAGGAAATCAAGAATCCTGTGGAAGAGTACAAACACAGCACTTTTAACTTTAAATTAATTTCTTTTACTCTAAGTCTTGATTTTTCTGTCCTTTGAATTTGGCTCATTCCCCATATCAAGTTTTCTTATGCGTCTTTTTTGATCTACACTACCTGGTTCTTGGTAAGGATAATTCTTTAATAACTGAGAAATTTTACCTTCATAAAATATGTATGTGCTAGGGGAATAGGGATTTTAATTGTTAAAATATGCAGCTAGAACATTTCAACACAAGTGTTTTCGTTATATTAAAACCTTATGCTGGGGGGTGGGGGAAGGAGAGTCATATTAAAACCTTATGGCAAGGCAAGGGGAGGGATAGCATTAGGACAAATACCTAATGAGTGTTGGCCTTAAAACCTAGATGATGGGTTGATAGGTACAGCAAACCACCATGGCACATGTGTACCTATGTAACAAACCTGCACATTCTGCACAGGTATCTCAGAACTTAAAAAAAAAAAAAAAAAAAAAAACTATCAAAAACTGTTGTGAAAATAGTTAGAATACGACGAAAATTTTGCATCTCCTGAGATTAAGAAAACAAAAATATTACTGAAGCAAAAAACCTTATGTTAATTTTGTACAGCACCGTTAAAAAATTTGTTTACTCTCAACATAAACCAAACATTCCTGAGTTGTATCTCATTACTATATAAACTCTAAATTAGCAAAGTATGAAAAAAAATTGATTAAAAGAAAATTTTATTGTCTCTTCATTTCATGTGACCAAACCTCTGTGTGGTAGATAAAAAAAAATTAAAGCTTGGGTTAAAATTGCAACATGTCCAAAGATTTTCCTGCAAAACATTTAGAAAGAAGGAAGTGAAAGAAGTCAAAGAATACAAAGATTTCTATTCATGTATTGCATGAGATGTACAAAATAGCTTGAACACAGAACCTGACAATGTAATTAACACTTCATTAAGAAGCGATATTTAGGCGGGGCGCGGTGGCTCACGCCTGTAACCCCAGCACTTTGGGAAGCCGAGGCTGGTGGATCACAAGGTCAGGAGATCGAGACCATCCTGGCTAACATGGTGAAACCCCGTCTCTACTAAAAATACAAAAAAAAATTAGCTGGGCATGGTGGCAGGTGCCTGTAGTCCCAGCTACTTGGGAGGCTGAGGCAGGAGAATGGTGAGAACCCGGGAGGTGAAGCTTGCAGTGAGCCGAGATTGCGCCACTGCACTCCAGCCTGGGCGATAGACCAAGACTCCGTGTCAAACAAAAAAAAAAAAAAAAAGGAAGAGATATTTAAAAGTACAAAGTAACTTTTCTGTTAAAATCACAAAAATACATTGCGGGATTCCTTTAAAAATACAGTAGTTCTTAGAGCATTTAATTATTCACTACTTTACAGAAATGAGGGGTGGGATCGAGAAGACATCTTCAACTGACGAAAAGAAATAAAAGGTAAGTATCTTTTGCATTATATACAAACCATAAAAATAAATTCATGTCATTTTCCAGGAATTTGACATGTCATTTTCCAAGAAAATGACAACTGTATATTTCATTTTACAAGAAAATGACATGAACTTATTCTTATGATTCATATAATCATAAGCTGTAACATCTATTGTGTTAAATGTGGCACACTGATATCACTAACAGAAAAATAAAAATTCATGACTAGAAAACAGGAGTCACAATAAACTAAAAAAATTAACCTATTTCAAAGTAGGTTATGCAACAGCATTTTAATTGCAAATGCATTTTATTACAAATTATAAACTTAATTATAAATGTGTAAATTCCACTAGTAAAACAGCTTATGTTCTTAAAATTTTAGGTAAAATATAAAGAATTAAACCAATATAATAAAAAGCAATTTTAACCCATTCTTCTCATTAACATCTGATGCTTATCCTTTTCAACCTTTTCATGAATAAAAACAATGTAAAATTATATACCTGACGATCAAGGTCAACATAGGCATCATTTCCAGCAGAGACAGGAGATTCTTTACTCATCAGCTGAAATCAAGATTTAAATGATTATAACTATGAGGCAAAAAAGACATTCTACATAAAATACTTAACATAAGAAAATGAATACCCAGCCACTATAGAAATATAAAAATTAAAATGAAAACATGCATGTAAAACACTTTGCATTAAAGCTTCTGAGTCCGGAACTTTTTTTGTCCCCACTCCAGAATAATGCCTTCATTTAAAATTAGAGGGCTGGCTGGGCGCGGTGGCTCACGCCTGTAATCCCTGCACTTTGGGAGGCCGAGGTGGGCGGATCATGAGGTCAGGAGTTCAAGACCAGCCTGACCAACATGGAGAAACCCATCTCTACTAAAAATACAAAAATTAGCTGGGCATGGTGGCGCCTGCCTGTAATCGTAGCTACTCAGGAGGCTGAGGCAGTAGAATCACTTGAACCTGGGAGGCGGAGGTTGCAGTGAGCCGAGATGGTGCCATTGCACTCTAGTCTGGGCGACAGGGCGAGATTCCTCTCAAAACAAAAAACAAAAAACAAAATTAAAATAAACAAATAAATAAATAAAATTAAAGGTCTATCAGCACCATAAGACACGGCAAGAGAAAAAAAGTAAATAAAATAATAAATTGAATTAGAGGTCTAAATTCTGATGCTCATTTTCACCGCAAGCCTAGTAATAAGAATCTAGTATTACTTATTCTTATCACAAAAATGACAAATCATTAAAATTAAAATGTGGCTACATACTTAAAAATAGTGGCTTCTCACTAAAAATAGCAATACTATTTATTTCTAAAGAATAAATGTGGACAACATCAGTATTAGCGAAAATTACTGGCTAATGTTTAATGATAACACACACACACACACACACACACACACACACACACACACACGCCCTAATCCTTATGTTGCAAAGAGAGAAGATCCAGAGATCTTCCGGATCTCTGGGGAGAAGGGAACAGAATTCTGGTTATGACAACTGTCAGGGAGAGACTCAAATGGCCCCAGTCTTCTGTTGTTTCCTTCTTATATTCTGTTTTAAAGACAAAAGGGAGAGGGACAATCAGTAATGTGGGGATGTATAACTGGGTGTGGTGGTAAGCATCCTTTAGTTCCAGCTACTCGGGAGGCTGGGGTGGATGGAATGCTTGAGCCCAGGAGTTGGAGAATACTGTGATCACACCTGGGAATAGCCACTGCACTCTAGCCTGGGCGATGTAACAAGACCACATCTCTTAAAAGAAAAAGAGGCAAAAGGATGTACTGTTGAGATCTTGTGATTCCAGCAACAGCTCTCAATAAAAATCTAGGTATCCTACTCTGAGCACAACCATCTCTCATTGTAGGCCTCTCATTAAATTTTATCTGTTCCTCAACATCAGGAAGACTTCTAGGCCCCACCCCTCTGTACTTTCTTCTTGTCTTTCAGTCTTAGCCCATCATTTCACTTTCTTCCTCACTTAGCTCAGACTTGATAGTGAACGCAGTTGATTTTGCCTGCCTGAAGTTTACTCCTGTTTCTTCTGCTAACATTGTCTACCATTGCCCCCTCCCTACTTTCGATTCCTAGGTTCATTTGTTTAATCAATTATTTTCTCTAGATTTCATGTCTTTCTATGACTTTTGTCAATATTCTCTACTCTCCTCTTACCTCATTTTTTCTTACTGGCAAAAATCTCAATCCAAGATTAATCCAGCTACAACTGCCTATATGCTACCTATACCCTGACTGCTAAAGTCATCCCACGGTATAGATGGGGAACTAGTTGTAGGACTCAGGCATATACCAACATGCACACACACTCAAGACCCACAGGCAGCCCTGCAGAACCTCCCTATGTGAAAAGTTGGTCTCTGTACATGTGAGTTTCACATCCTGCAAAGACTGTATATTCCATCTGTGTTTGGTTGTAAAAAAAGAACTGCACAAAAGTAGACCTGTGCAATACAAACCTGCATAAAAGTAGACCTGTGTTGTTTAAGGGTCAACTGTATTGAGAGGGTAAAAGAAATTTAAAAACCACAAAACTGGTGTCACTATTAATAAAGTTCCCAATCTCAACTGGGCCTTCAGTGCTACTCAAAAAGCAGAGCTGTTTTCCCCAGCCAGCAGCCTCATTTTCATCAGAGATTATTCCACACTGTTCCTGCTTCTCGAACCTCACCAACTCACCCACACTCATCATCAGACTATCTTGCCTTCAGATAAGAATTTCCCCTACCCTAATTTACAAACTTAGTGACAGGCATGCCCACCCCTTCCTTTCTTCATTTCTGTTACAACACAAGGGCTCTTCTTCTCACCCAAGGCTAATCCCCAACTGTGCTTTCAACTCCATCTCTTCCAGCATCTCCTATGAGACTTATGCTTTGTGAGGAAAGAGACCATGTCTATCTTTTTCATGGTTGTATCCCTAGTGCTGACTACAGTGCTTGGTACATACTGGGTACTCAATAAGTATTTGCTAAATGAATATGCAAATAATAGACATATTAAAAATCTAATTTGGATTCTCTTTTACATACAACTTTATATCTTGTTCTGGTCATTTGACATTTAAAATTTTTCCTTCTGTCCTAAGATACCCTTTTACACATTTTTATCAACTATGTAATATTCCATCATATGGACATACCACAATTTAAACACTAGCTTACTAATGGATATACATTGTTTTCATATTTCTGTTAATATAAAATAGTTTGATAAACATTGTTGTGTCCAGTCTTGGTCTGAGTTTTTAAATAATTCTTTGGGATAGGTTCATAGAAAGTCACTTGGTCACAGATTTAATTTAAAAAACATTCCTGGTTATAGATATACCACCTGTTATTATAGAAAAATTTAAAAATATAGAAAAGGGTAAAGAAAATTCAGCTATTTGGAGAGTTAACATTAAGCAAGTTTATTTGTTTTCCCTCATCTTAATTTTTATTTTTGACAGAAATGGGATCATAATATTGTTCATGTGCTTTCTATCTACCTTTTTAAACCTAATATGAGCTTTCCCTTATGTCATTAAATATTTTTCAAAGATATGCTTCAATGCCTATGTAATATGCCAGTATACTAGTATACCATAATTTATTTATCCATTGCCCTACTACTGGGTAGTTATTTCTAATGCTTCAGTACTAGGAAATAATACTGAAGCACACTATATTGAAGGGATACGGCACAATGGTTGTAGGTATGGGCTCTGCACTGCTTAGACCTGAGTGCTATCTCGGTCACTACTTCTATGCGAACCTGAGCAAGTTACTCAAACTCTCTGTTTCTTTTTATAAAATGAAGACAATAATATACACCTCACAGGATTGTAGTGAATTTTCCTTTATATTGTGATAAATATACCTAACAAAAATTGCCATTTTAACCACTTTAAGTATAAATTCAGAGGCATTACTTGCAAGTGTACAGAAATTTAAATGGAATTTGCTAACAAATGGAAATTGCTTACTCACAGCCCAATCTAGTATATAGTAGATGCTAGATAAATGCTTGTTATGACTACTATTATGTATCTTTGTATTTTACTTTTTTTTTTTTTCTGAGATGGAGTCTGGCACTATCACCCAGGCTGGAGTGCAGTGGCGCAATCTCAGCTCACTACAACCTCCGGCTCCCAAATTGAAGCCATTCTCCTGCCTCAGCCACCCAAGTAGCTGGGATTACAGGTACGTGCCACCACGCCCGGCTAATATTTGTATTTTGAGTACAGACAGGGTTTCACTGTGTTGGTCAGGCTGGTCTTGAACTCCTGACCTCGTGATCCACCCACCTCAACCTCCCAATGTGCTGGGATTACAGGCATGAGCCACCGCGCCTGGCCGTATTTTACTTTTTTTTTTTTTTTTTTTAGGATAAACTCCTAAAAGTAGAATTACAGGATCAACTACACTAAGGCAGAATGGTTGGCGGTCCTCTTATTCTTTTCCCTGCTCTTGCTTAGTAACAGAAGCCTGGAATTTTGGTTGGGTCCATGACTATCTAGAATAAGGACCCCATTTCCCAGACTCCCCCATGTGGCTAGGTGGGTAATATCTGGCTAACAGGAGTGAGAATTCCTGCAAATCTACTTGCAGGAGGTGGATAACTCTTTCCTCAATCCTTTCTGCCGGCTAGAAATATAAACATGAAAGCCAGCACTGCACCACTAGCTGGGAATCATGTATTAAGAACGGCACAGCAGCAAGATGGAAGAAAGTTGGGTTCCTGATGACTATAGAGCCTCCACACCAACCCAGGACCACTTGAGAGCAAATTAAACTCATATCTTGCTTGGGTAACTGTAGTTTTGGTATTTTAACATGACCAATCTAATCTTATATGATATAAAAGGGGATAACATTTTTAAAAGATATACCAGTTTGCATTCCTGCCATCAGTGCTGACTGCTAAACCAATGAACTCTTTAAAAGCTTTGCTGGGTAATAAAGAATTTCCCTAGAGATAGGAGTTGTCTTTGCTATTCACAGTGGGCCCTTAGATAGTTTAAGCTAAGGAGATGACTCCAGATGGCAGCTGGCCACTCCAGAAAGACCAATCATGTGATTAGAAGGTTGGGGCTTTGTTATCGGCCTGACCTCTGGGAAACAAAGGAGGCTGAAAATTGATTTGGACATCATGGTCACTGATTCAATCAAACATACCCATGTAATGAAACCCCAACAAAGAATCTGGATATAAAGGCTCAGGTAAGCTTCTCTGGTTGGCAATACTCTGCATATTGCTACCATGGGGTGGGGACAAAACAAAACTGCATTTGGGACCTTCCCTGACCTCACCCTATGCATTTTTTGGTTTAACAGAAACTTAACAATCCAGAAACGCATTTAATTTGATTTGTATCCATTTGCTGTAATAAAGCTGTTATCATTCCTGACTTCTGTGAGTTGTTCTAGTAAATTACACAATGTACAAGGATAGTGGGAATCCTTGAATTTGTAGGCAGTTGGTCAGATGACAGGGTGGCCTGGAGACCCCTGAGCCTGGAGCTGGTGTCTGAACTGTGGGCAGTCTGTGGAGAATGATGCCTTTAAATCTGTGAAGTTTGGCCCAACTTTGGGTAGTTGGTGTCAGAAGTCATTGCAAGATTTTTTAAGCACAATTTCATCTTAATTTGCATTTAATTGAATATTTTTCATGTTTTTCTTTTGTATTTTTCTTTTTTTTTTTGAGACGGAGTCTCGCTGTCGCCACGCTGGAGTACAGTGGTGCGATCTCAACTCACTCCAACCTCTGCCTCCTAAGTTCAAGCAATTTTCCTGCCTCAGCCTCCCGAGAAGCTGGGACTACAGGCATGTGCCACCATGCCCAGATAATTTTTGTATTTTTAGTACAGACGAAGTTTCACCATGTTGGCCAGGATGGTCTCAATCTCTTGACCTCGTGATCCGCCTGCCTCGGCCTCCCAAACTGCTGGGATTACAGGTGTGAGGCCACCGCACCCGGCCTGTCTTCTGTATTTTTCTATGTTAGGTGCATATTCATGTCCTGCATACGCTTTTCTATTTCTCTTAAGGGTTTCTTCCACTGCTTTTATGATTAAAAACATTCTCACATCCTGAACTTGACCAGCTATTAGTCTCTGTTTTACTTTTACTTTTACAGTTTTATGTTTTACATTTAAAACGTAAATATTCATCTAGAAATTGCTTTGGGAATGGCTGGAGGTGAAGATCCATTTTCTGCCAAACAGGAAACCACCAGTTAAGTGTGAGGAAGACTGCTGGTTTAAGATAGATATTATTTGGCCGGGCGCCGTGGCTCACGCCTGTAATCCTAGCACTTTGGGAGGCTGGGGAGGGCGGATCACCTGAGGCTCAGGAGTTCGAGACCAGCCTGACCAATATGGTGAAACCCTGTCTCTATTAAAAATACAAAAACTAGCCAGGCGTGGTGGCATGTGCTTGTAGTCCCAGCTACTCAGGAGGCTGAGACAGGAGAATTGCTTGAACCTGGGTGGTGGAGGTTGCAGTGAGCCAAGATCACACCATTGCCTGGACGACAGAGTGAGACTTGGTCAAACAAATAAATAAATAAATAATAGATATTATTTATTATTAGCTTTAGGAATTAGTCTGCTATTACTATTTCATTAAGGGCACTTTAAAAAATTAGGAATAGTCGGCCGGGCGTGATGGCTCACGCCTGTAATCCCAGCACTTTGGGAGGCCAAGGCGGGCAGATCATGAGGTCAGGAGATCGAGACCATTCTGGCTAACAAAGTGAAACCCCATCTTTACTAAAAATACAAAAAATTAGCTGGGCATGGTGGCACACACCTGTAGTCCCAGCTATTCGGGAGAGTGAGGCAGGAGAATCACTTGAACCCAGGAGGTGGAAGTTGCAGTGAGCCCAGATTGTACCACTGCACTCTAGCCTGGGTGACAGAGTGAGACTCCGTCTCAAAAAAAAAAAAATTTAGGAATAGTTATATCTATACCTGCAAAATAAATGTTTAAGATTTAAATAAAATTGGAAAATTTAAATGAGTATGATTTTTTAGAATAAAAACAAGAAAAGCTATATCATAAATGCAAAGTAAAAACTCTTTAAAAATGAGGAGAATCTCTTAAAATTTTCCACTTGTATTATTCATACTCATGTTTACTCCTTTAATTTTTCATAAACTATAAGCATGAAGCTCCAACATACCTCTTGAATGGCTGTCATGACAACATGTTGAACAGATTCCTCCATCATCATAATGGCTTGGATGTACTCTGAAAACAAGAACAATCTAGAATGTCACTGTTCAAGTTAAAGATGGTCAAGGGAATCAAGGCTCATACTTCATAAATTCTTATAAGTCATTTCCCTGTGTTTTGATTCCTCCTAGGAATCCCACATACACCATTAAATGTATTGGTAAAGTCCGAAAATCACACTATTTATCTTTCCTTAAGATCTTTTCTTGCCTTTTCAACATTCCTTCTAAAGTTGAGGCTACAGCTACAGGTCACGAGAATGGAATATTGGCATGAGTATGTGCCAATGTAAAACGATGAAATGGTAAAGCCTGAAACCAAGATGGAAAAATCTCTGTATTACTTTTTTCTAAAATCTAAAAATTATCTTTCACATTACTCTTTGCTATGCAGTTAAACAAAAAAAACTTTGAACTCTGTGCTTTATTTTTATGTGACATCAACGTGCTGCATTATTCTGCCTTAATATTTCCTTTTTTTTTTTTTTTAGACAGAGTCTCACTCTGTCGCCAGGCTGGAGTGCAGTGGCGCCATCTCGGCTCACTGCAACCTCCGCCTCCCAGGTTCACGCCACTCTCCTGCCTCAGCCTCCCGAGTAGCTGGGACTACAGGCGTGCGCCACCACACCCAACTAATTTTTGTATTTTAGTAGAGACCGGTTTTCACCATGTTGGCCAGGATGGTCTCAATCTCTTGACCTCGTGATCCGCCTGCCTCGGCCTCCCAAAGTGCTGGGATTACAGGCGTGAGCCACCGTGCCCAGCCTGGCTTAATATTTTCTTCTACAGCAAACAAAAAAAATGAAACTGAGAGCTGCTTAGGACAAAGAATTGAGATGAATTTAAGTTACAAATTGATACCATAGTTAAACAAATATTGTATAATCCCAGGCTTTAAAATAATTATTGACTGGTCTAAAGGTAGTGAGTTATCACAATTGACTGTTCACAGTTACAGATGGAACTCCTTGTTCTACTACTTCCCCCTTCTCACTAAGTCACTTGACCGGTCAAACACAAAAAATAAAATGATCCACACCTCCAATAAGCTAAAGCAGCAACTCCATCAATCTCATCCTCACCACTGCCAAAAAACAAAAAGATCTCTTTGTTATTAGTAATGACAAACTTGAAAACAATTTCTTGCCTTTGCAATAAGAAACACGTAAAAGAGTAAAGTAATTAGGAAATTTTAGGCTCAACCTACCTCTCCAACCCCATACATCCAAACAACATGCACAATAAAAATCTCACTCCTTGAGGTAGTATATGAAGGGGTCTTACCATGAAACTGTCAAAGTACTCTTTTGACAAGAGATTCATGTATTTGAAATGACAACTGTAATCCTCTACCCAACACAGGATTTAAAATAAATGAGGTATTTTTACAATACTATTAAATTATGACTTCTGGTTAATGCTAAAGCTTTAGTTTATCAGAAACATGTTTTTAAGGAAGTATTGCCCTAAGGCTACTTGTACCCAATCGATTGTTTGGTTATAAGTACAAATATACATAACACAACTAAATCATAGGCATTGTTCTTAGGCCAACAGGAATATCATAACTTAATCACTATTTAGTCAAAAAAGAATTCCTTTAGTCTGAGCTCAATTTTTGGTTTTGTTTTCTTAATGAGAATCACCCTATGAGTGTTGGAATACAGAAAGGGAGCTTTTAGATGTTCTGTTCAAAAGTATCAAACACAGAATTCAAAGGCTATGGAGAAACCAGCATAGGTAGGATGACTAAACAGCTCTAAAAGTAAGACTGTGAACATGGAAGAGAAGAAGCAGTGGCACTGATAATGGGGAAGGAGAATTTAATGACAGCCTATTGAAAGTGAAGGAAATAACAGTGGACTCGAGGGGTGAGGGGTTAGTAGGTGTGAGAGGGGAAGCGTTAGTTAAGAAGCGGTGTTGCCACGTCAAGGCCCTTCCCCGCGAACACCGTAAAATGCTAAATGATAAAATGATGATGAGAACTAAATTACTGTACAGTTTTTTAAATAAAAAAATTTATGAATCTTTAAAAGTCCAAAATACAAATGATATGCTATTACCGGGTGTGTGTCTATGAGGCAATGCTGGAGAATGAGATTTGCTATGTGAGGTAGCTTATCCTGAAGCCTTCACTGTTTAAAATTCACAGCATAGTTTATCACAGGGAGTATTAAGTTTAAATGTGGAAGAAACATGAGTTTTTGTCCTTGTCTAGCCTCTCACAGGTAGGAAGTATTGGGCAAGTCACATAACACTTACAAGTCCCAGCTTCCTAGTCTGTAAAAACCATTTTTTGGTACCAGAGAGAAGGGAAATAATAAATAATTATTATTAGTGTGTCTTCTACTACTAATCTTTGTTTTTTCAAACTTACCACCATTTTATTTGCCCCAATTTGAGAAGTAAGATAGCCAAGACAAATGTGCACTGAGTCAACATCCCTAGCAGATGCTCCTCACTTCTTCTAATTAGGAAACACATTTAAACATAAGCCTCTTTTAATCTGTACACTGCTTTATGGAGTACAAAGCACACACATACACACACACACACACAATTTCATTCACTCCTCATGACAACCAGCTTTTACATCCTTATTTTGCAGACAACAACACAGGCTAAGTATCTCATCCCAAGCGAGTCAGGTAGTAAACAGCAGAACTGCTTTAGTGAGTTTTACATTATATACCATAAATATGCAGTGACAGCTAATATTTAACCACTCAGACACTCATGTACTTGATTCTTAGCACTCTACTATGTTCCTGAGAGCAGAGGATGTCCTAAATCTAGACAAATGAGATGTTAAAATTTTGTTCAATAAGTTTCCATCATTTATACAATTTTGGGGGGAAACTCAATCTAGGTGTTTCTACAGAACATTTGGTCTGAGTGAGAACTTCAATAAATATTATAATTGACTATCTTCTTTCCCACAGGAATATGCATATAGGTAACATCTTTGTCTTTTCCTAGTCCTATTCTGTAGTAAATACAATTAGCTGACTCTCAACAGTTGTGCACTTCCAAAGACCCCCTACATATTAAGGAGAATTCCAGAAGTCAATGAATTTCCTAAAAGGATACATAAGAAGTTATTATCTGATATCAATCAACTTCAATTAAATAATTTCTATTTTCCACCTTAAAATCGAAGCATCTACTTAGAGATTTAATGTCTCAAATCTTAGGTATACCAATCTCCTAATCTTTGACAGAACACTTGTTAGACACTCCAGGAATATACATAGATCACAACTGCAGAAAATTCCATATTTAATTCTTGAGCTAAACTGAATAAGCAAACTAAAATTTACCTATAAGAAAATGGTGGCCAGGCGCAGTGGCTCATGCCTGTAATCCCAGAGCTTTGGGAGGCCGAGGCAGGCGGATCATGAGGTCAGGAGCTCGAGACCAGCCTGACCAACATGGTAAAAACCCGTCTCTACTAAAAATACAAAAATTAGCCGGGCGTGGTGGCACGTGCACCTGTAATCCCAGCTACTCAGGAGGCTGAGGCAGGAGAATTGCTTGAACCTGGGAGGCAGAGGTTGCAATGAGCCGAGATCACACCACTGGACTCCAGCCTGGGTGACAGAGTGAGAATCTGTCCCAGAAAAAAAAAAAAAAAAAAAAAGAAAGAAAGAGAAAATGGTATGATAAAATAGGAATGGGGCTAGAGAAAAGAAATATATTGTTTTAAAAAATACTGAATTGGAGACCAATAAAATTAGTCATAACTTCAAGAAAATAATGCTATTATTAAACTTACCATGGAACACCAAAAAAGTACAAACAACAAGTTAATAGAAATCTGTTTTGCACTATAAGGGGTAAACAGTGGGGAAACAAGAAAAAAACCTTTGGGCTTAAAAAAAAAAATTCATCGTCTTCAACATAAGTAATAGTAACATACTGTGCTGTCATCATTTATAATAGCCCCTATCTCCTGCCGTATTTTCCTTCATCCTTTTCTCACTATACTCCAATTATAGTGTGGTGGGTTTTTTAATTCCTCAGAGATAACCTAGGTCTTTCCTACATTCAGCTTCTACTATTTACATTACTCTTAACCCATTGTCTTCCATAGCTTTGCTTAAATAACTTCCCTGACCCCAAACCCAGGCTGTCCCCCTTTAAGCTGCAGCTGAGGAACACTCACCTCTGCGTTCATCATACGGGTATCTGTGGCATTATTTAATGTCCTTCCACTCAAGTTCCTTGAGGGCAGGTACTTGTCTGTTCTAACACTGTGTTCCTAGCCCCTAGTAATGTATAAGTTCAATATTTATGAAATAAATTGAATATAGAAGAGAAAATGAATTTAAGGTAAAATTTATCTGCTTTATTGCATGATAAATTTGAACTACAGCTTTTAGAAAACAAGTGATTTCTATGCAAATCAGTAGTTGTCAATAGAGAAAAAAGCTATTTAAGATTAGATAAGCACTTTGGAAGAACTATAAAAAAGATATTAATTATATTATTATCTATATATCAAAGCTGGTCTTCAAGTAACTTCAACAAAGTTCAAATCTGTCAACTTGGACTTGCTGTATACACAAAAATACACTTAACTAACAAAAGCTGTAAATTAAAAGTTAACTTACTGAGAATAGCCTTCTCTAATTCTATGTTAGTGGTTTTACTAATTTACATTCCATTTATTGATAAAATAAATATAATCATTGAACACCACCTAATGACATTTAAAAAACTGCGGCTACCTTAAAGTTCACAAAAGCACACAATAAAATAACTGAATGAAAATGTTTTAAAATACTATATATAGGCTGGGGTGGTGGCTCATGCCTGTAATCCTAGCACTTTGGGAAGCCAAGGCGGGTGGATCACTTGAGGTCAGGAGTTTGAGACCAGCCTGACCAACATGATGAAACCCTGCCTCTACTAAAAACACAAAGCATTAGCCAGGCATGGTGGTGCACATCTGTAATCCCAGCTACTCAAGAGGCTGAGGCAGGAGAATCGCTTGAACCCAGGAGGTGGAGGTTGCAGTGAGCTGAGATCATGCCACTGCACTCCAGCCTGGGCAACAGAGCAAGACTCCATCTCGAAAAAATAAAATAAAATAGAATAAAATAAAATAAAATACTATATGTAAAACTTATGTTTTCATGTTTCCTAGTAATAACTAATGTTTTGTGAACCACTACTATGTGCAAGACACTGTACTGTTCTATATACATGATCTCATTTAGTTTCCACAATAACCTTAGGAGGTAGGTACTATAATGAATCTCTATTTTACTAAAAAACTAAAATACAGAGGTTAAGTGATCTACTCCAAGTCCTTGAGATTGCCTGCGAGAGGTGGAAACGAGTTGAAATTCATGGGTTGATGCACACTGCAGCTCATGCTCTTAATCTCATATTTCAACGTAATAATAATGATATAATATATTGGGTCATTTCAGCTCTGGGAGCTTAAAATGGGGTATTTTAGATTGCAATACAAAGGACATGGGAAAAAATAAAAGACAGTTTTCAGATTTACATGCTTAGCGAGAAATTTTTCTAGCAGTGATAGATACCATTAAGTTATTTTATTATTTTTTTTTTCTGAGAAAAAGTCTTGATCTATTGCCCAGGCTAAAGTGCAGTGGCACAATCTTGGCTCAATGCAACCTCCGCCTCCCAGGTTCAAGTGATTCTCCTGCCTCAGCCTCGCAAGCAGCTGGGATTACAGGCGCCCACCACCGCGCCCGGCTAATTTTTGTATTTTTAGTAGAGATGGGGTTTCACCATCTTGGCCAGGCTGGTCTCAAACTCCTGACTTTGTGATCCACCTGCCTCACCCTCCCAAAGTGCTGGGATTACAGGCGTGAGCCACTGCGCCCGGCCCCATTAATTTTACAAGCCTGTTTATCGATGTGAAAATTAATCCCAAGGTTTTCCAGGTTTTTCAATGTTTTCTTGCCAGAGTATGTTACTACAAAATATCCTGTGGCATTTTTCTCTTTTTTTGAGACAGGGTCTTGCTCTGTCGCCCAGGCTGGAGTGCAGTGATGCGATCTTGGCTCATTGCAACCTCTGCCTCCCAGGTTCAAGTGATTCTCATGCCTCAGACACCTGAGTAGCTGGGATTACAGGAGTGTGCCTCCACACTCAGCTAATTTTTTTTTTTTCTGGTAGAGATGGGGTTTCACCATATTGGTCAAGCTGGTCTCCAACTCCTGGCCTCAAGTGATCCGCCCACCGTGGCCTCCCAAAGTGCTGGGATCACAGGCATGAGCCACCGTACCCAGCCTCCTGTGGTATTTCTAAGAGTTTTACAATTATTTAAAAATAAATGAAACAATTTTGATATATGTAATACTATTCCTTCCTTTAAAAGATAGTCAAGGCACTATCTAAAATTTAAGTCAGGGAGTGATTTCTTAAGGAAAAGTATCTGCCAGATTTTGGGGTAGGAAACCCAATTCAAAATTTATTTTTATTATTTAAACATTGCATATAATGATACTCTTCCCTCTCTTTTTCCCCACAGTAGAGGCAAACTTGCAAATGTTTTCCAAATACAATATGCCTAAAAAAAGAAAAAGGAGAAGCTGAAGGCATCTGTTACAGATATATGTTGGGAAGGCAGACCTGAATATCTATTAAACTGCTGTATGTCTCTGCTCATTTTTTCCAGATTAGGTAGATGTTGTCAAATTAACAGCAAATTTCACTGCATTCAGTGTAGTTATCTACTCAAGGAATTATGTGGTATTGCACAAAAGAAAAAATATCACCCCAGTCAAATTTATTTTAATGTGCAAAATTCATTTAAGCTTAAAAACAAATTACTAGTAAAACTGTAGAAAATGGCATTCTTTGGGGGTGACCTTAAACAGATGTTACTGTTGGTACTGGTGATTTATATATAAAATATAAAATATACACTACTTTCCTTCATTATTTTAAATGCAAACACTAACTTGAAACAAATTACCTTGCTTCTGTTCACAGTTCACAGCACAGCCTAAGATGAGCTGAAGCATCCTTCCAAGCTCTGCTGCATCAGAATGCTCCCCAATAAGGTTCACATCAGGAAGGGTAAAGTCATTAATTTGCTGTCCTAAAATCTGAATGGAGATAAAAGGATTATAATTGCATTTACATTTATATGACCAAAAAAAAAAAAAACTTGATCGAGGTTTGTTATTACCAGAAACTCATTGCCAAGGACAGAGTGATTATGTTCCATTTCACTCCCAATTTCTATTTCTACCTCCCATACCTAAATCATAACTATCTTGAGTCACAGCAACTTAGTCCCTACTCTGGTATGTGGCATGTACATCGAGCAAAAAAAACAAAACAAACAAAAAAACCCTGAGTACTCCCAGAAGAAATAGGTGTATACTCTTTGAAGAAGTAGAACTAAAATGGTTATGAACTAGGGGGCACCAGAAAGAGCTAAGATTAAATATAAATTCATGTCCCCAACAGTAAGATTCTCACTAGCCACCTTGATTCCCACTTGATTCCCAAAACACCGGCAGCAAAATACCTACGTCAGGAAGGAGCATGAAATTTCTTTATACGGAAACTGACTGTTCCCACATGAAATGATTCATATGCAGACAAATGGGCAGGTCTCTGCCTGACAATCCTACAGTGAAATGTACCACTCAAAAAGCACCCCCAACTCAGATTCCAATCAGCTTTTGATAGTGGTTTACTTTTAAATGTCAACAACCAACCAAGGACCATTAAAACATTTGAGAAGTCTCCAACATTAAAAATAGGCAAAAACAATGAAAGCAAACTCAGAAAAAAGCAAATAATGAAGCAAATGAAAGAAAATAAAATTTTAAACATCCTATAACTAGATGACATACAGGTGGTAAAACTATCAACACAAACAAGAAAACAATTATTTAAAAACCTGGGAATCATGGTTTTCCCTGGACAGGAGGTGAGGAAAGAGGTTGTGATCAAGAAGGTAAACACAAGCCCTGGTAGGTGCTGGTGACATTCAACCAACCTATGTTACATGGCTGTTCACTTCACAATTACCTTTAAAATGTACATATACATATGGTATGCTTTTCTGAATGCACATTTATTCTACAATGAAAAAGTAATAGGGGTTTTGGAGGAGCGGGACTGGTATTTTACTTTTTCTTTCTTTATTTTTTTGAGATGGAGTTTCACTCTTGTTGCCCAGGCTGGAGTGCAATGGCATGATCTCGGCTCACTGCAACCTCCCAAGTTCAAGCTATTCTCCTGCCTCAGCCTCCCAAGTAGCTGGGATTACAGGCGTGTGCCACCACACCCAGCTAATTTTGTATTTTTAGTAGAGACGGGATTTCACCATGTTGGTCAGGCTGGTCTCAAACTCCTGACCTCAAGTAATCCACCTGCCTGGGCTCTGAAAGTGCTGAGATTACAGGCGTGAGTCACCGTACCTGGCCAAGATTGGTATTTTAGATGGATGGTCAAAGAAGCCCTCTATGCTAAGTCAAAAACTGAGCAGAATCCTGGAATGAAGAGGCAGACCATATAGTTATAGGTGGGGGGATACGACACAGAGGTTACCATGGGCAAAGTCGTCAGGTAGGAGTGCACTTGATAAACTCCAAAAACAGTAGGGTCCTTCCCCACACTTGGCTGGGGAAGGAGTGGAAGACAAGGTCCAGGGGTCAGGATGGGGGAGGCATGTCACTTAGGTCCTCATAAGTTATGTCAAGGATGTGAGTTTTATTCTAAATAATAAGGAAAACAAATTGAATTAAATGAATAGAAATATACCACCAACCAGATTAAATTAAATTTTTCTCCTTGAATAGGAAAATCAATTCCTAGAAGGACATAAAAGAAAATACTGGCCAGACACAGTGGCTCATGCCTCTTTTTTTTTTTTTTTTTTTTTTTGAGACGGAGTCTCGCTCTATCGCCCAGGCTGGAGTGCAGTGGCGCGACCTTGGCTCACTGCAACCTCTGCCTCCCGGGTTCACACCATTCTCGTGCCTCAGCCTCCCGAGTAGCTGGGACTACAAGCGCCCACCACCACACCCACCTAATTTTTTTTTGTATTTTTAGTAGAGATGGGGTTTCACCGTGTTAGCCAGGATGGTCTAGATCTCCTGACCTCGTGATCCGCCCGCCTCGGCCTCCCAAAGTGCTGGGATTACAGGTGTGAGCCACTGCGCCCAGCCGGCTCATGCCTTTAATCCCAGCACTTCGGGAGGCCAAGGCGGGCGGATCACCTGAGGTCAGGAGTTTGAAACCAGCCTGGCCAACATAGTAAAATCCCGTCTCTACTAAAAATACAAAAATTAGCTGGGTGTGGTGGCAGGAGACTGTGGTCCTAGCTACTTGGGAGGCCAAGAGAGGAGAATTACTTGAACCTGGGAGGTGGAGGTTGCCAGTGAGCCGAGGTCGTGCCACTGCACTCACTCCGGCCTGGATGCCAGAGTGAGACTCCATCTCAAAAATAAGTAAGTAAATAAATAAATAAATAAATAAAATAAACAAAATGAAAAGACCAAACTTATGTTTGATTGGTGTACCTGAAACCGACAGGGAGAATGGAACCAAGTTGGAAAACACTCTTCAGGATATTATCTAGGAAAACTTCCCCAACCTAGCAAGACAGGCCAACGTTCAAATTCAGGAAATATAGAAAACACCACAAAGATATTCCTCAAGAAGAGCAACCCCAAGACACATAATCGTCAGATTCACCAAGGTTGAAATGAAGAAAAAAATGTTAAGGGCATCCAGAGAGAAAAGTCGGGTTGCCCACAAAGGGAAGCCCATCAGACTAACAGCAGATCTCTCTGCAGAAACCCCACAAGCCAGAAGAGAGTGGGAGCTAATATTCAACATTACTAAAGAAAAGCATTTTCGCTCTCCCTCTCCCTCTCCCTGTCCCTGTCCCTGTCCCTGTCCCCACGGTCTCCCTCTCCCTCTCTTTCCACGGTCTCCCTCTGATGCCGAGCCGAGGCTGGACTGTACTGCTGCCATCTCGGCTCACTGCAACCTCCCTGCCTGATTCTCCTGCCTTGGCCTGCCGAGTGCCTGCGATTGCGGGCGCGCGCCGCCACGCCTGACTGGTTTTCGTGTTTTTTTGGTGGAGACGGGGTTTCGCTGTGTTGGCCGGGCTGGTCTCCAGCTCCTAGCCGCGAGTGATCCGCCAGCCTCGGCCTCCCGAGGTGCCGGGATTGCAGACGGAGTCTCGTTCACTCAGTGCCAATGGTGCCTGGGCTGGAGTGCAGTGGCGTGATCTCAGCTCGCTGCAGCCTCCACCTCCCGGCGGCCTGCCTTGGCCTCCCAAAGTGCCGAGATTGCAGCCTCTGCCCGGCCGCCGCCCCGTCTGGGAAGTGAGGAGCGTCTCTGCCTGGCCGCCCACCGTCTGGGATGTGAGGAGCCCCTCTGCCTGGCTGCCCAGTCTGGAAAGTGAGGAGTGTCTCTGCCCGGCCGCCATCCCATCTAGGAAGTGAGGAGCGCCTCTTCCCGGCCGCCATCCCATCTAGGAAGTGAGGAGTGTCTCTGCCCGGCCGCCCATCGTCTGAGATGTGGGGAGCGCCTCTGCCCTGCCGCCCCGTCCGGGATGTGAGGAGCGTCTCTGCCCGGCCGCCCCGTCTGAGAAGTGAGGAGACCCTCTGCCCGGCAGCTGCCCCATCTGAGAAGTGAGGAGCCCCTCCGCCCGGCAGCCGCCCCGTCTGAGAAGTGAGGAGCCCCTCCGCCCAGCAGCCACCCAGTCTGGGGAGTGAGGAGCGTCTCTGCCCGGCAGCCACCCCGTCCGGGAGGGAGGTGGGGGGGTCAGCCCCCCGCCCGGCCAGCCAGCCCGTCCGGGAGGGAGGTGGGGGGGTCAGCCCCCCGCTCGGCCAGCCGCCCTGTCCGGGAGGGAGGTGGGGGGATCAGCCCCCCGCCCGGCCAGCCGCCCCGTCCGGGAGGTGAGGGGCGCCTCTGCCCGGCCGCCCCTACTGGGAAGTGAGGAGCCCCTCTGCCCGGCCAGCTGCCCCATCCGGGAGGGAGGTAGGGGGGTCAGCCCCCCGCCCGGCCAGCCGCCCCGTCCAGGAGGGAGGTGGGAAGGTCAGCCCCCCGCCCGACCAGCCGCCCCGTCCGGGAGGTGAGGGGCGCCTCTGCCCGGCCGCCCCTACTGGGAAGTGAGGAGCCCCTCTTCCCGGCCACCACCCCGTCTGGGAGGTGTACCCAATAGCTCATTGAGAACGGGCCATGATGACAATGGCGGTTTTGTGGAATAGAAAGGGGGGAAAGGTGGGGAAAAGAGTGAGAAATCAGATGGTTGCCGTTGTCTGTGTAGAAAGAGGTAGACATGGGAGACTTTTCATTTTGTTCTGTACTAAGAAAAATTCTTCTGCCTTGGGATCCTGTTGATCTGTGACCTTACCCCCAACCCTGTGCTCTCTGAAACATGTGCTGTATCCACTCAGGGTTAAATGGATTAAGGGCGGTGCAAGATGTGCTTTGTTAAACAGATGCTTGAAGGCAGCATGCTCGTTAAGAGTCATCACCACTCGCTAATCTCAAGTACCCAGGGACACAAACACTGCGGAATGCAGCAGGGTCCTCTGCCTAGGAAAACCAGAGACCTTTGTTCACTTGTTTATCTGCTGATCTTCCCTCCACTATTGTCCTGTGACCCTGCCAAATCCCCCTCTGCGAGAAACACCCAAGAATGATCAATAAAAATAAATAAATAAATAAATAAATAAATAAATAAAAGAAAAGCATTTTCAACCCAGAATTTCATACCCAGCCAAACTAAGCTTCACAAGTGAAGGAGAAATAAAACCCTTTACAGACAAGCAAATGCTGAGAGATTTTGTCACCACCAGGCCTGCCTTTCAAGAGCTCCTGAAGGAAGCACTAAATATGGCAAGGAAAAACTGGTACCAGCCACTGCAAAAACATACGAAATTGTAAAGACCATCAACACCATGAAGAAACTGCATCAACTAATAGGCAAAATAACCACTAGCATCATAATGACAGGATCAAATTCACACATAGTATTAACCTTAAATGTAAATGGGCTAAATGCCCCAATTTAAAGGCACAGACTAGCAAATTGGATGAAGAGTCAAGACCCATCAGTGTGCTGTATTCAGGAAACTCATCTCACATGCAAAGACACATATAGGCTCAAAATAAAGGGATGCAGGAAGATTTACCAAGCAAATGGAAAGCAAAAAAAAAAAAAAAGCAGGGGTTGCAATGCTAGTCTCTGATAAAACAGACTATAAACCAACAAAGATCAAAAGAGACAAAGAAGGCCATTACATAACGGTAAAGGGATCAATTCAACAAGAAGAGCTAGCTATCCTAAATATATATGCACCCAATACAGGAGCACCCAGATTCATAAAGCAAGTTCTTAGAGACCTATAAAGAGACTTAGACTCCCACACAACAATAGTGGGAGACTTTAACACCCCACTGTCAATATTAGACAGATTAATGAGACAGAAAATTAACAAGGATATTCAGGACTTGAACTCAGCTCTGGACCAAGCAGACCTAATAGACATCTACAGAACTCTCCACCCCAAATCAACAGAATATACATTCTTCTCAGCACCACATTGCACTTATTCTAAAATTGACCACATAATTGGAAGTAAAACACTCCTCAGTAAATGCAAAAGAACAGAAATCATAACAAACAGTTTCTCAGACCACAGTGCAATCAGATTAGAACTGAGGATTAAAAACTCATTCAAAACCGCACAACTACATGGAAACTGAACAACCTGCTCCTGAATGACTACTGGGTACATAATGAAATGAAGGCAGAAATAAGTAAGTTCTCTGAAATCAATGAGAACAAAGACACAATGTACCAGAATCTCTGGGACACAGCTAAAGCAGTGTTTAGAGGGAAATTTATAGCACTAAATGCCCATAGGAGAAAGCAGGAAAGATCTGAAATCGACACCCTAACATCACAATTTAAAGAACTAGAGAAGCAAGAGCAAACAATTTCAAAAGCTAGCAGAAGACAAGAAATAACTAAGATCAGAGCAGAACTGAAGGACATGAAAAACCCTTCCAAAAAAAAAAAAAAAAATCAATGAATCCAGGAGCTGGTTTTTTTTTAAAAGATTAACAAAATAGACCACTGGCCAGACTAATAAAGAAGAAAAGAGAGAAGAATCAAATAGACACAATAAAAAATGATAAATAGGATATCACCACTGATCCCACAGAAATACAAACTACCATCAGAGAATACTGTAAACACCTCTATGCAAATAAACTAGAAAATCTAGAAGAAATGGATAAATTCCTAGACACATACATCCTCTAAACACTAAACCAGGAAAGAAGTCAAATCCCTGAATACACCAATAACAAGTTCTGAAATTAAGGCAGTAATACCTTACCAACCAAAAAAAGCCCAGGACCAGATGGATTCACAGCTGAATTCTACCAGAGGTACAAAGAGGAGCTGGTACCATTCCTTCTGAAACTATTCCAAACAACAGAAAAAGAGGTACTCCTCCCTAACTCATTTGATGAGGCCAGCATCATCCTGACACCAAAACCTGACAGAGACACAAGAAAAAAAGAAAATTTCAGGCCAATATCTCTGATGAACATCGATGAAAAAATCCTCAATAAAATACTGACAAACTGAATCCAGCAGCACATCAAAAAGCTTATCCACCACCATCAAGTTGGCTTCATCCCTGGGATGTAAGGCTGGTTCAACATACTCAAATCAGTAAACATAATACATCACATAAACAGAACCAATGACAAAAACCGTACAATTATCTCAATAGATGCAGAAAAGGCCTTCGATAAAATTCAACACCCCTTCATGCTAAAAACTCTCAATAAACTAGGTATTGATGGAATGTATCTCAAAATAGTAACAGCTACTTATGACAAACCCACAGCCAATATCATACTGAATGGGCAAAAGCTGGAAGCATTCCCTTTGAAAACTGGCACAAGACAAGGATGTCCTCTCTCACCACTCCTATTCAACATAGTATTGGAAGTTCTGGCCAGGGCAATCAGGCAAGAAAAAGAAATAAAGGATATTCAAATAGAAAGAGAGGAAGCCAAATTGTCTCTGTTTGCAGATGACATGATTGTATATTTAGAAAACCCCATCATCTCAGCCCAAAATCTCCTTAAGCTGATAAGCAACTTCAGCAAAGTCTCAGGATACAAAATCAATGTGCAAAAATCACAAGCATTCCTATACACCAATAACAGACAAATAACCAAATCATAAGTCAACTCCCATTTGCAACTGCTACTAAGAGAATAAAATACCTAGGAATACACAACTCACAAGGGATGTGAAGGACCTCTTCAAGGAGAACTACAAACCACTGCTCAAGGAAATAAGAGAGGACACAAACAAATGAACAAATATTCCATGCTCATGGATAGGAAGAATCAATGTCGTGAAAATGGCCATCCTGCCCAAAGCAATTTATAGATTCAATGGTATCCCCATACAGCTACCACTGACTTTCTTCAAAGAATTAGAAAAAACTACTTTAAATTTCATATGGAACCAAAAAAGAGCCAGTATAGCCAAGACCATCTTAAGCAAAAAGAACAAAGTTGGAGGCATCACAATACCTGACTTCAAACTATACTACAAGGCTACAGTAACCAAAACAGCATGGTACTGGTACCAAAGCAGATATACAGACCAATGGAACAGAACAGAGGCCTCAGAAATAATGCCACACATCTACAACCATCTGATCTTTGACAAACCTGACAAAAACAAGCAATGGGAAAAGGATTCCCTATTTAATAAATGGTGCTGGGAAAACTGGCTAGTCATATGCAGAAAACTGAAACTGGACCCCTTCCTTACACCTTATACAAAAATTAACTCAAGATGGATTAAAGACTTAAATGTAAGACCTAAAACCATAAAAACCCTAGAAGAAAACCTAGGCAATACCATTCAGGACACAGGCATGGGCAAAGACTTCATGACTAAAACACCAAAAGCAACTGCAACAAAAGCCAAAATTGACAAATGAGATCTAAGAAAACTAAAGAGCCTCTGCACAGCAAAAGAAACTATCCTCAGAGTGAAAAGGCAACCTACAGAATGGGAGAAAATTTCTGCAATCTATCCATCTGACAAAGGGCTAATATCCAGAATCCACAAGGAACTTAAACAAATGTACAAGAAAAAAAAACAACCCCATCAAAAAGTGGGCGAAGGGTATGAACAGACACTTCTCGAAAGAAGACATTTATATGGCCAATAAACATATGAAAAAAAGCTCACCATCATTGGTCATTAGAGAAATGCAAATCAAAACCACAATGAGATACCATCTCACACCAGTTAGAATGGCGATCATTAAAAAGTAAGGAAACAATAGATGCTGGAGAGGATATGGAGAAATAGGAATGCTTTTACACTGTTGGTGGGACTGTAAATTAGTTCAACCATTGTGGAAGACAGTGTGGTGATTCCTCAAGGATCTAGAACCAGAAATACTATTTGACCCAGCAATCCCATTACTGGGTATATACCCAAAGGATTATAAATCAATGTACTATAAAGACACATGCACACATGTTTATTGCAGCACTATTCACAATAGCAAAGACTTGGAACCAACCCAAATGCCCATCAATGATAGACTGGATAAAGAAAATGTGGCACATATACACCATGGAATACCATGCAGCCATAAAAAAGGATGAGTTCATGTCCTTTGCAGGGACATGAATGAAGCTCAGAAACCATCATTCTGAGCAAACTATCACAAGGACAGAAAACCAAACACCGCATGTTCTCACTCATGGGTGGGAACTGAACAGTGAGAACACATGGACACACGGAGGGAACATCACCCACTGGGGCCTGGTGCGGGGGAGGGGGGCTAGGGGAGGGATAGCATTAGGAGAAATACCTAATATAGATGATGGGTTGATGGGTGCAGCAAACCACCATGGCACGTGTATAGCTATGTAACAAACCTGCACGTTCTGCACATGTATCTCAGAACTTAAAGTGTAATAATTAAAAAAACATATGAAAGTAAAAAAAATCTATGATTAATATTCTCATAGAGATAAGAGAAACATATTCATAAGCAAGAAGAGGATATAAAAGTTACATTCAGAAAACATAAAGCGCTCTTGCAAATTAAAAATGTGATAGCAGAAATGAAAAAATTCAACAGGCAAGCTAGAAGAAGGTGTATAATCATCTCAGTAAGTAGAGCAAAAACACAAGAGAGAAAAAACGAGAGAAAGGGTTAGATAATTAAAGGATTAACCCAGGCGGTTCAATAGCTAAATAGTTCAGAAAGAGGATAAAGTAAAGAAAAGTAAAGTAATAAAATAAATAAATAAATAAATGAGATAAAATAAATAATAATAAGATGAAAATTTCCTAAAACTAAAGCTAGTAGGCATTCAGATTTTAAGGGTGTGCTAAGTGCCAAGCGCAATAAAACAAAAGAAAAGAACAACAAAAAAACTCCTTCTCATACCAAAGCACAGCAGCATGAACATGGAGATAAAAAGGACCTAAAAGGTCCCAGAAAGTGAACAAGTTACCAACAGGGAGTGGGAGTCCACATGAGAGATGTCAGCAGCAGCACTGGAAGCCACAGGGCATGGAGCAATGATTTCAAAATACAGAGGAATGACTTCCAACCTGGAATTCCATATTCAACTAAACCACAGTGTAAAGAGAACTAAGATTATTTTCAGATTTGTGGGGCTTAAAATAAGTATCTCTCATGTATTTTTCTGAAGATGCCACTAGAAAATGGGCTCTACCAAAACATGAAAGTAAACCAAAAAAGAGAAATACACCGAATTCAGCAAACAAAATAAGATAGGAGAAAGACAAAGGAATTCCCAGAAGGAGGGTGAAAGGCAATGACAGAACCATGAATTTATTCTTCTTGTTTATCCTAGAGTGAATAATCTTATGTTTTGCTGCAGAAATGTTAATATAATGGAATAATGGTGTAACCCCAGGCCCCACTGGGTTATTTACACAATACGTAGTGTATGCATCATGTTACCTTTCCAAAAATCTGAAAAACTCTGAATTCCAAAATGAATCTGGCCTAAAGGATTGGGATCTGAAATTGTGGACCTACATACACATTTTTATAAACACATTTATGTATATTCATGTAAAACTGGTATCATATGGCATATACAATCTCACACTTTTATATTATTAAAGAGTATTTATAAATATGTATTTTCATGGCTGAATGGCATTTGTCCTACAACATGTTTCATAATTTTCTATTGTTAGACCTTGGGTTATATTCAATTTTTGCCTACTATGAAATAATGATGAGGTGGATAGCCTAATGTAGTTCTTAAAGACCAATTTCTAGAAATAGAACTATGGTGTCAAAGGGGTGTGCATTTGCAAAATGTTTAAATATATAGGCAAGTACCTTCATCTAGTTTATGAAGTATAACACATAAAATGAATTACTAAATGCACAAAGAAATATATAATATAAATCACAGTAGGCAGTAAGAAGGAAAAGAACCTTGGGCTATGAGAATAAATGGGGAAACTGATACTGAATCATATAGGTATGGGCTCACTGAACGGCAGTGTAGGCTCAAATTAGGCAAACTCCAACCACACGTACTGATTTTAGTTTTACTCCTGCTCCAACTCTTTCTCCTAATCATGTAGTAATGAATATAATTAGGTTTCTAAAAGGGCATAAGTTCCAAAGACACCACACCATTTTCAGAGACTGGATTTCTTCTTCCTCTCAGGCACGCTCAGGCTAGGGGATGCTATGTGGGGCTACAGGTAACACCAGTAGGCCTAGGACCCAAAAATGTCAGGGGGCTGGGTGAGGGGGAGAAAAAAAAGAAAAATTACAAGAAGGGAAGAGAAAGAGGTGCATATGAGCCTTGGCTTCTCATGTATGAGACGAGGATAATGGCTCGGATTTCCTCTGGGTGGCTTCCACTGAGTGAGACCTGGCTCAGGATGACACTCCTGAAACAGCATCACTATCTTCAATGCCATACATTTTCTATTCTTTTTTATCGTAATACTTTATTAAAAACTACTTTTTTTTTATGTAATAGGCATGATGCTCAGAACAAAACCAATCACCTCTTCTAAGCCCAAAAGATCTAGTAAATATAAGTACTTCTGGTCGAAGGAAAAAAACATTTTGTCAACGTGTCTAATACCAACCCTATGTTCGCATTCATATGTATCTTAAATATCATGTTTTTCTTGGAAATTAATATTTATTTGACATGATTAGGAAACTCTGAGTGCCTGCAGTGTAATAGCACTGTCCTGATGGCTGGGATGTACCAATGACTACATGAGGTCTGGCTCCAACCTCATTTCATGGCTCTAATAATATAATGGGGTGGCCAGGCACAGTGGCTCAGGCACTTTGGGAGGCCAAGGTTGGTGGATCACAAGGTCAGGAGTTTGAGACCAGCCTGGCCAATATGGTGAAACCCTGTCTCTACCAAAAATACAAAAATTAGCTGGATGTGGTGGTACGCACCTGTAGTCCCAGCTTCTCGGGAAGCTGAGACAGGAGAATGGCGTGAACCCAGGAGGCGGAGGTTGCAGTGAGCTGAGATCGCGCTACTGCACTCTACCCTGGGCGACACAGCGAGAATCTGTCAAAAAAGAAAGGACGGGATGGGAAGAGGGAAGAGGGAAGGGAAGGGAAGGTGCGGTGGCTCATGCCTGTAATCTCAGCACTCTGGGAGGCCGAGGCGGGCAGATCACGAGGTCAGGAGATCGAGACCATCCTGGCTAACACAGTGAAACCCCATCTCTACTAAAAATACAAAAAAATTAGCCGGGCATGGTGGCAGGCACCTGTAGTCCCAGCTACTTGGGAGGCTGAGGCAGGAGAATGGCATGAACCCGGGAGGCAGAGCTTGCAGTGAGCTGAGATTGCGCCACTGCACTCCACACTGGGTGACAGAGCGAGACTCCGTCTCAAAAAAAAAAAAAAAAAAAAAAAAGAGAAGAGAAGAATATAATGGGGTGAGACAACCAAATAAACCAACAAATAAGGAGACTGCTGATATGGCCAGGATTAAAGGGAATAAACAATAAACAGGGTGATGTGACTGAATAATGGGGCTGAGGGGTGAATGTGGCCCTGGCTGAGACAGCACATGCTCAGAGAAAGTCTCTGTAAGGAGGTAACAGAAAGTGCAAAAAAGCAAGAACAAGAAATGCCAGGAGCTGAGGGAAGAACACTGCATACAGCAACAGCAGTGGGGCAAAGGCTACGGAAGAAAAGGACTTAGCAGATTTCAGGCACAGAAGCAGAGAATGTGGCTCCAGTGCCTTAGGTGCGGGAAAAGTAGTTAGGAAGTCGTTCATGGTAAGAATGTGGATATGATTCTCAATGCAAGGGGAAACCACAGAGGACTTTAAGGAGGAGACTGATGTGATCACCTTTAAATTTTTAAAAATAATGCAACAGTAAAATCAGGGTCACCAGCGAGACTACTTTAGTAATCTAAGCAAGAGTGAATGATGGCTTGGCATAGTTGGTGGCCGCACAGATGGAGAAAGATCTATTTTGAAGGTTTGACTAATGGGTCTTACAGATGATATTAGAAGAAAGAAGGACTGTAGGAGGCTTTCTAGGTTCTGGGCTTGAGTAATAGGGTGAATGGTAGGGTCACTTACTGAGATGGGGAAGATCAGTGCTACGGGTATAAACATGGGTACTAAATGCAGGTAAGCTTGTAGGAAAACACAGTAGGGAAATAACTAGGGTATGGTGTTGTGTCCATTTGGCATCTTTGATCACAAAATTTAAACTAAAACTAGTTATTTCCACTGCCTGATTTCTTCCCCAGCAATGTCTGACTGTTCTGATGCAGACTCAGAGGACAAACTGAGTTCATCTAGGGGTGGGGGGTTTGCCAAGGAATAAAATGAAAGTAGACAATGGTGCATGAACTCTAAAACTATCTTCACAAGTAAAGGAAAAAAGACAGAATTAATAGATGACATAAAGTAAAATTTGACATTAATTATAAATCATCTACAAACTACCTATAATACAGTGAAAAGGATCATCCATCTATTAACTGACTGACAGATGGTTGGTTGAACCATCATCCTATTATAGAAACTATAAAATGAACGACAAACTGATTATTAATTTTGAAAGCAATTTTTCCTTAACTTGAAACTATTATAAAATTAAACTATCCGATAGTAACACTTCTAAGCAGAATGAGAAAAAAGTCTTTACCTCATGATTATAATCCAAGATTCCTTTTAAAATTTTCTTTAAATTGCTTATCTGTTTAAAGAGAGAGAAAACAACTGGGTAAAAGGCAAGACAGATCAAAACATAATTTAACATAAAAAATTTCTGAGCCAACCAATCACTGCAGTTAATCATAAAGTAAATATTAACAAATAAAATTCAAAAGCATATTTGAATTATCATCATCATCAAAAAGTACTACTATATAATCCAAGAGATTTATAAAACAAATTATGTCTCCAATTATGTAGAATTTTCAATGTTATGACCACACTGAAAACAACTGGAGGGTAACTGAATGAGACTTAACAATAAGATTAAATTATTTAGGTTTTCTGTGGGTAAAGTAAAAATATGCCATCCTTAATGAAGACTTGAGTTCAGAGCTATTCTCCCTAGAAAAGTCAAACTGCATCTATATAGAAATTAAGTTCTAAAGAGAGTATTAGGCAAAAATTATAGTAAAATAATCTTTAAAATAACCCATGAAGTATAATGTCTCTAAATTCTTCCCCTACCAGAAAAAAAAACTATTGTTTCTTTAGTCAAACATCAAAGTAAGTATTTATGAGCCATAATGTTAGGTGAAGAATGGGCAGAATCACCTGCCCTATTTATTGTAAACTATAATTTTTTTCTTTCTGTTTGACCCAACTCATACAGTTTTGTTAGGTTAAATGGGTATGTGATATAGTTCTATTGATTATTTTATTGATCTAGCTGTCCCTGGGTGGTGTCTGTAGTTGAGACATCCTAGAAAAGAAGCTAGTAGGGACTGAGGCTTTCAAATAAGAGCCTGAATCACAGCAATGTGATCCAGTACTTAATTAAAGGCATATTTATTTGTAAGGAAGAAAATAAACTGAAAACTTGCTTATTTATCTTTACAGGTCTCATAAAATTAACATGCTTAAACATCTACAAAAATTTGCAGATATGGAAAATGCATATAATATGCTTTCTTTCATTCTAGGATGTTCATTTTCCCGTATTTTTAATATTTGAAATTAGATGCCTTGAAAATCAACTACCATTCATTTAAAATGGTAGTTTTTTAAATCACATCACAAAAAGCTACATCTTATCTTTATTTATGTATTTATTTTTTTGAGACAGAGTCTCCCTCTGTTGCCCAGGCAGGCTGGAGTGCAATGGCGCAATCTTGGCTCACTGCAACCTCTGCCTCCCAGGTTCAAGCAATTCTCGTGCCTCAGCTTTCTGAGTAGCTGGGATTACAGGCGCCTGCCACCACACCTGGCTAATTTTTGTATTTTTAGTAGAGACGGGGTTTCACCATGTTGGCCAGGCTGGTCTCGAACTTCTGACCTCAGGTGATTCGCCCACCTTGGCCTCCCAAAATGTTGAGATTACAGGCATGAGCCACTGTGCCCGGTCGTATATCTTGTCTTTAATCAATGGCATCATAAAACTGAAGTAAAGCATAAAATATAGAGAATAAGAAGTTCAGTCCTGAATATTAAGACTATGATAAACTTTTCTACCCATCTCCATATACTACCACTGCCTTACTCATGACACTGGAGACAGTATATGTGTATCTATCTGTGTGCCTGCTGGGAGGAGATATACAACTCTCTCTGATCAAGCCAGTAAGCAGACACAAAATGATCAGTAGCATTATTTGAAACATCATAAATTGTTTTAAACATGCTGTAACATTAAAAAATAATCTTTTTTTTTTTTGAGACTGAGTCTTGCTCTGTCGCCCAGGCTGGAGTACAGTGGCGCAATCTCGGCTCACTGCAACCTCCGCCTCCTGGGTTCAAGCAATTCTCATGCCTCAGCCTCCCAGGTAGCTGGAATTACAGGCGCCCGGCACCACACCTGACTAATTTTGTTTTTCTTTTTTTTTTTCTGAGACAGAGTTTTGCTCTGTCGCCAGGCTGGAGTGCAGTGGCGCCATCTTGGCTCACTGCAACCTCCACCTCCCAGGTTCAAGTGATTCTCTTGCCTCAGCCTCCCGAGTAGCTGGGACTATAGGCGTGCAACACCATGTCCAGCTAATTTTTGTATTTTTAGTACAATGGGGTTTCACCATGTTGGCCAGGATGGTCTCGATCTCTTGACCTATGATCCACCCACCTCACCCTCCCAAAGTGCTGGGATTACAGACATGACCCATCATGCCGGGCCTAATTTTTCTATTTTTACTAGAAACGGGGATTCACCATGTTGGCCAGGCTGGTCTCGAACTCCTGACCGCAAGTGATCCACCCGCCTTGACCTCCCAAAGTGCTGGGATTACAGGCGTAAGCCACCACGCCTGGCCTGCCAGGTTGAGGCAGGAGGATGGCTTGAGCCCAGGAGTTCGAGACCGGACTGAGCATATAGCATGACCTCATCCCTACAAAAATTTAAAACATTAGCCTGGTGTGTTGGCCTGCACCTGTAGTCCCAGCTATTTGAAAGGCTGAGGTAGGAGGATTGGTTGAGCTCAGGAGGTGGAGGTTGCAGTGAGCTGAGACTGTGCCACTATACTCTATCCTGGGTGAGAGTGAGACCCTGTCTCAAAAAAAAGTAAATAAAAATAAATAAATTGCCTGTCCTTGAAAGACTGTTTAGAAATTAAAACAGGGCCGGCCGGGCACAGTGGCTCACGCCTGTAAACCCAGCACTTTGGGAGGCCAAGGCGGGCAGATCACCTGAGGTTAGGAGTTCAAGACCAGCCTAGCCAACATGACGAAACCATCTCTACTGAAAAATACAAAAATTAGCCAGGCATCATGGCGTGCGCCTGTAATCCCAGCTACTCGGGAGACCGAGGCAGGAGAATCTTTTGAACTCGGGAGGCGGAGGTTGCAGCGAGCCGAGATTGCACCACTGCACTACAGCCTGGGTGACAAGGTGAGACTGTCTCCAAAAAAAAAAAAACCAAAAAAAAAAAAAAACCAGTGCCATTAAACGGTTTTCATTCACTAGCTTAGTAAAAAGAAGGAATTAGATTTTGGCAAACCCAATACTTAAGCAACAAATAAATACTTTTCTTATCAAACATGTTTCTTGGGGAAAATACAAAGACAACTCAAACTGAACATGTCTTAAGTTCAGGGGCCTCGCATGGTTAAATCATTTGTATGTCTGAGTCTTTGCCAGTCTGTATCAAAAAGAAATGGTCGCAGGTTTCTCCACACTGCCAGAAATGACAATCACTGGGTCAAAACAATCAATTTAATGTTAACAAAATCACAGAGATGGAGAACAAATTAGGGGTTGCACGGGATTAGGGGTGGTGTGGATGTGGTTATAGAAGCAGCACAGGAAGCTGTGTGGTGACGGAATAGTTCTGGGTCTTTCACTGTGGTGGTAGTTACACAAAGCTACACATGAGACAGAGCTACACAGAACTGCACACACTAACATAGAGTGCAAGTAACCTTGGTGAAATTTGAATAAAATATGGACTGTACCAATGCAAGTTCCCTAGTTTTGATATTGTATTATAGTTACGCAAGATGTTACCACTGGAGAAACTGGGTAAAAGGTACACATAACCTCTTAGTACACATTTTTTGCAACTCCTTGTGAATCTATAATTATTTCAAAATATAGGCCGGGCTTGATGGCTGATGCTTGTAATTCCAGCACTTTGAGAGGCCAAGGTGGGCAGATCACCTGAGATCAGGAGTTTGAGACCAGCCTGGTCAACAGGGTGAAACCCCGTCTCTACAAAAATGCAAAAATTAGCTGGGTGTGGTGGCGGATGCCTGTAATCCTAAGCTCCTTGGAAGGCTAAGGCAGGAGAATCACTTGAACCAGGGAGGCAAAGGTTGCAGTGAGCGAAGATTGCACCACTGCTTTCCAGCCTGGGGGACAGAGAAGACTCCATCTCAAAAAACAAAAAACAAAACATAAAGTTAAAAAAATAATTTGGTGGATTACGCAAACATTTTTAAAAATAAAATGAAAACATCACTGCCTAATGTAAGGATAAAAACCTGTTCAGCTATATACACACACACATTTAGGTAGGAAATTGGTTGCAATGTAAACTTTTTTTCTTATTGTAAGTTTTGGTTAAAGAAACTTGTAAAATACTTAAAGGTTACTAGGAAGGAAATGAAAATGTTTCATTCTCTGAGTGTTTACGATACAGTTAATAATGATCAGTGTTATCTCATTATAACTACCACGTGCACTATTCTAAGTACTTGGCATAATATTAACTCATTTCTGTGAGGTAGAAGCTATATTAATCCTCATTTTACAAATGGGGAAACCAAGGCAAAGGAAGGTCACAACACTTCCCCATAGACAGTAAATGGCAGAGCTATGATGTGGACACAGGCACACTGGCTCCATGCCCTTGGTTGCTATGCGTTACTGACTCATATTATGTTATGCCTAGGTGTACAACTCCAGGTGAGTTCAATCTTCAATTCTACATTATTTCATTACAGGCTACCTAAGCTTCTAAAGCTCACTGGACACATCAGACAAAAAAAAATCAACAGATATTATACACATACAAATATTTAAAGATTTAACAGGTGGAAAAATAAAATACCTTTAGCCTCCAATTATCTCCTACTTCAGTTTTGATTCTGTTTAGCCAATTTTCATCAAAATATGCAGGATCTCTGCAAAATAAGAAAAAGCTTACATATTAAAATCATGTAGCTATCAAGCTAAACAAAGAAAATTGAATCTCATCCCATATAATCACTTAACTGCAACATAAAAATGTATTTGACACATATCAGCCACGAAATAACTTTCGTGTTACTAACAGTCAAGTTGGCCAGGTATGGTGGCTCATCCTGTAATCCCAGCACTTTGGGAGGCTGAGGTGGGCAGATCACTTGAGGTCAGGAGTTCAAGACCACACCTGGCCAACATGGTGAAACCTTGTCTCTACTAGAATTACAAAAATTAGCCGGGTGTGGTGGGACATGCCTGTAATCCCAGCTACTGAGGAGGCTGAGGTGGGAGAATCCCTTGAACCCGGGAGGCAGAGGTTGCAGCAAGCCAAGATTACACCACTGCACTCCAGCCTGGGCAACAGAGTGAGACCCTGTCTCAAAACAAACAAACAAAAAACCGAACAAAAACAACAACAACAAAAAAACAGTCAAGAATCTACCATAATTGCAGATTTTCTAGAAGTCAACTTGACTGTTAACACATAATCAATGACATAGTTTTTGGGTTTTTTTTTTTGAGACAGAGTCTCGCTCCGTCACTCAGGCAGGCTGGAGTGCAATGGTGTGATCTCGGCTCACTGCAACCTCTACCTCCCAGGTTTAAGCGATTCTCCCGCCTCAGCCTCCCAAGTAGCTAGGATTATAGGCCCACACCACCACACCTGGATAATTTTTCTATTTTTAGTAGAGACGTGGTTTCACCATGTTGGCCAGGCCGGTCTTCAACTCCTGACCTCAGGTGATTCGTCCACCTCGGCCTCCCAAAGTGCTGGGATTACAGGCGTGAGCCATCACCCCTGGCCAGTGACACAGTCTTTAAACTGATAAATATATAAAGAAAGTTAAAATAACTTTTTCAGTTAATATTTCAATGAACTCCACCACCTAATACTTCAAAGGTCACCAATAACATCACTAAATTCTGATTTCTTCAAATAATATATACCGAGAATCTATTTTCTCAGATGTAGTACTAGGTTTTGGACACATCTGAACACCATTGCTGTTTACAAAAGACTTAAAATTTAAGATAAAACACTGGTGTGGACAAACATATTGAAACGAGGATAGAATCTGAATATCCTTTATATTTTCCTAGAAAAATTTTCTATGGGAAAATTTCCCATATTTCTAATAAACACTAGGAAGGAAGGAAGGGAGGAAGGGAGGGAGGGAGGGAGGGAGGACAAAACTTTTCAAACCCAGCATGAGCCCCATTTTACAGGTTTTGAAATTGATCCTCTAAAAATTAAATTACATATCTAAGGCCACACACAGAACACCTAAGTTTGTCCTGCTTGAGCAATTGCTAAGTCCAAAAATCTTTCCATAACACCACAACTGCCTCTATTCACCTCAAAAAAAAACAGAATGACAATGAGACTGAAAGGTTAAGAAAAAAATGTATGTTTCAACTTTTACTGTAACTCATACTGATAAATACACAATCAGTATTAAATTTTACTCAAATTAGCTTAAAATGAAGCAACATGATATTCAGAATTTTTACCTATTCTGAAAAAAGAAAAATTATTTAGGTAGTAAGTATATTTTTTTAAAGTTACAACTAAGTTACCTCTATACAAATCTGTTATGATTATTTTTGAAGCCTGTATCATATCATTGGATAACATATTAACTTCATTATCTATTTACTTTTAGAAACAGCTTTATTGAGAAATAACTCACGACACAATTTACCCATTTACAGTACACAATGCATTTTAGTATAGCCAGAGTGGTACAACTATCACCACAATCTAGTCTCAGAGCACTTCCATCTTTCCAAAAAGAAACCCTATCTCCATTAGCCATCACTCCTGTTTCCTCTTCTCTCCAGCCCCTGAAAACCAGTAATCTATTTTCTGTCTCTATGAATTTGTCTATCCTGGACATTTCACAGAAATAAAATCATATACTATGTGGTCTTTTGTGTCTGGCTTCTTTCAATTAGCATGTTTTTTAAGGTTTATCCATACTGCAGCATGTATCAGTGCTTCATTCCTTTTTGTGGCTAAATAATATTCCATTTATAGATATATCACATTTTGTTTATTCATTTAGTAGCTGATGTAACTTGGGCTATTTCCACTTTGGGGCCATTATGAATAATGATGCCTTGAACACTGCTGTACTAGTTTCTGTGGGGACATTTGTTTCATTTGGGTATATGCCTAGGGGTGAAACTGATGGGTCATGTGAGGCAAGGCCAAACTCTTCCAAAGCAGCTATATTTTGCATCCTCACCAGCAATGTATGTTCTCTACAGCCTTGCCAATACTCGTTATTATCTGTCTTTTTAGTTATAGCCCTCCTAGTGGTTGTGAAGTGGTGTCTCACCATGGTTTTGATTTGCATTTCCCTAATGGCTAATGATGCTGAGCATCTTCACATGTGCTTATTGGCCATTGTATATCCTCTCTGGGAAAAAAGCCTATTCAAATTATTTGCACTTTGAAAAACTGTGTTGTCTTTTTTATTGAATTGTAAGAGTTTTGGTATTTTGTTTTAATATTCAGGATACCAGCCTCTTAACAGACATATGATGTGTGAATATTTTCTCCCATTTTGTAGGCTGGTTTTCCACTTTCTTTCCTTCTTTTTTTTTTTTTTTGAGACAGAGTCTCACTCTGTTGCCCAGGCTGGGGTGCAGTGACACAATCTCAGCTCACTGCAACCAATTCTCCTGCCTCAGCCTCCCAAGTAGCTGGGCTTACAGGCGTGCACCACCATGCCCAGCTAATTTTTGTATTTTTTAGTAGAGACAGGGTTTCACCATGTTGGCCAGGCTGGTCTTGAACTCCTGACCTCAAGTGATCCGCCCACCTCAGCCTCCCAAAATGCTGGGATTAGAGGCTTGAGCCACTATGCCCGGCCATGTTTTTCCACTTTCTTGATGGCATATTTTGCAAACAAAGTTTTTAATTTTTTTTTTAAGAGACAGGTTCCCACTCTGTTGCCCAGGCTGGAGTGAAATGGCATGATCACAGTTCACTATAACCTTGTACTTGTATTCCTGGGCTCAAGCCATCTTCCCACCTCAGCCTCCAGAGTAGCTAGTGCTAAGACACATCACAGTGCCTGGATAAAATTTTTTTCTTTCTTTTTTTTTTTGGTAGAGATGGAGTCTCACCATGTTGCTCAGGCTGGTCTCAAACTCCTGGCCTCAAGTGATTCTCCTGCCTTGGCCTCCCAAAGTGCTGAGATCACAGGCATGAGCCACCATACCAGGTCAAAGTTTTAAATTTTGATGAGGTTCAATTTATCTATCTTGAACTTTCTGTGTCATATCTAAGAAGCTCCTGCCTAATCGAGAGTCATGAAGATTTATTGGTATATTTTCTTTTAAAAGTTTTACATAACTTAGCTCTTATATTTAGGTCTATAATCAATTTTTGCATGGTGTAAGAAAGGGAGATAACTTCATTGTTTAGCACGTGGATAATCATACTTACCTATTTTTGTTTTAAGCTACTTTAGTTGAGGTTCTTTTGTGTTATTAAGAGAAACCAATTTGAGCAAACTTCTGCAAAAAAGGCAACTTACTGTAAGATCACTGATGTTATGGTACTTAAGATAGCTGGGCCTCACCAAGTACTGGACAATACTCTCTGACTTTCATCTTTCTTTCTTTCTATCCATCTACACCATTTTCTCTCCATACACCAGCCTTTTCCTATTCCTCCATAAACAACACTAAAAATGGCTGCAGGTATGTTCCAAGCCTGTATCACTTCAGTCCAAGCAATTTGTTTAAAGACCAGCTGTCATTTGGTCCCAATTCTAAATCCCCAGGAAAACCTCAATGATCCAAAGAGTCTCTTTTTCATTCCTGGTCCAATTATAGGTAGCCAAAAGGATAGGGGCTGCAAGGAGGACACACAGAACTTTAGGGACCATGCTGGTCAGGAGAGAACTGAGTTCTGAGGTTCTCTGACTTCTCAAAGAAACAGACAACCCCCAAAAGTGTTCTCTTTGCTTAAAACTTAGAAAAATAGATAATCAAAAGAAAAACAACTGAAGTGATTTCTACTAAAACATTAAAGAGTTATAAAAATCAATTCAGAAGTCAAAAAATATTCAATATTATTTTTGATCCTTAACCTAAAAAGCTATCACTTAAAAAGCACAATCATTAGCAATCAAGTATTGCTTTCCAACTAAAAAAGACTCACACATGAATCTGGTGCCCTGCAGCTGATGACTATCCAAAGCCAAAGAAAGGCATGAACCCACCAGAACCTACCACCCAAGCGGCAAGTCAGTTTCATTCAGCTGAAAGATTTAGTGTTTCTCTCACCAGAAAATCCCTTACTTTAAAAAAAAAAAAAACTTTAAAATGTCCAAGAAATTATATACTCCAAGATCTCCAAGGTTATAAAATACTTCATGTGCAATTTAGAGTAATACACCTTATGAATAAAAGAACTCAGAGAAGTTCAAATACAATGTTTCACATCAGGCATCATGATACAGCCTGCTTATTCCTTAAAAGATTACCAAATCAAAACCTAAGGATCATGTCTGAGTTCAGAAGGGAAGACAACAAAATCAGCTGCTACTATCATATACACCATGTATGACACCAGTAACATCTGTATTATATCAGCAACATACCAGGCATTGAACCAGGCACTGCGCATTCACAAAACCACTGCAGGGAAGGTAGGTATTATTATCCTTATGTTATAGTTAAGGAACATCAGACTCAGAAATTAAGTAATTTTCCCAAGCTCAATCAGACAGTTAACTGTCAGAGTTGACAGTACAATCATTTTTGTTAAAACAGATCAGGAGAGTTCAACACATAACCAGTTCTAGCAAAACACTAAGGCCCTGTGGCTAATTATCCCCTTCATACTCTGTAAACTAGGTCACAAGTAGAAAAAGACCAGCGTCATTCATCACCTTCTTGTTCATGAAGGGCAGGCATTTCCTCTTATTCACTGCTATCCTTCCCAATCCCCCGTGGCTGGTACATAGCAGCTTCTCAGTAAATTTGCTTAAAGGGACAGCACTTAGTAAGTTTCCAATCTACTACTTAGGCAAAATATACTAAGAATAGTAGTCTTTAGACTTCTCATATTCAGTATTACTTTCCCTGGTAAACTTTGAAGCCATATACGCAGGCATTTAACCGTAGCTTCCATTGCCATAAGTACTTTACAATTTCAGTAATGTTTTCTAAAGACCCCTTAATTAATGGTCGCAGGCTCGAATAAAACAATATAAAGGTAACTTTCTCAAAACTAGGAAGAGATGACAGTTCTGCATAGATATGTAAATAACAAGTGGTAATCTTACTGGAGAAGCTCTTCATGAGTAAGATGCTATTATTAGCTGCTCGCTATGTCCTAACTCCTGCTAAGAGAAAATATACAAAATCATTTCCTTAATTTGCCAGTAACACATTTACTTGTTTATAACTTTTGTACCACTCACAGCTTAAGCTAAAGGAAAAGCCCACTAATTTTAATTCTTAGAATAATTCCAGAAGTATATTGTCTTATGTCAAATGCCTTCACAGAAAAAAAAAAAAACCCTCTCCCTCTCCCCTTTTTGTATGGTCTCCCTCTGATGCCGAGCCAAGGCTGGACTGTACTGCTGCCATCTCGACTCACTGCAACCTCCCTGCCTGATTCTCCTGCCTCAGCCTGCCGAGTGCCTGGGATTGCAGGCGCGCACCGCCACGCCTGACTGGTTTTCATATTTTTTGGTGGAGACAGGGTTTCACCGTGTTGGCTGGGCTGGTCTCCAGCTCCTGACCGCGAGTGATCTGCCAGCCTCAGCCTCCCGAGGTGCCGGGATTGCAGACGGAGTCTCGCTCACTCAGTGCTCAATGTTGCCCAGGCTGGAGTGCAGTGGCGTAATCTCGGCTGGCTACAACCTCCACCTCCCAGCCGCCTGCCTTGGCCACCCAAAATGCCGAGATTGCAGCCTCTGCCCGGCCGCCACCCCGTCTAGGAAGTGAGGAGCGTCTCTGCCTGGCCGCCCATCGTCTGGGATGTGAGGAGCCCCTCTGCCCGGCCGCCCAGTCTGGGAAGTGAGGAGCGTCTCTGCCCAGCCGCCCATCGTCTGGGATGTGGGGAGCGCCTCTGCCCTGCCACCCCGTCTGAGATGTGAAGAGCGCCTCTGCCCGGCCACGACCCCGTCTGGGATCTGAGGAGTGTCTCTGCCCCGCCGCCACCCCGTCTGGGAGGTGAGGAGCGTCTCTGACTGGCCGCCCCGTCTGAGAAGTGAGGAGCCCCTCTGCCCGGAAGCCGCCCCGTCTGTGAAGTGAGGAGCCCCTCTGCCCAGCAGCCGCCCGTCTGTGAAGTGAGGAGCCCCTCTGCCCGGCAGCCGCCCCGTCTGGGAAGTGAGGAGCGTCTCCACCCGGCAGCCGCCCTGTCTGGGTGATGGGGGGCAGCCCCCGCCCGGCCAGCCGCCCCGTCCGGGAGGTGGGGGGCAGCCCCCGCCCGGCCAGCCACCCCATCCAGGAGGTGGGGGGCGCCTCTGCCCGGCCGCCCCGTCTGGGAAGTGAGGAGCCCCTCTGCCCGGCCGCCACCCCGCCTGGGAGGTGTACCCAACAGCTCATTGAGAACGGGCCATGATGACGATGGCGGTTTTGTCGAATAGAAAAGGGGGAAATGTGGGGAAAAGAGAGATCAGATTGTTACTGTGTCTGTGTAGAAGTAGACATAGGAGACTCCATTTTGTTCTGTACTAAGAAAAATTCTTCTGCCTTGGGATGCTGTTAATCTATAACCTTACCCCCAACCCCTTGCTCTCTGAAACATGTGCTGTGTTCACTAAGGGTTAAATGGATCAAGGGCGGTGCAAGATGTGCTTTGTTAAACAGATGCTTGAAGGCAGCATACTCGTTAAGAGTCATCACCACTCCCTAATCTCAAGTACCCAGGGACACAAACACTGCGGAAGGCGGCAGGGCCCTCTGCCTAGGAAAACCAGAGACCTTTGTTCACATGTTTATCTGTTGACCTTCCCTCCACTTTTGTCCTATGACCCTGCCAAATCCCCCTCTCCGAGAAACACCCAAGAATGATCAATAAATACTAAAAAAATTTAAAAAAAAATGTTAAAAAAAACACCTAAATTTTATTGCTACTGCTAGAATTATTGAAGCAATGTAATTTTTTCTTTTTTCTTTTTTTTGAGAGAGAGAATGTCTCGCTTTGTTGCCCAGGCTGGAGTGCAATGGTGCGATCTCAGCTCACTGCAACCTCCGCCTCCTGGGTTCAAGTGATCCTCCCACCTCAGCCTCCCTAGTAGCTGGGACTACAATCATCCACCACCAGGCCAGGCTAATTTTTGCATTTTTAGTAGAGACAGGGTTTCACCATGTTGGCCAGGCTGGTCTCGAACTCCTAACCTCAAGTAATTTGCCTGCCTCGGCCCAATGTAATTTTCTTAATGAAAGCAAATTAAGATGGGATCCAAAACAAACGTATTTGGTTTCATTTCTTAACATGGCATCTTTACTAGCAAATTTTAGTGTTTTTTACAGATACATTGATTCTTAGGCATGACTATTTCCTAATAATCATTTAATGACCTAAAATAATCTTGGTCCTCTGCCATTAAATGTGTGTTAGAGTTGACTATGATAAAATTTCACATCCATAATGAATTTACACTAAGCCCCTAAGTCAAAATAAACAATACAGGTACATAATGGATAGATTCCAACAGACAACTTAGTGTACTATAAAAAATATCCATTTATGAGACATTCCAGCAGGGTCCACAGCTTGACCTTCATCCTATTTTCTTTTTCCCCTTCTCGAACTTTGAAAACAAAAACCAATGGCACTTGGAGGCACAACTTGGCACTTCTGACCTTACTCTTTCAATCAGCATGTGGTTGTGTTATAATAAAAAATATATTTGGTCTCTGTCCCTTATTTCCTGGCACTGATCTCCTAAACTCTTGGAATTTCCTGAGTGGAGTGTCTTTTGTAATTCATAAGGAGCTCCTTTAAACCATACCAGAGTTTATACTAACGAGGGGATTCATTGTGGGCCCCTTTATTGCTTTAGGATGGGGGCTGGTCACAGAGGAACCAACCGATTTATTAGAGGTTGGAACATTCAGCCCCAAAGGGAAAGGGAGAGGTACCGGAGACTGAGCTCAATCACATGACCAATGACTTCAATCATGCCTATGTAATGAGATCCCAAATAAAAACCATTAACAACAGGGTTTAGCGAGCTCCCAGGCTGATGATCACCTCAACGCGCTCAGTGAGATGCATGCCCAGAAAGGGAAGGGAAGCTCTGCACTGCCCCTAGTTTTGTTTTCTGCCATATGCTTCTTTTCCACTGGCTGTTACCAAGCTGTATCATTTATAATAAAACTGATTGTAATTATAGTGCTTTCTGGAGTGCTGTGAGTCATTCTAACAAATTATCCAACTTAAGGGAGCACGGGGTCATGGGAACCCTTGAATCTGTGGTTGGCTGGGTAGAAGTACAGCTGCACTGAGGACTATTTCCAACTAGCTGTCTTTTGGCACTGGGACCTTAACTTTAATTTGTGGGGTCTGTACTGTCAACCCAAAAGGAAGAGGATGAAGCACAAAATACGATTTAAAGAGTTTACCTGAGCCAAAGCAAAGACAGCTGCCGAAAAGACTTAGACCCAAGTAACCTTGGATATGAGCTCCATTTGGCCTTTGTTATGTGCAGGTTTGTATTTAAAGGTTTCAGAAAAGGGGGGTGGGGAGACAGACAGTAGGTTGATACAAAGTTGTTAGAAATTCTCACTGATTTACAGAAATAGCATTGATTAGTGACTGGCTAGACACCTTTAAGCTACAGGTGTGGATTATACTGTCTGGTGCAGCTTTATTAGGTTAATGTACAGCTACTTGTGTCAACAGCAAGCACTTTCAAGAGGTGAACACACAGTGCAAAGTGGGAATAGGATGTGACTGCTGACGCATCTTAATGTCTCTCTGGGTCTTATAATTTAAAAGGACTCATTCCTCAGATAAAAGTTCTTTTCTCAATAGTAATTCTGGGTAGTTCCTGTCAGAATTGAAGGACTATGCCCTTAACTTGTGAGGTCTGAGCTAACTCAGGTAGTTAGCATCAGAATCCAATGGAACTACAGGGCACCTAATTGGTGTCAGAGAAAATGTTGACGGAAAACAACAGTGGTAAACCCTTCTTGAAAACAAAAAGCCAAAAAAAGATAAATTAGCTTTCTTTTAACTTTACAGTTAAATTGTATAATTCCACATTCATTTATTCAACAAATATTTTCTGGACACCTACAATAGAGCAGGATAAGAGGCGGCGGCAATATTAAAAAGGGTGGGCAGGGCAGGCTCCACTGAAAAACTGACCAATGTCAGGGGTGCTGGAAGGTGGTGAGGAGAGTGGGAAGGGAACATCTGATGGAGAGGCAGAGGATCTGCCATGCCAAAGCATTTAGGCAGGAGATATTTGGTGGGCCTGGGATGAGCCAGGGAGCTGCTGTGGGAAAGAATGCTGGGTGAATGAGGCCAGAGTGGTGACAAGTGGCCCACATCACTTAGGATCTCATGTACTACTGTAAGTACTTTGATTCTTAGCCTGAGTGAAATGGGACACTAATGCAGGGTTCTCAGGAGCAAATCTGATTTACTAAAGAACCACTTCAGTATCCTGGAAGCCAAATTTTAGAAGTGTTACAAGGAGATAAACATGGTAAGTGTTATCAAATGACGCTGACAGGTTAGGAGAAGAACTGAGAATGGACCATTAAAATTAACACTATATGGCCAGGCATGGTGGCTCATGCCTGTAATCCCAGCACTTTGAGAAGCCGAGACAGGCGGACCTCCTGAGGTCAGCAGTTCGAGAGCAGTCTGGCCAACATAGTGAAACCCCGTCTCTACTAAAAATACAAAAATTAGCTGGGCATGGTGGTGGGCACCTGTAATCCCAGCTAACTGGGAGGCTGGGGCAGGAGAATCGCTTGAACCTGGAAAGTGGAGGTTGCAGTGAGCCGAAATCGCACCATTGCTCTCCGACCTGGGCAACAAGAGCAAGACTCTGTCTTTAAAAATAATAATAATAATAACAGGCAATATCTACATCACGGTAGCCCTGACAAGTGCAGGTTTTTTGGGTCTTGTTTTGTTTTGAGACAGAGTCCAGCTCTGTTGCTCAGCCTGGAGTGCCGTAACACAATCCGACTTTGAGACTCAGTGATCCTCCTGCCTCAGCCTCCCAGGTATGGGAGGTTAGGACTACAAGTATGCGCCACCATGCCCAGCTAATTATATTTTTGTAGAGACTGAGGAAAGTGAAAATCACCTGGTGACCATCGGACAGTCCCTGGAGACAAAAACTCCTTATCTGAGGAATTTAGAAGGGAGCAAAGTCCACCCAGTGACTAACAAACAGGCCACCAGGAGGCAAAACTCCTTATCTAGGGAAAATTAGAAGGAATTAAACTTCCCTAGTATCTAAAGTCGGCATCTGGCTCTTGGCCTCTTTCAACTTTTATGAGTAATTTCTATACATCTCTGGAATGCCATACTGAAACTCAAATGATGGGGTTTCAGGTTCCCATGTTAGCCAGGCTGATCTTGAAGTCCTGACCTCAAGTGATCCGCCCATCTCCACCTCCCAAAGTGCTGGGATTACAGGCATGAGCCACGGCGCCCGGTGGAGAAATATTTTTAAAGATAAAAGAAGTAACAGTTTGCTTCTATGCTTAAGGATATGATCCAGTAGAGGAGGGGCAAATGATGATGCAAGAAAGAGGGGAGAACTGGTAAAGTGATGATCTTGAGTAGATTTAACCAGAGTTGTGGTATTGTCAAACAAATACAAAGAAATACAAGAAGGGCCAAGGAACTAAAAATGTGTACAAGGAGTGAATATGATTGGCCATGGAATCTCAGCTGACTAAGAGGAAAGAGACACAACAGCATGCAGGTGAAGGGCCATATTGAAGTCCCATCAGTGCTAGAGAACTGAAGAATTCTTGGCATCTTGGTACCAGAGCAAGTTACAGGGAATGACAGGAAGTAGTGATTAAATAGTGGTAAATAGAAAACAGATTGTGGATGGATTACATATTATTCATAATTATAAGGTATAGGGCATAATCATGGGAATGAGTAAGTGAAGATGAAGTTGGGTGCAAGACAAGATTAATGGAGAAGAGCTCAAGAAACTGAGAGGCAACAATATGAAAAATCATCTAGGTGCATACTTAAATCACTAAGAGTTTAGACAAGAGTACTATATCCACCCAAATTGTTGGGAAATGAGGGAGAATTACAGTAACAATGAAGGGCAGAGAATGTTGTCACAAGATTCAAAATTATAGGGCTTTAGGAAAAATGAAGGTGTGGCTAGAAGCAGTATGGAGGAGCACGACCATGAGTTTCCTGGTATATGAAGCCTGTGGGAGAAACAACAGCCACCACTTGAGAAGCCTGACAAAGCAGTGCTGTTAGGAGAGAACCAGATGTCTTTCAGATCAAGGTAAAGGGAACCAAAGATGAATCAGCGCAAAGCATTTACCGTTTTTCTGGCATATGTACTGTGTAGGCTCACCAAGAACTAACTACAAGTTCTACAGCATCAACAATGAATTTAAATTCTTTTTTTTTAATGACTGGCAAAGGAAACATCATTAATCATTATTGAAATGAAAATTAAAACCACTAGACAGCCACTAGAATGGCTAAAATGAAAAGACTGACCTTAGCAAGTGTTGGTGAGACTGTGGAGCAACAGGAATCCTCATACACTGTTGATGTAAATGTAAATGTCACATTGGCTTTGGAAACAGTTTGTCAGTTTCTTGAATATTAAGCATAGACCTACCATATGATCCAGCCACTCCTCTCCTAGGTGAAACAGAATAAACCCAAGGGAAACTGAAGCATATGTTCATACAAAGAATTGTACACTAATGTTCAAAGCACCTTTATCTGTAACAGCCCCACTGGAAATAGCCCACATGTTCATCAACAGATGAATGGATATGTAAATTGTGGTATATCCATACAATGGGAAATGTACGAAGTATTAATACAGATAACAACATGAATGAATCACAAAATTATACTACATGAAAGAAGAGTCACATTTCTTCCCTCAAAACATACTGAGTCCATTTATATAAAATTTAGAAAATGCAAATTAATCTATAATGACAGAAAGCAGAGCAGTGTTTGCTTGGGGATGGGAAAGAGGGTAGCAGGAAAGAAGGGGTTACAAAGGGACATGAGGATACTTTTAGAAGTGATGGATGCATTCATTGCCTTGATTGTGGGGATAGCTTCACAGGCATATACATAGGTCAAAATTTATCAAATTGTATCCTTTTTAAAATGTGCATTTATTATATGTCACTTTCATCTCAATAAAGCTGAAAAAAAAAGTGGGAAGCTCTAAAAAAAAATGAGCCATCAAGTCACAAAAAGACACGGAGGAACCTAAAATGCATACTGTAAGTTAAAGAAGTCAATCTGAAAAGGTTACATGGTGTATGGTTCCAACTATATGACATTCCAGAAAAGGCAAAACTATGCAGACAGTAAGTAAAAAGATTAGGGTTTCCCGGGTTTGGAGAGAGGGATAAATAGGCGGAACACAGAGGATAGTTATGGCAGAGAAACTATTCTGTTATACTACCATGGTAGATACATAAAACGCATTTGTCAAAACCCATAGGATGTACAACACCAAGAGTGAACACTAACGTTAACGACGGCCTTTGAGCAGTATTGATGTGCCAGTGCTGGTTTATCTATTGTAACAAATATACCATTGTGGTGGGGGAAGGCAGTGTGTGGTGGGCAAGGAGTGTGTGGTGGGCAAGGAGGATGTGGGAACTCACTGTATTTTCTTGCTGATATTTTAAAAACTTTTTAAAAATTGTAAAATGTACACAACATAAAATTTACCATTTTAACCATTTTTAAGTGCACAGTTCAGTGGTATCAAATACATTCACATTGTTGCACAACCATCACCACCACCCATCTCCAGAACTTTTTCACCATCCCATATTGAAACTCTTTTCCACTCAATTTTGCTCTGAAGGTAAAACAGCTCTTAAAAAGTCTATCAATTTTTAAAAACCTAAGTAGGAGACATGAATGAATCTACATAGACAAAGAGAGATGTCAACAGCAATAAAATTTTGAAGGCTGTAAATCAGATAAAACAAACAAAACAACTTAAAAGACCAAACAGATATAAAAACTTACACTAACAAAAAGCATACTTAGATCCATTCACATTTCAAATTTCTCCTAAAACTACAAAATGATGTAGCTTCTCACTTGTCAGCTCAGACAAAATGAGAAGGACTGATGTTTCCAGTAAAATCCTCTTTTTGGCACCCACACTCACCTGGCTTTCCTCCTACCCCTCTGGCTGCTCTGCCAGTTGCTCCTCTACCCAACAATTAAAGGCCAAACTTCAAGGCTCAGGGTACACATTTTTTCCTTCTTGCCCAATATTCTCCCCTAAAGTGATTTAATCCACACTTACAGCTTCAATTAAGGATATTCAAATAGATATCTCCAGTTTGGACTCCTCTTCTGAACTCTAGACTGTCAACTTCACATTTCCTCTTGATTTTTCAATACCACTCGGATTTGATGTCCCCCAAACTACACTCATGACACATCCAGCTTCCTTCCACAGCAGATCTTCTTTCAGTGTTCCAATATCAGTGGTTTATACTCTCTTCGGTGGATACTGTCTTCAGTGTATTTGCTTAAGTTAAAAACCTAAAAGTCAACTCCCCCACATACCAACCATCAAAATATGCTGATTTTATATACCATTTTGAGTCCACCCACTTGTCTTCATATTCTTCAGCACCTCCTAGTCTAAGGTACCATTATCTTCCTTCTGAATTACTACAAATTTCTTTCTAACTAATCATCACCCTGGCCTCTTCCAATTCATTTTATACCTGCAGCCAGAATATTTTTCAAAATGTAAATCCAATTTGTTAATCCCCCCACCCACCGCCAAAGCCTTCAACTGCTTCTTATAGCCCTTAGATTATGTCTTTTTTTTGAGACAGAGTCTCACTCTGTCGCCCAGGCTGGAGTGCAATGGCACAATCTCGGCTCACTGCAACCTCCACTTTCCCGGTTCAAGCAATTCTCCTTCCTCAGTCTCCCTAGTAGCTGGGATTACAGGCATGCGCCACCATGCCTGGCTAATTTTTGTACTTTTGTAGAGACGGAGTTTCACCATGTTGGTCAGGCTGGTCTTGAACTCCTGACCTCAGGTGATCCACCCGCCTCGGCCTCCCAAAGTGCTGGGATTACAGGCGTGAGCCACCGCACCCGACCTCTTACAGCTCTTAGAATAAAGACACAGCTCTGCATGGTCTGGCTCCATCTACCTTTTCATCCTGATCTGTACCATGCCCACCCTCTCTGTGCAGTAACCACTCGCACCTTTCCTTTCCATAGCAGTGCTCACCATATTCCACCATCCTGCAGGGCCTTTGAGTAAGCTCTTCCCTCCGTGAAGAAATCTGTGACTTTTAGATTTAAATTACCTTTACTTTGTCAGGTAAAATGTTCATGACCTCCTAAACCGAGTTAAAAATATACCTTGTGTAAACTTTCGTAACATTGTGTACTTCTCTGTACCACTTGTTACAACAGTTTTGTTCTCTTAGTTAATTAAAATGTTTTCCCCACTTACCAACCTCCTGAGGGTGGACACCATGTCTATGTGGCTGGTAGTTTTATCAGCCATGCTGGACACAAAGTAGCCATTCAATAAATATCAAATTGACAAAGAAAGAATCAATGTTGGTGAGGTTGTATACATCATACAACTATTTAAAATAGATACTGTGTAACAATATGGATAAATCTCACAGACATTATGTTGACTTTAAGACAAACACAAGAGTACATACTGTATGATTCTACTTACAAGACATTCAACAACAGGCAAAACTAATTAATGGCACTGAAGTCAGAATCATGGCTATCTTTGGCATAGCGGTATTGAGTAGCGAGGAGCTGGAAAGTTCTGTATCTCAATCTGAGTGGACGTTATAGGAGATACGCAAAACATATATGCAAAATTATCACTCTTTGTAGAATGCTCTTCTGTGTGTGACATATCTCAACAAAAGGAAAAAAAAAGGAAGGCATTCTAGGAAGAAAGAAAGACTGAAAACTAAGTATCAATAAGAAATATGCCCATAAGACTTTGGTAAATGAAAAGACCACTTTGCAAAACACAATGTATATTATGATCTTGTTTACTTCAATTCATGAAAAAAAATTTTCAAAATTTACATTGACAAACTATATTTATGGGTACAAAACTGATGTTATGATATCGTATACAATGTGGACACATTAAATCAAGCTAATTAGTATCCATTGCCTCAAATTTTTATGTTTTATGGTGAGAACATTTGAAATCTGCTCCCTCAGAATTGCAAAATACACAGTATTAACAACTATGGTCACCATGCTTTGCAATAAATCTCAAAAAAATGTATTCCTCCTAACAGAAACTTCATGCCCTCTGACTATCATCTCCTCCATTCCCCTCGGCCCCCCGCCTCTGGTAAACACCATTCTACTCTCTGCTTCTATGAGTTCAATTGTTTTAGATTCCACATAAGTGAGATGGTGTTTGTCTTTCTGTCCCTGGCTTATTTACTTAGCACAATGTCCTTCAGGTTTGTCCACGTTGTTGAAAATGACAGAATTTCCTTCTTTGGGGACATGGGCATGTTGTTTTACGCCTTTAATCTCAGCACTTTGTCAGGCCAAGGCAGGAGGATTGCTTGAGCCCAGGAGTTCAAGACCAGCCTGGGCCACACAGTGAGACCCCATCTCTACAACAACAACAACAAAAAAGGCTGGGTGTGTGCGTGCCTGTGCTCCCAGAAGCTACAAGGGAGACTATGGTGGGAGGATCATCTGAGCCTGGGAGTTTGAGGCTGCAGTGAGCCCTGGTCAATCCACTGCACTCCAGCCTGAGTGACAGAGTGAGACCCTGTCTCGATCAATCAATTAATAAAGGCTGAACAGTATTTCATTGTGTACATATACACCACATCTTTCTCATCGATCCATTCGCTAATAGGCACTTATGTTGCTTCCATAAATTGGGTACCTTGAATAATGCTGCAAGAAATGTGGAAGTGCAGGTATCTCCTCAACATACCAGTTTCAAATCCTTTGGCTATATACACAAAAGTGGGATTGCTGGATCATATGGTAATTCTATTTTTAGCTTTTTGTACAGTTTTCCATAATGGCTGTACTAATTTACATTCCCAAAAACAGTGTACAAGGGTTCCCTCTGCTCCACATCTTCACCAACACGTATCTTTCATCTTTTTGATAACAGCCATTCTGATAGGTGTGAGGTGACACCTCATTGCGGTTTTAATTTATATTTCCCTGGTGATCAGTGATGAGCATTTTTTCATATGCCTGTTAACCATCTGTATATCTTCTTTTGAAAATGTTTATTCAAGTCCTTCATGCTTTTTTAAATTCAGTTATCTGTTCTCTTGATATTCAGGTGCTTAAGTTTCTTATACAGACTGGATAGTAACCTCTTATTAGATGTATGGCTTGCAAATATTTTCTCCCAATCTGTAGTTTGTCTCTTTACTCTGTTGCTTGTTTCCTTTGTCATGCAAAAGTTTTCAGTTTGATGTAATCCCATTTGTCTGTTTTTGCTTTTGTTGCCTGTTTTGGGGTCAAATTCAAAAAATCATCCCCCAGACCAATAACAAGAAGCTCTCCCCCTATGTTTCCTTACAGTAGTTTTTCAAATTCAGTAGGTATGTTTAAAAGTCTTTAATCCATTCTGAATTGATTTTTGCATGTGGCGTGAGATAAGGGTCTAACTTTATTCTTCTGCATGTAGATATCCACTTTTCCCAACACCCTTTACTGAAGAGACTTGTCCTTTTCTCATTGGGTGTTTGTGGCACCTTTGTGGAAAATCAACTGACTATAGATGTATGGGTTCCTTTCTGGAATTTCTATACTGTTCCACTGGTCATTGTGTCTATTTTTATGCCAGCACTGTGTTTTAATTACCACAGCTTTGCAACAGAGTTTAAAATCGGGTAGTGAGATTTCTCCAGCTTTGTTCTTTTTCTCATGATTGCTTTGGTTATTTGGGGTCTTTTGTCATTTCATATGAATTTTAGGTTTGTTTCTTATTTCTGTGAAAAAGGTTATTGGAGTTTTTATAGGGAATGCATTGAATCTGCAAATCACTTTCAGTAGTATGGGCATTTTAACAATTCTTCTTCTAATCTATGAATACAGAGTATCTTTCCTTTATTGCAGACTTCAACTTCTTTCATCAATGTTTTACAGTTTTCAATGTATGGCTCTTTCACCTTGTTGGTTAAATGTATTCCTACGTATTTTATTTTACTTGGTAGCTATTATAAATGGTATTGTTTTCTTGATTTCTTTTTCAGATAGTTTGTTGTTAGTACTTAGAAACACTACTGATTTTTTGTAGGTTGATTTTGTATCCTGCAACTTTACTGTATTCATTTACCAGGTCTAATAGTTTTTTTCTGGAGTCTTTGTGGCTTTTTGTATGTAACGTCACATTGTCAGGTAACAGTGATAATTTCACATCTTCCTTTCCTATTTAGACACCTTTTACTGTTTTTTTTTTTTTTTTTTTTTTTGCCTCGTTGCTCCGGTAAAGACTGTTGAACAGAACTGGCAGAGTCGACATCCTTGTCTGGTTCCTGAAATCTTGTTTTGATGAAACAATATATATATATACTTTCTTTCTTCTGGTTTCTCTAAGTGATAAAGATCCTACTCAAACTAGCTTAGGCAAAAAAATCATGTATTGAACTACACCTGTAAAGTTCACTTAGCTAGGCCCACAGTCTCAAACAATTTTTATTAAGAACTTCTAGAGTGAAACGTTCTAGACAATGGGAAAGCTAAAATTAGGGCACCACTCAGAGGGGACCATGAAAATGACAAGATGACTCTTCTCAGAGTGCTCAAACCAGGGCAGGCCAGGTTCCCAATGAGCCTTCTTGAGCTTCATTAAAAAATCTGTGTGCCTATATATCTGGAAAAATGTACCATGCATTTTAAGTTATAGAAGAAAGTAAAAACAAGCTGTAATGTTCAAACACGAGTCCCCAGTTCTAAAGGCAAAGAGACAGATAATCTGAAATGTTGGCATCTGAGCTCTATGGCAACTCTATGTAGCTAATTGCAAAGAAAACCAATAATTCATTTAATAATGACACTGATTTTCAACAGAAATGCAGGGCAACCCAGCTAGTGACATGTAAATCTTTTAAAATCATCAGGCTGACAAGTGTTCAGGGCTTCAAAATATAAAAGTATCTGCAAATTACAACAAACCCTCCATGACTTCTTAAATTCACACATAATCCTTTATTTTAAAAAATTCCTAGGTCAAAAGCTGATAGTCATATAATATCAATTTCATAACTATTATGTTTTCAAAGTACTCAGAAGAATTGGGTATGCTTTATTTATCCCAAATACTCCTTCCTTTAGTCACTCAACAAACATAAACACCCACAATGCATATTAAACTAGGAGGAACTGCTGATTTTGATCATTTTGACCTATAAGGAAGAGCAATTTCATATGGTTCAACATAAAACCACGCATTCGCCTGTTGCTTGGATACAACAGTGAAAACAAATTCCCTGGCTCCATGTGGAGTTTACATTCTGTGTATATGTGTTTGGGGATGTTGGGGCAGATGAATGAACAACCAAATATATGGTATATCAGATGGTGTCACAAACTTGAAAGAAGAACACAAAAGCTTAAGTGGGATAGAAAGTATAAGGGAATTGTCGTTGCTATTTTATATGGGTACTCAGGGCAGGTGCCACTGATGAGATGATATTTCAGCAAAATCCTAAAGAAAAATGGAGTAAGCATCTTAGATACCCCTGTAACAGCAAAATCTGGCCACTAACAAGAAAATTTCTGCCAAGCATATGCCAAAAAATACAAGAATAATTCTGCTAAAACCATTAGAGTACTAACACAATCACAGCCCTTATTAAACTTGCAACCCAATCTATACCTAATAAGTACATTCCATTAAAACTAGTGCTGCTGCCGCCTACAACTCTTACTCTACACACGTTTCATGTAAGTACTTTTTTAATCCATGTTTTCAACCTAACAAATATCCATGCATAAGAATACACATAAAGATAAGCAATTTATTCTTACATCTTTTGAAGAACCTGGGCCATCACAACCCCATTCGTTAAATCTTCCACGGTCTGGCATGGTGCATCCACATTAAATGTCTGGATCTGAAGGGAAAAAAAGAGGGGGGGGGGAGAGATTCTGTGGTTACCTCTGTAGAAAATTTCTTAGGCCTTTTTTTTTTTTTTTTTTGGAGACGGAGTCTAGCCCTGTCACCCAGGCTGGAGTGCAATGGCCCCATCTTGGCTCACTGCAACCTCCACCTCCCAGGTTCAAGTGATTCTCCTGCCTCAGCCTCCCAAGTAGCTGGGATTACAGGAACGCACTACCACGCCCTGCTAATTTTCTGTATCTTTAGTAGATACAGGGTTTCACTATGTTGGCCAGGCTGGTCTTGTACCCCTGACCTCAGGTGATCTGCCCGCCTCGGCCTCCTGAAGTGCTGGGATTACAGGTGTGAGCCACCGCACCTGGCTGAAAATTTCTTAGGCTTTTTTTTTTTTTTGGTGATTATCTCATCTTAGGGATTGGAATAAATTTTAAAAAGAAGTCTAATTGGAAACTTTTGCCTTTAAGGGAAATGTCCTGCCAAGTATTACTGTAATTCTTCCCCACTGGTAAAAGAGAAATCGTGGTGGATACTGGGTGGCTTCCCAGCATCCATTCTACTCACACAAGATCAATCTATGAAAATCACGGCACGTTCATCCCCTCTACCAGTGACTGACTCAGGGACACACAGGGAAAAGACAATTTGGACTAAAGAGAGATAAGGAGATGCTTCTGGGAAAGAAAAGCCAATCTCCTGTTGATTTAAGTATGCTGCCTCCATTACTGTGAGCCGTCATCTCATGACTACAAAGGCAATCATCTTAAGATTAGGCCAATGCAGTGAAAGGCAGAGAGAAGAGCTAGAAAGAACTATATCCCCTCCACCACGGCACCCCCCCCCCCAAAAAAAGAAACAGGAAAAAAAAAAAAAAAGAACTATGTCCTAAAGGTAAAAACTGAACTACTGAATTTAAAAATCTTGATGCCTCCCGGTATGTGAGATGAATTCATTTATTCTTTACATCTGGTGAGGTTGCAGTTTCTGTTACTCGGAGGCCAAATATCTTTACACAGATGTAGAAGTCACACTTAGAATGGTTAGGTTAGATATTCACTTCATTTTGATTTCAAATATATTCTGAAACTTTGTACTAATCAACATGATGTAGCCAAGAAATGTACTTTCCCTAATAGTATAAATTCTCTCTCAAAGTAAGAAAATGTAGCTGAGCCAGCTACCCAGTAGTGTACTCAGGATTTAGACGGAAATCAATCCCTGAGAACAGACAGACACAGGCCATCCTCTCATAGAACTTACAACTAGGAAAAATGAAACAGTATAATAGAAGTGTCAACAGCAGGCATAAAGATGAGAAGTGAGAGTGGGATGCAATTTAGGTATGAAGAGCAGCTTGGTACAGATCGAGTAGGGGTAAGAATTGGAGGAAGAAACAGAACAGGGGAGAATTAAAACGGTGAAAGACAGGGCAAAAAACTGAAGAATTAACATGTAAAACCTTAGAAGCCACATTAGGACCTTATTCTATGAATAAAGTAAGCAAAGGATTTGAACCAGGGGAGTGAGCCATGAGGTTTGCATTGTATTAATATAAGATCTGGCCGGGGGCGGTGGCTCATGCCTGTAATCCCAGCACTTTGGGAGGCGGAGTCGGATGGATCACGAGGTCTGGAGATCAGAACCATCCTGACTAACACAGTGAAATCCTGTCTCTTCACTAAAAATACAAAAAATTAACCAGGCCTGATGGCACACACCTGTAGTCCAAGCTACACTGGAGGCTGATGCAGGAGAATCGCTTGAACCCGGGAGGCGGAGGTTGCAGTGAGCCAAGATCATGCCACTGCACTCCAGCCTGGGCGACAGAGCGAGACTCCGTCTCAAAAAAAAAAAAAAAAAAAAAGATCATACCGGCTGCAGTATGAAGGAAGGAGTGGAGGGAAAGAGACAGGAAGACCCATTTGAGTAGGTTTATATACTAACACGGATGAAGCTAAACTCAGTACAGACAATGAGAATACTGGGAATAACACTCAGGTGACCATATGTCTTCACACAAATTTTTATTTATTGGGTTAGAAAAGAAGTAAAACTGCTAGGTCAAAAAGTGTATGAACATTTTACGGTTTTTGATAAAACTGTCAAACTGCCCTAAATATATACTGTAGCAATTTATTCTCTTACTAACGGTGGGTGAGTGGCTACTTCTCCGCACCGTATCATTTATCAAATCTTTTTGTTTTGTTTTGTTTTTCAGACGGAGTCTCACTCTGTCGCCCAGGCTGGAGTGCAGTGGCGCGATATCGGCTCACTGCAAGCTCCGCCTCCCGGGTTCACGCCATTCTCCTGCCTCAGCCCCCCGAGTAGCTGGGAATACAGGCGCCCGCTACCATGCCCGGCTAACTTTTTTGTATTTTAAGTAGAGACAGGGTTTCACCGTGTTGGCCAGGATGTCCTCATCTCTGACCTCGTCATCCGCCCGCCTTAGCCTCCCAAAGTGCTGGGATTACAGGCGTTTGAGCCACCACGCCCGACCTCATTTATCAAATCTTTAAAAGACAACTATTGGCCGGGCACGGTGGCTCATGTCTGTAATCCCAGCACTTTGGGAGGCCGAAGAGAGTGGATCACGAGGTCAGGAGATGAGACCATCCTGGCCAACACGGTGAAACCCCGTCTCTACTAAAAATACAAAAAATTAGTCGGGCGCTGTGGCGGGCGCCTGTAGTCCCAGCTACTCGGGAGGCTGAAGCAGGAGAATGGTGGGAACTCGGGAGGTGGAGCTTGCAGTGAGCCGAGATCGCGCCACTGCACTCCAACCTGGGCCACAGAGCGAGACTCCGTCTCAAAAAAAAAAAAAAAAAAAAAAAAGACAACTATTAACAGTACAGTCAGTAGCTTCTTTGTATATAATACAGGAGAGTTTTGCAGGTAGAGACGGTTATGGTGGTAGAGGCCCAGGGAATTATCTTAAAGATCCTCATAGCAAGTTTTTACTTAAGTGTCTATTTGGGAAAGCTGATAAGAGGATCCTTCCAAGCTGCCCTGACACAAACCAAACACCTGGTAGAGGTGCAATAAATGATTAGTAAATGAATACATGAAACAAATAAACACCATCTGCGGGAACTGATTTTGAATTTTACTCCATACTATCTCCAGCTGCCTGCTCATTAGTAAAAGAAATAAGCACTTAAAAGAAATAAGCACTTGCTTCCATTCTACAGTTGCCAAGTCAATGGCCCATTTTCAAAAAAGAAAACCCAATCTTTCTTGTAGGTTTGTTTAGAAGGAAAAATAGAGGCAGCAGTGAGGACTATGTCTCATTCTTCTCTTTATCACTGACCTCAGCACAATGCCTGATACGAACAAGCCCTCAGTGGACGCCACTTTGAATGAAAGGAGCTAATTCTAATCCCTAGTTTTGCCCTGTAAATTTAGACAGGATGTTTCATCTCTCTCAATATCAGTTTTTCCATATAAAGAAAGATTGGGGAAAAATAGCCTATAGAAGGGTGTGTTGCTTCAGAATGAATGAGAAAATGAATGCCCATGAGGTATTTTGCAAAGTCTAAAGCAATGGTCCCAAACCTGGTGTGTAGGGGAATCATCTGGGGGGGTTTGAAAATACACATTTTGGCAGGGCGTGGTGGCTTATACCTGTTACCTCAGCACTATGGGAGGTCAAAGCTGGAGGATCACTTGAGCCCAGGAATTCGAGACCATGCTGAAAAACATGGCAAAATTCTGTCTCTACAAAAAATACAAAAATTAGCTGGGTATGGTGGGTCACGCCTGTAGTCCCAGCTATTCAGGAGGCGGAGGTGGGAGGATCACTTGAGCCTGGGGGGTCGGGACTGCAGTGAGCTGTGACTGCTCCACGGCACTCCAGCCTGGGCAACAGAGTGAGACCCTGTCTTAAAAAAAAAAAAAGAGAGAGAGAGAGAGAATACACATTTCTTGGCTCCCCCTACTGAATCAGAATCTGTGTGTAGGAAGCTGGGGATCTATTTTTAACAAGTTCATCAAATAATTCTTACACAGCTGGGCACTGGTTTGGCATTTGGAATCCTATGATCCAAAGCACTATGAAAGGGAAGGGATGCAAGATTGGAAAACAGCCTCTGGCCAATCAGAAGAAGCAACTCAACAAAGCAGGTAATTCAAAAAAGCAAGTAACTTAGTTGTTAAGACTTGATCTGGGCCTGGCACGGTGGCTCACGCCTGTAATCCCAGAACATTTGGAAGCCGAGGCGGGTGGATCTTGAGGTCAGGAGTTCAAGACCAGCCTGACCAACATAGTGAAACCCCGTCTCTACTAAAAAATACAAAAATTAGCCGGGCGTGGTGGTGCGTGCCTGTAATCCCAGCTACTAGGGAGGCTGAGGCAGAATTGCTTGAACCCAGGAGGTGGAGGTTGCAGTGAGCCGAGATTGTGCCACTGCACTCCAGCCTGGGCAACAGAGCAAGACTCCACCTCCAAAAAAAGACTTGATTTGTTTTTTTCTCTTGGGATTTAGGGAAGCTAAATTTTCATTTTTGTTTTTAAAACATGGCTTTATTCAATTATTTTCTCTGTATTAGCCCTTGAGGTACATAGTTGCTCATAAGGGTCAGAGATGTCCACCTCTGCTGCAAGACCAAAGTGAAACAGATCCTAAAGAAAATTTATCCCCTAGTTTATTTTTGGGGTGATGAAAATGTTCTTGGAACTAGATAGTCATGATGACTGCACAATCTTGTGATCATACTAAAAACCAAAAAAATTATACACTTTAAAAGGATGAATTTTATGGGTATGTAAACCGTACCTTAATTTTTAAAAATCTGTCACATACCAGTTCTCTGAGCTAACATCTATTTCAGGATAGCAGTACAATAAAACTGAAAGACAATTGCACTTAACTGCATTAAGGCATGAAACTCTACCTGAAGGGTTATAATCTTTCTTTTAATTCCAAGAAGCTCTATTACCACCACCCAACCTCTACCTCCCCCTCCCCAACAAAAGCATGAGAAGAGTAAAGCATGAGATCACCTGGAATTACTATCTCTAGAGCAATGGATAATTTTGCTCCCGAGGAGACATTTTTGGCTGTGAGTTGGGTGCTATTGTCATCTAGCTGGTTGAGGCAATGGGATGCTACTATTAAACATAGCGCATAGTGCAGTGCCCACACAGCAAAGAACTGTCCAGCGCAAAATGTCAAATAATTTTCTAGAGCCATGGTCCTCAAAATGTGGTCCCTATGTCACCAACAATGGCATCACCTGGGAACCTATTAGAAATACAAAATCTCAGGCCCAGCCCAGACCTACAGAACTAGCAACTCTGGGCATCTGTGTTTTAGCAAGCTCTCCAGATGATGCAGATCAACACTAAAGCATGAGAATCTCTGGTGAAGTTAGCAAACATAAAGTTAAATATCAATGCAATCAAAACACAGAGGTGAAGTTACAAAGTCACATCAGTTAGTATAGAACAAAACTAGGATTTGAACCCAGGCTGCCTAATGTCAGAACCTGTATGTACTCTTATGCTATACTATCTTTTTAAGTACTTTAACTTTTGTACATCAGTGACTTATTCTTCCATTAGAGGACAAAAATTGTTGGCAGAATCGAGTTAGGCAGAGGAGAATGGAATGGGGGAGATACCACCATAATAATTATACCACCCCCAATTCTATATACTAGTATGCATTTTATAGGCTGCCAAATAAGTAATATGAAAACAATAAGGACATATTAATGTTGCTAGGTTATCCCAAAGTGTACCGAGCCTATGTGATGACTTTTTTTGTCATAACTTGGTAGCATTGTAGACTTCGTTTTTCAGTCTCTAAAACCTGGAAAAGTGCTATCTTTTCATCGAGATTCACATACAGTTCAAGAAATTAGGCTTCACAGGTGTAATTGGCAGGGCAAATTTTGACTCAGAGGGTGGAGAGAGGAGGCACAGTGGAAATTTTCAAGCATGTCCTGCTGAACTTGTTTGCATAAACTTTGATTTGGAATTTAAGCTTAAGATGTTTCCCCTTGGTAAGATGATACTTAACTCTTTTTGTAACTCTCTCTTTCGAAAAAATTTGGAACATATGGTTCTTGGGCTAGTAGGCTGTCTGATAAAAGGGCAATTTATCTAGCATATGAGGCAATGAGACGTTCCATTGAGTTCTGTATAGGTGACAGAATCATCCCTTTAAGTACTTGAGCTTTTATTACTTTAGCCATTTCTAGTGGAATAATTTCTAAAATGTACTATATACATCTCTCCAATCTCAAACTAAATGCTATGTAGTGAAAACAAACTTTTATCTGATACTCAGGAATATAATTATGATCTTCAAAACTTGAACAGGGAGGCTCTAGAAGTACATAAGGCTGTCATCCCAAAGACGGAATCATTCAGCTCTTAGATCTTGTCTGTCACTGACAGTTGTCTGCATTTTGCTGAGTGTCAGTCACCTTCTAGCTTACTGTGTGAGAGCAAAACCCCCCACACAACCAAACTGACTAGAAGCTGACATAAAATCAAGAAAACTAATCTAAATGAGTCTTTTCTTTGGAGTGTATGTGTACATTTTTGCTTGCATTTGGTTTTAGAATTGTGCTTAGCATTAATCTGGCTTACAGATAGGAGGGGTGATATTATACATTTAAATGTCATCAAACATTGCTCATTGAAACATTTATTCTGCTTTTTATAATGACAGCTAAAAGAGAACAAACCCAGCATTTAAACTCTATTTTGAAACATGTCTTTTAAAGTGTTTCCAAATTTTAGAACTGTACATCTTCATGAACACTGCCCTCCAATTTTGTCACTGATAATCTCTAATCTTATCCAGAAATTCTCATTGATGAGTTTCCAGTGACATTTCAAAAAGCCTATTCTACAATACTATACTCCCTGACCTCTCTACAGCTGATAATGTGGATTACTCGTTTTCTTGACATTTTAGGAGATTCTAAATAGATTCTCTCATGTTGTCAGGTTCTGTCAGCAGGCCTTCAAACTTCTAAGATTTCTCCTGTATATTTTTATCAGCATTTCTCACTTAAATAAATGCAATTACTACCTACCATATTTTGTGGATACCCTTCAAATACAGACGGTCCCCAACTTAGGATGGTTTAACTTAAGACTTTTCAACTTTACAATGATGCAAGATACACATTCAGTAGAAACCATACTCTGAGTGCCCATACAACCATTATATTTTTCATTTTCAGTACAGTGTTCAATAAATTGCATTAGATATTCAACAATTTATTATAAAACACGTTTTGTGGTAGATGATTTTGCCCAATTGTAGGCTAAGGTAAGTGTTCTGAGCACGTTTAAGGTAGACCAAGCTAAGCTACCGTTTGGACGGTTAGGCGTATGAAATGCATTTTCAACTTACGGTATTTTCAACTTATGATGGGTTTACCGGGATGTAACCCCATCGCAAGTTAAGGAGCCTCTGTACACCTCTTTATTTCCATGTCTTCTTTCTCCCTAGATTTTAAACAATGTAGCCCTACTTAGATTCAATTAGCTTCATCTTTGCCTTCTGGCTGCTTCTTCTAGCATAAAGGGAAGCACTACTTGCACAGTCTCAAAAACTTAAATCTTAAGTTCCTCAGCATTCTGTTTACAGATGTACAGATTCTGCCAAATCTATTCCTTCCACAACATCAAAGAATTTAGTAATTCTTTCCTCTCTCTCTCTCCCCTGCCTAGTCAGAAACCTCAGCCACATTATACAACTTACCAGTCTTCCTCTTTTCTGAAATACAGCAGTGAAAGCCATCTCCTTGCCTGGAGGGAGAACTCATCAGAAGGGTAAGCTGCACGCTAACTACATACTACTGCTAACGATCTGAAATCCCCTAAATGGTCTGATATGCAACTGGCTACTCAAGCTCTACCAAGTCTGTTTCAGAGGACAGAAATTGATTCGTGACGTAGCCAAACTATAAAAACCTCAGACTATTTTTATTAATTTTTTTAACAACCAACGTAAGGCAATACTTCTCCAGCCTTTCCAGCAAAGTGCCTTGCACAGGATCGTGACGTCTACACTCCAGGGATCCTGACTCGTAACCCAAGACACCGCTAAAGAGAATTTCTCTCACATTCGTGTTTTACCTTTAAAAGTAATACAAATGCTGTAGTAGCCTTCATAAACACATCCGTAAACATTTAATTAACATTCTCAGCAATGAGTGAAACGGAGGCTCCCGAAGGCAGCGCGGGGTCCGCCCGGGCTCTGCGCATCCCTCCCCCTCCCCGGCCGCGCCGCGGCGAGAACGACTGGAACCCGGGCGTCGGTTCCCCTGCCGCGTCCTGAAGACCCGGCTTCAGGAAGGCGCGGCAGCTGACGTGAGAGGTGAACATGTATTTACTTCAAAGTATGAGGAATCTAAAACCGTTTAAGAATTCAAAATCAGAATCCCACGACTCTGTCCCCCAAGGCCTTCGAGTTCCATTGTTGACGCCCAGACACCTCCAGACTCCTTTAAACGTCTGCCCGACGCCTCTGACAGGCGTCCGCCCCTCGCGCACTCCCACCGCCAGCGGTGCCTTGCATCCGAAACGGGGTCCCCGGGCGCCTCCCGCATTCTCCCCACGCTCCCTCACAGGTCCTTTCAGTTCCCGGGCCGGAGCCGGGCCCGTCCTCCGCGAACGCGGCAACAAAGGCGAGGAGCGGCGGCGGGTCCTGGACGCGGGGCAGTCAGGCTCGGCCACCCCCAGAGCGCAGCGCAGCCCCAGCTGCGAGCAGCCGCACGGATCCCAGAGTCGCCCGCCGCGTTCCCAGCCCAGCCCCGGCCGGGGTCCGCCCGGAACAGCGACGCCTCAGGCCCGGCAAGTCTCTCTCGGACCCTGGGCCGAGCCTCCTCGCCCCGCCCGCCCCAGGCCCCGGATGTGACGGCACCGTCGCCCGCAGCGCTCGCCCCACGGGCCGCGCGTGGAGGGTCCCGGTAGGTGGCGGGGGGAGGGGGTCTTCCCGCCGGCCCGCGGCCCCCACGTACCCAAGTGAGGAGGCTCTCGCACAGCTCCGCCCGCTCCAGCGACTCTACGCTGAACATCTTCCCCGCCGCGGCCAGGCAGCGCCTACCGCCTGGCCAGACACCGCCGCCGCTCTGTCGGGGGATCCGGGGGCCCGCGCAGCTGACTCGGCCTCAGGCCCGCCTGCTCCTCGGATCCGGCCGCCGACTCTCGCCCAGCGCTGGCAGCGGCTCCGCACCGTCACCCCCAGCGCCCCTCCTTCTCCTTTCACTCGGGACCGCGCGCCAGCCGCGCGCGACTTCGGACACGCCCGCCGCCCCGCGTCCCCGCCCCCGGCCGCCCACACCGCTCCTCCCCAGCGCCGCCGCCCTGGCTGGAGCCGAGGCCGAGGAGCCACTGCGCACGCTCGCGCCCCGGCCGACCCGCGCCGCCGCGCCGCCGCCGCCGCCGCCGCCGCCGCCGCTGCCGCCGGGCGCGCCCCCGCCACCAGTTCGCTGCGTGTCGAGGCGAGCACGCGCTCCGCCCTGGAGGCTGCGGCGACGGGTCCTCCTCCGCCGTCCGGTCGCGCCCTCGCGGAAGCTCGGCAGTGCGCGTGCGCCCGCACCCGCACTCCAAATTAGAAAGGGGACGTCTAGTGGGTTGCCCGGGAGGGGTGGCGGGAGCGGTCCTGGAAATAATCTGTCCTCTGTCGCCGGGAACTGGCGAGGTAGTTCCTTCGCGGTGGAGAGGTACGTCCGGCGCGCGGCGGCCACGCCCACCCTATCGGGGCCCGCGGAGCCGCGGACGGCGGGGTCTGGCCTTCTTGGGGTAGCTCTGGCCGCCGAGGCTCTGCGGGGCGGCGGGAGTCGCCGCCTCCTTCCCCCCGGGCCCCTCCCTCGTCTGGAAGCCCCAGAATCGCCCCGCGGCTGTCCGGAGTCGCCGGCGACGGTGGAGGGGCCGACGCGGAGAGCGGCTCTAGGTGGGTTTGGCGGCGGCGAGGACACCGCCGCTCCCTCTAGGGTCGCTCGGAGCGTGACCCTGAGAACTCTCCTTAATGCAGGAGGGGTGTGCGCCCGCTCGCCAATCCGTAAGGACACCGGCCGACCCCGGGCCTGCGTTTCTCAGCGTTCGGAGTTGCCTTCGCTTAATGGCGAGGCGGATCGTTCTGGAGCTTCCACCTCTTTAGAGGCACGAATCTGTCTGCTGGGCTGCCGATAAATTTTTAACAGATATAGCATACGCAGAAAAGTGCATACGACATACACGTTTAAAGAAGAATTAATAAAACACCCAGATAAAAACGAAAAGGGCATTACCGGCACCCCAGGAGTTTCTCACCCATGCCCTGTGCTCCTTTCGGAGCCTGATTGTCTCCTAGCCTGACTAGTGTGATCATTTCCTTACAGCTTTACCATCTATGTGTGCATGCGATGTCGTTTTCCTTTGCCTGTTTTTGAACTTTTGCGGGTGGATCACAGTGTGTTGTTTTGTGGTTTTCAATCAGTATTAAATTGGTGTACTGTGTATGTATAGGTAATTTTAATTGTTGCCTAGTATTCCAGTGTGAATAGAACAGTGAATCCATTCTACTCTGGTTGGGCATTTTGTTCAGACTGAGGCCACTCAGAACATGGCTATAAACATTCTAGTGTACCTGGAACGTAGTGCAAATATGTTGGAATTTCCAGGACATGCACTTTGGAGTCCTTAGAGAATTGTCGATGCGTAGAGTATGCATAACTACCACCCAATGCCAAATTTTTATTTGGAGTGCAACAAAGCTAACTTCCCAAGACACACTTTGCTTTGTAGTTCCTGGAACCCCTTTCCCCCACTTTTTTTCCATTAAGAGTAGGTTTTCTCATTGAGCACTGAAAACTGCCAAGACAGCATTGAGTGGGGTTTTTTGTTGTTGTTGATGGTGGTTTTTGAGAAAGGGTCTCGTTCTGGAGTGCAGTGGCGCAATCTTGGTTCACTGCAACCTCTGCCTCCTGGGCTCAAGTGATCCTCCTACCTCAGCCTCCCAAGTAGCTGGAACCACAGGTGCAGGCCACGATGCTCAGCTAATTTTCTTATTTTTTGTAGAGAGGGGGTCTCGCTATGTTGCCCAGGCTGGTCTCAAATTCCTGGGCTCAAGTGATCCGCCCGCCTTAGCCTCCCAAAAGTGCTGGGATCAAAAGTGTGAGCCACCGAGCCTGGGTCAGCAGTGAGTTTTTAAGGTTGCCTTACAGAGTACCACTTGATAGTTGACCCCTGATCATTTAGCATTTTGTAAGTGTAAAAAAAAAAAAACTTACCTGAAGTATTCTCAATGGTCTTTTTTTCAAACATTCTTCCCTACACCAAGGGCAGAGAAACCTTTAGAAATTACACATACGTGGCCAGGCGCGGTGTCTCGCGCCTGTAATCCCAGCACTTTGGGAGGCCGAGGCGAGCGGATCACGATGTCAAGAGATCCTGGCCAACATGGTGAAACCCCGTCTCTACTAAAAATACAAAAATTAGCCGGGCGTGGTGGCGGGCTCCTGTAGTCCCAGCTACTCGGGAGGCTGAGGCAGGAGAATCGCTTGAACGCGGGAGGCTGAGGTTGCAGTGAGCCGAGATCGCGCCACTGCACTCCATCCTGACGACAGAACGAGAATCTGTCTCAAAAGAAAAAAAAAATTACACATGTGTGTCTCGCCTGTGTTTGGTTCCTGTGTTGGTGCCTCTGGATATTTGTCAAACTAGAGTTCCTACATTCCTTATCAGGTTATTTCTGTCGAATCTCTAGCACTTTTAAGTGACGTATAATCTTGTAGGCAAGTGAATGAAGTCAGTGAGTATATGTCACATTGACTTACTCCTGACTCACATGCAGCTTGTCTTTAGATGGGCAGATAAGATGCTGGCCCTACTGGAGCGACTGTGGTTGTGCCGTCCTGAGCACCCTTCCTCCAGTGGCCCCGGTTTTCAAGGCTTTGACACAATGGACCTAAAGTCTCCTTTTTCAAGCTTGGCTGCATATCCACAGTGCTTTTGTGCATGATGTTACGTTGTTCTGGAGGTTTCATTTTGTAATTCCAGTTACCTTTGATGAAAGAAATTAGTAAAAACTTTTTGGATGTGAGTAATTGCAGAAGCCATGTGGCTGCTGAGTTTCTACGTAAGCCTTGGGGTAAAAAGACACTGAGATTCTCTCCTTTGTTCCAGGAAGTCCCGGAATTTCCTATTTTTCTATTTTCTCTGTGTGTTTTATTTTTTTTCCTTCCCTGAAAGCTTTGGAAATGCCTGAGGAGAGGTGAGTTGAACTTGTCTTAGCTGTCTGGTTACTCCGGTTAGTTGGAGGCTAGTTCTCACCCACAGCTGCTTATCAGATTAAAGAGGGCATGTCCTGTGTGACAGTGCTCCAGATTGCATCCTGTCTTCCCAGGGAACACATACTTAGAGCTGTGATTAAAGAGAGTTTGAGATGCTATGTGGAGCAGCTCTGGGGCAGGCATGGCTAGTTTTTATCATATCAAAACATGGCTAGTTTTATCATGATTCCTTGGCGGTTGTTAATAATATTAACCAAACACTGTAGCTTCCATTTACTGAGAGCCTATATGATGTGCCAAGCAGTATGCTAAATGCCTTACCTTCATTATCTCATTATAAACTTCACAAGGCAAAGCACTTCCCCTGCCACACCCGCCCCAAAAAAGAGTGGCAGTTTGATATGGTTCAACCTAATGCCTTTTACGTATGAGGAAGCTGAGACTGAAACTTTATGTAAGTCCAGGGCTGTCTGACTCTGGAACTTGTGCTTGTTTGCTGTCTGAAGATACTGCTCAATAAGATGTAGCCAGCTGAGCAATAGCAAAGCCAGTTTCTCTGCAAACTTCTATCAGTTACACTGCACAGTTTCCAAGATGGATGGGGTTCAGTTTTTGTGAATCTTAAACAGTTCAAAACCGAGTATTAGTAACTCTTCTTTTCATATTTTACAGGATACCATGAAATAGATTACATCCCATGTTCTATACATTTAATAACCTTGTTTTTGGGTTTAATGTAAACAACCTTTAGTGGCCACTACAACATGTAAGACCCTGCGCACTACTAACAGTAATAAGATATGATTCCTGACTGAAAGGAATTCATTCTTTAAAAATGTATTTTTAATTTTTATAGATGTATAATAGTTGTACATATTTATGGGGTACCTGTGGTATTTTTATACAAATATGTACAATGTGTAATGATCAAATCTGGGCAGTTTTTTGAGACAAGGTCTTGTTCTGTCACCGAGGCTGGAGTGCAGTGGTGCGATCTTGGCTCACTGCAACCTCTGCCCCCCAGGTTCAAGCAATTCTCATGCCTCAGCCTCCCGAGTAGCTGGGATCACAGGCGTGTGCCACCACGTCTGGCTAATTTTTGTATTTTTAGTAAAGATGGCGTTTCACCATGTTGGCCAGGCTGGTCTCAAACTCCTGGCTTCAAGTGATCCACCCACCTTGGCATCCCAAAATGCTGTGATTACAGGCGTGAATCACAGCACTGGCCTGAATCTAGGGTTTAAAAAAAAAAAAAAAAACGCTGCAACAGAGCCTCCAAATAACATGAAAAAATAAATCCAGTAAGATATTACTTTATATGCTTGGAACTAAGTGCTTAACATTCTGTGATTAATAATAATAAAATTTTGAGGGTGAAGCAATTGAGCACAGTATCTACATATTCTAAAACTGAACTGTAGTCACTTGTGGATTCTGTAAATATTTGGCACCAATAAACATTAATTTTTGGCTGGGCGTGCTACCTCACGCCTATAATCCTAGCACTTTGGGAGGCCTAGGTGGGTAAATTCCTTGACCCCAGGAGTTGGAGACCAGCTTGGGCAAGATGGTGAAACCCATCTCTACAAAAAATAAAACATTTAACTGAGCTTAGTGGTGCACACCTGTAGTCACAGCAGGAAGACTGATTGAGCCTGGGAGGTCGAGGCTGCAGTGAGCCAAGGGTGCACCACTGCACTCCAGCCTGGGTGACAGAACAAGACCCTGTCTCAAAAAATAAATTTTAAAAATTTATAAACATTAATTTGAGCAATATCTGTTTTTCAAGAAGGAAATTTGTGGTGTAGTGAGAGTGTTTAGCAGTTGACATGCCAGTCATGCCACTTAGGTCAGTGTAGGTGCCTCCGGAGTAGGCACCGTCAGGAAACTGAGCGACTGGGTGGTAGATGAGAATGGGCATTGACCGGGCATTGAAGCTCAGTTTGCATATCGAGAGAGGAAGCAAGTATTGGCTTTATTTTTCTTGTTAAAGTAATTCATACTTGAAAGAATTGAAACTGTGAAACTGTGTCCTAGGGAGGGTGATGGTCTGGTTTTGCCAGTCCAGCTTCTCACTGATAACCACTCTAATGTTAGCTTTGATGTGGCTTTTTCTCTATTCCGAAACTCTGAATCAGAGAAATTTAGCAGTAGAAGGAAGTGAAGAAATAAAGTCACAGTTGTTAACCTAAAATAATTTAAAAGGTCAAAATCGAGTTTAAAGAGAGTTTAAGTGTAAAGGTTGAGGACAGGCCACCTGGGAAAGGACAGATTTAAAAGCATGGAAGTCAGTGCTCGTCAGTATAGACATTTGGGATTGTTTATATAGACAAAATTTAGGGACATTTAACAGAATTTTAATATCTTAATGTAAGGCTTAATGTACAGTTATAATGATCTGATTAGTCAAGGTGCGTTTTTTAGGGAAGAAAGAATGTAACTGTCATGAGACCCCTGTTTGGGGCACCATCTGGTCTGAGTTAGGTACAGGACAATAAAGGAGGCAGTTAATCTGTAATAAAAATCAGCAATTAGAAGGAGGAGATCTGGTCTCTTTTAAAAAAAAGACTTAGTCTTTTTTTAGTTGTTTATAGAACAAGAACAATGAGGAAGAGTTAAGCTAAAAATCTAAGAAACAGAATTGTAAACATGTTACGTGACCCAGATCATAGTCATATCTCTTTCAAGGCTTAAGGTGCTTTGGAGGTTCTAAAAACGTTTGAATTTTATTTACTTTTACACAGTTGTTGTAACAGAATTGGAACTAAAATTCAGGGCTCCTCATGTCCAAGCAACAACTGCTTGGGCTTCAGTTTAGAGCCTGTATGGTTGGACAGAATCAGCAGCACTGTTTAGTTCTGGATAATCACTGACTGTGAACAACAAAAGTTGGAGAACAGAAGTCCTTGATTTTGGAATTCATTTTCAGGACTGAGGTATTATGTCATCTCCCCAAGTAGGAAATTTTGTTTCCTGTTTATCTTCTGGAGTTATAAATCAGACCAGCCTCTTTCCAAACTGAAGTGATGGTACAATACCTCATTTTTGAGCCACTAGCACCTGCAGTTGCTTTTTTACTCCAATTTTATGAGAAACTATGGCAGAAGTTGTGCTGTCGAAGCCCCCAACAAGCAGGTCAAATGGCATTAGTAGATCTCCATTTGACAGCCTGGCTTTTGTTGGGATTTCCATGGGACAAGAAAATGCAGTGCCCTTCCCTTTTCCTCTCAACACCGCTGAGAATATCTGCTGTCAAATGATGCAAATAAAATAATATGGACATGCAATACTTAAATATCCTGGATCTCTGAGCTCTTGGAAATGTACATGAAGCAATATCTTAAGAGTATAATCACAGGCCGGGTGCAGTGGCTCACACCTGTAATCCCAGCACTTTGGGAGGCTGAAGTGGGTGTATCACGAGGTCAGGAGATCAAGACCATCCTGGCTAACACAGTGAAACCCCATCTCTACTAAAAACAGAAAAAATTAGCCGGGTGTGGTGGGGGGCGCCTGTAGTCCCAGCTACTCGGGAGACTGAGGCAAGAGAATGACGAGAACCCGGGAGGCAGAGCTTGCAGTGAGCCGAGATCGCGTTGCTGCACTCCAGCCTGGGCGACAGAGCAAGACTCCGTCTCAAAAAAAGAAAAAAAAAAGTCTCAAAAAAAAAAAAGAATATAATCACATAGTAGTCAAATATTTATATATAATATATATTATATATATGTTGTACAGTATAATTTATTCGCATTACCATTGATTGCACCTTGAAGGACATAGAAACAAATGCAATGCATTTTTTTAAGTACAAAATAATAAACGGCCTAAATGTATAGCATAGAGGAAAATGTGAGTAGGAATAATTACAATGCATTTGTTGATAGACTTAACTTACAAAGCACTTTCACCTCTGTTCATTTGTTTTAACCTTCACAGCTCTGTGAGGTAATTAGAGGTTGGAAATCTTGACACAGGGGATAACATTTGGGTTATCTTTGAGCAGATGCAAGTAGTTCTCAGTGCCCTTAGGACTTTTGAAACAGCTACAGCACCTCTAATTTTAAGAGAGGAAACCTGATGAAATAAAAACCTAAATTGACTCCGTGGCCCACCCCTAGCTTATTTGAGGCTCTTCAGTTCAGTTGGCAGCTCATTTAACTGTTCTTTTGAATGAAAATACTGCAATTAGAGCTGTTTCTGTGAGTTTCCTGGTGTGCACCTTCGTAATAGTTACTTGAAACCAGTCATTAAAAGTTCCATATATCAGGCGATTAGTCCGTGTAAAGCTGATGAAAGCTGCCTTTCATCTGTTTGCGTAGGTTTCTTCCATGAGTGGTAATTTTCTTGCAGCCAGTTCAGATGATTTTCAAAGGTATTAAGACGTCTATACTCAAAATACCTGATTAGTGATGATATTGAATAAAACTTTTTTCAGCTCAATAAGTTACATAAATGCAGAACTTTATTTTAATTATTCATATATATTTAATTGAATATATATTCCTTAATTTCTCTTTAGGTGTCTTATAAGACTTTGACACTTCCTGTTTTGTCTGAAAAAAATGTGAATTACCTGTGATATTTGGACTCCAGTGTGGCTGGGCTATCTCCCCTCATACCTATAGAATTAGGTACTACCATTTTTCTCTAGTTTAGAGTGTAGGAAGGAAAGTTTCTTATCCTCCCTTTTCTCTTCATAAGGAAATGCAGCATCAGAGTGATTCTATATTCCAAGCAGTTCAAAGAATTCTGAACCATAAGCTGAGCTTAGTTTCAGGTGGACAAATAGTTTTTCAAGCACCAGAATTTTCATTATTTCAAGTAGTTTTAGTATAGCTATAAATGTTCTATAGCCTAAATGTCTTTTACTTTTCAAATTACAACACTGTAAGTATGGTAAGTCACTTTTATTTAAACAGATATCTATTAGGTCCTATTGTGTACAAGGCATATGCTAGAGAATATGAGAATGCTTACAGAAAACTATAATATATTTCCTTTCCTATCAATACATGGGAAATGCCACAAGATATACACATGCTGTGAGGGGGAAAAGGGATCTGATCTATTTAGAGAACTTATTTGGTATTCAGGAATAAGAAGAGAGCAGTTGGATAAGAATGGCTTTTATTTATTTATTGTTTTTGGTTGGGGGGTGGGGAGGTTGGGGGGCGGGGGACAGGGTCTTGCTCTGTCTCCCAGGCTGGAGTACAGTGGCGCTCTCTGGGCCTCACTACAACCTCTGCCTCCCAGGTTCAAGCGATTCTCCTGCCTTAGCCTCCAGAGTAGCTGACATTACAGGCACACGTCACCCGGCTAAATTTTGTATTTTTAGTAGAGACGGGGTTTCACCATGTTGACCAGGCTGGTCTCGAACTTCTGACCTCAGGTGATCCGCCTGCCTCAGCCTCCCATAATGCTGGGATTACAGGCGTGAGCCACTGCATCTGGCCCAAGAATGGCTTTTTTTTTTTAAAGGGGTTAAGCTTGAAGAGGAAAAAACATTTTTAAAAAATACATAAATAAATGATAAATTATAGTAATTGTTTTCCTTAAAAGAAATAGAATTTGGCTGGGTGCAGTGGCTCATGCCTGTAATCCCGGCACTTTGGGAGGCCGAGGCAGGTGGATCACGAGGTCAGGAGATCAAGACCATCCTGGCTAACACGGTGAAACCCTGTCTCTACTAAAATACAAAAAATTAGCCAGGCGTAGTGGTGCGCGCCTGTAGTCCCAGCTACTTGGGAGGCTGAGGGAGGGGAATTGCTTGAACCCGGGAGGCGGACGTTGCAGTGAGCTGAGATCCGCATCACTGCACTCCAGCCTGGCAACAGAGCAAGAGACTCCATCCAAAAAAAATAGAAATAGAATTTTGTTCTCCACAAAATAATGTGTCTGGCAAATTTTAAAGAACTCCATCAGTCCCCACTGGAGTTGTACTTAATTGCAGCCTATCAGAAACCAAATATATTAGAAGTCAGTTATATTTACATTGCTTTTATTAGTATATTTCATTTTCACTGTGTCATTTGTAACTCTCATCTTGTTTCTTCTTATTTTAGACCTGGAATGGCCAAATATCAAGGTGAAGTTCAAAGTTTGAAACTGGATGATGATTCAGTTATAGAAGGAGTAAGCGACCAAGTACTTGTGGCAGTTGTGGTCAGTTTCGCTTTGATTGCTACCCTGGTATATGCACTTTTCAGGTGAGATTTAAGGACAAAAGAATTGAGTAGATTTGCAAGGGCTGCTGACTTTTTGACCCCTAATAATGTATAATACTTAATATGAACAGCAAGTAACAGATCTCAGTGATTGTAGATGTTTACTAAGGTATTTTATTTTCCACGGGGCTTTGAATGCTAACATATATTTCCTGTCATCAGCTGTCTTACCAAATAATAATTAAATTTATCATCCACATTTTGAATAAAATATTAGTACTTTCTATTGGCGTATGGCAATTTAAAAAACTTTAATTTCCATAATTAAATCCATCAACTTGTAGGTGATATAGATGATAAGTGCAAAATACTTTCAGTTTTAAATGGAAAAATTGAGGCAAAAAAAGACTTGTATAGTAAAAAGGGAACTAATATTAGAATTAATTTTTTTACTTATTTATTTATTTATTTATTTTTTGAGACGGAGTCTCAATGTGTCGTCCAGGCTGGAGTGCCATGGCACTGTCTCAGCTCACCACAACCTCTGCCTCTGGGGTTCAAGCGATTCTCCTGCCTCAGCCTCCCAAATAGCTGGGATTACAGGCACATGCCACCATGCCCGGCTTATTTTATATTTTTAGTAGAGATGGGGTTTCTCCATGTTGATCAGGCTGGTCTCAAACTCCTGACCTGAGGTGATCCACCTGCGTCAGCCTCCCAAAGTGCTGGGATTACAGGCTTGAGCCACTGCACCTGGCCCTAATTTTTTGTATTTTTTTGTAGAGACAGGATTTCGCTAGGTTGGCCAGGCTGGTCTCAAACTCCTGACCTCAAGTGAACCACCCGACTCAGCCTCCCAAAGTGCTGGGATTACACTCATGAGCCACTATGCCCAGCCTATTTATTTATTTTAGAGACAGGGTCTCGCTACATTGCCCCAGTTGGACTTGAACTCCTGGACTCAAGCAGTCCTCCCATCCCAGCTTCCCAGGTTGCTGGGACTACAGGTATGCACCACTGCACCTGATTCTAAAATTAATTTAGGCTGGATGTGGTGGCTCACGCCGGTAATCCCAGCACCTTGGGAGGCTGAGGCAGGCGGATCACCTGAGGTCAGGAGTTCGAGACTAGCCTGGCCAACATGGTGAAACCCTCGTCTCTACTAAAAATACAAAAATTAGCTGGGCATGGTGGCAGGTGCCTATAATCCCAGCTACTTGGGCGGCTGAGGCGTGAGAATCACTTGAACTTGGGAGGCAGAGGTTGCAGTGATCCAAGATAGTCTCTTATTAGGGTAACATTATCTTGATTTCAATCGGGTATTTTATAGAGTGATAATCCAGAGTGATTGATACTGGTGATACACTGTGGATATCATGGGGGAAATAATGACTAGATGATAGCAGAGTTAAGTGAACTCCACTAAGCAGGTTGTTCTTAGGATTCCTGACTAATGTTTTAATATACACCAAATAGAAGGACATTGTATATTGCTGCAGGGCTCTGTCCTTGGGCCTTTTCTATTATTATTATTATTTTTTTTTTTGAGACCGAGTCTCACTCTGTTGCCCAGGCTGGAGTGCAGTGGCGTGATCTCGGCTCACTGCAAGCTCCACTTCCCGGGTTCACGCCATTCTCCTGCCTCAGCCTCCTGAGTAGCTGGGACTACAGGTGCCCACCACCACGCCCGGCTAATTTTTTGTATTTTTAGTAGAGACGGGGTTTCACCGTGTTAGCCAGGATGGTCTCGAACTCCTGACCTCAGTTGATTCGCCCACCTCGGCCTCCCAAAATCGGGGGGTTACAGGCGTGAGCCACCGTGCCTGGCCTACCAAAAATTTTAAAATTAGGCAGGCGTGGTGGTGCATCCTGTAGTCTCAGCTACTTGGAGGCTGAGATGGCAAGATCACTTAAGCCTAGGAAGTCAAGTCTGCAGTGAGCTATGATCATACCACTGCATTTCAGCCAGGGCAACAGAATAAGACCCTGTCTCAGAAAAAACAAAACAAAAAAATAAAAATACACAAAGGACCTATATAGACATCTTTCAAAAGAAGACATACAAATGGCCAAAAGGTTTATGAAAAAATGCTCAACATTACTAATCACCAGGGAAATGCAAATTAAAACCACAATGAGAAAAAACCTTTTATCTTTTAGGATGGCTGTTATCAAAAAGATGAAAACAATAAAGATGAAAGAAGCATTGGCAAGGGTGTGGAGCAAAGGGAACTGTGGTGCACTTTTTTGGGGAGTATAAAATGGTACAGTTGCTGTGGAAAACAGTATGAAGGTTCCTCAAAAAGTTAAAAATGGACTACCATATGATCCAGCAATCACACTTCAGGGTAGTATATATCAAAAGGAAATTACATCAGTATGTTGAAAAGATTTATCTGTGTTCCTATGTTCATTGCAGCAGTATTTACAGTAGCTGAAATATGGAATCAAGTTAGGTGTTCACTAGTGAATGAATGAAGAAAATGTGGTGTGAGTATATAGATCTCTCTGTATACACAATGGAATACTTTTCAGCCCCTGAGAAGGAAGGAAATTCTGCCATTTTCAACAACATGGATGCACCTGGAGGACATGATATTAACTGAAATAAGGCACAGAAAGACAAATACTGCACGATCCCACTTAACTGTAAAATATAAAACATTTGAATTCACAGAAGCAGAGAGCAGAATGGTGGCTCTCAGGCGATGGAAAGATAGTCTAACAGCGCAAAGTTTCAGTTACACAGATGCATTTTTAAAAAGAGAGGCAGGGCGCGGTGGCTCGCGCCTGTAATTCCAGCACTTTGGGAGGCTGAGGCAGGCGGATCATCTGAGGTCAGGAGTTCAAGACCAGCCTGGCCAACATGATGAAACTCCGTCTCTACTCAAAATACAAAAATTAGCCAGGTGTGGTCGTGGGTGCCTGTAATCCCACCTACCCAGGAGGCTGAGGCAGGAGAATCGCTTGAACCTGGGAAGCAGAGGTTGCAGTGAGCTGAGATCGCACCACTGCACTCCAGCCTGGGCAACAAGCAAAACTCCATCTCAAAAGAAAAAAAAAAAAGAATTCATTTAATAAGGCAATTGTATATTGTAGATGCTGAAAACTGTATAGGCTACTTTTATAAAATTAATAGCTAAAGGTCAAATCTGCATTATGTTCAGTTTGGGACTAGCATTTTAAGCTGGAAAACATTCAGGGGAGACTGTCAAAATAGGGAAAGCTGTGGAAACAAATCATATAAAATGCTTGAAGGAAGGAGGGATGTCTAGCTTAGGGAAGGGACTCTTGGACAATAAAACTGTCTTTGTGATGAGGGCTTGGTCTTGTTAAAGAATTAAAATTTTAATTTGTGCAGCAGCAATAGAAAAAAAAAGAATTAGAGCCAGGCTCAGTGGCTCATGCCTGTAATCCTAGCACTTTGGGAGGCTGAGGTGGATGGATGGCTGGAGGTCAGGAGTTCGAGACCAGCCTGACCAACATTGTGAAACCCCATCTCTACTAAAAATATAAAAATTAGGTGGGTGTGGTTGTGGGCCCCTATAACCCCAGCTAGCTACTCGGAGGCTGAGTCAGGAGAATCTCCTGAACCTGGGAGGCAGAGGTTGCTGTGAGCCGAGATCACGCCACTGTACTCCAGCCTGGGTGACAAGAGCGAAACTCCATCTCAAAAAAAAGAAAAAAAAAGAATTAAATTTATTCTGCCAGGCGCAGTGGGCAGAACTGGGGCCACTGGAACAGTGGGTGGAGATAAATGATGAAATTTTTACTCAGCCTACAGTGACATCTTTTCAAGTTACATAATGTGCTCCCGGTTACTTGGACATTGTCTGAGGTAATCAGTGAAATAATCGTGATTACTGAGGGAATCATGATGTATTGGGGAAGGGGTGGCATTTGTAGTTTAAAATTCAGACAAGTCTCTTTTTTGTAATTTATTTAATGATTTTTAGTCATTATAATTAATTTTGTTTTGGTTTTGTGGTAAAATATACATAACAAAATTTATCATGTTAAACTTTTTAAAAAATATTTTATTTTATTTTTTTAGTAGAGACAGGTTCTCACTATGCTGGTCAGGCTGGTCTTGAACTCCTGGTCTCAAGTGATTCTTCTGCCTTGGCCTCCCAAAGTGCTGGGATTATAGGTGTGATTATAGGTCATGCCTAGACCTTTTTTTTTTTTTTTTTTTTTTTCTGAGACAGAGTCTCACTCTGTCACCTAGGCTGGAGTGCAGTGGCGCAATCTCGGCTCACTGCAAGCTCCGCCTCCCGGGTTCAAGCGATTCTTCTGCCTCAGCCTCCTGAGTAGCTGGGACTACAGGCACGCGCCACCATGCCTGGCTAATTCAGACCATTTTTAAGTGTGTAATTCCGTGGCGTTAAGTACATTCACATTGTTGTGTAACCATCATCACCATCTACTTCTAGAACTTCCTCATCATCCCAAACTTTATTTTTTTATTTTTAAATTTTAGATTTTGGGGGTGTGTGTGCAGGTCTTTTACATGGGTATGTTGCGTAATAGTGATGGCTTCTAGTGAACCCATCACCCAAATAGTGAACACTGTACTCAATAGGTAGTATTTCAACCCTTGCCCCCTTTCAGTCTCCCCACTGAAGTTCCTGATGTCTATTATTTCCATCTTTATGTTTAGCTCCCACTTATAAGTCAGAACATGTGATTTCTCTTTTTTTTTTCTCTTGAGACAGGTTCTCTCTTGGTGCCCAGGCTGGAGTGCAGTGGCACCATCTTGTCTCACTGCAACCTTCGCCCCCCAGGCTCAAATGATCCTCTCGCCTCAGCCTCCCATTTAGCTGAGACCACAGGCACACACCGCCATGGCCAGCTATTTTTTTGTATTTTTGGTAGAGACAAGGTTTCGCCATGTTGCCCAGACTGGTCTTGAACTCCTGGGCTCAAGCAATCCACCCACCTCATCCTCCCAAATTTCTGGGATTACAGGTGTGAGCCACTGTGCCCGGCCTGATCATGTGGTGTTTAATCTTCCCTAACAGAAACTTTATGCCCATCTAAGTAGCAACTCCCATGGTTCAGCTCTGGGTAACCTGTGTTCTACTTTGTGTCTCCATTAATGAGCCGATTTTATGCACCTCATAAAGTAGAATCATACAGTATTTGTTCTTTTGTGTTTAACTTGTTTCACTTAGCATAATATTTTCAAAGTTCATTTATGTTGTAACACGTATTAGAATTTCCTTCTTTTTTATCGCTAAATAATATTTCATTGGGTATGGTGCTCACACCTGTAATCCTAGCACTTTGGGAGGCTGAGGTGGGAAGATTGCTTGGGCCAGGAGTTTGAGACTAGCCTGGACAACAGAGCAAGACCTTGTCTCTAAGAAATATTAAAATTTAAAATTTCTCATTGTATGTACATACCATATTTAGTTTCTCCATTCATCTGTCAGTGGTCATTTGGGTTACTCCCACCTTTTGGCTGTTGTGAATAATGCTGCTAGGAACACTGGTGTACAAGTATCTGTTTGAGTCTGTGTTTTCAACTGGAATTTCTGGGTCATAAAGTAATTTCTATGTTTAACATTTTAAGGAACCTCCAGACTGTTTCCCACAGCAGCTGCCCTGCTTTATATTCCCACCAGCAAGGCACCATGGCAGTTTCTCTACTTCCTTGCCAACACTGTTGTTCCCTATGTGTGTGTGTTTTTTTTAATAATAACTATCCATAATAGGTATGAAGTAGTAACTCACTGTGGTTTTGATTTGTATTTCCCTACTGAGTAATGATGTTCAGCATCACTTCACATGGTTAGTGGCCATTCGTCTATCTGGTTTTTGAGGTTTCTTTTTGAGATAGGGTCTTACTCTGTTGCCCAGGCTAGAGTATAGTGGCGTGATTATGGCTCACTGCAGCCTCAATCTCCCAGGCTCAAGTGATCCTCCCACCTCAGCCTCCCGGGTAGCTGGGATGATAGGTGTGCACCACCATGCCCAACTAATTTTTGTATTTTTTGTAGAAACAGTGTTTCACCATGTTGCCCAGGCTGGTCTCAAATTCCAGGGCTCAAGTGATCTGCCCACCTCAGCCTCCCAAAGTGCGGAAGTTACAGGCATGAGCCACTGCTCCTGGCCCTAGTATTTGGTTTTCTGTTTCTATATTAATTCACTTAGGAAAATGACCTGCAGCTGCATCCATGTTGCTGCATTCTTTCCTTTTTATGGGTGCGTAGTATTCTATGGTGTATATGTACCACATTTTCTTTATCTAGTCTACCATTGATGGTCATGTAGGTTGATTCCATGTCTTTGCTCCTGTAAATAGCAACACCAGAGTTTTGACCTGCTCTGTTTTCATCCTGGGCCAATTCACTCCTCCTTAGGCAACCTGATGGGCCCCTGCTCCTGGGACGTCATCATATTGATGCCAAAGTTAGTGCAGACACCCAAGTGGCATATTGCATTACAGCTTAGAAGTCCTGGGCTCAAACAATTCTCCTGCCTCAGCCTCCTGAGTAACTGGGACTACAGGTGCGCACCGCCACACCTGGCAGTTTGTCTGTCTTCTATGGAGAATTGACTATTCAAGACCATTGCCCATTTTTGAATCGGGTTGTTTACTTTTTTGTTTTTGAGTTATAAGTGTTCTATATATATTCTGATATTATTATCAGATACAGTCATACCCCATAGATATTTCAGGTTTGGTTTCAGACCACCACAATAAAGTGAATAAAGTGAGTCATATGAATTTTTTGGTTCCCTAGTGCATATAAAAGTTATGTTCACATTATATCATAGTCTATGTGTGTAATAGCACTATGTCTAATAAACAATGTACATACTTTAATTATAAAATACTTTATTGCTAAAAAATGCTAACAGTTATCTATCTGAACCTTCAGCAAGTCGTAATGTTTTTGCTGGTGGAGAGTCTTGACTCCATGTTAACAGCTGCTGACTGATCAGGGTGGTGGTTGCTGACAGTTGAGGTGGCTGTGGCAGTTTCTTTTTTTTTGAGACAGAGTATCATTCTGTCGCCCAGGCTGGAGTGCAGTGGCGTGATCTCAGCTCACTGCAACCTTCACCTCCCAGGTTCAAGCAATTCTCCTCCCTCAGCCTCCTGAGTAGCTGGGATTACAGGTGCGCACCACCATGCCCAGCTAATTTTTGTATTTTTAATAGAGATGGGGTTTCACCATGTTGGTCAGGCTTGTCTTGAACTCCTGACCTCATGATCCGCCCGCCTCAGCCTCCCAAAGTGCTGGGATTACAGGCATGAGCCACTGCGCCTGGCTGGCAATTTCTTAAAATGAGACAACAAATAAAGTTGACACATTGACTGACTTTTCCTTTCACAAAAGATTTCTCTGTATGTAGCATGTGATGCAGTTTGATTGCTTATTATCCACAGGCTTTCTTTTCAAAACTGGAGTCAGTCCTCCCAAACCCTGACTGCTTCTGCTCTATCAACTTCGTTTATGTAATATTTTAAATCCCTTGTTGTCATCTCAACAATGCTCACAATGTCATTACCAGGATTAGATTCTATCTTGAGAAACCACTTCTTTTGCTCATCCATAGGAAGCAACTCCTCATCTGATCAAGTATTGTCATGATGCAGCAGTTTGGTCACATCTTCGGCCTCCGCTTCTAATTCTAGTTTCCTTGCTGTTTCCACCATATCTGCAGTGACTTCTTCCTCTGAAGTCCTGAACCTCTCAAAGTCATCCATGAGGGCTGGAGTCAACTTCTTCCAAACTCCGGTTAATGTTGATATTTTGATCTCCTCCCATGAATTAAGAATGTTTTTGGTGGGGCATGGTGGCTCATGCCTGTAATTCCAGCACTTTGGGAGGGCGAGGCAGGCAGATCACTTGAGGCCAGGAGTTTGAGACCAGCCTGGCCAACGTGGCGAAACCTTGTCTCTACTAAAAATACAAACATTAGCCAGGCACGGTGGCACACACCTGTAATCCCAGCAACTTGGGAGGCTGAGGCACGAGAATTGCTTGAACCTGGGAGACAGAGGTTCCGGCAAGCCAAGAGTGTAGCACTATACTCCCAGCCTGGGCAACAGGGTGAGACTCTGTCTCAAAAAAAAAAAAAGTTATTTTATTCTTTATTTATTGCTTTTGAGATGGAGTCTCACTGTGTTGCCCAGGCTGGAGTGCAGTAGCATGATCTTGGCTCACTGCAACCACCGCCCCCCGGGTTCATGCTGTTCTCCTGCCTCAGCCTCCCAAGTAACTGGGACTACAGGCACGTGCCACCGTGCTTGGCTAATTTTTGTATTTTTAGTAGAGACAGGGTTTCACTGTGTTGGCCAGGCTGGTCGCAAACTCCTGACCTCATGATCTGCCCATCTCAGCCTCCCAAAGTGTTGGGATTACAGGCGTGAGCCACCACACCTGGCCAAAAAAAAGAATGTTCTGATGGCATCTAGAATGGGGGATCCTTTCCAGAAGGTTTCAATTGATTCCCCAGATCCATCAGAGGAATCACTATCTATGGCAGCTACATAAAGTGTATTTCTTAAGTAATAAAACTTGAAAGTCAAAATAATCCTTGATTTATGGGGCTGTGGAATGGATGCTGTGTTAAGAGACATGAAAAAAACATTCATCTCCTTGTACATCTCCATTAGAGCTCGTGGGTGACTAGGTGTATTATCAATGAGCAGTGATATTTTCTTTTTAACAGATTTTTTTGTTAATACACTACACAGATGTATGCAGTAATATTTTCAAAGAAAGTCATTTTTCTGAGCAGTAGGTCTCTCAAGTGGGTTTAAATAGTTTGATATGCTGTTATCCAGGCATTGTTGTTGCATTTATAGAGCACAGGCAGAGTAGATGAGCATAATTTTCAAGGGCCCTAGGATTTTCAGAATGGTCAATGAGCATTGGCTGCAACTTAAAAGTCACCAGTTGCATTAGCCCCTAATAAGAGAGTCAGCCTGGCCTTTGAAGCTTTGAAGACAGGCATTGACTTCTCCTCTCTAGCTATGAAAGTCCTATATGCCATCTTCTTGCAAGGGAAAACTGTTTCTTCTACATAAAAATGTGTTGTTGAGCGTAGCCACCTTCATCAATGATCTTAGCTAGATCTGGATAACTTGCTGCAGCTTCTCCATCAGCACTTGCTATTCCATAAAATAAAAGTTTGCACTTTGTCTTTCCTTAAATGTCATGAACCAACCTCTGCTAGCTTTCAACTTTTCTTCTGTAGCTTCCTCTCCTCCCTCAGCTTCACAAAATTGAAGAGAGGGAGGGACTTGCTCTGAATTAGGCTTTGGCTTAAGGAAATGTTGTGGCTGGTTTGATCTTCTATCCAGAGTACTCAGACTTTCTCCATGTCAGCAATAAAGCTGTTTTGCTTTTTTATCATTTATGTGTTCACTTGAGTAATACTTTTAATGTCCCTCAGGAATTTTTCCTTTTAATTCACAACTTGGCCAGCTAGCACAACTTTTGCCCTAGCTCGACTTTTTACATGTCTTTTTCACAAAGCTTAATCATTTCTAGGTTTTATGTGAAGTGAGAGACATGCAAGTCTTCCTTTCACTTGAACACCTAGAGGCCACTATAGAGTTATTTATTAGTTGGCCTAATTTCAATATTGTCAATGCCTCAGGGAATAGGAAGGTCTGAGGAGAGGGAGAGAGACTGGGGAATGGCTGGTCAATAGAGCAGTCACAGCATACACAACGTTGATTGATTGATTGATTGATTGATTGATTGATTGCAAGTATAACCAAAAGACGACACAGAAACATGAAGCAAGTGCATGCTGTTGGAAAAATGGTGCCAATAGTCTTGCTCAACACAAAGTTGTCACAACCTTCAGTTTGTAAAAAACGCAATATCTGCTAAGTGCAATAAAGTGAAACAAAATAAAATCAGGATTTCCTGTATATGATTTGCCAATATTTTGTCCCTTTCTGTGGATATTCTTCTTACTCTCTTAAGTGCCCTTTGATATACATAGTTTCTGATTTTGAGAAGTCATCTTTGTGTTTTTTTCCTTTTTTTGGCCTGTGCTTTTGTCTTATATGTAAGGAATCATTGCCAGAATCCAATGGCATGAATATTTTCTTGCTTCTTCCTAAAATTTGTATAGTTTTAACTCTTAAGTTTGGCCCTTTGATGCATTTTGAGTTTTTATATTTTTAATATGGATATTCAGTTTTCTGGCACTTATTTGTTGAAAGAGGGTACTTTCCCTATTGAATGGTCTTGGCACCCTTGTCAAAAAGTATTTGACCATTGTCTCAATCAGTTTGGCTTGTTATAACAAATAACCATAGGCTGGGTGCGGTGGCTCACACCTGTAATCCTAGCACTTTGGGAGCCTGAGGCAGGCAGATCACTTGAGGTCAGGAGTTCAAGACCAGCCTGGCCAAAACATGGGCCAACATGGTGAAACCCCAACTCTACTAAAAATATAAAAATTAGCTGGAAATCGCTTGAACCCGGGAGGTGGAAGTTGCAGGGAGCCAAGATTGTGCCACTGCACCCCAGCCTGGAAACAGAGTGAGATCTGTCTCAAAAACAAAAACAGGCCAGGCGCAGTGGCTCACGCCTGTAATCCCAGCACTTTGGGAGGCCGAGGCAGGCGGATCACGAGGTCAGGAGATCGAGACCATCCTGGCTAACACAGTGAAACCCCGTCTCTACTAAAAATAGAAAAAATTAGCCGGGCTACTCGGGAGGCTGAGACAGGAGAATGGCATGAACCCGGGAGACGGAGCTTACAGTGAGCTGAGATGGCGCCACTGCACCCCAGCCTGGACGACAGAACAAGACTCTGTCTCAAAAAAAAAAAAAAAAAGTCCGGGCACAGTGGCTCACGCCTGTAATCCCAGCATTTTGGGAGTCCAAGGCGGGCAGATCATGAGGTCAGGAGATTGAGACCATCCTGGCTAACACAGTAAAACCCTGTCTCTAGTAAAAATACAAAAATTAGGGTGTGGTGGCGTGCAGCTATAGTCCCAGCTACTTGGGAGGCTGAGGCAGGAGAATCACTAGAACCCAGGAGGCAGAGGTTGCATTGAGCTGAGTTTGTACCATGGCACTCCAGCCTTGGCGAAAGAGCAAGACTCTGTCTCAAAAAAAAAAAAAAAAAAAACCCACAAAAAAACAAATAACCATAGACTGGGTGGCTTAAACAATAAACATTTATTTCTCACAGTTCGAGAGGCTGGGAGGTCTTAAGATCAAGGTGTTGTCAGATCTGGTGTCTAGCGAGAATTGGCTTCATGGTTTGTAGATGGTGGTTTTCTTGTTGTGTCTTTACATGGAAGAGAGTAGAGCAGGGAGCAGGTTATCTCATGTCTCTTTTTATAAGGGCACTAATCCTATCACAAGGGCACCACCCTCATGACCTAATTACCTCCCAAAGGTTTTGTCTCCAAATACCATTATTATGGGAGTTACAGGCAGTATTCAGCAGCTTGGGCTATTTGTTCTTGTTGTTTGGCTTCACAACAAGATGTAGGAATTCTTAAATCTGGTGGTAGAATATTTTTTAAAATATATTCTATTTAAATATATTTTTAAAATATATATTAAATATTCTACCACCAGATTTAAGAATTCCTACATCTTCTTTCTTATAGAAAGAAGCCAGAGGAGAGGCTTTCCAGTCACGTGGTTCATGTCTGTATTCTGAAATGTCATCACGATTTTTTTTCCAATGAAAAGGGAATGGTTTTCTACTCTCAAAGAATGGAGAAATGCCATTTAGCTAGGTATTCACTGGTATTTAAATGAGATGGTTCCTCTGCTAGTTAGATTGCTCCTTGACAGGGTGCTTTCATATAGTGAGTGCTTTCTTTCACAGATCATCTGTTCAATCATAAAAATGTGCCTTATTTTAAAATGAAGAATGCATCAAGCTTTAACAGGTTTAGGCCGGGTGCGGTGGCTCACGCCAGTAATCTCCACACTTTGGGAGGCCGTGGCAGGCAGATCACCTGAGGTCCGGATCGAGACCAGCCTGGCCAACATGGTGAAACCCCATCTCTACTAAAAATACAAAAATTAGCCAGGCATGGTGGCACGTGCCCATAATCCCAGCTACTCAGGAGGCTGAGGCAAGAGGATTGCTTGAACCTGGGAGGCAAAGGTTACAGTGAGTTGAGATTGTGCCACCGCACTCCAGCCTGGGTGACAGAGTGAGACTCCTTCTCAACAACAAAATAAGATTTAACAGGTTTAAACAGAGTTCAAATTGTTTCATTGTTTAGATATTTGACTTTAAATTGCTTTTATGTCTTCTCTGAACTAACAGTTATATTTAGGTGACTTCTTTTTCTAAAATTTGTGTTTTTTTGCTAACAATTGAATAATCACAGGATGGATTTCTATACTTTTCCCTATCACATTCGGATATGAGAGTCCTTATGTCTGTTGGATATTGGCTTACCCAGAGAGTAAAGGCTCTCTGTAGAGTAACCATGGGACTGTGTAGACTTAAAATATTCTTGTTCAAGACATTTATGTTTAGAAGATACATCAGTAGTCAAATGAAATTAAGCTGTGATAACATGTAACGCTTCACCCCCACCCCACCTACCAGCCTGACCAACACATCTTTCTTTTTTTTTTTTTTTTTAAGACGGTTTTGCTCTTGTTGCCCAGGCTGGAGTGCAATGGCGTGATCTCAGATCACCGCAACCTCCACCTCCGGGGTTTAAGCGATTCTTCTGCCTCAGCCTTCTGAGTAGCTGGGATTACAGGCATTCGCCACTAAGCCCGGCTAATTTTATATTTTTAATAGAGACAGGGTTTCTCCATGTTGGTCAGGCTGGTCTCGAACTCCCAACCTCAGGTGATCCACCGGCCTCGGCCTCCCAAAGTGCTGGGATTACAGGCATGAGCCACCGTGCCCAGCCAACATCTGACTTTCAATATGGGATGTTTTATCCCATCCATTTATATTAGCCACTAACCGCTTGCCTTTGATTCACCATTTTAATTGTTAATGTCAAGAGATTAGTGACATGTTAAGGTTTGGCTTTTCTTCCTTTTGTTTTTTTTTGAGATGGAGTCTCACTGTTGTTGGCCCAGGCTGGAGTGCAATGGCATGATCTCAGCTTACTACAACCTCTGCTTCCCGGGTTCCAGCAATTCTCCTGCCTCAGCCTCCTGAGTAGCTGAGATTACAGGCGCCCGCCACCAAGCCCGGCTAATTTTTGTATTTTTAGTAAAGGCAGGGTTTCACCATGTTGGCCAGGCTGGTCTCAAAACTCCTGACCTCAGGTGATCCACCCGCCTTGGCCTCCGAAAGTGCTGGGATTACAGGCATGAGCCACCACACTCGGCCAAGTTTTGGCTTTTCTACATTAAATTTAGTTTCTGCTCTGTTCCCCTCCCCTAATACCTGAAAATTAGGAGAAGGATCTAATTAGATGTGGAAAAGCGTTCAAATGCATAATAGTAGGTAAAATTAGATAGCTGCTTATTTTGAAGAAATTTCACCAAAGAAACAAATGTTCTTTACATTACTTGTAAGCTTCCATTTACAATAGATTTCCAAGGTACTAGGCCTCTGGATTTTACCATTTGCCGCTTGAACCTGAAATTGGCTAATGATCAGTGATCTCAGAAGAACTCACCACAGGACAGCCTGAAACGTACAGTCCTGGAAGTGAAGTGCTTGTATGCCATCAATTACATTAATTACCAGTAGTTATAAGTCAGAAAGTAGACCCATGAAGAAAATGGATTCATATGATAATATTTTCTATTCAAAATTTATTATATTCTATTCAACAGAAATGTACATCAAAACATTCACCCAGAAAACCAGGAGCTAGTAAGGGTACTTCGAGAACAGCTTCAAACAGAACAGGTATTGTATATGTATTTATTTGAGGAGTAGATGTGATAGCTCCCTTTGCATGTGAAATTGTGATAAAACATTACTAAATTACTTTTTGGAAACATGGGCTTCTTTCCAGCTTCAAATTACCTTATATTATTTTATAGATTGTATATTTGCAAGAATGGGCAAATTGCCTAGCCTTAATCTATTCAGATGTCTTCATGTTTGTTTATTATTAATTTGCTTTAAAAGATAGCAGTTTTCCTATTATTTATTAGTGTAGAAATAATTGCTGTCTAATTGACCTTAATGAAATGTAGTAGAAAAAACATTTTTTCTGACATATACTCCTTAATATCTACAAAGAAATAACTAGAAGAGGTGGCTGTTTTGTTTTTTGTTTTTTTTTCTCCTTTTTTCTTCAGTTGTCAAAGTTATAACAACAAAACTAGTTAGGCAAAGAGAAAAACTAACTTTTCTCCTGTTTGTTCTTTGCTTTTTACCAGATCGAATCTCTAAGAATTGGAGATATACTTTATGAAGCCTGGAATAAATAGGATATTGTACACCTTCAGGCTAAGATATCTAACATCAAGAAACAAAATTAAAAATTCCTTTCCTATAGATCAAACTTCAGTTCCAATAAGCGTTTTTTTTTTTTTTTGTAAAAAAGAGACAGGGTCTCACTATGTTGCCCCGGCTGCTGTCCAACTTTTGAGCTCAAGCAGTCCTCTCACCTCGGCCTCACAAATTGCTGGGATTAGTCTGGGCATGGTGGCTCACACCTGTAATCCCAGCACTTTGGGAGGCCGAGGCGGGAGAATCACTTGAGCTTAGGAGTTCGAGACCAGTTTGGGCAACATGACAAAACTCTGTCTCTACTAAAAATACAAAAGCTAGCTGGGTATGGTGGTGCACAGCTATAGTCCCAGCTACTCAGGAGGCTGAAGTGGGAGGATCTCTCGAGCCTGGGAGGTTGAGGCTACAGTGAGCTGTGCTTGCTTCACTAAAACCAAAGTGCTGGGATTATAAGTGTGAGCCCACCATGCCTAGCCCCAATAAGGGTTTTATAATTTATCCATTCACCAGATATTTTTTGAACATCTACCACATGCCATACATTTTCTAGGCATTGGGAATTCAATTGTGAATTAAACAGACAAAAATTCCTACCCTCATGGAACTTATATTTATTGATACAAGAATAACTTAAGCGGGGCCAGGTGCAGTGGCTCACGCCTGTAATCCCAGCACTTTGAGAGGCCAAGGCAAGCAGATCACGAGGTCAAGAGATCAAGACCATCCTGGCCAATATGGTAAAACCCCATCTCTACTAAAAATACAAAAATTGGCCGGGCATGGTGGCGCACACCTGTTGTCCCAGCTACTTGGGAGGCTGAGGCAGGAGAATCACTTGAACCCGGGAGGCGGAGGTTGTAGTGAGCTGAGATTGCGCCACTGCACTCCAGCCTGGTGACAGAGAGTGAGACTCCGTCTAAAAAAGACAGAATAGTTTAAGCCTATTAGTAGTACTGTGTTCCATAACAATTGTTACCCATAATTCATGTTGAGATAGTGTTTTATAATTTACAAAGTGATTTCCCAAACAACAATTGTATTTAATCTTTAGACATAAGTAAGGCAACTACTATTATTCTCATTAACATATGAGACTGCTAAGATTTGCTAACACTCACACTAGCAATTTCATGACTGGGTTCAGCTATGGAGGGGCCCCAGATTGAGGAGAATCTTCCAGGTCTCCTTGCAGCAGTGTCCACTCAACTGCCTCACCTCTTCCTGAGGCCCAGCACACAGCTCTCAGAGTGAAAATAAGGCTGGCGATGTAGTCTGTTCTGTGCTGTCCAGTATGGCAGCTACCAGCCACCTGTGGCTATTCAAGTGAGTTAAAATTAAACACAATCTGAAATTAAGTCTTTTAGTCACACTGGCCACATTTCAAGTACACAATGGCCACATGTGGCTCCTGGCTACTGTATTGGATAGCACTGATAAAGATTTCAATTATTGCAGAAAGTTCTGTTGGACAGCACCGTTAATTGTTTTTTGTCAATTTCTTTAAAAATTAATAAGGAGAAGGCTGGGTGCAGTGGCTCACGCCTGTAATCCCAGCACTTTGGGAGGCTGAGGCGGGCAGATCACCTGAGGTCAGGAGCTCAAGACCACCCTGGGCAACATGGCGAAACCCCATCTCTACTAAAAACACAACTTTAGCCAGGTGCTTGTAATCCCAGCTACTCCAGAGGCTGAAGCAGGAGAATCACTTGAACCCAGGAGGCAGAGGTTTCAGTGAGCTGAGATTGTGCCACTGCACTCCAGCCTGGGTGACAGAGCGAGACTCTGTCTCAAAAAAAAAAAAAAGTAGAGAAGGGAACATAAAGTGCTGTACACTTTTTGTAGCATTAGAACTGACATAAGTGACTATAACATCAAGGTGTAGCCTTGGATCACAGAATATTCTGGTGATTTAGGACTGTTTTGGAAGTATGAAATTTTAGTTATATTTATTATTATTTAAATTTATTAAATTTGTTTATGAATATTGAGTGGCAAAAATCTGATTCACTTAAGAACAGTTCCTATTTAGTAAACTTAATACTTTTTTCTGTAATTAGATATTTTTCATGCTAGCAACTTTATCTGTGCTGGGTTCCATTAAAACAAGTTTTGATAAATAAGTTTTACAATACAATAACATAAAATATATGTTATGTAGACACTTTTTTTTTTTGAGACAGGGTCTCTGTTGCCCAGGCAGGAGTATAGCGGTGTGATCTCGGCTCATTGCAGTCTTTACCTCTTGAGTTCAAGTGATTCTCCCACCTCACCCTCCCGAGTAGCTGGGACTACAGGTGTGCGCCACCATGCCCAGCTAATTTTTGTATTTTGTGGTAGAGACAGGGTTTCACCATGTTGACCAGGCTGGTCTCGAACTCCTGACCTCAAGTGATCCACCCACCTCAGCCACCCAAAGTGCTGGGGTTACAGGTGTGAGCCACCGTGCCCGGCCATGTAGACACTTTTCTAGGTCCTGAGGTACAATGAGTCCTACAGATAAATCCCTTGCCCTCATGATCCATCCTAGTGAGGTCTTTGATATCTAGATGTTTCTTGCATATGTGCAACACTTTTAAAATGAAAAAGATGTTGAAAATGAAAAAAGTGAAGACTTAGAAAACAGTTTGACATTTGATATTTTTTTCTTTTTGAGACAGGGTCTCGCTCTGTCACCTAGGCTGGAGTGCAGTGGTGCAGTCACGGCTCACTCCAGCTTCAACCTCCCAGGCTCAGGTGACCTCCCACCTCAGTCTCCCAAGTAGCTGGGACTACAGGCGCATGCCACCACCACTCCTGGCTAATTTTTCTATTTTTTGTAGAGATGGGGTTTTGCCATGTTGCCCAGGCTCGTCTGGAACTCCTAGGCTCAAGTGATCCACTTGCCTCGGCCTCCCAAAGTGCTGGGATTACAGGCGTGAGTCACTGCACCTGACCTCGACATTTATTATTGTTAGCTTATGCACTAGCTCAGCCTTGTGTTACTCAGAATAATTTACTTATTCCAGTAGAGTAAAAGATGAACTCTTGAGTTAATCTAAGTTTTTGTCTTTAAATTGTGTTTAGGAAGGAAAGTGGAAACCATGCAGCTTAAATAAAAACAATATAGCCTCATAACATTCTTAAAATTATAACCTTAAACTATTGCACGTTTACAGTTTGATGAGGGTTACACACTGCTGACTCTGTTCTCAAATATAATTTAACATGAGATACTGTTGAGGGCCACATGTGTTGTGTTCCAATGTGTGCACCTGTGTTCTTATTAGGATGCACCTGCTGCCACTCGACAGCAGTTCTACACTGACATGTACTGTCCCATCTGCCTGCACCAAGCCTCCTTCCCGGTGGAGACCAACTGTGGACATCTTTTTTGTGGTAAGCAAACAACGCTATACTTGGGAAAAGTGACTGTGTAGACCAAGACCTCTATGTGTACAAAGGCTGGATTCCCAATTTTCTCTTTGTCACATTTTGTATTTTGTGAGTAGGGTAGATTACCTCTGATATCCTGCTCTACTTGTCAACCAAGTATACTTAGCATCTAAATAATATACTTACTTATTTATTTTCTATTTAGTGTGTCCATGTAGCAGCTATGGGTTCAGAGGTTAAAGAAACTATTCAGCTTCCCCATAAACAGAAATGTGTTTGTTTGGACAGTAGTTCAAGTAGATCCATAGCATGAGGGATTCACTGAGTCCCTCTTTGTTCATCACTTTTTGGGACTTTCATTTATTATTCATCCTTGCCAGGGCAGGAAGGTTCTTCTCTCAAGAACCTGCCCAAGACCCTGCCTTAGTCCTCCTGCCTCTTTTGACTCTGAGTTTGTACTAAAAGTCTTAAAGGTCTTAGTCTCAGTCTGTTTGTCTCTGTCTCTGTCTCTCTCAACCTCTTGAGGTTTAATGAAGGAGAATGAGAATCCTAGAGCATACCTTGGGGTAAGAAGGGAATAATTTCACACTTACTTAGTATCAGGAAGGAGTGCTTTCCACCACTTATTTTTCCTGAATCTGCAGATTCAGGAAAATCTTCTATGGCTTCTTACGCCATAGAAGATTGAGGGGCAAAGTATCAGTTATTACATGCCTATGTATTGGACATTAATGTACTTCATCTAACCCCACCTATGAGGAAACAGGCTTTAGAGATGTGAAGAAATTTTACAAAGAGGCCAGGCGCTGTGGCTCACGCCTGTAATCTCAGCACTTTGGGAGGCTAAGGCAGGAGGATTGCTTGAGCCCAGGAGTTGGAGGCCAGCCTGGGCAACATAAGGAGACCCTGTCTCCACAAAAAATAAGAAATTAGCCAGGCGCAATAGCTCACATGTGCAATCCCAGCTACTGGGGAGGCTGAGGAAGGAGAATCGCTTGAGCCCAGGAGCTTGAGCCTGCAATGAACTGTGATCATGCTACTGCACTCCAGCATGGGCAGCAGAGCAAGATCCTGTCTCACAAATAATAATAATACATTTTACAAAGAGTAGCCCAGTTGTTAAGTGACAGAGCCAATTTTTTTTTTTTTTTTTTTGAAATGCAGTCTCGCCTTGTCGCCCAGACTGGAGTGCAATGGTGCGATCTCTGCTCACTGCAACCTCTGCCTCCCAGGTTCAAACGATTCTCCTGCCTCAGTCTCCCAAGCAGCTAGGATTACAGGCGCCTGCCACCATGCCCAGCTAATTTTTGTATTTTTGTAGAGATGGGGTTTCACCATGTTGGCCAGACTGGTCTCGAACTCCTGACATCGTGATCCACCCACCTCAGCCTCCCAAAGTGCTGGGATCACAGATGTGAGCCACTGCACCCAGCCCAGACAGAGCCAAGTTTTTAAACCGAGGTTTATCTTCAATCCCTGTGCTCAGTTCTGCATGATTAGTGGTTCATACAATAGTAAACACTCGAAGCCACTTCGATTTGTCCAATCACTAGACCTAGTTTTTTATTGTTTCTTTCTGTTTAAACAGTTGTGTTTGAGATAGGGTATTATTGCTCCCAAAATGTAGGAAATTTTCATATAGGGACTAATTTAACATGTAGCATATAATCGTCCTGTAAATTGTGTTGGCCCTTTTGTCTAACTTCATAGTATAGAATTATTAGATACAGTGTTATTTGTGCAGTTGGAGATGGCATATTTGGAACCCATACCATGTAATGGCAGGGTTTCCTGTACCTTGTGCTCTTTCAGTAATCCAATCTCATCATTGCTTCATCTACTCATTCCAGTCTCTTCTTTAAGGTTTTCACTTAAGTAGCTAACAAAGTATAAAATGCTTATTTCAGTTTTTATCTTTTAATTTTCTATTGGAAATGCTAATCACCAGGAAAGTTATGAAAGATTGGGCAGGGAAAATTAAACGGGCATCATAGAAGGCAGATACGTTTCTCCTCTTGAACCTAATCCACGTGACACTCCTTTCCGACATTTGCCCTTGCTGTTCTTAAAACCTGAAGTGTCCTCCCTCTTGTTTTCTGCCTATCTAAATCTCATCTTTCCTATGAAGTTCAGTTCAAATCCTTTCTTTTCTACAAGTTAGTTTCTAATGCATACTTCTCTGCACTCCTTTTTTGTATTTCTTTTTCTTTTTTTTTTTTTTTTTTTTTTTTGAGATGGAGTCTTGCTCTGTCGCCCAGGCTGGAGTGCAGTGGCATGATCTCGGCTCACTGCAAGCTCCGCCTCCCGGGTTCACACCATTCTCCTGCCTCAGCCTCCTGAGTAGCTGGAACTATAGGCGCCTGCCACCACACCTGGCTAATTTTTTGTATTTTTTAGGAGAAATGGGGTTTCACCATGTTAGCCATGATGGTCTTGATCTCCTGACCTCGTGATCCACCCGCCTTGGCCTCCTAAAGTGCTGGGATTACAGGTGTGAGCCACCGCGCCCGGCCTTTTTTTTTTTTTTTTTTTTTTGAGACGGAGTTTTGCTCTTATTGCCCAGGCTGGAGTGCAGTGGCGCAATCTTGGCTCACTGCAACCTCCACCTCCCAGGTTCAAGCAATTCTCCTGCATCAACCTCCCAAGTAGCTGGGATTACAGGCATGCACCACCAAGCCTGGCTAATTTTGTATTTTTAGTAGTGACAGGGTTTCTCCATGTTGGTCAGGCTGGTCTCGAACTCCCAACCTCAGGTGATCCGCCTGCCTCAGCCTCCCAAAGTGCTGGGATTACAGGCGTGAGCCACTGTGCCAGGCCCTTTTTTGTATTTCAAGTTAATATTACACAGTTGAAGATTTGCCTTCTACATTGATTTGAGTATGTCATCTTGGTCTCCTCAATTGGATTGCCATTGCTTGTCCTGCATTCTGAACACTTATTTGATCTGGAGGAATAAGGAACACATGAGGGCTAAGCCAGGTTGCTGAGGCAAGAGCAAGAATACACAGAGGTTCGTGGAGGGAGAAGGGACACCTAGTTCAGCACTTAACACTTAGTTCAGATTCACAGTGGGACCTGGATAGTTGAAGATGCAGGTGTCCTACAAAAAAGAAAGTGGATTGGCCCCTTAAATCCCAGACAGTATTCAAAACTATTCCTTCACCTCTTATTGGCCTGAAGTTTGGTGCTTATACACTTGGCACACCCGTGCCTTCTTGAGGTCGCCAGACTCTTCCTTTAGGCTGTGTTGCCCATCTTCGGCTGGCTTGCTGCTCATGAATACCTTCAAGCAGAAAAATCCAATCCATCTAGTGCAAGAGTTGATTCAATTCTTGAACTGGATTCTAAACTTCATTAGGGCAGAGCATATAATCTTTTTGTGTCTTTTGATTCCTTGCTTGTACTAGTTTTTTTTTTTTTTTCTGAGACGGAGTCTCGCACTGTCAGCCGGCTATAGTGCAGTGGCATAATCTCAGCTCACTGCAACCTCCGCCTCCCAGATTGAAGCGATTCTCCTTGCCTCAGCCTCCCAAGTAGCTGGGATCTCCTTGCCTCAGCCTCCCAAGTAGCTCCCAAGTAGCCTCCCAAGTAGCACCCACCACCACCCCCGGCTAATTTTTTTGTATTTTTGTAGAGATGGGGTTTTACTATGTTGGCCAGGCTGGTCTCGAACTCCTGACCTCGTGATCCACCCGCCTCAGCCACCCATAGTGCTGGGATTACAGGTGTGAGCCACCGCGCCTGGCCACTTGTACTAATACCTTATTACTATTAGTTAATACATTGATAATTTGGTTTTCTAAACTCTTCTAAAAGTTGTGTTTTGTAACATATCAAATTTAGAACAGAAAATTTATGCTCTGATTTGTTGGTTGTTATATTTACAATGATGTTTAATTATTGTTTTATTTATATCACATAGGAAATATAATGTTTTGTATGAAGCTTCATAGTATTAAGGCAGTTAATATATACTTGCTTTTGATTGTGTACAACTGTAGCTTAACTTGGAGGTTTTTTTTGAGACAGAGTCTTGCTTTGTTGCCCAGGCTGGAGTGCAGTGACATGATCTCAGCTCATTGCAACCTCCACCTCCCGGGTTCAAGTGATTTTCCTGCCTCAGCCTCCCAAGTAGCTGGGATTACAGGCGTGTGCCACCGCACCCGGCTAATTTTTGTATTTTTTAGTAGAGACGGGGTTTCACCATATTGGCCACCCTGGTCTCAAACTCCTGATCTCAAGTGATCCACCCAGCTTGGCTTCCCAAAGTGCTGGGATAACAGACGTGAGCCACTGTGCCCGGCCTTAACTTGGAATTTAAATAAAAAAATTTTTAATGGCTAGGAGTTCTTACTAGATTTGAATTTGCCTGAAGGGTTGGCTGGATGAAGTAAAAGGTATTTTTAAATAACGTGGTACTGTTAAAATATTTCAAATAGTTGAATCTTTCTGAGGATATGTGGACTTTAAAACATCAATATTAATGGGTTATGTGTTTGTTTTGTTTTGTCTATTAGGTGCCTGCATTATTGCTTACTGGCGATATGGTTCATGGCTTGGGGCAATCAGTTGTCCAATCTGTAGACAAACGGTAATGTTTTGTGTGCAGAAAGTATCATTTATGCTAGTTTATTTTGTACATTTTTATAGTTTTTGTATCTACATTTGGAATTATTATTGTCTTTTTAGCAGAACTTCATTTATCCAAATCTTCTTTGATGTCACCATATATTATTATTATTATTTTTATTTTTTTTTATTTTTTTTGAAAAAAGGTCTTGCAGTGCAGTGGCATGATCGTAGCTTCCTGCAGCCTCGACCTCCTGGGCCCAAGCAATCCTTCCACCTTAGCCTCCTGAGTAGCTGGGACTATAGGCATGTGCCACCATGCCTGGCTAATTTTTTTATTTTTAGTAAAGATGAGGTCTCCCTGCATTGCCCAGGCTGGTCTGAAACTCCTGAACGCAAGCAATCCTCCTGCCTCAGCCTCCAAAGGTGCTGGGATTACAGGCATGAGATACCACGCCCAGCCCACGATTTTTTTTTTTTTTAAACTGTACCCGGCCCACGATTATTTTTTTAAAACTGTCACTGAGATACCACTACAAAAGGGAATCCTATTTGAAATCCTACAGTTGTAGTGAAAGACAATCAGGCTTGAGCATATATCCTCTATATATGCATATATACTTGTTTTGAAAAAAAATTTTTTTCCTTCTCAATGTATATTTAATCTGTCTTTTTCCAGTGAGGACCCAGATAGCTTTAAATGGTATATAATGATTTTTTTTTTTAATGTTTCATTCCTTTTAGAGACATGGCCACATTGCATTGTCCAGAACAGCTTAGACCATGACAGTTAGCATCGAAGCCACCTGAGGAGGGAGGCAGTAAGTAAGCATGAACGTGAGACTGAAATGTCACTGCAGATGAGACATGCCAAATTCTCTCCATTTCTTTGATAAACTGGAGAAATGAAATACTGAACAATTCTGAGAAACCAATATTCTCAGTTTTTAAGTATGACAAAATAGGACATTGTGTCAGTTGTACACTGTTTTTCATAATTTCCTTTATATTTATTTTTCATTTAAAATAAAAATACAGGGTGGGCGCAGTAGCTCATGCCTGTAATCCCAGCACTTTGGGAGGCCAAGGCAGGAGGATCACTTGAAGCTGGGAGTTCGATACCAGCTTGGGCAACAAAATGAGATTCCATCTCTACAAAAAAATTTAAAAAATGAAATTAGCCAGGTGTGGTGGTGTATACCTGTAGTCCCAGCTACTTGGGAGGCTGAGGTGGGGGGATTGCTTGAGCTCAGGAGGTTGAGGCTGCAATGAGCTATGATCATGGGACTGCACTCCAGCTTGGGCAATAGAACGAGATTACATCACTAAAAAAAAAAGTATTCCTCCACTTACCCATGGGTGGAATGTTCACACACACTAAAAAAAAAAAAAGTATTCCTCCACTTACCCGTGGGTGGAATGTTCACACACACACACACACACACACACACACACACTCTCTCTCTCTCTCTCCTTCAGCCTTTATTGTAGCTGTCTGTTTCCCCTCAACTGCCCTCTTATTTTGGTGCAAAGAGGGAGGTCCAAGTCATTTTCTTACCATTCTTGCTTATACATTCCCAAATTCTGCCTCTTTCATATTTTACTTGTGGCCACATGGTCAGGAGGAAAACTGATGTTTCTATATGCCTCTCTGGCTGATTTGATGCGTGACACAAGGCAGTCAACATTGAAGCTTATGGCCGGGCGTGATGGCTCACGCCTGTAATCCTAGCACTTTGGGAGGCTGAGGCGGGCAGATCACAAGGTCAAGAGATCAAGACCATCTTGGCCAACATGGTGAAACCCAGTCTGTACTAAATATACAAAAATTAGCTGCGCATGGTGGCGCACACCTGTAGTCCCAGCTACTTGGGAGGCTGAGGCAGAAAAATCACTTGAACCTGGGAGGTGGAGGTTGCAGTGAGCCGAGGTGGTGTCACTGCATTCCAGCCTGGAGACAGAGCGAGACTGTCTCAAAAAAAAATTTTTTTTTTAAATTGAAGCTTATTTGCCCGTACTACTTCTTGGCATCTTTTGCTCTCGGTCAGCAACATCCAAACTAGGGAGTAGGTCTTACATTAAAAAAATAGTTCCAGGCCCTCCCTCTTCTTGGTTCTGCCCATGGCTTTTCATAGGACATGTGTACAGTAGCCAGTGGTATCCTGTGTACCATCCATAAATTGACTAGAGGCTCAGAAGGTCGAGATAAAGTTGTCTTAATATAATAGGTCTTGGTTCCCTAAGATAAGAGTAATTCATCCTGGAGGCAAGACAGATGGCAAATGCTTGTTCTACCTCCTGTTTTCAGTAGCCCCTTCAGTAAATGGTCATGGAAATAGCAATACACAGGCTGCCGCCTCTGACTGGAACACATTCACCACTTCTCCCCTTGAATGCGTGCACACCAGCCACAGTCCTACCACCATTTCCAGGTTTGGCTCAGTATCAGGCTTTCTGACCACCCCAGGCAGAAGAGATCCTCGCTCTCACAGCAGCATTCTTGCACCTGCCCCAGGACCATGTAAGGCTGTCGGCCAGGTCTTCCTCCCCTTTCCTTGTGGGTGTTGTAGTCACCCTGGAGCAGGCTTTTGACTTCATTTTTCTGGCATACCTAGCACTAAGCAGAGTGCCTGGCCCGCCATAGGTGTTCCATTAATGTGTATTGAAAGAATGCATTTTTATTAACAAATTTGTGAAGGAAGTGATGGCTGCACCTGCTGTTCTCACCACCTTCTGTGCTTAGTCACGCCTTCTTTTAGCTGTTTGGAAAGCATCTAAACAGTGGGAAGCCTTGGTTTTACAGCTGAACTGAGGAAGGACAAAACAACAACTAAATGATTTAAAACTAAATCGGCCACCACTCCTTCCCGTTTTTATGTCATCATACAATCATTAGTGACCATTTTCTATAAGGGTGCTACGTCCTAAAGTGTATTTATTTTTCAAGGTACTGTCACCGTCAGATTACCCCAGTATGGTCCTGGGACATTTGTACATCCTTGTTACCACAACCATGAAGGAAGCAGGGTTAAATGTATTATGTTATATGACAATATCAAAAATTTCTTTTTTTTATTATAGTAGGAATTGGTGTTTGAGAGCTGGTCCCTGCAATAACATAATCTTTATATTATGGTTGGTAGCATTCAAAGATCTTTCAAATACCAGTAAGAATAACCAATCATTATTTTAATACTGAAAAAGAAAACCATAATTTTTCTGTCTTAAAGTGACAGTTATATATTTTATGTCACTTTCCTCCTGAATGTTTCCTCATCCTTCTTTTATCTTCAAATATCTGTTAGCCCAAATAGAGAACTAAGGAATTTACCCCTGGTGTGGACAGGAAAATATTAGGCCAGTAGTTGGATATGGTGTCTATTTTATAGGAGTTCAAATTCTATGTTGCATTGGATTTTATTGCAAAGCAGTTACTTACTCCCCTCCCCCAGGTTGCCTTTATTTAAAAATGAGTGAAATATAAATATAGAAGCCTTTATCATTCTATTGAATAATAACACAAAATGAAAAAAACATAATGATGCAGAAAGTTGAAATAATTTTTTTTTCTGTAATATACAGGTAACCTTACTCCTAACAGTATTTGGTGAAGATGATCAGTCTCAGGATGTTCTGAGATTGCATCAGGATATTAATGATTATAACCGGAGATTCTCAGGGCAACCCAGATCTGTAAGTAATGCTAAAGCATGTTCAAAGTTAGAGGAAGACACATTTCTTCTCTTTTGTAAAGTGAGGTTTACCAACAAGTATTCTTTGACTATGAGAAATCTTGGCCAGGCACAGTAGCTAACGCCTATAATCCTAGCACTTTGGGAGGCCAAGGCAGGTGGATCACTTGAGCCCAGGAGTTTGAGACCAGCCTTGGAAACATGATGAAACCCCATCTCTAGAAAAAACACCAAAAAATTGGACAAGAGTGTTGGCACATGCCTGTAGTCCCTGCTTCTTGGGAGGCTGAAATGGGAGGATCACCTGAGCCCAGGAGGTTGAGGCTATAGTGAGCCATGATCGCACTATTGCACTCCCACCTGGGTGGCAGTGAGACCCTTCCTCAAAAAACAAGAAAAGAAAAAGAAAAAAAAAAATCTCATTATATGTGTTGGGTCAAGTTTTTACCTTCATTGCTGCCAATCACTACATTACACCTTTCCCAAGGACTACAATTTTCTTTCTTAAAAAACAAACAGCATTATAAAAGTTTTTATGAAAGAGAAACTAGCAGAAAAGCAATAGAAAAAATTAGAGGGAAATAGAAAATTATTTACTTCTTTGTGATACTAAAACACCATTTGTCTTTTGAGAAAAGTTACAACTGAAAACTTTAAGTTTCACAGTTGTGGTTTATTCTATTTGCCCTAGCCCTGTTTGAAATGTTCCCTTAAAAAAATTCCAGGTTGGCTGGGGGCGGTGGCTCACGCCTGTAATCCCAGCACTTTGGGAGGCCGAGGCGGGTGGATCACCTGAGGTCAGCAGTTCGAGACCAGCCTGGCCAACACGGTGAAACCCTGTCTCTACTAAAAATACAAAAATTAGCTGAGTGTGGTGGCAGGCACCTGTAATCCTAGCTACTCGGGAGACTGAGGCTGGAGAATCACTTGTACCCGGCAGACAGAGGTTGCAGTGAGCCGATATCACGCCACTGCACTCCAGCCTGGGCGACGAGAGTGAAACTCCAAAAAATTCCAGGTTTAGGCCGGGCACAGTGGCTCACACCTGTAATCCCAGCACTTTGGGAGGCTGAGGTGGGCAGATCATTTGAGTTCGGGAGTTTGAGACCAGCCTGATCAACATGGTGAAACCCTGTCTCTACTAAAAATACAAAAATTAGCTGGGTATGGTGGTTTGTGCCTGTAGTCCCAGCTACTTGGAAGGCTGAGGCAGGAGAATCACTTGAACCCGGGAGGCAGAGGTTGCAGTGAGCTGAGATCACGCCACTGCACTCCAGCCTGGGCAACAGAGTGAGACTCCCGTCTCAGAAAAAAAAAAGTTTGGAGGGATATGTTTATATGTCATCTTAGCTATTTAAAAGCAGAACACTGTACAGATAACCTTTCTTCCCCTTACCCTAGAAGTATTTGATAAATCAAAAACTAGCACATTTTACTGACTCATTCTTGTTTTATCAAAATCTAACACATTCTTAGAAATGTAAAACTGAATAAGTACTTCAAAAACTAGAATGTACTAAATCCAAATTTATATGGACAGCCCAGACCTCTCCTCTGAGCTCCAGACTCTGTAGATCCAACTGCTTCGCTTCCATTTCAGCGTGGGTGCTCCACAGACATCCCTAACTTAACACGTGGAGTATTGAGCTGATTCCCTCCTTGACATAGTCTGTTCTTTTCTCAGTTTTGATTTCCTCCTCTTCTTCATTCCTCTCATCTGGTCTATAAGTAATCCTACCTTTTCTTTCTATTTTTGGGGTGTCCTATTATTTTTACTGCATCAACATATTCTTGCTGGCTGGGCACAGTGGCTCATGCCTGTAATCCTGGCACTTTGGGAGACTGAGGCAGGCAGATCACTTGAGCTCAGGAGTTTGAGACCAGCCTGGGCAACTTAGCAAGACTTTGTCTCTACCAAAAAATACAAAAATTAGTCAGGCACGGTGGTGTGCACCTGTAGTTTCAGCTACTTGGGAGGCTGAGGTGGGAGGACTGCTTGAGCCCGGGAGGCAGAGGTTGCAATGAGCCAGGATCACATCACTGCACTCCAGCCTGGGTGATCGAGTGAGACCTTGTCTCAAAAAGAACAAAAATGTCTTGGCTGTGTTGTTGTTGTTGTTTGAGACAGATTCTCACTCTTTCCCAGGCTGGAGTGCAGTGGTGTGATCACGGCTCACTGCAGCCTCAACCTTCCAAGCTCAGGCCATCCTGCCGCCTCAGCCTCCCAAGTAGCTGGGACCACAGGGGTGCATCACCACACCCGGCTAATTTTTTATAGAGACTGGGTTTTGCCATGCTGCCCAGGCTGGCCTTGAACTCCTGGGCTCAAGCAATCCACCCCCTCAGACTGCCAAAGTGCTGGGATTACAGGTGTGAGCCACCGTGCCCAGCCTGTGTCCACTTCTTTCAATCACTGTAGACATTGTGCTGGTCCAGCCCTGTCATCTCTGCTCACGGCAACCACAGTGGCCTCCTCACTTCTACTTTTTTCCCTGCCACAGCAGCCTGATACATGTTTTCTAGACATAAATGAGACCATGATGCTCTTGTGTTTGAAAACTTCTATTTTGTTTGTTTGTTTTGAGACAGGCTCGAGTGCGGTGGTGCAATCTTGGCTCGCTGCAACGTTTGCCTCCTGGGCTCAAGCCTTCCTCCCACCTCAGCCTCCCAAGTAGATGGGACTACAGGTGCATGCCACCACAACCCGGCTAATTTTTATATTTTTTGTAGAGATGGGGTTTCGCCATGTTGGCCAGGCTGTTCTCAAACTCCTGGGCTCAAGTGGTCCTCCCACCTCGGCCTCCCAAAGTGGTGGGATTACAGGCATGAGCCACCACTTGTGGCCCAATGTCTTTGAATGTTCCAACTCCTTACTGTGGCTTACAGGGCGCCACATGATCTGGTCCTCCCTCCCTCTCCAAATTTCTGTTAACCGCCTCAATCACCACCCTGCAGCCACCCTGCTCTATGCTCTCAGCACACACACAAACTCCTTCCACCTTAAGGCTGTCACACCTGACACTTCCTCTGCATGGAATGCTTGTCCTTCTGCTCTTATGGTGATTTCCCAGTCTTTAAATGACAACTATCTTAAGTAGACCCTCCTTGGAGAAGTTTTCCCTGCTCTGTGGCGCCCTCTGTACCTTTCCTTCATGGCGTTTATCATAGACAGCACTCAATTCTTGTTCATTATCTTTCTCTCAGTAAACTAAAAGCTTCATAAGGGTAAGGACCATTTTTATTTATTTACCACTGCCGAGTTTCCAACAGTGCCAAATTTGGTGCCTTAATGTGTGTTGAATAAATGAATTACTGTTAAGATAAGAATTGATACTGCTGCTCCCAGCCGAATATATTAAGCTATTCAGATGCTTCAGTGTTAAACAGACATGTGCTCATGCTCCATTGTTCCTTGTTCTGTGAGGTCGTGTACATTTCAGGGCATAGATTTCAACTGTTATGGATGATAATGGGTAGATTTACCCATTTTTCATTGAGCAGGAAAAAAAAAAACTTAATCCAATCATGTTGTCCTCCATAATTATTTGGGAGCCTCTTCTGCAATTTTGACCCAGCAATTTTTTTTTTACATATCCTCCGGTGACATCAGTAGGATGGTTCTTTAAAAATGCAACCTGTTTCAAATTTAAGAGCTACCACTAAACTTTAATAAAGTCATTTAACATTTTTCTTTTCATTTCTTTTCTTTTTGAGACAGAGTCTCGCTCTGTCGCCCAGGCCAGAATGCAATGGCGCGATCTCGGCTCACTGCAACCTCTGTCTCCTGGGTTCAAACAGTTCTCATATTTCAGCCACCTGACTAGCTGGGATTACAGGTGTGTGCCACCATGCCCAGCTAATTTTTGTATTTTTAGTAGAGACGGGGTTTCACCCTGCTTTCCAGGCTGATCTCAAAACTCTTGGCTTCAAGCGATCTGCTCACCTTGGCCTCCCAAAGTGCTGGGATTACCAGTGTGAGCCACTGCATCCAGCCTTTAGAATTTTTCCTTCATTATTTTTAAAATGTGAAGCATACTATTACTCAATTATTATTTTTTGTGTCAGATATTTAATGAGTAAGAAAGCCTGGTATGTGATGAAATTATAATATAAAAAAGGCATTTAGCTCTTTAATATTCTGCCTCCTTCAAAGTTGGAGTAAGTTTATGCAGAAACATTTCTTACTAAACCATTTCATTATTTCTGGTCTAATTATTAAAGATTTTGTATAAATGATGATACTGTATTACAAGTGAACAAAATAGCTCTGAAAAAGGACAGAAGGGTATTCAAAAGACATGCTGGCTGTTTGTTAGAGTATCTAAAGTCATTTACTATAAACTTTGTGAAAGCTGTAAGGCTGTTTTGCTTTAGATATTAGTTCTTCCACAGAACATAGGAAGTGATTATGAAACAACCATTCTTGTACTTCGGTGAGCATTGTTCCAAAAGGAGTCACAAGATGATTTTCTCTTAGTCTGGGGGTTTCAAAAACTATTTTCTCCTCACTTGCTCAGTTCTTTGCGTTTTTGTCTCCATCTCCCTCTCAACTTATTTGGCACTTGTTACATAAAACGCCTATCTAGAGTTTGCGTGTATGACTGTTACACAGATTGTTAAACATAGCAGAGAAATGACCAGAGGAAGTGATTCACCAGAAGGAATCAGTTTCACTGCTATTCTTAAACTATTTAAGCCATCAAAGTTCCTATGTCTTTAATGTATAATCACTTCTATATTGTCTGGCAAGTTATAAAGGTCTTTCATACACAGTATCTCTTTTAGTTATTTTTTTCTTTTGAATTTTTAGTCCGCTTGCCAGGGAACCTTTTCGTTCTTAACAGTCCTTGCACATAAATACACAGTTAGTTGTTGAATTATCTCTAGTAGGTTAAGCAACTGTTCCTAAGATCACCTGGCTAGTAAGTGATTGATTTTGAATTCAAACCCAGATCTGTCTGACTTTAAAGCTGAGACTTAAGCTCAAGTCTCAGACTCTAATCCTGCGCGCTAGGTTCTTTGGTTTATTTTACTAACTCAAATCAGATGTTACTTGAGTTTTGCATTACTATATCCCGTATTTTAAGCTTGTTGACACTTTAGTTGCCTTTCAATTATCTGCAATAAGATCTATTCTGTAAGAACTAGTATTCAAAGAGCTATTTTTAAATACAACACATAATTAGAAAATATGTTCAATTAATGTGTAACTCCTTAATTCATCTTAACAATGTTTACATATAGTAAGAAAATTATATTATTTTGAAATCTGACACATTAGGTGCTGAATCATAATACTTGTTTTTCCCTCTACCAGATTATGGAGAGAATTATGGATCTACCCACTTTACTGAGGCATGCATTCAGGGAAATGTTTTCAGTCGGGGGCCTTTTCTGGATGTTTCGCATCAGGATAATACTTTGTTTAATGGGAGCTTTTTTCTATCTTATATCACCTCTAGATTTTGTACCTGAAGCCTTGTTTGGAATTCTAGGCTTTCTAGATGATTTCTTTGTCATCTTTTTATTGCTTATCTACATCTCTATTATGTATCGAGAAGTGATAACCCAAAGGCTAACTAGATGAAAAAGAAAACAAAACTGAGTTTACTAGGATATCTGAGCTAATGTAGAACATCAAACAGAAGGACCCATGGCAGTATAAAGCAATGAAGCAATGGAGTATTATCTCACAAATATAAAACCACTATAAGACAAACATTTGATTATCATTTGACAAATACCTAGGTATAACTGGAATTTTCATGTTTGAAGTTCTAATATTAAGTTTAGAATTATAATGATCTACAGTTGTATCTTGATTCTATGTTGTCTGGAAAAAATATGGAATTATATAAAAAGGGATGCTTTTATATATTTTTCTTTTCCCCAGAATTACTTAGATTAATTAGATGTATAGTAAAATATTGTTAAATGTCAGTTTATCCATCTTATCCTTCTCAGCAGGTACCTATATGATAATATATAGCTGTGAAACTCATCTAAATATTTTTGTTCCAATAAAATATTATATACTATTGGGGAAAATTCAGTATTTCTTTTAGTGCTAGCTAAGTTTTGTGCATTTGGAGCAGTTCTGCCTTTTCATTCTGGTATAATTAATTATTTGCTATCAGCTGAAACTGAAAGAAGAAACTTGAACTTCATACTTCGATATCATATTCTAGTTTACAGAACACATTTTAATCAATAGAAGAATTAAGATGAAAAACATGGCCGGGCGGGGTGGCTCACGCCTGTAATCCTAGCACTTTGGGAGGCTGAGGCGGGTAGATCACAAGGTCAGGAGATCAGGACCATCCTGGCTAACATGGTGAAACCCCGTCTCTACTAAAAATACAAAAAATTAGCCAGGCGTGGTGGCAGGCGCCTGTAGTCCCAGCTACTCGGGAGGCTGAGGCAGAAGAATGGCGTAAACCCAGGAGGTGGATTGCGCCACTGCACTCCAGCCTGGGCAACAGAGTGAGACTCCCTCTCAAAAAAAAAAAAAAAAAAGATGAAAAACATTTATCTCCAGTCAGCACACTTGATGTTCACAGTTAGACATTTAAACAAGAGCTCATCCTTTCGTAGTAGATATAAAAGTAATTTGTAAAGGGAAGATTGTTTTAGGAACCTGGGCGATGCTGCAAACACAGAGTAGCCTGATGCATTTCTGAGGAAGGTGAATCTTCGTGTCTTTGAGCATCAAGCCAATAGGAAGGTACTGGGAACGGTATTTACATTTGACAAAAGAAATTACTGGTTAGCTATAGCAACAGATTGGACAAATTTTGTTAGTTTTCTGTTGTCAGAAATTTTTATAATACTGTCTCAGGATGGCAGCACACAGCTCAGATTCATGTCTTGAGCCAAACAAGTGAATGTATCTGAGAAGACTCAGTACCACATGGTACTGGGAGATCTTACTCACTTCAGCTGGCGTTGCTCATTAGTGAATGTATGACAGCAGGATGTGAGGGGATGCCCAGGAGTCAGTGTTAGCATTGTCATCTGAGATCACTGCTATTAATATCATCCATTAATTTATTAGTGAGCTTCACTATATGCAGACTGGGAGATAAGGAGAAAATCTGTCACATTCTCTCTAGCTAATCAGATCAGCTACCAATTAATGAGATTCTGAATGAAATATCAATATGTGTTTTTCTAATTTGGACCTAGGACAGAGCTGTTGCTTGTCATAGAGAAAAACAATAATGCTTAAACATAGCACATTATAATTAAAGCAGGTTTCTCACATACTTTTCATTTTATCCTTTGGATAATTTTGTGAGGAACGCAGGACACCAACTTCCCTTTCATAGATACAATCCCCATGCTATTGATGAAAGTGTTTTTGAATGAAGTCATACAACAAATAACTGATCAAAGTGGCATTACACCAAAATTTCTTAGTAGGACTCCTGCATAGAATGTTTAGATAGACGTGAAAGTTGTTAAGAGGAACAGCAAGAGAGAAACTGGTTCTTTGGAAGTCTTTCGTGCTACATTATACCTCCATCAGAGTAAGACAGCTTAGGCACTCCTAAGAGGAAAGGTCTGTGGAGATGACATGAATCCGAATTCTACACTTCCAAATCAAATAGGTAAAAGGGTGGCATACATCACAGAAAAACATTTCAGCTGCAGTCACCAACTTGAAAAGCGAGTGAGTAGGAGTTTGTCACACTGCCATGTACCAGACTGGAAATGCATTTCCTACCAATTACACATTTGGTGTGGGGGAATGGTGATGTCATTTTTTGACAGGATTTTATTTTGTGTGCATGCATTCTGCTCCAAGTGTCACAATTCTGGTTACAATAATTATAATATTTGGAGTTACTACTAAGACTTTCCTGAAAGAGGTGTATTGTACCAAATTTTGTAACATAAAAAAATACTAAATGATCTTAAAGCTTCCTAAATTGTGAAAAGGGTATGTGCTAACATCTCAGAACTTTAGACCTGCTTGTTGTCATCTTTACCGATCTCTGATGATAAATGCAGAAGGGATCTGAGAGTTTTTAAAGCAAGTAGAGTCAATCAGAGTTTTGAACATCATAGTAATACTTCCGTGATTCAGAGTTAGATCATATAAATCAAAGTAACAATTTGGATTTTTTTTAAACAACAATATCATAACTGTCATAAAACAGATGGTCCAACCCCAGGAGCAGATAATAACTTGGGCAGCTCTGTGGGGAACAAGACGGGGAAAACAACTGTTCTAACTGCCCACTAGAACAGTGGTTTCAACTACTACAATTCTCAGTGTTTGAGAGGTACAAGGGAAGAAAGGACTATGTGGATCCCTTGTGGCTATGCAGATACCTACCTCACAGAGTTGTTGTAGAAGACTGGTGGTTTGGTTCAAACCTTGTGATTAAAGAGTTTGTCAAGCATTTTATTCTTTTGAATAAAAGCAACATATCTAAAACATTTTAAAGGTGTTATTTTTCTGTTTATTTAACAGTTGTTTGCTTTCAGAACTCCTGAAAGAGCATTCAGTATAATGGTTGCAACGGCTTTATCACTAATGGACATCCAATATCTCATCACATTTCTAATTAATTTTGTTAGGTTTTTTATTTTGTTTGTGTGTTTGTTTTTTGGTCAGAGACAGGGTCTCACTCTTGCCCAGGTTGGAGTGCAGTGTTACAATCATAGCTGACTGCAGCCTCGAATTCCTGGGCTCCAGTGATCCTCCTGTCTCAGCCTCCCAAGTAGCTGGGACTATAGATGTGTGCCATCACACCTGGCTAATTAAAAAAAAAAAAAAAAAAGTTTGTAGATACATGGTCTGGCTGTGTTGCCCAGGCTGGTCTAAAACTCCCAGGCTCAGCCTTCCAAAGTGCTGGGATTACAGGTGTGAACCACCATGCCCAGTGCTGAAAATTATTTTTCTATTAAGCAAATAAATTAATTTGCAGACCACAGTGAAAATTTAGTCACGGAGATGTTTTACAAAGAAAAATTCAACATTCAGTTCAATGCAACAAATTTTGTTTTAAATTATATGAAATTCTGCTGGACGCAGTGGCTCACACCTGTAATCCCAGCATTTTGGGAGGCCAAGGCGGGCAGATCACAAGGTCAGGAGTTTGAGACCAGCCTGGCCAACATAGTGAAACCCCGTCTCTACTAAAATACAAAAATTAGCCAGGTGTGGTGGCACGCACCTGTAGTCCCAGCTACTTGGGAGGCTGAGACAGGAGAATCGCTTGAACCTGGAAGGCAGAGGTTGCAGTGAGCTGAGATCATGCCATTGCACTCCAGCCTGGGTGACAGAGTGAGACTCCATCTCAAAAATTAAAAAAAAATAAATGAATAAATAAATTATATGTAATTCACCATACCAATGATAAGTTTACCACTTTGAAATAAGGAAATATAAGGATTATATTCAACAGGTAATAAAAGTATATATTTCATTTCCAAGTTATGGATCACTGGAAGACAGGAAACAAGAAAAGGGAACAAGGAAGAGAACTTGGCTGAGGGACACCACATTGACCAGTTTCATTCTAGATGGATTAATGATCATAGACACCAAGAGGGCACCCTGCTGGCAGGTGATCCTTGGGTGCTGCTTGAGTGGCTTGTGCCCCCAGCTTCTCTGAACTGTCTTAAACGTTCATTCTCTTCTGATATTCCTGCACCTCCCAGGTGACAACCTAGTTTTCCTAAACCACTTCTCCCCTGCCAAGGCCTTTACTTTGCTGGCAGAAATAGCTCCCTTCTTTTTATTAAAGGCCGTTTGACTCTCAGTAAAAGGAACCACCATCCATCCATTTAAATGCTCAAGCGAGGACAGTGTGGTGGCTCACACCTATCATCCCAGCACTTTGGGAGTCCGAGGCAGGAGGATCACTTGAGTCCAGGAGTTTGAGACCAGTCTGAGCAACATAGTGAGACCCCCGTCTCTACAAATAAAATTAGCCAGACGTGGTGGTGCATGCCTGTGGTCCTAGCTACTCCAGAGCTGAAGTGGGAGGATCACTTGGGCCCAGAAGTGAAGGCTGTGGTGAGCCTTGTGGGTTGCACCACTGCAGTCCAGCCTGAGTGACAGGAGATCCCATCTCAAAATGCTCAAGCCAGAGGTGCAAGCTTAATTCGGTGTTAATATCTGAATCCTTCTCTTGTTCTTTCTTTTTCTTTCTTTTTTTTTTTTTTTTGAGACGGAGTCTCACTCTGTCACCCAGGCTGGAGTGCAATGGCACAATCTCGGCTCACTGCAACCTCCGCTTCCTGGGCTCAAGCGATTCTCCTGCCTCAGTCTCCCGAGTAGCTGGGACTACAGATGCCCACCACCACACCCAACTAATTTTTCTATTTTTAGTAGAGACAGGGTTTCTACTAAACCCTGGCCAGGCTGGTCTGGAACTCCTGATCTCAGGTAATCCGCCAGTCCCGGCCTCCCAAATTGCTGAGATTACAGGTGTGAGCCACTGCACCCAGCCTCCTCTCTTACTCTTATAACCATCTATCAACAAGCCCTGGCATTTCTACCATTGACATGTCGAATCCTATCACTCTATACCCTCTGCCACCACCGCAGTCCAAGGAGAGTTCTGTGTGTCCAGGAGCCCAATGGGGGCTGTGGTGGTAGAGCCCAGGGAGCTGGAAGGAGGGCATGAAGTGAGGTTGAAGAAGCAGGAAGGCTGTTGATTTGGATTTACGTGCAGTGGGAAGACATGATCTAACAAACATTTTTAAAAGGTCATTCTGACTACCGTGTGTAGGGTTCATCAGAGAAGAGCAGCCGTGCAAGTGAGCAGACCCATCAAGAGGCTGTTGCATGCCTGGACACACAGAACTCTCCTGCCTGTACAGTCGGATGCAGGTCAGGGCCTCAGCATATACCCCATGACCGAATGCTCCCTTCAGCCTCACCACGTTTATGCTTCACGTTACTAGACTGTGTTTCCATCCTTTGGTTCTCAGGTTAAATGTTCCCTCCTCACTCAGACTACCCAAAAGTAGGCAGTGCAAAAGTAGTGCAAAAGTAGGCAGTGACCCTCCCCTCCCCTTACCCCAGGGCACTCTGAGGCATTCAGACATCTCAGCACAGCATCATCATATTGACATTTCCATTGTCTGTCTGCTTCTCACTAGAACACAAGCTCTATGAAAACAGAGACAATGTTAGTTTTGTCCACCCAGATATTCACAGATGTACCATTATGCCTGCCACCACAGTAGTGCTCAACACATTAAAGATTAATAAATAAAGCAAGGGAAAGACAGGAAAGGGCAGAAGACAAGGAAAGATCACTTCTTACTCAGTCATGGCTGCCGCCCAGGTCTAAGCCACCCTCACTTCTCACCTAAAGGATCACAGCGACCTTCCAGGCAGTCTCCCAGGCACCAAGTGCCTGGCTCCCTACATGCAACGCAGCCCGATGATCATCTCAAGTGTGACTCTGCTGGAAAGCCTGCTCTCCCTTTCCCACAGAGTAAAGGTAAAGTCCTCACGCCAGCCTGCAAGGCCCCATGTGACCTTGGTTGCTCATTTCCTCTCTAACCTCATCTCACATTTGTCCCCACAGCTCACTCTGCTCCAGCCATCCAGCCCTCCTTGCTGTCCTTTGAGCAGGCTGAAGACGCCCAGCCTCAGGAGCTCTGCCCTGGCCAGTCCCTCTGACTGCTAGGCTCCTCCGCCGGGCATCCTCACAGCCAACTCTCACCAACTCCAGATCTTCGCACAATAGCCATTTCCTCTGTTAGGCCTGTCCTGTCCACCATAAGGAAACTTGCAACTCCCTCAGCCCACAGAGCACCTCTCACCGGCTAACATACTCTGTGGTCACGTGTTTGCTATCTGCCTCCCTAATGTCTTTGAGAACATTAGCTCCCTGAGGGCAGAAATCTCCTTCACTGACATATCCCAAGCCCCCAGAACTATGCGTGCAGCATAGTCAGTAACTATTTGTTGAATCAATGAATGAGAAAACAATATCAGGGAACTCTAAGTTGAAATACACTTTCTCAGTTCACAATGTTATCCATTCTGACCTTTATCAGACACAGGCACAGAGGACCTCAGAGATATTCCCAGCAGTCTCAATATCCATGGTAATGCTAATAAACTACTATTCTGGCATTTTGGTAATGGCAGACCTCATTTTATTGTAATTTGCTTTATTGATTTTTGCAGATATTGTACTTTTTACAAATTGAATGTTTGTGGCATCGCGGCTTCGAGCAAGTCCATTGGCACCATTTTTCCAGCAGCACGTACTCAAGTCATGTCTCTGTCACATTTTGGTAATTCTCGCAATATTGCAAACTTTCTCATTATTATTATAGCTGTTATGGTGATCCGTGATCAGTGATCTTTAATGTTACTACTGATCTTTGTTTTGGAGTGCTACAAACCGCACCCACTTATGGTGAGCTTAATTGATACAAGTTGTATGTGTTCTCACTCACCACTGACTGGCCATTCCCTAGTCTCTCTCGCTCTCCTTGGGCCTCCCTATTGCCTGAGACACAACAACATTGAAATTAGGCCAATTAGTAACCATACCAATGCCCACTAAGTCCTTGCTAAGATTCTTACTTTCAATCATAAGGTAGAAATGATCAAGTGTAGTGAGGAAGGCATGTTGAAAGGCACGACAGGCTGAGAGCTAGGCCTCTTGTGCCAAACAGCCAAGTTGTGAATGTAAAGGAAAAAAAATTTTTTTTTTGAGACAGAGTCTCACTCTGTCGCCCAGGCTGGAGTGCAGTGGCGCTATCTTGGCTCACTGCAACCTCCGCCTCCCGGGTTCATGCCATTCTCCTGCCTCAGCCTCCTGAGTAGCTGGAACTACAGGTGCCCACCACCATGCCCAGCTAATTTTTTGGGTTTTTTTTTTTTTTTTTTGTATTTTTAGTAGAGATGGGGTTGCACTGTGTTAGCCAGGATGGTCTCGATCTCCTGACCTCGTGATCCGCCCACCTCAGCCTCCCAAAGTGCTGGGATTACAGGTGTGAGCAAACGTGCCTGGCATAAAGGAAAAATTCTTGAAGGAAATTAGAAGTGCTATTCCAGTGAACACACGAATAATAAAAAAGCTAAGCAGCCTTAATGCTGATATGGAGAAAGTTTAAATGGGCTGGGTGCCATGGCTCACACCTGTAATCCCAGCACTTTGGGAAGCCAAAGTGGGAGGATCACTTCAGGTCAGGAGTTCGAGACCAGCCTGGCCTACATGGTGAAACCCAGTCTCTACTAAAAATATAAAAATTAGCTGGGTGTGGTGGTGCGCGCCTATAATCCCAGCTACATGGGTGGCTGAGGCAGGAGAATCGCTTTAACCTGGGAGGTGGGGGTTGCAGTGAGCAGAGATTGCGCCACTGCACTCCAGCCTGGGCTACAGAGCGAGACTCAGTCTCAAAAGAAAAAAAGTTTAAATGGTCTTCCCTTAAACCAAATCCCCCCCAACTCTGTTCAATTTTGTGAAGGCTGAGAGAGGTGAGGAAACTGCAGAACAAAGTTGTAAGCTAGCAGAGGTCGGTTCAGGAGGTTTAAGACAAGAAGCCATCTCCATAATATAAAAGTGCAAAGTGAAGCAGCAAGTGCTGATGGAGAAGCTGCAGTGAGTTCTCCAGAAGATCCAGCTCAGATAATTAATGAAGGTGGCTACACTAACAGCAGATTTTCAATGTAGATAGAATGGCTTCTATTGGAAGAAGATGCCATCTAGGACTTTTAGTAGCCAGGAAGGAGAATTCAGTGCTTGGCTTCAAAGTGTCACAGGACTGGCTGACTCCCTTGTTAGGGGCTGATGCAACTGATGACTTTAAGTTGAAGCCAATGCTCACTTACCATTTCAAAAATCCTATTGGTCTTAAGAACAATGGTAAATCTACTCTGCCTGTGCTCAATAAATGGAATAATAAAGCCTGGATGACAGCACATCTGTTTACAGCATGGTTCACTTAATATTTTAAGTCCATTGTTACACCTACTGCTCAGAAAAAAAAATTCCTTTCAAAATAATACTGCTCATTGACAATGCACCTGGTCACCCAAGAGCTCTAATGGAGATGTACAAGGAGATGAATGTTGTTTTCATGCCTGTAACACAACATCCATTCTGCAGCCCCATAAATCAAGGAGTATTTTGACTTCCAAGTTTTATTACCTATGAAATAAATTTTGTAAGCCTATAGCTGCCATAGATAGTGACTCCTCTGATGGATCTGGGCAAAGTCAGTAGAAAACCTTCTGGAAAGGATTCATCATTCTAGATGCCCTGAAGAACATCAATAATTCATGGGAGGAAAAATATCAACATTAACAGGAGTTTGGCAGAAATTGACTCCAGCCCTCATGAATGGCTTTGAGTTGTTCAAGACTTTGGTGGAAGAAGTCACTGCAAGTGTGATAGAAACAACAAGAGAACTAGAATTAAAAGTGGATCCTGAAGATGTGACTGAGTTGCTGCAATTTCATGATAAAACTTGAACAGATGAGGAGTTGCTTCTTATAGATGAGCAAATAAAGTAGTTTATGAAGATGGAATCTACTTCTGGCAAAGATGCTGTGAACATTGTTGAAATGACAACAACGGATTTAGAATATTTTGAATATTAAATAAACCTAGTTGATAAAGCAGTGGCAGGGTTTGAGAGGATTAACTCCAATTCTTAAAGAAGTTCTACTGTGACCAAAATGCTATTAAACAGCATTACTTGCTACAGAGAAATATTTAATGAAAGGAAGAGTCAATCGATGCAGCAAACTTCATTGTTGTCTCATTTTAAGAACTTGCCACAGCCACCTCAACCTTCAGCAACCATGATCAGTCAGCAGCCATCAACATCAAGGCAAGACTCTCCATCAACAAAAAGATCACCATTTGCTGAAGGCTCAGGTGATCATTAGCTTTTTTTTTTAGCAATACATATCTGTGTGTGTATGTGTATGTGTATAAAATTTAGAGATGGGATCTCACTGTCATGATCATAGCTCACACTCCAGCAGCCTCAGACTCCTGGACTCAAGGGATCCTCCTTGCCTCAGCCTCCCAAGTAGCTGGAACTACAGGCATGCACCACCATACCTGACCAATTAAAAACAACTTTTTAGAAACAGGGTCTCACTCTGCTGTCCAGGCTGCCTTGAGTCCCTGCCTCAGCCTCCTGAGCCCTGACACCCAGCTCATGGTAACTGTTGGTTTGCTTGTTTGAGACAGGGTCTCATTCTGTTTGCTCAGGCTGGAGTACAAAGGCATGACCACAGCTCACTGCAGCCTCAACCTTCTGGGTTCAAGGAATCCTCTCAACTCAGCCTCCCAAGTATCTGGGACTACAGGTGTGTGCCAACATGCCTGGCTAATTTTTGTATTTTTTTTGTAGAGACAGGGTCTCACTATGTTGCCCAGGCTGGCCTTGAACACCTGGGCTCATGTGATCCACCCGCCTCAGCCTCCCAAAGTGCTGGGATTACAGGCGTGAGCCACTGCACCAGGCCATTAAGCCACATCTTAAGGGTGGACAGGTCAGGGATGGGCATTTCAAGCCAAGGAAAACAGCCTATTTAAAGAAACCACAAAAGAGCCTACCCTCTAAGACATAAAGCCGGAACAAAGGTAAAGACAAGTGGAGGGAGATGATGGTGGAAGAGTAGAAGTACTTGGTCTTAAAGAGCTTTATAATTCACCATAAGAAGTTTGGATTTTATTCAGTACAGCAGGTAGCCTTGGAAGGATATGAGCAAGGGCGTGGCAGGCATGCACCACCCTTCTATAGAAGATAGAATGGAGAGAGGTAAAACTGGAGACTAGGATAGTTAAGGGGTTGCTGCAAGGTTAAGACCATGAGAGCTTGGTCAAGAACAGTGAGGAGGCCAGGTGCCGTGGCTCACGCCTGTAGTCCCAGGACTTTGGGAGGCCCTGGCTGACAGATAGCTTAAACCCAGGAGTTTGAGACCAGCCTGGGCAACACAGTGAGACCTCATCTCTGTTAAATATAATAATAAAAATAATTAAAGAACAGTGAGGGTTGGGCGCAGTGGCTCACGCCTGTAATCCCAACACTTTGGGAGGCCGAGGCAGGCGTATCACCTGAGGTCAGGAGTTCGAGTCCAGCCTGGCCAACATGGTGAAACCCCATCTCTACAAAAATACAAAAATTAGCCAGGCATGGTGGCGGGTGCCTGTAATCCCAGCTACTTAGGAGGCTGAGGCGGGATAATCGCTTGAACCCAGGAGGCGGAGGTTGCAGTGAACTGAGATTGTGCCACTGCACTCCAGACTGAGCGACAGAGTGAGACTCCCTCTCAAAAAAAAAAACAAAAAAAAAAACAACAACAACAGTGAGGAGACATGAAGAGGGATGGATTTAAGGGGCATTTATTTATTTAGTCTACAAAATTAACCTGGTCATCAACGGGTTTTATGGGTGACAAAAAAAATCCAAGATGACTCCAAGGTTTCTGGTTTAGACAACTGTTGAACAGATAATTCACAGATGATAATTCACAGATGATAATCCCAAAGGCAGAACGGATATACAAAGGAAATAAAAGATGAGAGAATTATGGTATTTGGTTCAGTTTAAGGAGCAGGGTGTTTAGGAGTTAGAGGAGGGCAGAAGATGGAACCCTGGGGAAACAGCAACATTTAAAAGGGCAGGAAAGGTAGAGAATAAGGGCCAAGGGATTACTCAACAGTCCGCTCTCCAGGTCTGCCTGGCTCAGATCTATATAAAGAAAAGGAGCAGGGAATGAAGTAAAACTGTTACAGGAAAGGGGTCCCAATCCAGACCCCAAGACAGGGTTCTTGGATCTCACGCAAGACAGAATTCAGGGCAAGTCCACAGTACAAAGCAAAAGCAAGTTTATTAAGAACGTAAAGTGGTGAAAGTACAGCTACTCCACAGACAGAGTAGGGCATTCCCGAAAGTAAGAGGAGGAACGCGTCCACCCTAAGTACAACACTTAGTTTATATATAGGATAAAAAAAGATCATGGGGAGATGTGCTTTGCTACAAGGGTTTGTGATAAAGGATTAATTACTATATTATGTAAGAATCGATATTATCTTTATTTATGAGACAGAGTCTTACTCTGTCGCCCAGGCTGGAGTGCAGTGGTGCAAGCACGGCTCACTGCAACCCCCGCCTCCCGGATTCAAGCGATTATCCTGCCTCAGCCTCCAGAGTAGCTGAAATTCGAGGGCATGTGCCACCACACCCGGTTAATTTTTGTATTTTTAGTAGAGACGTTTTCACCATGTTGACCAGGCTAGTCTTGAACTCCTGACCTCAAGTGATCCGCCCGCCTCGGCCTTCCAAAGTGCTGGGATTACAGGCGTGAGGCACTGTGCCCAGCCCAATATTATTATCTTTAAAGCAAAATTAGGAATGCTTCTGTTCTCAAAATATCGGGATATCTGGACACTTGGTAGTCTGGGTCTGTGTAGTAAACATTATCAATCTGTTGCCTTAATGGTATACACATCTAGAGGCTAGGAATACCTAACTTCCCGGGAATGCAGCCCAGCAAGTCCCAGCCTCATTTTCCTAGCCCTCACTCAACACAGAGTCGCTCTAGTTCGAACCCCTCTAACATATTCTCTCTCAGGTGTGAAAATTGCTGCAGCAGTTCGCTATTTGCAACACAGCACATGGAAATCACAGCAATGGAGAGCCTTCAGAAAAGCTTCTGGGGAGGGACAGCCTGGTGGCTCAACTCCTGTAATCCCAACCCATGGGGAGGTCGAGATGGGAGGATCCCTTGAGCTCGAGTTCCAGACTGACCTGGGCAACGTGGGGAGACAACGCCTCTATTTATTTAAAAAATTACATATATATATATATATATACATACACACACACATATATACATACACACATATATACATACATATACATACATATATATAAAACGCTTCTGCGTTGGCAATTGAGATGATTTGGCGAGTGTGTCTTTTTTCATTGCTAAAAATCTGTCACGTTGGCTCTCACAGAAACTTGTGATACCTGAAGACACAGGTAATGGGATAAAGATTAGCACTCTGGGAAAAGGTTCCACAATTTTATTAATCATACACCATCTGTGTCCGCCCTTTTAAAGAAATGGGCGCAATCAGCCAACGACCTCGGCTTTACACCTGTTCTCCAAGAGGCCCTAGTTGTTCCCTACTGTAAGCTGCCCCAGAAAAGGTCCGCATCAATTAACCCACGGGAACAGCCCGGGGCTGGAGGATGCCCCAGGAATCCGGCCTCCCGCCGCGCCTCCTCCCCCCACAAGCAGTTCCTTCCTGCCTGCCGGAAGCTCAGGGCTCCGCCCACTTCGGCAACTCTGAAGCCACCGCCGGAAACACCTGGCCTCAGCCAATAGTTAGCTTCCCAGGAAACGTTACCTCTGACCTCGGGGCTAATCAGAGACAGTGGGACGCACCCCTCGCGAGAGGTGAGGTTGAAGCTGCCTCCGCCATCTTGGAGATGGGAGACGGGCGATGGCTGTGGTCCTTCTGCTAATGCAAACAACAAAACGGGCACACTAGTCACCCCCGAGGGAGGCCACCATCACTGTAACTGTTGGCCAAAGCTACAAAAGAAGCGAGGGAATCCAACCGAGCGCAGCGACACTGAGAACAGCTTCCCCTGCCTTCTGCGGCGGCAGAAGTGAAGTGCCTGAGGACCGGAAGGATGGTGCAGTCCTGCTCCGCCTACGGCTGCAAGAACCGCTACGACAAGGACAAGCCCGTTTCTTTCCACAAGTGAGGACCCTGCGCGCCTCGCGGGGCCGGTCTCAGCCGGGGTGGGGGCGCGCGGCCGGCGGGGCCGGGGGCGGAGCCAGGCGCGTGTCCGCGCGAGGGGCGGGTGGGGTCTGGGGCCGGCCGTGTCGGGCGTTTCCCACCGCGTCCCGCTGGGAACCGCCGCCCGATCGCGCGTTCTCGGCGCGCGTCGCCGCGGCAGCCGTTTCTCGCGCTCCTGGAACAGGCCCTGGTTGCAGGCTTCGCTCACGGCCTGGGTTGACGCGTTCGGAGCCCACGGGCGATGCCTAGGGTGGCGCGGGTTTTGCCACCACCAGGGTCACAGAGCAGCCAGGTGTTTTAATATGGTCTTAGGGGTAAATTTAAAATAGAAACAAAGGCCTTTAAACGAAGAAATCACTACTTTTCGCCCTTGCCGTGGATGGGAGGCCAGCATCGTAGCAATTAAGGGTTTTTTGGCTGGGAAATCAGGGAGAATTTTTGCCCCCAATCTCTAGGAACTAAGCTTTAAGGACCCTGTATTTTGGAGAAAGCTTCAGGTACTGCCGAGATAAATCGTTATCTTTTCAGCACACAATAATGATAATATGGACAGTTACAACATGGATCATAATAAAATGACTCACACGGATCTTTATTTATTATGGCATTACCTGTGCATAGAGAAAGCTCTTTCGAAAGAAACTGCCCCACAGCTTTCAGAGCTGTCTTATCCAGTAGGTAGCACAGTTAAGTGATAGGATCAAAAATATTCTCTTGAAAATAGGAAAAAAGTGCAGAGTTGTAATTACTTATGATAAACGCTTGTAAAATGTGACATAACATTTTCATTCAGCTGAATTTGTTTACAAATTTTAATTACATTTATGTTAAGTTTTCTTTGCAAGAATTCCTGACAGCTATACGCAGATGATAGGTAAGAAATCAGATCCAGGGGTAAACTATACAGATTAGCCATAGGTAATTAGCTAATTATCTTTTATAATTAGGTAAATAATTACAAAAGCAAAATGTTAAATATCTTTTCAGTTAATTTATTTTTTTGCTGTGGGGCCATCTGTGTTTACTAGGGGAGTGTCCATGCATTTTTTAAATATGTTTGATATCATGTGAGATGGACCCTATAGAAATAAGAGTGTGTAGAACATAGAGAGGTCTCCAGAGTAATAATGTTACCCCTTGGAGAAGGGGATAGAACACTTAGAGGATTCAGTTCAGGATATCCTAATATTATCTCTTGATTTAATTGGAATTTCTGTAAACATGTTCTTTCTAAATGTAGGGAAAGGTCAGGTGATGGTAACAGGATTACATGCCCAGCTCCCCACCCACATTTCTGATGGCTTGGCAGAAGGAATCTAAAATTATGGAAAATGTTTCATTGGCACTGGAAACTAGTTTAAAGAGGGTATTCACACGTCGGAAATAACTGTTTTTGTCGAGGCACGATGGCTCATGCCTGTAATTCCCAGCACTTGGGGAGGCCAAGGTGGGCGGATCACCTGACGTCAGGAGTTCGAGACCAGCCTGGCCAACATGGCAAAATCCCGTCTCTACTAAAAATACAAAATACAGGCGTACGCCTGTAATCTTAGCTACTTGGGAGGCTGAGGTAGGGGAATCACTTGAACCTGGGATATGGAGGTTGCAGTGAGCTGAGATCTTGCCCTGCACTCCAGCTTGGGTAACAGAGTGAGACTCCATCTCAAAAAAAAAAAAAAAAAAAAAAAAAGATACAACTGTTTCTGCTAGATGTTAAGCAGATATGGATTGAATCAAAAGAAGGGCTAACCTGCATCTTATCCCTTATCTAAAATAGCAGGTTTAGGGAGAGTAGATGGGAAAGATCTTAAGAGAATCTCACAAACAGCTGTAAATTTGTTGTCCTTGAGCCAGGAGGCCCTAGGTACTGAATTTTACCAGCAAATGCTACCATAGTTTATACTTACAGAGCCAGGAGGCCATAGGTACTGAATTTTACCAGCAAATGCTACCCTAGTTTATACTTATAGAGGCCGTTCCAGTTGAGATTTTCTTTCTTTTTTTTTTTTTTTTTTTTTTGAGATGGAGTCTTGCTCTGTCACCAGGCTAGAGTGCAGTGGCACGATCTCAGCTCAGTGCAACCTCTGCCTCCCGAGTTCAAGTGATTCTCCTGCCTCAGCCTCCCAAGTAGCTGGGACTACAGGTGTGCACCACCACGCCCAGCTAATTTTTGTATTTTTAGTAGAGACAGGGTTTCACCATGTTGGCCAGGATGGTCTCCATACTTCGACCTCCTGATCCGCCCTCCTCAGCCTCCCAAAGTGCTGGGATTACAGGCCTGATTACAGGCCATGCCCAGCCCCAGCTGAGATTTTCTAGGAGTACCACTTCTCCCACCCTCTACATAGTGGCAGCGGAGAGTGCTATGTCGTACAAAGAAAAGGGACTGTCATAAAGATCTCTTACTAGCAGAGTCAGGCTCTAGCATATCGTACATGGAAGAGAGACTGTGAAACATAAATTTGAAATTCCCTTCCCTTTTTCTTTCTAATCCCCCCAGTTTACCAAATTCTTAACTTGGAAGAGTAAAATTACCACAATAAATGTAAACTCTCACTATCCCCGTTTACCTGGGCCTAATGGACATCCCAGTTGATTAGAAAATAAATTCTTTCGTTATTATCTGCCTTTAATTCAAATTTAGCCTATTCATATTTGTCAGACTGATGCTAAGAGAACTAGAAGCCCCTTTTTCCCAGTACGCAGATACAAATGTGCAATCTTTGTCTCTCTGTGCAGCACACAGAAAATTACTGGTAAAAAATATGAATACAGGTTATTTTTTTCTTTTTGAGACGGTATGGCTCTGTCACCCAGGCTGGAGTGCAGTGGAATGATCTCAGCTCACCGCAGCCTTGACCTCCCAGGCTCGAGCAGTCCTTCCACCTCAGTCTCAGCCTCCTGAGTACCTGGGCACATACCACCATGCCCAGCTAATTTTTGTGTCTTTTGTAGAGACAGGGTTTTGCCGTGTTGCCCAGGCTAGTCTCGAACTCTTGGACTTAAGTAGTCCCTCGGACAGTGGCCTCCCAAGTGCTGGGATTACAGGCATGAGCCGTGGGCACATTTACTCTATAGTATGTATTTTACCTGAATCTTTTGGTGAACTCAGTATAAAAAGTTAAACGTTAATGAATGAGGGCCAGGCACAGTGGCTCACGCATGTAATTCGAGCACTTTGGGAGGCCAAGGCGGGCAGATCACAAGGTCAAGAAATCGAATCCATCCTGGCCAACATGGTGAAAGCCCATCTCTACTAAAAGTACAAAACTTAGCTGGGCGTGGTGGCGCACGCCTGAGTCCCAGCTACTTGGGAGGCTGAGGCAGGAGAATCGCTTGAACCTGGGAGGCGGAGACGCAGTGAGCCGAGATTGCACCACTGCACTCCAGCCTAACAACAGAGCAAGACGGCATCTCAAAAAAATTTTTAAAAAATTAATAAATGAGATAAATAGATAACTAGAGCTAATCTTTAATCCAATAGGATAATACAATTGTAACATCTTTAATACCAATGTAAGATATTTCCTAAGCTGGAAAGTTTGGGTGCCTTTATTTATTTAAAAAATCAGGACAGATAATTGAATTATGCCTTCTTCTTAGGTTTCCTCTTACTCGACCCAGTCTTTGTAAAGAATGGGAGGCAGCTGTCAGAAGAAAAAACTTTAAACCCACCAAGTATAGCAGTATTTGTTCAGAGCACTTTACTCCAGACTGCTTTAAGAGAGAGTGCAACAACAAGTTACTGAAAGAGAATGCTGTGCCCACAATATTTCTTTGTACTGAGCCACATGACAAGGTAATATGCATTTTAAAATATTGGGTTGCTTTTTGTTTATCAAACTGATGTGTTCATTGATTAAAATGTGGAAAATTGAGTTAGTGTTAAGAGAATAAATGTGCCTGGAACCTTGTAGTTAACAGTGATACACTTCTGAAAACACAAAATGCAGTTTATTAAAGATAAATATCCTCACACTAAGAAACTTAGTCCAGCTTTGTAACTTAGTTAAAAACCACTCTGTACTGCCAGTTATATATTGATAAGTTTTGGGTTTTCTTTATCAGTGACAGTTTAGTTTCAAAGCATTTTTTTCTCCTCAGTGCTTAATATTTAATTAGATCTGATGATTCATTTTGTCTCTTTCCTGCACCGTCCCTCTACTTCAGGTAGAAAAGTTTATTCAAACTGAAACTGTTTTCTCATTTTGGAATGTTTCTATACCACTGATTCCCAAAAAAAGTCAGTATTTCTTAAATTCCACAGATTCTTTTATTATTTATTTATTTATTTATTTTTTGGAGACAAAGTCTTTGTTGCCCAGGCTGGAGTGCAGTGACATGATCTTGGCTCACTGCAACCTCCGCCTCCCAGTTTCAAGCAATTCTCTTGCCTCAGCCGCCCAAGTAGCTGGGATTATAGGCGTGCACCACCACATCTGGCTAATTTTTGTATTTTTAGCAGAGACAGGGTTTCACCATGTTGGCCAGGCTGGTCTCAAACTCCTGACCTCAGGTGATCCGCCCACCTCTTCCTCACAAAAGTACTAGGATTATAGGCATGAGCCACTGCGCCTGGTCAGTCCACAGATTCTTTTAAACTGTTTTTAGTTACTAAATTCAAACATACTTTGTATTTTTGTTTTAGAAAGAAGATCTTCTGGAGCCACAGGAACAGCTTCCCCCACCTCCTTTACCGCCTCCTGTTTCCCAGGTTGATGCTGCTATTGGATTACTAATGCCGCCTCTTCAGACCCCTGTTAATCTCTCAGTTTTCTGTGACCACAACTATACTGTGGAGGATACAATGCACCAGCGGAAAAGGATTCATCAGCTAGAACAGCAAGTTGAAAAACTCAGAAAGAAGCTCAAGACCGCACAGCAGCGATGCAGAAGGCAAGAACGGCAGCTTGAAAAATTAAAGGAGGTTGTTCACTTCCAGAAAGAGAAAGACGACGTATCAGAAAGAGGTTATGTGATTCTACCAAATGACTACTTTGAAATAGTTGAAGTACCAGCATAAAAAAATGAAATGTGTATTGATTTCTAATGGGGCAATACCACATATCCTCCTCTAGCCTGTAAAGGAGTTTCATTTAAAAAAATAACATTTGATTACTTATATAAAAACAGTTCAGAATATTTTTTTAAAAAAAATTCTATATATACTGTAAAATTATAAATTTTTTTGTTTGTAATTTCAGGTTTTTTACATTTTAACAAAATATTTTAAAAGTTATAAACTAACCTCAGACCTCTAATGTAAGTTGGTTTCAAGATTGGGGATTTTGGGGTTTTTTTTTAGTATTTATAGAAATAATGTAAAAATAAAAAGTAAAGAGAATGAGAACAGTGTGGTAAAAGGGTGATTTCAGTTTAAAACTTAAAATTAGTACTGTTTTATTGAGAGAATTTAGTTATATTTTAAATCAGAAGTATGGGTCAGATCATGGGACATAACTTCTTAGAATATATATATACATATGTACATATTCTCATATGTAAAGTCACAAGGTTCATTTATCTTTCTGAATCAGTTATCAAAGATAAATTGGCAAGTCAGTACTTAAGAAAAAAGATTTGATTATCATCACAGCAGAAAAAAGTCATTGCATATCTGATCAATAACTTCAGATTCTAAGAGTGGATTTTTTTTTTTTACATGGGCTCCTATTTTTTCCCCTACTGTCTTGCATTATAAAATTAGAAGTGTATTTTCAGTGGAAGAAACATTTTTCAATAAATAAAGTAAGGCATTGTCATCAATGAAGTAATTAAAACTGGGACCTGATCTATGATACGCTTTTTTCTTTCATTACACCCTAGCTGAAGGACATCCAGTTCCCCAGCTGTAGTTATGTATCTGCCTTCAAGTCTCTGACAAATGTGCTGTGTTAGTAGAGTTTGATTTGTATCATATGATAATCTTGCACTTGACTGAGTTGGGACAAGGCTTCACATAAAAAATTATTTCTTCACTTTTAACACAAGTTAGAAATTATATCCCATTTAGTTAAGTGCGTGATTTATATTCAGAACAACCTACTATGTAGCGTTTATTTTACTGAATGTGGAGATTTAAACACTGAGGTTTCTGTTCAAACTGTGAGTTCTGTTCTTTGTGAGAAATTTTACATATATTGGAAGTGAAAATATGTTCTGAGTAAACAAATATTGCTATGGGAGTTATCTTTTTAGATTTAGAATAACTGTTCCAATGATAATTATTACTTTTATATTTCAAAGTACACTAAGATCGTTGAAGAGCAATAGAACCTTTAAGACAGTATTAAAGGTGTGAAACAATGGCATTCAAAGTGTCTTTTGTAGAACTGGTTTTCATTGTAGTTCACTGCCATGCTGCCAGTGGATAGCACTGTGATTCATGCATATTTGATGTTTTATGAACCAGTATCTCAAAAATAGAAATAATGATTAGAAGATTACTTGAAGTTGGGCGGGGCGCCATGGCTCACGCCTGTAATCCCAGCACTTTGGGAGGCCGAGGCGGATGGATCACAAGGTCAGGAGTTCAAGACCAGCCTGGCCAATATGGTGAAACCCCGTCTCTACTAAAAATACAAAAACTAGCTGGGCATGGTGGCGAGTGCCTGTAGTCCCAGCTACTTGGGAGGCTGAGGCAGGAGAATTGCCTGAACCCGGGAGGTGGAGGTTGCAGTGAGCTGAGATTGCGCCACTACACTCCAGCCTGGGCAATAAAGCAAGACCCCGTCTCAAAAAAAAAAAAAAAAAAAAAAAAAGATTACTTGAAGTTACATAGTCTGATAACATCATTTAGAACTCATGCTGATCAGTCAGAAGGCTTTTACAGATTATTCATGGAACTCGAAGCTACAAAGTATTCAAGAAGTTTGGTTTTATATGTCATCTTTCTAGCAATTCCTGGAAGTACTCAGGAATATTTAGATTTATTCCTGAATATTTTGAAAAGTATATACCTTCGGCCGGGCACAGTGGCTCATGCCTGTAATCCCAGCACTTTGGGAGGCCAAGGCGGGTGGATCACCTGAGGTCAGGAGTTCAAGTCCAGCCTGACCAACATGGAGAAACCCTGTCTCTACTAAAAATACAAAATTAGTCAGGTGTGGTGTCGCATGCTTGTGATCCCAGCTACTTGGGAGGCTGAGGCAGGAGAATCGCTTGAACCTGGGAGGCAGAGGTTGCAGTGAGCGAGGGCGGTGCCATTGCATTCCAGCCTGGGCAACAAGAGCGAAACTCCGATCTCAAAAAAAAAAAAAAAGAAAAGTATATACCTTCAATCTAAGTACTCTTCTACATAAAAGACAAATTCTATGTGTGTGTCCCAGAATGAAGAATCCAGGTAAGATTATAAAAATGGAAATCATAATTACTTAGCATATTAGCATTATTATTTAACCTCAAGCTACTTTCTTTTCATAACAGACATAAATCCCCATTTGGAGAGAACTGAGCAAGCAGCATGTACACCAACTGCTTTCATTTAAATAATTTATCATAGTAAACAGAAGTTTGAGGTGCAGGTACTTATTTCTGAATTGGCTATTGTTTATAACATTGCCAAGAAAAGGAGGTCATTTAGGTAAAAATAGGTTCTGTTCAGGCATAGTAAACAGTCTGACATAAACAGGGACAAAGACTCAATTTTTTTTTTTTTGGAGAAGGAGTCTCGTTCTTGTTGCCCAGGCTGGAGTGCAATGGCGCTATCTGGGCTCACTGCAACGTCTGCCTCCCGGGTTCAGGGGATTCTCCTGCCTCAGCCTCCCGAGTAGCTGGGATTACAGGCATGCGCCACCACGCCCAGCTAATATTGTATTTTTAGTAGAGACGGGGTTTCTCCATGCTGGCCAGGCTGGTCTTGAACTCCCGACCTCAGGTGACCAGCCTGCCTTGGCCTCCCAAAGTGTTGGGAATACAGGCATGAGCCACCGCGCCCAGGCGGTCTCAATCTTTTAATACTGCCTTATAATGCAAATATAAAGGTCACCTGAATTGCTACTTGGCTTGAATTAGCACATTCCAATTGAAGTTTTAAGTTTTTAAAAACTAATTTAAATGTTTACTAATTGTATAGAAGTGTACTAAAAATAATTCTGTTGTTGCAAAACTTTGTACTTGGAAATCCAAGTACATGAGGGGATTTTTTTTCTTTCAACTATAATTTATGTGATCCCTTTCTTAGAATTATAACAATAATGGTGATGGCAAATGAAAGTTTCACATGATACGGGCTCTTTAGCTTGCATTAATATTCCCTGATCATCTTTTAATGCTAAAAAAAAAAATACATGTGTGGCCAGGCGCGGTGGCTCACACCTGTAATCCCAGCACTTTGGCAGGCAGAGGTGGGCCGATCACCTGAGGTCAGGAGTTTGAGACCAGTCTGGCCAATACGGTGAAACTCTGTCTCTACTAAAAATACAAAAATTAGACTGGCGTGGTGGTGCGCGCCTGTAGTCCCAGATGTGCTCAGGAGGCTGAGGCAGGAGAATCGCTTGAACCTGGGAGGTGGAGGTTGCAGTGAGCCAAGATCACGCCACTGCATTCCAGGCTAGGCGACAGAGCAAGACTCCATCTCAAAAAAAAAAAAAAAGTATACATGTGTACACATACCCAACACTATAGCTTTTAGAAAGTTGATAGTAAACAACATATTTTAAAATCCATTTGTGTTCCAGAATTTTAAAAAGATAGTCCACCCTGAATAGTATTTAAAGAAAAAGAATAGATTTTCCAGCTGATGGTAACTGGTGTTGCTTGGCATTATGATTTTATATAGTCTTGTGTTTTAAAAGTACAGTCACTCACATGAAAGAAAAATATTGAAGAGCAACAGTGCTTTGCAAATAAGCAAAACTATTACACTTAAAAGTAATAGAAAAATTTGCTCAAGGTAATGTTCTCTTATAATTCTGTCTTTTTAAAACTTGGATATAGCTTTATTCTACTGAGATTTTTCTGAATGATAAATATTTTTTAAATTAAAAAGCTGTTGAATTTTTATTCTCTTTAAATTCATGGCATTTTATGTCTTGAGATTATAAAAATTTTATTTTTAAAATATCCTAAAGGATACAAATAAACGTCATTGTTTTAGTTTTTGGTAAAACTGTAGAATACAAACAATAATTTAATAGAAAAATGACTTCCAGAGTGTATTGGCAAGAAAAAAATTTTTTTAAATAACCATTTAAAGTCTCTGCCAGTTGTCCTAAGGGAATATAGCAAATGAAGAAATGATAAGGAAAGTTTACTAAATCTCCATAAGAACATTGAGTCTGTGGCATTTAGGCTACAATCCATTTCTCCCTAACCAAACCCCTGCCCCAACTCAATGCTATAGAAGCTCTACTCTGAGGCTCCACTCAGTCTTCTTGGATATGGTCAAGAAGATCGTACTCCTTAACTCCCAATCAAGGGCTATGGTATCTTTCAGGGAGGGGCTGGTTGCCAGTATTCTCACGTCCCTCTAGCTTTGTGTTGCAGAGACTAAATTCCAGGAGGGTCCAGCCAAGAGGTCAGGGACTCCCTACACCCAACTTCCACTCTAGGTGGAGGCTTTACCATAGGTATGGCAGGCCAAGACACAGGGCCTTGATCACCCTCTCCATACCTCACTCAAGATGGATTTTCCATGCCAGAAGTAAGCCAAGAACACCAGAGGCTATTGTCTCAACTGAGCCCATAAAGCAGGCATGTAACTCCCAGAGAGTCAGGCCGCTTTCCTCACTCCTAGCTCCAGAGTGTAATGCCCAACCTTGTTTTTTCCTTATTCACCTGGCCTTGTTTCTCCCTTAGCTAAGAGAACCAGACAAACTCCATCTTGGCTCTTTCACTGGCAGCCCCTTCCTCAAGGACTTAACTTGTGCAAGCTGACTCCCAGCACATCCAAGAATGCAATTAACTGATAAGATACTGTGGCAAGCTATATCCGCAGTCCCCAAAAATTCATCTGATTGATAATGCCCAAAGCCCCGTGTCTATCACCTTGTAATAGTCTTAAAGCCCCTTCACCTGGAACTGTTTACTTTCCTGTAACCATTTATCCTTTTAACTTTTTTGACTACTTAACTTCTGTAAAATTGTTTTAACTAGACCCCCCCATCCCCTTCCTAAACCAAGATATAAAAGTTAATCACGCCCCTTCCTCGGGGCCGAGAGAATTTTGAGCGTTAGCCGTCTCTCGGTCGCCGGCTAATAAAGGACTCTTAATTCATCTCAAAGTGTGGCGTTTTCTCTAACTCGCCTGGGTACAAGAAGAGCAATGACTCAGATTTTCCCAAGGGAGATGCAGGTTATAAGAACAGAGAGCTCTGGCCGGGCGTGGTGGCTTACGCCTGTAATCCCAGCACTTTGGGAGGCCGAGGCGGGCGGATCACAAGGTCAGGAGATCAAGACCATCCTGGCTAACACGGTCAAACCCCATCTCTACTAAAAATACAAAAAATGAGCCAGGCATGGTGGCAGGTTCCTGTAGTCCCAGCTACTCGGGAGGCTGAGGCAGGAGAATGGTGTGAACCCGGGAGGCGGAGCTTGCAGTGAGCCAAGATGGTGCCACTGCACTCCAGCCTGGGCAACAGAGCGAGATTCTGTCTTAAAAAAAAAAAAAAGAATAGAGAGCTCTGAAGCTATTTCCAAAGCTATTTCCAAACTGACAATTGGAACACTGTGGGAAAGTTCAACCCTAAGGATGCTGTCAAAAACAATGGAGAATTTAGTGGTAAGCAATTAAGAGGAAGTTAGTAGCTCCACAACAACAGCTAAATTGTAGGCTAGTAATTAACCAGAAAGAACCAGAGGAGGAGAGAGCTAAGAAGGGCCCTCCTGGGGTCAGAGGCCATCACAGTGGCTCACACCTGTAATCCCAGCACTTTGGGGAGCCAAGGAAAGCGGATCACCTGAGGTTGGGAGTTCGAGACCAGCCTGACCAACATGGAGAAACCCTGTCTCTAGTAAGAACACAAAATTAGCCGGGCATGGTGGTGCATGCCTGTAATGCCAGCTACTCGGGAGGCTGAGGCAGGAGAATTGCTTGTATCCAGGGTGCGGAGGTTGCAGTGAGCCCAGATCTCGCCATTGCACTCCAGCCTGGGCAACAAGAGCAAAACTTTGTCTAAAGAAAAAAAAAAAAAGAAGGGCCCTCCTGGGGTCAGATCAGATAACCCCTGCAAAGGGGCCCAAATTTAATAGGATCACACTGTGGAGCAATTCATGCCTTGGGGCATTGTCAAAAACAATAGAGAAATCAACTGGAAATTGGAGGCTTACAGCTGAGTGTGATACCAACAAAAGCAGTTAGCAAAATAAGCAGTCAAAGACAGACCTGCTGAAACTACTGTTATCCCTGGTGACTACATGTATACCTAAGCCTGCACCTTTTAAGGAATGAAATCAGAGACGTCACACTGAAGAAGATATAAACTTAATTAGTGCAGCCAAGTAATGAAATAAAGGAGCAGACAGGGCCAGGCACAGTAGCACATGCCTGAAATCCCAGCACTTTGGGAGGCTGAGGTGAGCAGATTGTTTTAACTCAGAAGTTTAATACCAGCCTGGGCAACATGGTAAAACCCTATCTCTACAAAAAAACAACAAAAAAAATTAGCCAGGTGTGGTGGCTCACGCCTGTAATCTTAGCACTTTGGGAGGCTGAGACGAGCAGATTGCCTGAGCTCAGGAGTTTGAGACCAGATGCAGTGAAACCCCATCTCTTCTAAAATACAAAAGAAATTAGCCAGACATGGTGGGGTGTGCCTGTAGTCCCAGCTACTCAGGAGGCTGAGGCAGGAGAATTGCTTGAACCCGGGAGGCGGAGGTTGCAGTGAGCCAAGATCGCACCACTGCACTCCAGCCTGGGCGACAGAGCAAGACTCTGTCTCTACAGAAAAAAAAAAAAAAAAAAAAAAAGGAAGAAGCTCAACAGTAGTTCGAGATGGCAGAAGAAAAATCAGTAAGCCTGAGGTAGAGATCATGCTATCTGAAAAACAGAAAAAAAAAGAAGAAAAATGAACAGAGCCCCAGAGAAATATAGGACTCCATTAAACACACCAAATATGCTTAATGAGAGTACCAGAAGAAGAGGGGCAGGGGGAGAGCAGAAAAAATACTTGAAGAAAAAACGACTAGAAATTTCTCAAGTTTGATGAAAAAGCACAAACTCAAGAAGCTCAATAAATATCAAGCAGAGTAAATGCAAAGAGATCCACTCCCAGACATAATAGTAAAAAATGCTGAAAACCAAAGATAAAAATTTGAAAGCAGTAAGAGAAAAATGACTAGTTCCAAGGGCAACAAGATTAACAGCTGACTTTCTCATTAGAAAAAATGGAGGCCAAAAGGCAGTGGATGGCATATTCAAGGTGCTGAAAGGAAAACTCAATCAAGAATCTTATATGTAGCAAAATTATCTTTCAAACATGATGGTAAAGGGGGCTGATTCTGGGAAGATGATGACAGAGTAGGAAGCACCAGAAATCTGTCTCACTACCTACACTACAATGGGACTGGCAAAATTTGATGTAACTATTTTGGAACTCTGGAGTCTATTGAAGGCTTGCAACTTGTAGGGGTAAGGCTTGGATTACAAACTGTGATTAATTTTGGTCAATTTCAGCTCTTGGCTTGGTGGCAATTACCCATCTCCCATTCATAGCCCCATGGCAAGTAGTGCACAAGCTACAGGAGCAGCTTGCATGTGACTTGACTTGTGGAAGCCAAGGTGGGCAATATCCAAAATTCAAATATCAGTATTAATGTCTGATCACTGATTGCTGCTTAGATCATGGACATGCAAACACAGGTGAACAGCCATTGTTACATCTACCCCACAGACAGTTGCAAGCCCCTTCCCCTTTAGCTAAAGCAACTTCCAGGGAAGTTAAAGGATTGGTGTCTTCCCCTCACTCCCTTCGTTTTTCTTTTTGTACCCTTTTGAGAGCCAGGCATTAAAGACTAGGGCATTCAAAAACAATTGCACATATGAGGGGGAATTAGAAAGTCACTGTGCATAGTCAGAGAAGGGTGCAGGTTCAGAAGAGACCTGAGAATATGTTAAGTTTACACCTCAGGCTAATGCTTGCCACAGAGACAGCTTAAAACCATAAAAGCCAAAACAAGACAACAATAACAACCAACCTTGGAGAGGGGAGAGAACCTGATTTCCATGGTTTACCACACCATAAAATTCAAATGTCCTGTTTTCAACAAAAATCACAAGGCATACAAACAGGCAAGTATGGCCCATTCAAAGGGAAAAAATAAACCAACAGCAACTATCACTTAGAAAGACCATATGGCATACCTATTAAACAAAAATGTTAAAATAATAGTATTAAAGATACTTAGAGGAAGCATCTTTATTTACTTATTTATTTATTTTTTAGACAGACTCTTGCTCTGTCCCCAGGCTGGAGTGCAGTGGCGTGACCTTGCCTCCCAGGTTCAAGCAATTCTTCTGCCTCAGCCTCCTGAGTAGCTGGGACTACAGGCGTGTGCCACCATGCCCAGCTAATTTTTTTGTATTTTTTGTAGAATTGGGGTTTCACCATGTTGGCCAGGCTGGTCTCAAAACTCCTGACCTCGTGGTCCACCTGCTTCAGCCTCCCAAAGTGCTGGGATTACAGGTGTGAGCCACCGTGCCCAGCCTAGGAAGTATCTTTAATGGAAGACATGAAGAAAGTGAAGAAAATGATGTATGAACAAAATGGAAATGTCAATGAAGAAATAGAAAACCTTAACAAAACAAAACAATTCTGGTGCTGAAAAATATAAAAACAAATAAAAATTCACTAGAAGAATTTAAATTTGGGCAGGCAAAAGAATCAGTAAACTTGAGGATGGGACAATTGAAATTATCAAGTCAGAGTAAGAGAAAGAAAAAAGACTGAAGAAAAGTGAACAGAACCTAAGAGACCTGTGGGACACCACCAAAGGGATCAGTGTGCACTTTATGGAAGTCCCAGAAGAAGAGAGAGAGAAAGGGGCAGAGAAATTATTTGAAGAAATAATGGCTGAAAACATCTCAAATTTGATGAAAAACATGAATAGAAACATTCAAGAGACTCAATGAATGTCAAGTAAAATAAACTCACAGAGACCCCACTGAGACTTTACAGTCAAACTAAATCATCTTAAAAGAAATCATCTTAAAAGAGCAAGAGAAAAACAATTCATCACATGTAAAGGATCTTCAATAAAATGATCAGCATATTTATTGACAGAAACTTTGGAAGCCAGAAGGCAGTGAGCCAATATATTCAAAGTGATAAAAGGAAAAAACTGTCAACCAAAATCTCTAGAGAGAAAAATCAGGACATTTCCAGATAAACAAAAGCTGAAGGAGGGAGTTTGTTACTACTAGACCTGCCATACAGGAAATGCTGAAGAGAGCCCTGCAGGTTGAAATGAAAGTACCCCAGGCACGGACTTGAAGTTGTATGAAGAAAAAAAATCTCAGTAAAGGTACATGGGCAGAAGCTGGTATTGTAAAAGCTGATATTGTTGTAACAATAGTTTGTAAGGCCACTTTTTGTTTTGTACATTATTGAAGAGACTAATACATTTAAAAGAAGATGATTATTAGTCTAAAGGCTAGTATTATTGTAACTTTGGTTTGTAACTTCACATATGTTCTGTATAATTTAAGAGACTAATGCATTAAAAATAATTAGTTTTTATTTTTAGACACACAATGTATAAAGATGTAATTTTGAGACATCAATAACTGAGGATGGAACTGTAACAGAGTAGAGTTTTTGTATGGATTAAAGTTAAGCTGAGATAAAAGATGACATAAATCAAATTAGAGTGTTATAACCTTACAATGTTAAGTGTAATCCGCAAGGTAACCACAAAGAATATAGTTATAGAATTATACACAAGAGAAAATGAGAAAGGAATTAAAATATTTCACTATTAAAAAATCAACTGAACACCAAAGACGATTCTAATGCAGGAAATAAGGGACAAAAAAGCTATAAGACATTTATAAAACAAATAGCAAAATGACAGAAGTAGGTCCCTCCTCATCAATAATTACTTTAAATATATTGTATTGAACTTTCTAATCAAGAGACAGAGATTAGAAGAATGGATTTTTTTTAAAAAAAGAACAAGACCCGGCTGGGCCCGGTGGCTCATGCCTGTAATCCCAGCACTTTGGGAGGCTGAGGCGGATAGATCACCTGAGGTCAGGAGTTTCAGACTAGCCTGGCCAACATGGTGAAACCCATCTCTACTAAAAATACAAAAATTAGCCGGGCATGGCGGCAGTCGCCTGTAACCCCAGCTACTAGGGAGGCTGAGGCAGGAGAATTGCTTGAACCCGGGAGGTGGAAGTTGCAGTGAGCCAAGATTGTTCTATTGCACTCCAGCCTGGGCAACAAGAGTAAAACTCCGTCTCAAAAATAAAAACAAGACCCAAGACCCAACTACATGCTACCTGTAGGAGACTCATGTTAGGTCCAAAGACACAAACAGGTTAAAAGTGAAAGGATGGAAAAAGATATTTCATGCAAATAGTAATCAAGATGAGCTGGGGTGGCTGTATTAACAGAAGATAAAATAGACTTTAAATAAAAAAGTTACAAGAGACAAAGCAGGTATTATATATTAATTAAAAAGTTTAATACACCAAAAGACATAGCAATCGTAAACATTTTTGCACCTAATAACAGACCACCAAAGTATATGATACAAAAATTGGCAGAATTAAAAGGAGAAACAGACTGATCTACAAAAATGAAGATTAAGTAGAAACATTCTCAGAAAAAGAAAAATAGAATCTGTTGTTAGCCAACCCACCTTAAAATAAATACTAGAGGAAGCTCTTCAGGCTGAAAGCAAGTGACACCTAACAGTAATTCAAAAAAGCAAAGATTGCCAGTAAAGATAATTATGTAGGCTGGGCAGGGTGGCTCACGCCTGTAATCCCACCACTTTGGGAGGCCGAGGCGGGCGGATCATGAGGTCAGAAGATCGAGACCATCCTGGCTAACACGGTGAAACCCCGTCTCTACTAAAAATACAAAAAAATTAGCCGGGCGTGGTGGCGGGCGCCTATAGTCCCAGCTACTCGGGAGGCTGAGGCAGAAGAATGGCGTGAACCCGGGAGGCGGAGCTTGCAGTGAGCGGAGATTGCACCACTGCACTCCAGCCTGGGCGACAGAGCGAGACTCTGTCTCAAAAAAAAAAAAAAAAAAAGATAATTATGTAAATAATTATGAAAGACACATAGCTGCATCTTTTTTCTTATTTAAAAGCAACTGCAAAAACTGTATATATAATTTTAGTGTTAGGCCTGTAACATAGAGAAATGTAATATGTTTGATAGTAAGAAGCAGATGAGAAGCAAGCTGTACTGAAATAAAGAAAGAACACCAGATGAGAACTTAAATCTATAGGAAGAAATGTGGAGAAACAAATAATAAATCAAAAATTAATTAAACTATAAATACATACTTGTGGCCCGGTGTGGTGGCTCACGCCCGTGATCCCAGCACTTTGGGAGGCCAAGGCGGGTGGATCACAAGGTCAGGAGTTTTGAGACCAGCCTGGCCAACATGGTGTAACCCCGTCTCTACTAAAATACAAAAAGTCAGCCGGGCGTGGTGGTGGGCGCCTGCAGTCCCAGCTACTCTGGAGGCTGAGGCAGGGGAATCACTTGAACCCAGGAGGCGGAGGTTGCAGTGAGTCAAGATTGCGTCACTGCACTCCAGCCTTGGTGACAGGACTAGACTCCGTCTCAAAAAAAAAAATTAAAAAATAAATACATACATACTTGCTCACCCTTTTTTTGAGCTTCCTCAGAAGACATAAAATTATTACAATAATTATAAAAATGCATTATTGGTTTGTAACATGTAGATGTAACATGTATATTAATAATAGTACAAAATGGGAGAAGAGGTAGTGGAACTATATACAGCAAAATATCACACTGGTAAGTTGAAGTAGATTATAATAAGATATATATGGTAAGCCCTATAGCAACCACTTAGAAAATAAGTCCAAAGTGTAGTGAAGAAAATCATTAAAATAATTAAAATATTAAACTAGAAATGTTTACTTAATGTAAAAGAAAGCAGTGAAGGAAGACTAGAGAAATAAGACATGAGACTAAAAGGCAAAATGGCAGATGTAAATCCAGCTATACCAATAATAGCATCTAATGTGAACTGATCTAATCAAAGGGCAGAGACTGTCAGACTGGATATTGAAAAACGAGCTCCAATTATATGCTGTCTGCAGGAGACACACTTTAGCCTTATGATAAAAATAGGTTGAAAGCTAAAGGATGGAAATGACATACTATGCAAACAACAACTAAAACAGATGTGAAGTGGGTATGGCAATATCAGGCAAAATAGGCTTTTAAAAATGTTATTAGAGGCCGAGCACAGTGGCTCACGCCTGTAATCCCAGCACTTTAGGAGGCCGAGGTGGGTGGATCACTTGAGGTCAGGAGTTCAAGGCCAGCCTGGCCAACATGGTGAAACCCTGTCTCTACTAAAAATACAAAAATTAGCTGGGCATGATGGTACGTGCCTGTAGTTCCAGCTACTTGGGAGGCTGAGGCAGAAGAAATGCTTGAACCCGGGAGGCAGAGGTTGCAGTGAGACGAGATCATGCCACTGCACTCCAGCCTGGGCAACAGAGTGAGATTTTGTCTCCAAAAAAAAAAAAAAGAGTAAACAAGCAAGAAACGTGGAAGAGCATGTTTTCTCATACAGGTAGTTCTAAATTTTGAGACTCCGCCTTAAAACAAAACCAAATAAAATAAATAAATAAATGTTATTCGATATAAAGGGAATTTTGTAATGTTACCAGAGTCAATCTATCAGGAAGATATAAGAATTATAAGCACATATGCAACTAACAATAGAGCCCTGAAATACATGAAGCAAAAGCTCACAGAAATGAAGGGAGAATTCAACAAAAATTGAACAACAGCTGAAGACATCAGTACTCCACCTTCAATATTAGATATAACAACTAAGCAGGAGATCAATAATGATAGAGAAAACTTTAACTGTGCTATAAACAAAATGGATCTAGCCAACTTCTATAGAATATTGCACCCAACCATAGAGAATATATATATTTTTCAAGTCACATGGAGCATTCTCCAGGATAGACCACATACTGGGTCATAAAACAAATCTCAGTAAGTTTGTTTTTTTTTTGAGACAGAGTCTTGCTCTGTCGCCCAGGCTGGAGTGCAGTGGCTCAATCTCAGCTCACTGCAAGCTCCACCTCCTGGGTTCACGCCATTCTCCTGCCTCAGCCTCCCAAGTAGCTGGGACTACAGGTGCCCACCACAACGCCCGGCTAATTTTTTATATTTTTAGTAGAGACAGGGTTTCACCGTGTTAGCCAGGATGGTCTGGATCTCCTGACCTCATGATCCGCCCATCTCAGCCTCCGAAAGTGCTGGGATTACAGGCGTGAGCCATCGCTCCCGGCAAATCTCACTAAGTTTTAAAGTATTAAATCATATAATTCAGGGGTCCCCAACCCCAGGGCCACAGATGGATACCAGTCTGTGGCCTGTTAGGAACCAAGCCACACAGCAGGAGGTGAGTGGTGAAGCGAGCAAGCATTACTCCCTGAGATCCACCTCCTGTTAGATCAGTGGGGACATTAGATTCTCATAGAGGCATGAACCCTGTTGTGAACTGTGCATGTGACGGATTTAGGGTCCATGCTTTTTATGAGAATCTACCTAATGCCTGATGATCTGAGGTGGAACAGTTTCATCCCGAAACCATCCCCCACTCCCAGTCCATGGAGAAATTGTCTTCCAAGAAACTGGTCCATGGTGCCAAAAGGTTAGGGGCTGCTGACATAATGTATATTCTCTGACCACAATGGAATAAAATGAGAAATCAATAACGATAAATTAGATAAACTCACAAGAAAGTGGAAATTTTAAAACACGTTTAAACAACCAATGGGTCAAAGAAGAAGTCACAAGAGAAATAAGAAAATACTTTGCCATAGATAAAAATGAAGACACAAAATACTAAAACTTCTGGTATGCAGCTAAAGCAGTGCTTTGAGGGAAATTTGTAGCTGTAAACACCTATATTTTTAAAAAGAAGAAAGATCTCAATAACCTTAAGACACAGAAAAAAGAAGAACAAACTCCTTTTAAGGTGAAGGATGAAGTTGTTGCTTCTGATCCTTCCTACAACCAAGAATGAGGCACAATGCCTAGTTGGCCTATTTAGATTTTTGGAGGCAACATATTCCTCATTTGGGTGTGTTATGTTGGGTCATTCACGAGTGATCCAAAAATCTGCTAGTTTTGAGTAGTATCCAGAATAGGAGAAAGCTCTGCAACAGGTCCTGGCTGTTGTGCCAGCTTTGCCACTTGGGCCATATGATCCAGTGGATCTAATGGTGCGTGTGGTGTCTGTGCCATATAGGGATGCCGTCTGGAGACTTTGGCAGGACCCCATAGGTGAATCACAGTGCAGGCCTTTAAGACTTTGGAGCAGGGCCCTGCCATCATCCACAGATAAATACTCTCGTTTTGAGAGACAGCTCTTGACCTGCTAATGGGCTTTAGTAGAAACTGAATGTTTGACCATAGGCCGCCAAGTTACCATGCAACCTGAGCTGCCTATTATAAACTGGATGTCATCTGACCCACTAAACCATAAAGTTGGGCATGCATAGAAGAACTTCATTATCAAATGGAAGTAGTATAAACATGATTGGGCCCAAGCACGTCCTAAAGGCACAAGTAAGTTATATGAAGAAGTGACCCCAATGGTTCCTATTTCCAGTTCCTATTTCTGCTACACTGCCTTCTCTCTCCCAGCCTGGGCATTTGGCCTCAAGGGAAGTACCCTATGATCTTTTGACAAAGGAAGGAGAAGACGTGCACCCGGTTTATGGTTCTGTGTGATATTCAAGTACTAGCTCCCAAGTAATTGGGATTACAGGCACCCACCACGACGCCCGGCTAATTTTTGTATTTTTAGTAGAGAAGGGATTTCACCATGTTGGCCAGGCTAGTCTCAAACTCCTGACCTCAGGAGATCTGCCCACCATGGCCTCCCAAAATGCTGGGATTACAGGCATGAGCCACTGTGTCTGGCCCATAAACTTTCTTAAAACTTTTTTTTAAAGCTTATCAGCTATCATTAGTGTTAGTGTATTTTATTTGTGGCCCAATACAATTCTTCTTCCAATGTGCCCCAGGGAAGCCAAAAGATTGGACACCTTGTGCTAGATATATATGGTGAAGAAAACCATGCTTATCATATATGGCAGCATTCTTTATAAAAGCAAACAATCTGGAAAACCAGGGCTTAACTAGGGTTTCAGACTCTTAAGAATAAGAAATGGTTACACATTTCTAATATGCCGAATTCCAGCTTTCCCTGAGGAAGTATTTTAAATACTAGAAGCAATTTGGAAATGACTTTGTGAACTTATTTGCACAAATTTCAGGACATGTGGAAAGTTTACAAATATTTGTGCAAAGTTGAGTAACATTTAAGAGCCTGATCTCCAAACACTCACCATTTCTTGGTGTCATTTTCTACCAAAACTTCTGTTGGGGCCCTTTCATCTAAAAGCTGCTCTGCTGGCAGATGAATTATGCATCTGGGGACAGAGAACTGGATTTTCTGTTCTGTACTAACTCCTCAGGGAAGTTTTCCAAGGTTGAGCTGCAAGCTGTACACCCTTGAACTTGCTTCTAATTCTTTGCAGAATAGGCTCACAGCTATGAAAAAACATGAGTTTAGTTCATTCATAAATGGACACACACAAAACCTGGGGCAAAGAATTGCCCTTCCCCATCTTCAATGCACTGAAAACTTAGTCTACATTTTTAGATCATGTCTAGAAAATGTCAATGTCAAAAAAAATTCCTCATTCACAAAGATGTTCTAGAGGCTAAAACACATGGATGACAAATTCAAATTTTAATATATACATCATCTTTTTTTTTTTTTTTTTGAGATGGAGTCTCGCTCTGTCGCCCAGGCTGGAGTGCGGTGGCGCGATCTCAGCTCACTGCAAGTTCCACCTCCCGGGTTCATGCCATTCTCCTGCCTCAGCTTCCTGAGTAGCTGGGACTACAGGCACCTGACACCATAGCAGGCTAATTTTTTGTATTTTAAGTAGAGACAGGGTTTCACCATGTTAGCCAGGATGCTCTCGATCTCCTGACCTCGTGATCCGCCCGCCTCGGCCTCCCAAAGTGCTGGGATTACAGGTGTGATCCACCGTGCCTGGCCTACATCATCTTTTTTTTTTTTTTGCTACTCCCCACCCTGTCACCTGCTTCTCCCCACTGTCTTCCCATCCTCTTCTCCCCACCATCTCCTTTTCATTCTTCTCCCCAAGGCTGTCTTTCCAGCCCCTCTGCATGCCCCTTTTCCCCACCCTCTCTCTCCACTATTTTCTCCCAGCCCCTTCTCCCCCAACAACCTGGTTTTTTGTTTTGTTTTGTTTTCCTGAAACAGAGTCTCACTCTGTCGCCCAGGCTGGAGTGCAATGGCATGATCTCAGCTCACTGCAACCTCTGCCTCCCGGGTTCAGGCGATTCTCCTGCCTCAGCCTCCCGAGTAGCTGGGATTACAGGCATGCACCACCATGCCTGGCTAAATTTTTTTGTATTTTTACTAGAGACAGGGTTTCACTATATTGTCCAGGCTGATCTCAAACTCCTGAGCTCAGAAAATCCACCCGCCTCGGCCTCCCAAACTGCTAGGATTACAGGCATGAGCCACTGCACCCGACCGTTTTTTTTTAAAGCTATTATTACTCTTTCTTTGTTTCTTTGGTTTTTTTTTTTTGAGACGGAATTTCAGTCTTGTTGCCCAGGCTGGAGTGCAATGGTGCAATCTCAGCTCACTGCAACCTCCACCTCCTGGGTTCAAGCGATTCTCCTGCCTCAGCCTCCCGAGTAGGTGGGACTACAGCCGTACACTACCATGCCCAGCTAATTTTTGTATTTTTAGTAGAGATGGTGTTTTGCCATGTTGGCCAGGCTGGTCTCAAACTTCTGACCTCAGTTGATCTACCCACCTCGGCCTCTCAAAGTGCTGGGATTACAGGCGTGAGCCACTGCACCTGGCCTCTTTTTTTTCTTAAATACAGTTTTCCTTCCATTTAAAAATACAAGTACAAATTTTTACCTATTAAACTTCATGTTTCAGCTTCTTAATTAAAACATGTTAGTCTGAAACAAGCTGATTAACAAATGGGCAAAGGACTTGAGTAGACATTTCTTCAAAGAGGATAAACAAATGGCCAATAAGCAAATGAAAAGATGCTCAATATCACTAATCATAAGGGAAACACAAACCAAAACCACAATGAAACACCACCTCTCACCCATTAGGATGCCTGCTATCAAAAAATAGAAAATAATACATGTTGGCAAGGATGTAGAGAAATTGGAGCCCCCGTGCACTGCTGTAGAAAACAATAGGGCAGTGCCTCAGAACATTAAACACAGAATTACCCTTTGATAGAATCCAGCAAGTTCCCTTCTGAGTACAGAAAAGAATAAAAAACAGACTCGGCCAGGCGCAGTGGCTCAGGCCTGTAATCCCAACACTTTGGGAGGCAGAAGTGGGTGGATCACCTGAGGTCAGGAGTTTGAGACCAGCCTGACTAACATGGCGAAACCCCATCTCTACTAAAAAAAAAAAATTACAAAATTAGCCAGGTGTGGTGGTGCGTGCCAGTAATCCCAGCTACTAGGGAGGCTGAGGTAGGAGAATTGCTTGAACCAGGGAGGCAGAGGTTGCAGTGAGCTGAGATTGAGCCATTGCACTACAGCCTGGGCAACAAGAGTGAAACTCTGTCTTAAAAACAAACAAAAACAAACAAACAAAAAAGACTGAGACTCAAAGATATATTTATACACCCATGTTCATAGCAGCAGTATTCACAATAATCAAAAGGCAGAAGCAACCCAAGTGTTCATCAACAGATGAATGGATTATTCAGCCTTAAAAAGAAGGAAATTCTGACAAATGCTGCAACACAGACGAACCTTGAGAACGTTACGCTAAGTGAAATAAACCAGCCTCAAAAAGAAAAGCTGAGGGCAGGCAGAGCGCGGTGGCTTATGCCTGTAATCCCAGCCCTTTGGGAGGCCAAAGCGGGCGGATCAGGAGGCAAGGAGATCAAGACCATCCTGGCTAACATGGTGAAACCCTGTCTCTACTAAAAATACAAAAAAGCCGGGCGCGGTGGCGGGGGCCTGTGGTCCCAGCTACTGGGGAGGCTGGCAGGACAATGGCGCGAACCTGGGAGGCGGAGCTTGCAGTGAGCCGAGATCAGCCACTGCACTCCAGCCTGGGGGACAGAGCGAGACTCTGTCTCCAAAAAAAAAAAAAAAAAAAAGAAAGAAAGAAAAGCTGAAGGCAGACTTTGGCCCTTTATAAGGAGAAATATTTAAATAATTAGACTTGTCCAAGAGTGTCATGGATCGCGTTGTGAAGTAATGAGTTTGCCATCCCTGGGCATAATAAAGAAAATCTTACATGATCATTGGTTTGCGACATTGTGGAAGGAATTCCTGGCTTGAGAGGAAAGCTGTTTATGCTAAAACAAGGTGGTGGGTAAGCGGGGGAGGGGGGAGCGGGGGCGGGGCTTGTCTTGAAAGAATCAGTCACTTTATATATATATATAATCAAAATAAATATTTTATATATATAATAAAAATAAATTATATAGTTTCAAATAAACAGAAGGAGGGTATTGAAACTTCCCAATACAAAGATGTGATAAAGGTTTGAGATGAAGGATATGCTAATTACCCTGATCTGATCACTAAAGATTCTGTGTACCAAAACATCACCAGCCAGGCGCGGTGGCTCATGCCTGTAATCCCAGCACTATGGGAGGCTGAGGCAGGTGGATCACGAGGTCAGGAGATCGAGGCCATCCTGGCTAACACAGTGAAACCTGTCTCCACTAAAAATATAAAAAAATCTTTGCCGGGCATGGTGGCACATGCCTGTAGTGCCAGCTACTCAGGAGGCTGAGGCAGGAGAATTGCTTGAACCCGGGAGGCGGAGGTTGCAGTGAACCAAGTTTGCGCCACTGCACCCCAGCCTGAGCAACAGAGTGAGACTCTGTCTCAAAAAAAAATTAATTAAAGATAAATAAAGGTATGACTAAATAAAACAAAATACAGCAAAATAAAATAAAACAAAACAAGGCTGGGTGAGGTGGCTCAGGCCTGTGGTCCCAGCTACTTGGGAGGCTGAGGTGGAAGGATCACCTGAGCCCGGGAGGTCAAGACTGCAGCGAGCTATGATGGTGCCACTGCACTCCAGCCTGGGTGACAGAGTAAGACCCCGTCTCAAAAAATAAAATAAAATAAAATAAAATAAAAGAGAGAACAAAACAAAATAAAATAAAAATAAATTGCCTAAGGGGCTTTAAAACTTCTCCCCATTCAGAGTATGTGTTTTTGTTTTTGTTTTTGTTTTTGTTTTGAGACAGAGTCTAGCTCTGTCGCCCAGGCTGGAGGGCAGTGACGCGATCTTGGCTCACTGCAACCTCTGACTCCCGGGTTCAAGAGATTCTCCTGCCTCAGTATCCAGAGAAGTTGGGATTACAGGCTCCCGCCACTATGCCCAGCTAATTTTTTTTTTTGCATTTTTTGTAGAGACGGGGTTTCACTGTGTTGGCCAGGCTGGTCTCGAACTCCTGATTCAGAGTATGATCTTTAAGAGTCTTTGACAAACATTTTTTCCCCCTACAACATTGTTCTCTGCGTTATTAAGAACTTCGGTGATGCAGCATTTATTAAAAGAGTGTTCTAAGCCTGGGCAACATTGGAAGACTCCATCACTACAAATTTTTTTTTTTTTAATTTCCTGAGCATGGTGGTGCACACCCATAGTCCCAGCTACTTGGGAGGCTGAGGAAGGAGAATTACTTGAGCCCAGGAGGTTGAGGCCGTAGTGATCTCTGATTGCTCCACCGCACTCTAGCCTTGGCCACAGAGAGAGACCCTGTCTCTAAAAACAAAGATAAATAAATAAATAATAAAATAATGTTCTACTATTGTCTCCTAAATTTCCTTCCAAGTCCCTGATAGCAGCTATTTAAGCTGTGATAGTAACACTTTCTTGATCTTACCATAAGGTGTTAAGAGAAGATTATCAGACAAAATCCAGGACTCATGTTCTTTCCTCAAATGGACCTTAAAATGGCTTCTTGGCAGAGCCATCTGGGGCTGCAGTTTTCCATCCTGCCAATCGGAAAATCAACCAAGTTCACATATGTTGATAGCATATGGCAATTGTCATGACTGTACCTGGCCAACAGCAGTGACAAGGCATCATCTATTGGAAGATGCTTCTGATTTAAAAAGATGTTACAAGTGTAAAAAAAAAAAAAGCGTGTTTAAGAATCAATGAAACATGGGCATTTCTTTATGTGTGTAAGTTACCCAGATCTGATTTCTGTTCACCAAGAACCTTGACTGGTACACTTCCTAACTTACACATTCAAATTTAACATTCAGAATATGTAACGTCCTAAAATCGAACTCATTTTGGGACTAGGTGCTCAGGAGGCTCTACAGTGTGCCCACCCCATCCCTTCCCCATTCTACCATCTAAGGCAGGACTCCTGGTTGTCAGCTGGGTCCCCTTCTCCATCTCGAGGGGACCCTGTGGAGCCAGGTCACCGCTCAGCTTACTCAGACAGATGCATCAAACGGCTCTGCCAGCTGATGAGGCACAGGGGATTTGGGCTTCTTGCCTACATTCTCATCTAGGGAATTTTGGGAAAATTTCAATCATTGATCAACTTCTGGCTTGGGACAATTGCTGGATACTGAGTGATAACCATTGACTAATTCCTCTGTCACTTTTCATTTGAAACTCTCATTCTTTCCTGACTTTTGGAACGTCCATTTTTCAAGGATGTCTAGAAAAATCATGACTCACGTTTTCCCTTGGGGGCCTGATGGCAGCACCAGTTCAGACTAAGCCATTTGGAGGGCCAAGTGTCTTATGTCCATATCATCTGATACAAGATGCCTGGAGGGTTAGCACTTGCTCATCCTGGGACTGCTGGCCGCACTGCTATGATACAGGACATTGAAGATCAAGGCGAAAGCTGTTTAACGCTTTACCAACATACTTACAGCTAAGTCATTTGATAGTTCTCACCAATAAAAAGGCAACCACACAGAATGTAATTAATGCATATGCACTGGATGAGATAGCTCATTTTGCTGTCATTTTATCCTAAGAGAGATCTAGACAAATGCTTCCGATTAGAAGAGGCTCATGATACTTCTCCGTGGGTCAAGATTTGTAAGTAAGTATCTCTTCGTTTGTTTATTTATTTATTTATTTATTTTTGAGATGGAGTCTCGCTCTGTTGCCAGGCTGGAGTGCAGTGGCGTGATCTTGGCTCACTGCAACCTCCGACTCCCTGGTTCAAGCGATTCTCCCACCTCAGCCTTCCAAGTTGCTGGGATTACAGGCATGCGCCACCATGCCTAGCTAATTTTTTTGGGTTTTTTTGTATTTTTAGTAGAGACGGGGTTTCACCGTGTTAGCCAGGATGGTCTTGATCTCCTGACCGTGTGATCCGCCCGCCTCAGCCTTCCAAAGTGCTGGGATCACAAGCGTGAGCCACCACACCCGGCCTCTTTGTTTGTTTATTAATCTTCTAGAAATACATAGTGACTATTTTATTCTTATTGGTTCATATCAACAGTAAGAGTAGCCCTGGCACAGTGGCTCATGCTGGTAATCCCAGCACTTTGGGAGGCCAAGGCAGGAGGATCATTCGAGGTCAGGAGTTCAAGACCAGACTGGGCAACATCATGGGACCCCCACCTCCACAAAAAATTTTAAAAATTAGCTGGGCATGATGGTGCACACTTGTAATCTGAGCTACTCAGGAAGCCAAAGTAAAAGGATCGCTTGAGCCCAGGAGTTTGAGGCTGCAGTGAACTGTGATCACACCACTGCACTCCAGCCTGAAAAAGCCCTGTAAGTGTGGTTGCTGTAAGGGAGAATATGGTTAGGCTGACTTTTACATTTTCTTAGTGAAAGAGGCTGCTATTTAGGAATTTCAGCTCCTTCTCAGTCCTCCTGGAGCAGATTTTTCTCTAATCTGGGAAGAATCACCTATCGTGTATTAGGTAAATGTGTGCAGATAGGTACTGTATGCATAGAGGAAACATGTCCATGTTTTTGGTTTGACTAGGTTGCCCTGTGAAAGAATTTTTTTTTTTAAAGAAACTGGTAGATAAGAAAGAGGTAAATATATTTGTATAAGGACCAGGGATTTTCCTGCACAGTAAGAGACTAAAACCTGGGCCCTTTCTCTTTCTCTCTTTAAAAATAAACTTTTAAATTTCGGAATAATTTTAGATGTATAGAAAATTTGGCCAGGCCTGGTGGCTCACACCTGTAATCCTAGCACTCTGGGAGGGCAAGGCAGGAGGATTGCTTGAGCCCAGGAGTTAAAGACCAGCCTGGGCAACATAGTGAAACCCTATCTCTACCACAAAAAAAAAAAAAAAAAAAAAAAAAATTAAAAACTTAGCTGGGTGTGGTGGTGTGCACCTGTGGTCTTAGCTACTTGGAAGGCCAAGGCAGAAGGATCTCTTGAGCCCAGGAGTTTGTGACAAGCCTGAGTAACAGAGTGAGACCCTGTCTCTACAAAATTAGAAAAAAAGAAATGGAAGGAAAGAAGGAAGGGAGGGAGGGAGGGAGGGAGGGAGGGAGGAAGGGGAAAGAAAGAGAAAGAAAGAAAAAGAAAGAGAGAGAGAGAGGGAGGGAGGGAGAAAGAACATTTGCGAAGTTCCTATGTATTTCCCATCCAGTTTCAGTTTCCTTTAATGATTTCGCCCTACAAGAGCATGGTAGCTTTGTTAAAACTAAGCGACCAACACTAGTGCGTTACTCTGAACTAAATTCCCAACTGTATTCTGAGGTCACCGCTGTTCCACTTAGCGTCCTTTTTCTGTTCTGGGAGCTGCATTGCGTTCTGTCCTCACACCAGACTTTGTTTTTCATGACCTTGGCAGTTTCAGGAGAACTATGGACTCCTTCCCCTTGGAGACCCAACAGTATCAGAACTTCTTGAGGGACCGAGTGCCGTCTATAGGCAGGGAAAGCCCCAAGGGCTTCTCCGGGGAAGCGCAGTCTGAAGAAACGGAGCCCAGGCCTGGTGAGAGAGAGACCACCCAGGGCAGGGGGTGAAAGTCCCGCTTCATCTTCCTCCTCCTTAGAGCGGTGTGCTCGGGCGGCATCACACCCAGCCAGCGCGAGTGTGAACTCAAGTGCACGGGCAGCCTTGACCGGGCTGGAGCTGAGTGAGGGGTCACCCTGCAGTGGCTGTGATGGGGAGTGGTCCTCGCTGTGGGGTCACAGAGGAGCAAGGGCCAGTGCTGTGCTGTGGCTGCCCCAGGGCAGTTCTCAGCACTGACTCTGCGGCCGCAATGGCATCCCCACCCCTTCCCCTGCAGGCTGTTTGCACTGCAGGTTTGGCGCCTGCCTGCATCTGATTCCTACTTTGGGACAGGAGCCCATGGGCTGACGAGCACGTGGTGAGTTGAGTGATCACTCAGAAATAAACATGAGGTGGGGTGATGTAAGCCACGCTGGTGAAACGGGCCACACAGCTGTCATTTATGAGGTGCCTGCTGCTACACTGCAGCCTCATGATAACCTTGTGAAGCAGGTGTTAATAGTAACCCTCCAAAATCATAGACGAGCTGAGGGGAGACCAGTCCAGGTGGCTCCAGAGGGCAACAGCCTACTTGGCAAGAAGCTGACTAGCAGGCCCTACACACGGAAACTGGAGGCTGCGTCTAGAGGTCCGTCATTCTAAAAAGGTCATTTCCTAGTATTGGAGGTTCCCATAATTATGGCTTCACTTAAGTTCCCTCTGCACCCCCCAGCCCTCCACATACTGTGTTAATATGGGAGGGATGTCCCCTACTGGGTGCTTGCATGGTGAGTCCAACTAGCTCAGCCCATTTTGTGTTGCTATAAAAGAATACTTGAGCCTGGATAATTTATGAAGAAAAGAGGTTTATTTAGCTCATAATTCTGCTGGCTGAGAAGTTCAAGGGCATGGCCCTGGCTTCTGGTGAGGGCTTTTGTGCCACGTCACAACATGGCAGAGATGGTCAAAGGGAAGTGGACACGAGTGAAGAGGGGGAAAGCTGAGGAGTCTCCTGGCTTTATAGCAACCCGCTCTTATGGGAACAAATCCATTCCCATGTGAACTAATCCAGTCTCAGAGAGCCAGAACTCACTACCCTGAGAGCAGCACCAAGCCATTCCTGAGGGATCTGGAACCGAAATATCTCCCACCAGGCCCCCCCACCTCCCAAACGCCACCACACTGGGGATCCAATTTCAAATTGAGCTTTGGTGGGGACAAACAAACCATATCCAGACCATGGCACCAGCCACCCATGCCCAACCCAGCTCGTAGGTGGCACAAGGACAGGGGATCTTTGGAGTCTGTGGCCTTTCTCCCTGTGAGTTTCCAGATAAACACTATTCTTCATGTACACCTCATGGCCCCAGTAATGGGTGGATCTATGACCCTTTTCCACGAAGGACTCACAGAGAGAGGTTCATGAACTTACACAAGGTCTCACAGCTAGCAAATGGGATTTGAATGTGGGTTCCAAATGTCAAATTTCCTCATTCTTCTTTTTTTTTTTTTTAGACAGAGTCTCGCTCTGTTTCCAGGCTAGAGTGCAGTGGCGCAATCTTGGCTCACTGCAACTTCGACTCAGTGCAATCTTTGCTTCTCGGGTTCAAGCGAGTCTCCTGCTTCAGCCTCCCGAGTAGCTAGGACTACAGGTGTGCACCACCATGCCCAGCTAATTTTTTTGCTTTTTTTTTTATTTTGAGAAGGAGTTTCACTCTTGTTGCCCAGGTTGGAGTGCAGTGGCACAATCTTGGCTTGCCGCAACCTCTGCTTCCCGGGTTCAAGCGATTCTCCTGCCTCAGCCTCCCAAGTAGCTGGGATTACAGGCATGTGCCACCACGCCTGGCTAATTTTGTATTTTTAGTAGAGACGGGGTTTCTCCATGTTGGTCAGGCTGGTCTCAGACTCCTGATCTCAGGTGATCCACCCACCCTGGCCTCCTAAAGTGCCGGGATTACAGGCGTGAGCCATTACGCCTGGCCAATTTTTTTGTATTTTTAGTAGAGACGGGATTTCACCAGGTTGGCCAGGATGGTCTCAATCTCTTGACCTCATGATCTGCCCACCTTGGCCTCCCAAAGTGCTGGGATTACAGGTGTGAGCCACCACACCCAGCCTCCTGATTCTTACAAATGCCATCAGCTGCCCACTGCCTCTTATTTTTTGCAAAAAAAGTATAACACAATCTCTTATACTTTACAGCATTTCTTCATTCCAAGCCTGGATGTTGCTGAAATGTTGATATTACACAAAGCGTAAGTGGCTTTGTAGTATTGTGTAGATATTACACAAAGCGTAAGTGATATTACACAAAGCACCTAAGTGGCCCTTCAGAACAGCATGAACAGATTAAAGGCCATAGTGAATGGCTGTGACAAGTAAAATGACCGGCTGTTTTATGTCTTCTTGCCTTTGATCGGTTCTCCAGCAGCAGGGCAATGCCTCTGACCTTTGTGGTTTCCTAGTAGACCTGACTATCCCCTCCTCAGTGCTCCCCTGAGCTCTGTGGAGACTTTTTGTCAGGCTACCTGTAGTATGTTACTGAACTTAGTTGTTTATCTGGCTGTCTTTCTTTCTTTTTTTTTTTTTTTTTTGTGAGATGGAGTCTCTATCACTGAGGCTGGAGTGCAGTGGTGTGATCTCGGCTCACTGCAACCTCCACCTACCGGATTCAAGCAATTCTCCTGCCTCAGCTTCCCAAGTAGCTGGGATTACAGGCATGTGCCACCACGCCCGGCTAATTTTTTTGTATTTTTAGTAGAGACGGGGTTTCACCACATTGGCCAGGCTGGTCTCGAACTCCTGACCTTGTGATCCACATGCCTTGACCTCTCAAAGTGCTAGGATTACAGGCGTGAGCCACCACACCCAGCCATCTGGCTGTCTTTCTCTACAAAAGTTGATACTTGAAAATAAAGTCAAGTCTTATTCACCTTAGTCCCCTACCAGAGTGCACAGCACACAATAGGCATTCAACAGTTAAACTGTCCAGAAAAGTTATCCAAAACATGGAAATAAGGCAAAGGATGACTGCACGTCCCTTCCATGCCATGCCAGAGCGCATCTAATGGGCTCCCTCAAAGACTGTTAAGTTCTCTAAGAAATTGTACCTTTTGTTTAATTTATTATTTACTCTTGATCCAGGACTAAGAGTCTTTGAAGTTGCATGCTAACTGGCAGATTTTTGTGAGTATGCATGCCTATGATTTCTGTTCAGTAAAAGAGATAACTCCAAAGGTTGCAGTTTTATCACCAGTAGGGTATTAATCTGTTTTGTATCTAATGTAGCCATTGTATTCCAGCATGTCTTTCAAACACTCTGAACCAGCTTTATCATCCTGCTGGTACCCTTATGAACGAGTTAAAAAATCTTTGACATATGTTCACTTTATATTCATGTGAAAGTCATGCTTTAATTAAAAAAAATTACCCCAGGCAACATAGCAAGTCCCCATCTCTACGAAAAATAAAAATTAGCCAAGCATGGTGGTGCACATCTATAATCACAGCTACTTGGGAGGCTGAGGTGGGAGGACTGCTTGAGCTTAGGAGTTTGAGGCTGCAGGGAGCTATGATTGTGCCACTGCACTCCAGCCTGCACAACAGAGACCCTGCCTCTAAAAAATAAAAGTATGAATAAATATATACTTTGACAGCTTTTTTTGACAGTTTTGGAGGCCCCACCAGAATGTTCACGTGGATTTATCTGTCAGAATCAATTAAACTGTGGTGCACGAGAAATGCACATCATGGATTGTTTAGCCCTGGGCACATCTTTCTTTAGCTTCCAGAATGAATCCCAAGTGGAAATAGAACTTGTCCTTCATTGACTCTCTATGTTTTTTACTTTGTTTATGGTTCTTGGTCAAATCTGTTAGTCCTTTAATGGTTTGGGCTCTGATCCTTTTCACAGCTGGGTCCAGGGACTGGTGTATCGTGGACCACTGTATGTCAGCCTCTGTGAATAGAATGAGAACATTCTACATTTATATAACTATAGTTTGGACATGGCAAACAAATTTTTCCTCATTGGCAGCCGCAATATCTGACAATCTATTTTATGTTCTGACCATTTGGTAATCTCTGTTGAGATGCTGGTATCTATTCTCTTTTGGATAAGACATAACAGATAATCTGTTTTTGTTTACTTGTTCATCTACTTGTGACTCCAAATTAATTACGAAGATATCTTGTCATTTAGACTGATGAGTTTTTGTTTCTTTGCTTTTTTTCTTTTTTTTTTAAGACAGGATTTGGCTCTGTCACACAAGCTGGAGTGCAGTGGTGTGATCTCCTCTCCCTGCAGCCTCTACCTCCTAGGCTCAAGTGATCCTCCCATCTCAGCCTCCCGAGTAGCTGGGACTACAGACATGCCACCATACCAGGCTATTTTTTTTTTTAGAGATGGGGTCTTGCTATGTTGCCCAGGCTGTTCTCAAACTCCTGGCCTCAAGTGATCCTCCTGCCTCAGCCTCCCAAAGTGCTGGAATTCCAGGCATGAGCCAGCATGCCCGGCCCCTTTTTGCTTACTTCTGAACCCATGATTGATGCTGTAAAATTGAAGCTGTGAGAACTCTGGGTATTTAGCTGTAATGGAGAAAAGTCCTTACTTTTCTTTACGTGTGTCAAATATTTTCCTACCTCTGAAACATATTCAGAAATTAGGTGACAGTATCTTAAAATTGGAGTTCTGACCGGGCACGGTGGCTTACGCCTGTAATCCCAGCACTTTGGGAGGCCTAGGCAGGCAGATCACTTGAGGTGAGGAGTTCGAGGCCAGCCTGGCCAACATGGTGAAACCCCGTCTCTACTAAAAGCACAAAAATTATCTAGGCATGTCAGCACACACCTGTAGTCCCAGCTACTCAGAAGGCAGAGGTGGGAGAATGCTTTGAATCCAGGAGGTGGAGGCTGCAGTGAGCCGAAATCGTGCCACTGCACTCCAGCCTGGGCAACAGAGTGTGACCCTGTCTCAGAAAACAAAATAAATAAACAAATTGGCTGGGCATGGTGGCTCACGCCTGTAATCCCAGCACTTTGGGAGGCCGAGGGGGGTGGATCAAGAGGTCAGGAGATCGAGACCATCCTGGCTAACATGGTGAAACCCTGTCTCTGCTAAAAATACACAAAAATTAGCCCAGCATGGTGGCGGGCGCCTGTAGTCCCAGCTACTCGCGAGGCTGAGACAGGAGAATGGGGTGAACTGGAGAGGCAGGCTTGCAGTGAGCTGAGATCGTGCCACTGCACTCCAGCCTGGGTGACAGAGCAAGAGTCTGTCTCAAAAATAAATAAATAAACAAACAAACAAACAAACAAAATAGGAGTTCTCCTCTGATTTGTTTGTAGAGACTGATTAAGCACTTCCATAAATCTACTGTGCCCAGAATTCCCAGCAAATAAACAGAACTTCTAATATGTTAAAAGCCTTTTAAGAAAGCCTTTTAACGTCTGGGCGCAGTGGCTCACGCCTGTAATCCCAGCACTTTGGGAGGCCAAGGTGGGCGGATCACCTGAGGTCAGGAGTTCGAGACCAGCCTGACCAACATGGAGAAACCCCGTCTCTACTAAAAACGCAAAAAATTAGCCGGGCGTGATGGCAGGCACCTGTAATCCCAGCTACTCAGGAGGCTGAGGCAGGAGAATGGCATGAACCCAGGAGACGGAGCTTGCAGTGAGCCGAGATTGTGTCACTGCACTTCAGCCTGGGCGACAGAGTGAGACTCCGTCTAAAAAAAAAAACAAAAAACCTGCTAGCTCAGAAGCAATTTTCTATAAGAAACCAAGTTCACATAATCAAGGTGAATCCTTGGACAAATCAGGCTGGTTTAACATCTCATGGCAGAGAAGCAAGGCTTTTTTCTTTCTTCTTATTTCTGAGCCATAATTTAGTAGACTATGCATTTATAATGTGAAATGAAGCAATCTTTAAATGTTCTCACTGACCTCTCAGAATGCAGGACCAAATATTTCTAATGAATCTTTTAATAAGAGAATGTATCCTGATTTGGTTGATGTAACATAACCAGACAAAACAGTGCAAGAAAAGAAAATTACATGCTAAGCTCACTCATTCTGAGCTATTAAAGTTTATCCCAAAAATGCAGGGATGGTTTAACTCTGGGAAAAAATCTATAATGTGCCAGGCACAGGGGTGCATGCCTGCAGTTCCAGCTACTTGGGAGGTTGAAGCGAAAGAATCAGGAGTTTGAGGATGGCCTGGGCAGCATTGCAGGACTCCGTCTCTGGAAGAAAAAAACTCAACAAACTATAATGTAACTCACTAGATTAGTGGAATATAGGAGACCAACCAAATAGAACTGTCATTATCTGCAAGGTCAAAAGATGGTTTTTGTTTTGTTTTGTTTTGCTTTTGGAGACAGGGTCTCATTCTGTCACCCAGGCTGGAGAGCAGTGGCACCATCTCAGTTCACTGCAACCCCTGCCTCCTGGGTTCAAGCGATTCTCCTGCCTAAGCCTCCGAAGTAGCTGGGATTACAGGTGCCCCCCACCATGCCTGGCTAATTTTTATGTTTTTAATAGAGACGGGGTTTCACTGTGTTGCCCAGGCTGGTCTCGAACTCCTGACCTCAGGCAATCTGCCTGCCTCGGCCTCCCAAAGTGCTAGGATTACAGGCGTGAGCCACCGTGCCCCACAAAGAGTATTTCTTAATAAGATCAAGGGCTATACACGGGTGCTGGTTTTCACCATTTCTATTCAACACTCAATTAGGTCCTAAGCAGCATAATAAGGTAAGAAAAATAAATAAAGGAAATGAGTTTGAAAGGAAATAAAGAATGTCAAAATTCATAGAAAATGATTGTTTTCATAGAAAATCCAAAATAATCTACAAATAAAGTGTTGGGGTTAATGAAATAATTTAACAATGTTGCTGGACACAAAATCAAAATTAAAAAATCAGTTGCATTAATATAGTCCAGTTAGGGTATCAAAAAATTAGTTAGGAAATGTCATTTTGGCCAGGCCCAGTGGCTCACGCCTGTAATCCCAGCACTTTGGGAGGCTGAGGCATGTGGATCACTCGAGGTTGGGAGATGAGACTAGCCTGGCCAACTTGGCAAAACCCCATCTCTACTGAAAATACAAAAATTAGGCCGGGTGCGGTGGCTTATGCCTGTAATCCCAGCACTTTGGGAGGCCGAGATGGGTGGATCACCTGAGGTCAGGAGTTCGAGACCAGCCTGGTCAACATGGTGAAACCCCGTCTCTACTAAGAAAAATACAAAAATTAGCCGGACGTGGTGGCAGGAGCCTGTAATCCCAGGTTCTCGGGAGGCTGAGGCAGGAGAGTCACTTGAACCCGGGAGGCAAAGGTTGCAGTGAGTCAAGATCACGCCATTATACTCCAGCCTGGGGCACAAGAGAGAGACTAGGTCTCAAAAAAAAAAAAAAAAGAAAGAAAATTAGCTGGATATGGTGGCATGTGCCTGTCATCCCAGCTACTCGGGAGGCTGAGGCAGGAGAATCACTTGAACCTGGGAGGTGGAAGTTGCAGTGAGCTGAGATTGCCCCACTGCACTCCAGCCTGGGCGACAGAGCGAGACTCTGTCTCAAAATAAATAAATAAATAAAATGTCATTTTAAAACAATGCACTTACAATGCTTTAAGAATATGAAATAATGAATGAATCTAACAAAAAAATTGCAAGGTCTCTACAGAGAAACTTATAAAACTTTATTCAAGATGACCTAAATAAATTATGTTTGTGTATGGAAAGCCTGAATAGCAAAAGTTCTCCTCAAGTGGATTTCTACGGCCCATGCAGAAGTCCACCAGGGTCATGAAACCATAGAAATAGCATTACACACCCACCTGAACCGCAAAAATCCAGAAATCAGACAATAGCAAGTGGGGATGAGGATGTGGTGCAGTGGGAACCTTTATGCACTGATGCTCAGAGCATAAATCGCTACAACTATTTTGGAGCAAAATTTAGAAATGACAAGAAAGACTAGAGATGTGTTTATGACAAAGCAATTGCATTACTGCCGTCTACCTAAGAAATCCAGCACTTACACATGGGGACATACTGTGGAATGTTCACAGAAGCTGTATTGGTATTGGTAAAAAATTAGCCATCATCTAAATGCCCATCAAAACAAGTATGGCTGGGCATGGTGGCTCACGCCTGTAATCTCAGCACCTTGGGAGGCCAAGGACAGAGGATTACTTGAGCCCAGGAGTTTGAGGCCAGCCTGAGAAACATAGTGAGACCTCATCTTTACCAAAAATTAAAAACAACAACAACAACAACAACAAAAACAAACAAAAAAAAACTGGTGTGGTGGTGCAAGCCTGTAGTCCCAACCACCGGGGAGGCTGAGGTGGGAGGAGCTCTTGAGCCTGGGAGGTCCAGGCTTCAGTGAGCTATGATGTGCCACTGCACTTCCAGCCTAGGTCACATGAGATCCTGTCTCAGAGAAAAATAAAATGAGTATGAACAAATAAATGATGGCAGCTCCACAAATAGAATTCTAGACAGCAGTGAAAATGATTATACTGCTAAATGTAGATGACTCTCATAAACATGTTGGTTTTAAAAGTAACCTACAGAAGATTCCATACAATTATATCATTTATACAAATTTTATGCAAAACAATACCAGTGTTGCTTAGTGATACATACATATGGACAACAATTATAAACAAATGTGTTGGGATGATAAACATATAATTCAAAGTACCGGATACTTTTGAGTAGGAGGGAGATGCAATTAGGGAGGAGTATGCAGGAGATTTCAAACTTCATTAATAATATTTTATTTCTTGGCCAGGAGCGGTGGCTCACACATGTAATCCCAGCACTTTGGGAGGCCGAGGTGGGCGGTTCACTTGAGGTCAGCAGTTCGAGACCAGCCTGGCTAACATGGCGAACCCTCGTCTCTACCAAAAATACAAAAATTAGCCGGGCATGGTGGCATGAGCCTATAGTTCCAGCTACTCGGGAAGCTGAGGTGGAAGAATCACTTGAACCGGGGAGGCGGAGGTTGCAGTGAGCCGAGATCGCGCCACTGCACTCCAGTCTCCTGGGCGACAGAACGAGACTCCGTCTCAAAACAAAACAAAACAAAACAAACAAAAAACATCATAAATGTCAATGCGCACACCACCCAGCTTTAGAAATAATTTCCTCTGTCGCCCAGGAGGCAGTGGCGCGATCTCGGCTCACTGCAGCCTCCGCCTCCCAAGAGTTCAAGCGATTCTCTGCTGCAGCCTCCCGACTAGCTGGAAATACAGACGTGTGCCACCAGGCTAATTTTTAAAAATTATTTTCACAACAACCTCTGGTTCTAATATACCACATCTTATTCAGAATTTTTTCATTGCAAGGAACAGCCAGTAGGTGGCAGGGGAAGCTTGGTATTTGCTGTGTCTGACAAAACAACCTTCCCCCCAACCCGCAATCACATAAACGTAAGGCTTCCTTTAAAGTCACTGATCACATGTCACTTTCCAAAATAAAATGAATTAGCTAAAACCATTGCTTTCCTTATTCATGAATATTTGCATTCTGGTATTCATTGTTCCTAATAGTAACACTATGATCTTTTGAAACATTATTAAACTTTCCAGTGGGGCAACTGGTTTTTATCCCCTGGTGCCACTACAGCAATGCTTCTGTGAAACAGGCTGCCACCGCAGGTTCCGACAACAGGGTTATTGCAGCATGTGCATGGGGGTGCAGTGGGGGAGTGGGACTGCAAAAACGGCAGCCATCTCATGCCTGAGTTCCTACCCATCTCGCTGACCTTGGGTGCAGACCGTCAGGCACATTGCTGAAATCTGCTTTCACACTCACTCCTAAGAACGTTCTTATTTTCTATGGGGGGTGAGGGAGGTGGCAAATGCCACATAAATATCTTGCTTTATGTAGAGCAACTAAGCAATACAGACTAGCTCAGCAAAATGATCTGTCTGCATATTTTCCTAAATAAAACAGCAACCGAAGACATCTTCTATTTTCTGCTTAGGGCCGAATTAGAAAATTATTGCAGGCCGGGTGCGGTGGCTCACGTCTGGAATCCCAGTACTTTGGGAGACCGAGGCGGGCCGATCACTCGAGGTCAGGAGCTCAAGACCATCCTGGCCAACATGGTGAAACCCCACCTCTACTAAAAATACAAAAATTAGCCAGGCATGGTGGTGCATACCTGTAATCCTAGCTACTTGGAGGCTGAGGCATCAGAATCATTTGAACCTGGAAAGCAGAGGCTGCAGTGAGCTGAGATCACGCCACTGCATTCCAGCCTGGGCCACAGAGTGAAACTCCATCTCAGGAAAAAAAGAAAAGAAAAGAAAGGAAAATTATTGTGGGTCATGGTCTGAATCTGGCCGGCGGATGTATTTTGTGGGGCTACTGCCATTTGAAGTGTGTTTTTAATTGGTCAAAATTAAAAATTCAGGAGAGATCACATAGAATTAAGATTTTAGGTTTCTCTTAAAAAAAAAAAAAAGCAAAACATATTCTGGCAATGCCTTTCCATGGGGCCCAGTGAGCAGGAACAGAGCCAGGCTGACCCTGCCTCTGGAAGGGGAATATGTGGCTGTCTCACCCAGGCCTTGCACTCCTGGCTATCTGTTGTTTTGCCCTGACAAAGACTCTCCTTATCCAAACTCTGGCCAGGCTCCTCTGAGCCCTTTCTCCACTGGACCTCAATGTTGGCCTAGCAAGAGTTGAGCAAAACACTGACCCAGTTTCTAGCAGCTTAAAGCCACTTCTCTAGGATGTCCCCAGAGGAAAAATGCCTGCCTGAGGAAACTCAAGCTGCCAAAAGAATTACTGACTCCCAACCTCGGTGGGGGCATAGGAGCCTAACTTGGGTAACACTAGGCCCTCATTCCTGCTTTTCATAACTTTTCACTTCCCTCAGTCTACTGAGCCCCTGCTCACTCACTTCACTGCTCCCTCATTCTCTCTTTAAAAACTCCCAGTCACCTCTGTACAAATCGAGGTTGAGCTCAATTCATGCTAGACTCTCTCTGTTACTGAACCACCAGGGTTTCAGTCTCCGTCCTGCCGCAAGCTGCACAGAAAGCCAATGAACTGGGACCACCAGTAATGCCAAGGAAGAAGGCGTTAATCCAGTGCTATGGCCGAGGAGATGGGGACTCAGCCTCAAATCCATCTCCCTGACCCACTAAAACTAGGGGTTTCTATAGCAGGGAGGGAATGTAACAATGTGTAAGAAAACAGGAACTTGGGAGGGCCAAGGAGGCAATCATGATGAATGAAGGGTCCAACTCATTGTCAGGATGTGGTGATCTGGTGAGTTTCAGTTCCCTGATACTTTTTTTGAGCAGCCTGAAGGTCCATTCCTGAGGAAAGAACTCAGATAAAACAAACGTAAGCTTCAAGCTTTAAGACCAGAAGGGTCCATTTCTGTGTCTATCCAAAAAAAACTGGCTGGGTGCGGTGGCCCGCGCCTGTAATCCCAGCACTTTGGGAGGCCGAGATGGGTGGATCATGAGGTCAGAAGTTCAAGACCAGCCTGGCCAAGATGGTGAAACCCTGTCTCTACTAAAAATACAAAAATTAGCCGGGCGTGGTGGTGGGCGCTTGTAATCCCAGCTACTCAGTAGGCTGAGGCAGAGAATTGCTTGAACCTGGGAGGCAGAGGTTGCAGTGAGCTGAGATCGCGCCACTGTTCTCCAGCCTGGGCAACAGAGCAAGACTCCATCTCAAATCCCCCCCTACCCCAACCAACTTAAATGTCAATAAGACTTTTTTTTTTTTTTTAAAAAACAAGGTTGTGCTCTGTTACCTAGGCTGGAGTACAGTGGTGTAATCGTAGCTCACTATAGCCTCGACCTCCTGGACTCAAGCGATCCTCCCACCACAGCCTTCTGAATAGCTGGGACTACAGGTGTGCATCACCACACGTGGCTAAGTTTTTTATTTTTATTTTTATTTTATTTTGAGACGGAGTTTCGCTCTTGTTGCCCAGGCTGGAGTGCAATGGTGCAATCTCAGCTGACTGCAACCTCTGCCTTCCAGGTTCAAGCGATTCTCCTGCATCAGCCCCCCGAGTAACTGGGATTACAGGCACCCACCACCACGTCCAGGTAATTTTTGTGTATTTTTAGTAGAGATGGGGTTTTGCTATGTTGGCCAAGCTGTTCTCGAACTCCTGACCTCAGGTGATCCACCCACCTCGGCCTCCCAAAGTGCTGGGATTACAGGCGTGAGCCACAGTGCCCGGCCTAAGTTTTTTATTTTTAGTAGAGATGGGGTCTTGCTAGATGATTTTTATTAAAGATGGGGGCCTTGTTGCCCAGGCTTGTCTTGAATTCCTGGGCTCAAGCAATTCTCCCACCTCAGCCTCCCAAAGTTCTGGGATTACAGGTGTGAATCACCACACCTGGCTGAATTTTTTCTTAAACACAAGGTTTTTGTAGCAGATAATTTAGAATTACCTGTATGAGAAAACATGCCCTTCTGTGTTTCTTGCTTGTTTCCTTTTTTTTTTTTTTTAGACGGAATCTTACTCTGTCAACCAGGCTGGAGTGCAGTGGTGCAATCTCGGCTCACTGCAACCTCCACTTCCCAGGTTCAAGTGATTCTCCTGCCTCAACCTCCTGAGTAGCTGGGATTACAGGTGTGTGCCACCATGCCTGGTTAATTTTTGTATTTTTAGTAGAGACAGGGTTTCACTGTGTTGGCCAAGCTGGTCCTGAACTCCTGACCTCAGGTGATCTAACTGCTTCGGCCTCCCAAAGTGCTGAGATTAGAGGCATGAGCCACCATGCCTGACCTCTTGCTTGTTTACTTTTTAAGTAATCAATATGACCATGTTTTTTATTCTGTTTAATAAATTCACTTTCTCCTTAATATCTCACATTAAGCCCTAATTTTAGATGGGACTAGATGTGTTATTGTTCTTCTTCCTTCCATCCTTCTGTTCTCAATAACACGAGCAACTCAAGGATACAAGATTAGTATTTTCAACCATCTGCAGTTTTGTTGTCTTTTTTTTTTTTTTGGTTATTACCAATTTTAATTTCAGACCCAAACTTCACTTGATTAAATTTGTTAGAATTTGTTAGAAGCTCTCTTAATGCCTTGCAGAGCAGAACTGGGGTTTCCAAACGAGTGTCTCTGATGTATGTGTAAGCCACAGTCAACAAAACAGCCCAAACTTTCTGGTCCAGTCCAATTTGGCCATTGCTGTATAAATATGACCTTAAGGCTAGAGGCCTTGAAGTTATTTGATTTAGTGCTTAGCTTTCAAGCTACCATAATCCTGTCCTTTAGCTCCCTGACATTTAAAATGCCATTTCACACAGGAAGTCACTTATACTGGTTAGTGATTCTGGCAGAGTAACCAAGCTTTCAAGTTTTTCTTCCCCCTCCCACCCACCACATGATTCCAGGTCTTGTCTGAATTATTCAACCTTCTTTCCCATCTTGCCTTTACCACCTCACTGTTTTATGCATAAATATGGTCTCCGTGCATTGTATTTATGTAATAGATCATTCCCTCAGTCAGTTGCTAAAGATATGAAGAATTTATAAACTAAGACCACGGCCTTCAAGGGGTTATCTTCTGATTTGAGTACTGGTTTGGAGTTTGAATTTCCAAGCCCTGATTAAGGTTGTTGAAGGTGACCACTGTGGTTGATCCGAAACATCCATTCCACCCCAGATGATTAGGCTCTAACCCAGAGCGGCAGCCCTGCTCTCCGGCCTGGTGGGTCAGTTTTAGAATCCGGTGCATGAATTAGTTCTGACAGAGGAGATGAAGGGGAAGTCAGCCGAGGGAGTCTCTAGGAAAGTTCTCTCTCCTAAGAGAGAGTCACAAGAGAAGAGCTTCTTGTTAAATCTAGTGGATTGGAAAAATGCCTCTCATCCAACAGAAGCTCCATTAAAATGCTATAAAAGGCCGGGCGCGGTGGCTCACACCTGTAGTCCCAGCACTCTGGGAGGCCGAGGCGGGTGGATCACAATGTCGGGAGATAGAGACCATCCTGGCTAACACGGTGAAACCCCGTCTCTGCTAAAAATACAAAAAAAAAATTAGCCGGGCGTGGTGGCAGGCACCTGTAGTCCCAGCTACTCTGGAGGCTGAGACAGGAGAATGGCGTGAACCCGGGAGGCAGAGCTTGCAGTGAGCTAAGATTGCGCCACTGCACTCCAGCCTGGGCGACAGAATGAGACTCCATCTCAAAAAAAAAAAAAAAGCTATAAAAGGGATTTGAAATAGTGTAAGTTCACAAGGGCAAAGATGATGGGAGAAATGGACATTTTGGAAGCAAGGAGAGAGAGGACTGATGATTGACCCAATGAATCCAAGAAGGCAGAAACCTCAGCCAGCCATGGAGAAAGGCCTATAGGAAGTCAGGTGGTGTTGAGTACCCCCAGAAAGGCCCAAAAACTGGGGCACCGAGCACTTATGAAATGGGGGTACATGTGGTGATAAAAACGAGAACTTTTCTGAATGTGTGTCCAACAAGCACGAGACCCCAGATCTCCCTTCTTCCTCCAAGCAAAAGAGTAGAGTTCATTCTCTCAAGATACTGAGCCAAAGAGACTTAGGCTGGCTGAGGATGAAGACAGGAAGAGGGTACTATGGTGAAAATAGGGAGATAAAGTGAAACGCCTCGTGTTGAATAAGATCCTTCCCACAGGCAAAACGACTGAGGCACTTGTAGGCACAAAATTTAAGGGAACACCAAAAACTCAGTAATCTAGAGAAGTAACATTCATGCACATCAATTCATATGTTTTTTATTTTCTTTGCTTGTGCTGTTTTTTTTTTTTTTCCCCGAGACGAGTCTCGCTCTGTCACCCAGGCTAGAGTGTGCAATCTCAGCTTCACTGCAGCCTCCATCTCCCGGGTTCAAGTGATTCTCCTGCCTCACCCTCCCAAGTAGCTGAGATTACAGGCACATGTCACCACGCCTGGCTAATTTTTGTATCTTTAGTAGATACCGGGTTTCTCTATGTTGCCCAGGCTGGTATCAAACTCCTGACCTCAAGTGATCTGCCTGCCTCGGCCTCCCAAAGTGCTGGGATTACAGGCATGAGCTACTGCACTCAGCCTCATGGTTTCTTCTTTCATCTCTGATCTTCTTTATGTGATCATTTTCCTCCTTTTGAAGTTACTATAGTGAGGGCCACTTTGTGAACTCTTAGATTTTATTAACTCTTTCTGAAAAATGTCTTCATTTCATCCTGTTTTTGAAAGATAGTTTTACTGGGCCAGTTGTGGTGATTTGCCTGTAATCCCAGCACTTTAGGAGGCTGAGGTGGGCTGATCACTTGAGCTCAGGAGTCCAAGACCAATCTGAGCAACATGGCAAGACACCACCTCTACTAAAAATACAAAACATTAGCCTGGCATGGTGGCACATGCCTGTGATCCCAGCTACTTGGGAGGCTGAGGCAGGAGGATCACCTGAGTCAGGAGGTCGAGGCTGCAGTGAACTGTGATCAGACCACTGCACTCCAGCCTGGGCAGTGGGAGTAAGACCCTGTCTCAAAAAAAAATAGAAAAAAAAAACAGTTTTACTGGGTTTGCAACTCTGGGTTGACTCTTGTTTTCTCTAAGCATTTTGAAGATACTATTCCACCATCTTCTGACTTCTATTGTTGCTGTAGAGAAGTTTACATTCAGTCTAAGTATCATTTCTTTGTTCATGATTGGTCTTTTCTGCCTGCTTGCTTTTGAGATTTTTTTTTCCTTTGATGTTACGCAGTTTTACTGTTGTGTGGATTTCTTTTTCATTATCCTGCTTGGTATATGTAGCCATTTGTGAATCTGATGTCTTTGACAGATTCTATAAAATTTTCACCCGTTGTCTCTTCAAATTTCTGCAACAACTCTCTTCTTTTTATCCTCTCTTTCTGGAATACAAATAAAATGTATTTTAAACATCAAACTCCTGGGTTCAAGTGATCTTTTCACTTCAAGCTCCCTAATAGCTGGGACTACAGATGCATGCCACAACACCCAACTGATTTTTTTTGTAGAGACAGAGTCTTGCTATGTTACCCAGGCTGGTCTTAAACTCTTGGCCTCAAGTGTTCCTCCTGTTTGACCTCCCAAAGTGCTGGGATTGTAGGTGTGAGCCACTGTGCCTGGCCATTGTTTCTCTCCTTAGATCAGTGTTTGACCAAGGATAGTCTGAGAACTCCTGGTAGAAACTGGAGTCTTTGGGGCTGAGACACTGGCATTTGCCCTAATTAAAAGAAAAATCTCGGCCACGCGCAGTGGCTCATGCCTGTAATCCCAGCACTTTGGGAGGCCGAGGCAGGCAGATCACGAGGTCAAGAGATTGTGACCATCCTGGCCAACATGGTGAAACCCCGTCTCTACTAAAAATACAAAAATTAGCTGGGTATGGTGACGCGCACCTGTAGTCCCAGCTACTTGGAAGGCTGAGGCAGGAGAATCACTTGAACCCAGGAGGCGGAGGTTACAGTGAGCCAAGATTGCACCACTGCACTCCAGCCTGGGCAACAGAGCGAGACTCTGTCTCCAAAAAAAAAAAAAAAAAAAAAGAAATCTCCAGGTGAATCTTAAACTCCTATAAGTTTGAGAACCTTCTAGATTTTAAATATATGAGGATACAGATGACTATTATTTGTCTTAGTAACCTTCTCGCTCTACCCCAATCCCTTACATTAAGTAGATACTCTGTGAACAATTTTTAAATGAAAATGGAACATTAAATGTATGTTACCAAAACACAATACATTAGACTGAACCATCAAAAAACTGCCATTTCTGTAGGTCAAAACAGTTGAATAAGCAGCAATTTCCTTTAGTTTGTCAAAAGACAAAATTACAGCAAACAGTTTAAAAATCTAATTGGCTTTTATTTGTGATACTTGAATTGGGCAACACTTTATTCCATAAAATAGAACAAGTGCTCTGATGAGCTAAGCAGAGGAGGCTGGCTTTACATCCAGAAAAGGGCTGAAGAAAGCAGAAACAGAGAACAAAAAGTGAATTGGTCATTTCAATGTTACTTTCCTTCTAAAGATTAAAGCAGAGAGAATTGCTTTATCATGCCGGTTAAAACTGACCTGTTCAGGGATTTGGCTAAACAAATCTCTAATATCTAATCCTTTTGTGTCTGGAATTGGTGGATTCTTGGTCTCACTGACTTCAAGAATGAAGCCGCGGACCCTCGCAGTGAGTGTTACAGCTCATAAAGGAAGTGCGGACCCAAAGAGTGAGCAACAGGAAGCTTTATTGCAAAGAGCGAAAGAACAAAGCTTCCACAGTGTGGAAGGGGACCCCAGTGGGTTGCCACTACTGGCTCGGGCAGCCTGATTTTATTCCCTTATCTGGCCCCACCCACATCCTGCTGATTGGTCCATTTTACAGAGAGCTAACTGGTCCGTTTTGACAAGGTGCTGATTGGTGCATTTACAATCCCTGAGCTAGACCCAAAAGTTCTCCAAGTCCCCACTAGATTAGCTAGACACAGAGCACTGATTGGTGCATTTACCAACCTTGAGCTAGACACAGGGTGCTGATTGGTTCATCCACAATCCCTTAGCTAGACATAAAGGTTCTCCAAGTCCCCACCAGATTAGCCAGATACAGAGTGCTGATTGGTGCATTCAAAACCTTGAGCTAGACACAGAGTGCTGATTGGTGCATTTACAAGCCTTGAGCTAGACACAGAGTGCTGATTGGTGTATCTACAATCCCTTAGCTAGACATAAAGGTTCTCCAAGTCTCCACTAGACTCAGGAACCCAGCTGGCTTCACCTAGTGGATCCTACACCAGTGCCGCAGGCGGAGCTGCCCACCAGTCCCGCGCCCTGTGCCTGCACTACTCAGCCCTTGGGTGATCGATGGGACCGGGCGTCGAGGAGCAGGGGGCGGCACTTGTTGGGGAGGCTGCGCCATGCAGAAGCCCACGGCGGGGGTAGGGGGGTGGGGAGGCTTGGGCATGGCTGGCTGCAGGTCTGGAGCCCTGCCCTGTAAGGAGGCAGCTGAGGCCTGGCGAGAATTCGAGCACAGCGCCAGCGGGCCAGCACTGCTGGGGAACCCGGCGCACCCTCCGCACCTGCTGGCCCGGGTGCTAAGCAGCTCAGTGCCTGGGGCCAGTGGTGCTGGCCGGCTGCTCTGAGTGCGGGGCCTGCCGAGCCGACGCCCACCTGTGGGGAAAAGCAAGAGAGATCAGATTGCTACTGTGTCTGTGTAGAAAGAAATAGACATAGGAGACTCCATTTTGTTCTGTACTAAGAAAAATTCTTCTGCCTTGAGATTCTGTTAATCTATGACCTTACCCCGCAACCCCGTGCTCTCTGAAACATGTGCTGTGTCAAACTCAGGGTTAAATGGATTAAGGGTTGTGCAAGATGTGCTTTGTTAAACAAATGCTTGAAGGCAGCATGCTCCTTAAGAGTCATCACCACTCCCTAATCTCAAGTACCCAGGGACACAAACACTGCGGAAGGCCGCAGGGACCTCTGCCTAGGAAAGCCAGGTATTGTCCAAGGTTTCTCCCCATGTGATAGTCTGAAATATGGCCTCGTGGGAAGGGAAAGACCTGACTGTCCCCCAGCCCGACACCCGTAAAGGGTCTCTGCTGAGGAGGATTAGTATAAGAGTAAGGCATGCCTCTTGCAGTTGAGACAAGAGGAAGGCATCTGTCTCCTGCCTGTCCCTGGGCAATGGAATGTCTCGGTATAAAACCCGATTGTACGTTCCATCTACTGAGATAGGAAAAAACCGCCTTAGGGCTGGAGGTGGGACATGCAGGCAGCAATACTGCTTTGTAAAGCATTGAGATGTTTATGTGTATGCATATCTAAAAGCACAGCACTTGATTCTTTACCTTGTCTATGATGCAAAGACCTTTGTTCACGTGTTTGTCTGCTGACCCTCTCCCCACTATTGTCTTGTGACCATGACACATCCCCCTCTCGGAGAAACACCCACGAATGATCAATAAATACTAAGGAAACTCAGAGGCTGGCGGGATCCTCCATATGCTGAACGCTGGTTCCCCAGGTCCCCTTATTTCTTTTTCTGTACTTTGTTTCTGTGTCTTTTTCTTTTCCAAGTCTCTCGTTCCACCTTATGAGAAACACCCACAGGTGTGGAGGGGCAACCCACCCCTTCACCCACCCAGAACTCACGCTGGTCCCGTTCCTGCCTGTGCCTCTCCACACCTCTCTGTAAGCAGAAGGAGCTGGCTCCGACCTCAGCCAGCCCTGAGAGGGGCCACCATAGTGCAGCGGCAGGCTGAAGGGCTCCTCAAGCATGGCCAGAGCAGGCCCCGAGGCTGAGGAGGCACTGAGAGCGAGCAAGGGCTGCCAGCACGCTGTCGCCTCTCACTTTCTCTCTCTTTCCTGATTTCATGGAAGATCAGAGGAACCAGTTAGTTTTGGCTTGGTGGCATGGAACTTTAGCATGAGTGACTCCATTTTGGTTACGTCTATTCACCCTAATGCAGGAGCTTAGTCTAAACCAACAGCTTTATAATTTTTTTTTCTTCTTTTTTGAGACAGCGTGTCATTCTCGCTCTCACCCAGGCTGGAGTGCAGAGGCACAATCACAGCTCCCTGCAGCCTCAACTTCCTGGGCTCAAGCAATCTTTTCACCTCAGCCTCCTGAGTAGCTAGGATCACATTTGGGCACCACTATGCCCGGCTAATTTTTGTAGAGATGGGATTTTGCCATGTTGCCCAGGTTGGTCTGGAACTCCTGGGCTCAAGCAATTCACCCACTTTGGCCTCCCGAATTGCTGGAGCTACAAGTGTGAGCCACTGCACCTGGCCTAGATTTTATTTAACAGGTTCATTAGTCTTGCTAATTTTCTCATAATCTAATAATTAAAGAAATGTATGAACCATAAGATGTCAAGTAAATTAGACTTCTTAGTTTTGAACCTTTTGGAGAGCATATGGAAACCGCCTAAACATAAAATTAGTCTTAGGTTAATAAATTCCTGAAGTTCAAACTAAAACGTAAAAATGGTTAATAGCATACTCTGAGTTGTAGTAGTCTTTAAAATGTTTATTACAAGCCATGAGAGCATTGAACTAAAAATGAGCACTGAGTTTTGTTTTGGTTTTGTTTTTGTTTTTTTGAGACGGAGTCTGGCTCTGTTGCCCAGGCTGGAATGCAGTGGCACGATCTCTGCTCACTGCAAGCTCTGCCTCCTGGGTTCACGCCATTCTCCTGCCTCAGCCTCCTGAGTAGCTGGGACTACAGGCGCCCAACACCATGCCCGGCTATTTTTTTTTGTATTTTTAGTAGAGACGGGGTTTCACCATGTTAGCCAGGATGGTCTCAATCTCCTGACCTCGTGACCCGCCAGCCTCGGCCTCCCAAAGTGCTGGGATTACAGGCATGAGCCACCACGCCAGGCTGAGCACTGGGTTTTAGAGTCTTGGTGATAGATGCAGGAGGTAGATAAGGTGGAGGATGCGTGGAGAATGTCTGACCTGCCTGCACACAGGGAGGACAGGGTGGAGCCATGGGAAGCTTGTGCCATTTGCATAGGGGAGGAGCCTGGTCTCTTCAGTTTCTGTGTGAAACTGATTGATTCTTGTGTCCTGAAATCAATCTGTGAGGTGTGGGCCTGTTAGCAGGAACCTCTCCCGCTTTGCTGAGAGGTTTCTTTTCTCTTTTAGCAGAACCCAGATTTAGCTGAACAAAAGAGCAGAAATTCTGCAACACTGGGATGTCTAAAGGCACCAAGAATATTCATTGGGGAAAGGATAATCTCTTTAATTTGTGCTGGAAAAACTGGATATCCACATGCAGAAGAATGAAACTAGATTCCTATCTCTCATCATATTCAAAAATCAACTCAACATGGTTGAAAGGCTTAAGTGTGTAAGACCTGAAACTAAAAAACTATTAGATGAAAACTTTGAGGAAACTGTCCAGGACATTGGTTTGGTCAAAGATTTTATGAGTAAGACCTCAAAAGTAAGGAAAACAAAAGTAAAAATAGACAAATGGGATTACATCAAACTAAAAATGTTTCCACACAGCAAAGGAAACAATTAACAGAGTGAAAAGATAACCTGTAGAATGGGAGAAAATATTTGTAAACTATTCATCTAAGAAGAGATTAATATCCAGAATATACAAGAAACTCAAACAGCTCAACACCAAAAACAAACAATCTGATTAAAAATGGGCAAATGAGCTGAACAGAAATCTTTCACAAGAAAATGTGCAAATGGTCAACAGACTATATTTTAAAATGCTCAAAATTACTAATCATCAGGGAAATGCAAATCAAAGCCACAATGTTATCTCACCCCAGTTAGGATGGCTACTTTCAAAAAGATTAAAAAATAAATGCTGGCAAGGATACAGAGAAAGGGTAACTCTTACACACTGTTGGTGGGAATATAAATTAGTACAGCCATTATGTATGGAAACAGTATAGAAATTATTCAAAAAACTAAAAATATAACTATTATATGGACACAGGAGATAAAAAAATTATTTAGGCAGTTAGTGAGGGTAAGAGAGCCCACAGTAAGTCTTCCTTTTTAACAAAAAGCAGCCCCCAAATCATTTCTAACAAAAAGCAGCCTGTAAAATCGAGCTGCAAACATATATAAGTAAGCTGGAAGCTTGCATGGGTGAATGCCAGCAGCTGTGCCAATAGGAAAAGGCTACTTGGGGGCCAGCCATGTTCAACGTGGAGGCTCCACCTTCCCTTTCCTTTTTCTTTTTTTTTTTTTTTTGAGATGGAGTCTCTGCTCTGTCGCCAGGCTGGAGTGCAGTGGCGTGATCTCGGCTCACTGCAACCTCCGCCTCCTGGGTTCAAGCAATTCTCCTGTCTCAGCCTTCCAAGTAGCTGGGACTACAGGTCACATCACCACGCCCAGCTAATTTTTGTATTTTTAGTAGAGATGGGGTGTCACCATGTTGGTCAGGCAGGTCTCCATCTCTTTACCTCATGATCTGCCCGTCTCGGCCTCCCAAAGTGCTGGCATTACAGGTGTGAGCCACCGCGCCTGGCCCACCTTCCCTTTTCTTTGTCAACCACGTGTACGGTAAAGGAACAGGCAACAATGGCCAGCCAGGTAGAGACCCCATCTGCATAATAAAATATTAGGGTGGGGTGGCCAGCTTCTTTGTGCACTATGCAAATGGAAAACCTGGTACAACCAATCTCTCAGGCTCTATGTAAATCAGACACTGCCTCCTCAAGTTCACCTATAAAACCCTGTACATTTCACCATGGAACTGGAAGACCCATGGAACTGGAAGACTGGGAGCCCTAACCTCTCTGCAGGAGAGACAACTTTTCTCTTTTTTTTTTGCCTATTAAACCTCTGCTCTTAATCTCACTCCTTGTGTATCTACGTCCTTAATTTCCTTGGCATGAGGCAACAAACCTCGGTATTACTCCAGATGATCGACACTGCTTCAATATGATCCAGGAATTTCACTAGTCAGTATACAACCAAAAGAAGGGAAACCAATATTGTTACCAAAACACCGGGGATTCAGTCTTGATCCTGCTGCTTACTGCAAAGAAAGCCAATCACTGAGACAACAATTATTGTCAAAGAAGGCTTTAATTGAGTGGTGCAGCAAAGAAGAAGGGAAATCAGTCTCAAATTCATCTCCCCCACTGACTAAAATTAGGGGTGTACAGAGCAGAGAAGAAATGTAACGATGTATGGGAAGACAGGAACTTGGGAGGGGTGAGGAAGCAATCATGATGAATGAAGGGCCTGGCATCTGATTGTATGAATATGGTGACATGGTGAGTTTCAGTTTTTTGATACCTTCTGAGAGGCCTGGGGTCCTTTCCTGAGGAAGGAACTCAAATAAAACAAAGGTAAGTTTCAAGCTTTAACACCAGAAGAGTCAATTTCTATGTTTATCCCCCAAAACTGTCTATGGGACTATTGGGTTGCTTTCAATGTGTTGAAGAGATACCTGTACCTCCATGTTTATTGCAGCTCTCTCATGATAGCCAAGGTCTAGAATCATCATAAGTGTCAATCAACAGATGAGGGAAAAAGAAAGATATACACAATGGAATACTATTCAGCCATAAAAGGAATGAAATCCTGTCCTTCACAGCAACATGGATGAAACAGGAGGTCTTTATTTAAGTGAAATAAGCCAGGCACAGAAAGATAAATACTGCATGCTCTCATTCATATGTCAAAACTAAAAAAGTTGATCTCATAGAAAGAGAGAGTAGAATAGTGTGAATTAGAAGTAGAGAGTAGAGGCTAGGTGCAGTGGCTCACAGCTGTAATCCCAGCACTCTGGGAGGCCAAGCAGGGTGGATCACCTGAGGTCAGGAGTTTGAGACCAGCCTGGTCAACATGGTGAAACCTCGTCTCTACTAAAAATATAAAAAATAAGCTAGGCATGGTGGTGGGCACCTGTAATCCCAGCTGCTCAGGAGGCTGAGGCAGGAGAATCGCTTGAACCCAGGAGGCAGACATTGCAGTGAGCCGAGATTGCACCATTGCACTCCAGCCTGGCCGACAAGAGCGAAACTCCATCTCAAAAAAAAAAAAAAAAAAAAAAGTAGAGAGTAGAATAGAATAGTGGTTACTGGAGGGGATGAGGGTGAGCTAGTGAGAGGTTGATTAATATATAAAATTACAGTTAGATAGGAGTAAGTTCCAGTGTTCTATAGCACTGTAGGATGAGTCAAATTGACAACAATTTATTGTATATTTTCAAATAGCTAGAGGAGCAAAGTTTGAATGTTTCCAACCCCCAAAAATGATAAATATTTGAGGTAAAGAATATGCTAATTACCTCAATTTGATCAGTACACATTGTATACTTGTATCAGCATATCACACTGTACTCTATAAATATGTGTAATTACTATGTGCCAATTTAAAATATTAATAAAAGCACAAAAGAGGTAGGAGGTGGGCTGGGCATGGTGGCTCACGCCTATAATTCCAGCACTTTGGGAGGTTGAGGCGAGTGGATCACGAGGTCAACAGATCGAGACCATCCTGGCCAACATGGTGAAACCCTGTCTCTACTAAAACTACAAAAATTAGCTGGGCATGGTGGCACACCCCTGTAGTCCCAGCTACTCAGGAGGCTGAGGCAGGAGAATCACTTGAACCCAGGAGGCAGAGGTTGCAGTGAACGCAGATCACACCACTGCATTCCAGCCTGGGTGACAGAGGGCGACTCCGTCTCAAAAAAAAAAAAAAAAGAAGAAGTAGGAGGTGAAACTGACTCAATAGTCCCATAGACAGTTTTTTGGATAAATATAGAAATTGACCCTTCTGGTCTTAAAGCATGAAGCTTACATTTATTTTATCTCAGTTTCTTCCTCAGGGATGGACCTTCAGGCCTCTCAAAAAAAGTATAACAGAACTGAAACTCACCAGATCACCATATTCAGACAATGAGATGCCCAGCCCCCAATTCATCGTGATTGCTTTCTTGTGGCTCCCTACTTCCTGTTTCCTACACATTGTTACATTTCTTACCTGCTATAGAAACTCCTAGTTTTAGTTGGTCAGGGCGATGGATTTGAGATTGAGCTCACATCTCCTTGGCTGCAGCACACAATTAAAGCCTTCTTCTGAAACAGGAATTAAAAGAAATTAAAGAATGTGTAAGCAAAAACTCAGTTGTATGTAAAAAAAAACCAATTCCCCCTGAGGAAAAGAAAGAGCTGAAGTCCTTTAAAAATTAATTGCCTGTTTTTCTGTGGCTAGTGAGCCTTATCTCTCCCTTTCCCAGGCATTGTGAAGACCCTGTTTCTCTAGCTGTGCAACTGCAAGGTCACTAGGCAGATAAACTCAAGTCGTAAAACATGTTTTTCCTTGAAAAGTAAGAAATGATGTAATGCATGTCTCAATTGAATAACTGTCTGTTTCTCACTTCTGTAATATGCTTCCCCCTGCACAGATCTCCCCCTGCCCCACAAAATGCTTAAAAGGTAACCGGACTCTTTGTTCAGGGCTCAGTCTTTTTGGATGTTAATCTGACTGGGCCAGTGCACCTAAATAATAAATAATAAGCACCCTCCTCAACCCCTCTGTCTCTCTGATTCCTAAATTATCCTGCTGCACTTCCTTGGCAATACTTGTCCTCTGAATAATCGGCTTTCTGTGCAGCAAGCAGCAAGACCTAGACCAAACCTTGGTGTTTTGGTAACAGATGTCTGGAGTGGATTAATTTAATGCATTTCAATACTTTTCAATTCTTCAAAATATTCTGAAGAAAATACATTAGGCTGGGCATGGTGGCTCATGCCTGCAATCCCAGCACTTTGGGAGACCTAGGCAGGCAGATCACGAGCTCAGGGGATAGAGACCATCCTGGCTAACAGAGTGAAACCCTTTCTCTACTAAAAATACAAAAAATTAGCTGGGCTTGGTGGCACATGTCTTTAGTCCCAGCTACTCGGGAGGCTGGGGCAGGAGAATTGCTTGAACCTGGGAGGTGGAGCTTGAAGTGAGCCGAAATCCGGCCAATGCACTCCAGCCTGGGTGATAGGGTGAGACTCCATCTCAAAAAAAAAAAAAAAAAAAAAAAAAAATATATATATATATATATATATATATATATATATAAATTAGCTGGGCGTAGTGGTGCATGCCTGTAGTCCCAGCTACTCAGGGAGACTGAGGCAGGAGAATCACTTGAACTCGGGACATAGTGGTTGCAGTCAGCCAAGATCATGCCATTGCTCTCCAGCCCGGGTGACAGTGAGACTCCATCTAAAAAAAAAAAAAGAAGAAGAAAAATAAAATACTTAAACAAATTAAAAATAGATTTAGGGTTACAAGTGCAGTTTTGTTACATGAATATATCGCATAGTGATGAAGTCTGAGCTTTAAGTTTAACCATCACCCGAATAGCGTATACTGTACCCATTAGGTGATTTTTCATCCCTCACTATTCTCCCAACCTCCTACCTTTCCGATTTTCCATTGCCTATTTCTATTATTCCAATCTCTATGTCCATGTGTACACATTATTTAGCTCTCACTTAAAAGTGAGAACTTGTGGTATTTCACTTTCTGTTTCTGAGTTATTTCACTTGTAAATAGTGCTGCAATAAACATGTAAGTACAGTTATCTCTTTTTGATATAATGATTTTTTTTTCTCTTTGGCTAGATACTCAGTATTTCATTCAGTGTTGGGATTGCTGGATCAAATGGTAGTCCTATTTTTAGTTCCTTGAGAAATCTCCATTTTCTTTTCCATAGAGGTTGTACTAATTTACATTCCCAGTAACATTGTATAAGCATTCATTTTTCTCTGCATCCTTGCTAACATCTGTTATTTTTTAACTTTTCAATAATAGCCATTCTGACTGGTGTGAGATAGTATCTCATTGTGGTTTTAAGGTGCATTTCTCTCACAATTAGTGATGTTAGGCATTTTTTCATATGCTTCTCGGCTACTTGCATGTCTCCTTTCAAATACTGCCCATTTTTTAATGGAGTTTTTTTTCTTGTTGACTTGTTTTAGTTTCCTGTAGATTCTGGATATTAGTTCTTTGTTGGATGCATAGTTTGCAAATATTTTCTCCCATTCTGTAGGTTGTCTGTTCACTCTGTTGATTATTTCTTTTGCTGTGCAGAAGCTTTTTAGTTTCATTAAGTCCCATTTGTCTATTTTTTGTTTTTGTTGCATTTGGTTTTGAGCTCATAAGTTCTTTGCCTAGGCTAATGTCAAGAAGAGTTTTCCCTACATTTTCTTTTGTTTTCTGAGATTGAGTCTCTCACACTGTCGCCCAGGCTGGAGTGCAGTGGTGTGATCTCGGCTCACTGCAACCTCCGTCTCCCGGGTTCAAGCGATTCTCCTGCCCCAGCCTCCCAAGTAGATGGTGTGTCCGGAATTGGTGGGTTCTTGGTCTCACTGACTTTAAGAATGAAGCCGCGGACCCTCACGGTGAGTGTTACAGTTCTTACAGATGGTGTGCCAGCAGTTTGTTCCTTCTGATGTTCGGACATGCTGGGAGTTTCTTCCTTCTAGTGGGGTTCGTGGTCTCGCTGGCTCAGGAGTGAAGCTGCTGACCCTCACTGTGAGTGTTACAGCTCTTAAGGCGGGGCGTCTGGAGTTGTTCATTCTTCCTGGTGGGTTCGTGGTCTCACTGGCTTCAGGAGTGAAGCTACAGACCTTCGTGGTGAGTGTTACAGCTCATAAAGGCAGTGTGGACCCAGTGAGCAGCAGCAAGTTTTATTGCAAAGAGCAAAAGAACAAAGCTTCCGCAGTGCAGAAGGGGACCCCAGCGTGTTGCCACTGCTGGCTTGGGCAGCCTGCTTTTATTCTCTTATCTGGCCCCACCCACATCCTGCTGATTGGTACAGCCGAGTGGTCTGTTTTGACAGGGCGCTGATTGGTGCATTTACAATCCCTGAGCTAGACACAAAGGTTCTCCACATCCCCACTAGATTAGCTAGATACAGAGTGTGGACACAAAGATTCTCCACCTCCCCACCAGAGTAGCTAGATACAGTGTCGATTGGTGCATTCACAAACCCTGAGCTAGACACAGGGTGCTGATTGGTGTGTTTACAAACCTTGAGCTAGATACAGAGTGCCAATTGGTGTATTTACAATCCCTTAGCTAGACATAAAGGTTCTGCAAGTCTCCACCAGACTCAGGAGCCCAGCTGGCTTTACCTGGTGGATCCCGCACCAGGGCCGCAGGTGGAGCTGCCTGCCAGTTCTGCGAGGTGCGCCCGCACTCCTCAGCCCTTGGGTGGTCGATGGGACTGGGCGCCTTGGAGCAGGGGGCTGCTGCTCGTTCTGGAGGCTTGGGCCACACAGGAGCCCATGGAGTGGGGGAGGCTCAGGCATGGCGGGTTGCAGGTCCGGAGCCCTGCCAAGGCGAGGCAGCTAAGGCCCGGTGAGAAATCCAGCGCAGCGCTGGTGGGCCAGCACCACTAGGGGACCCAGCACACCCTCTGCGCCACTGGCTGGGGTGCTAAGCCCCTCATTGCTGGCCCAGGTGCTCCGAGTGCGGGGCCGCTGAGCCCACGCCCACCTGGAACTCACGCTGGCCTGCAAGCGTCCCGAGCAGCCCCGGTTCCCGCCCACACCTCTCCCTCCACACCTCCTTGCAAGCTGAGGGAGCCGGCTCCGGCCTTGGCCAGCCCAGAAAGGGGCTCCCACAGTGCAGCGGTGGGCTGAAGGGCTCCTCAAGCCCAGCCAGAGTGGGTGCCAAGGCCGAGGAGGTGCCGAGAGGGAGCAAGGGCTGTGAGGGCTGCCAGCACGCTGTCACCTCTTAATGGGATTACAGGCACCTGTCACCATGCCCAGCATTTTTTTTTTTTCTTTGAGACAGAGTCTCACTCTGTCTCCCAGGCTGGAGTGCACTGGCACGATCTTGGCTTACTGCAAGCTCCGCCTGCAGGGTTCACGCCATTCTCCTGCCTCAGCCTCCCCAATAGATGGGACTACAGGCACCCACGACCAAGCCCGGCTAATTTTTTTTTTGTATTTTTAGTAGAGACGGGGTTTCACCATGTTAGCCAGGATGGTCTCGATCTCCTGACCTCGTGATCTGCCGCCTCAGCCTCTCAAAGTACTGGGATTACAGGTGTGAGCCACTGCACCCGGCCCATTTCCTTCCTTCCTTCTTTCCTTCCTTCCTTCCCTCCTCCCTTCCCTTTCCTCCCCTCCCATCCCCTCCCCTCTCCTCCTTTTCCTCCTTTCCTCCCCTCCTCTCCCCTCTCTTTTCCTTTCCTTTCCTTGGTGGAGTCTTGCTGTCACCCAGGCTGGAGTACAGTGGCGCAATCTCGGCTCACTGCAAGCTCCGCCTCCTGGGTCCAAGCGATTCTCCTGTCTCAGCCTCCGGAGTAGCTGGGACTACAGGCGCCTCCCACCAGGCCCCACTAATTTTTTTGTGTTTTTAGTAGAGATGGGGTTTCACCATGTTAGCCAGGATGGTCTTGATCTCCTGACCTCGTGATCCACCTGCCTCGGCTTCCCAAAGTACTGGGATTACAGGCGTGAGCCACTGCGCCCGGCCTGTCTTTTTCTTTCTTTCTTTCTTTCTTTTCCTTCCTTCCTTCCTTCCTTCCTTCCTTCCTTCCTTTCCTTCCTTCTTCTTTAGTTTTTTTGATGGAGTCTTGCTCTGTCACCCAGGCTGGAGTGCAGTGGCACGATCTTGGTTCACTGCAACTTGTGCCTCCCGGGTTCAAGCGATTCTCCTGCCTCAGCCTCTGGAGTGGCTGGGATTATAGGCGCTGGCCACCACACCCGGCTAATTCTTGTATTTTTAGTAGAGGTGGAGTTTCACCATGTTAGCCAGGCTGGTCTCACGATCTGTCTGCCTCAGCCTCCCGAAGTGCTGGGATTACAGGTGTGAGCTACCGTGCCGGGCTCCTTACATTTTCTTGTAGGATTTTTCTATTTTGAGGTCTTACATTTAAATCTGTAATCCATCCTCAGCTAATTTTTGTAAATAGTGAGAGGTATGGGTCCAGTTTCATTCTTCTGCACATAGAAATCCAATTTTCCCAGCACTACTTATTGAATAGGGTGTCCTTTCTCCAGTGGATGTTTTTGTCAGTTTTCTTGAAGATCAGCTGGCTGTAGGTATTAATATATGGCTTTATTTCTGGGTTCTATATTCTGTTCTATTGACTTACGTGACTTTTTTTGAGACGGGGTCTTACTCTATTGCCTGGGCTGGAGTGCAGTGGAGCAATCTCTGCTCAGTGCAATCTCCACCCCCCGGGTTCACGCCATTCTCCTGCCTATGCCATTCTCCTGCCTCAGCCTCCCGAGTAGCTGGGACTACAGGCGCCTACCACCACTCCTGGCTAATTTTTAAAATATTTAGTAGAGACGGGGTTTCACTGTGTTAGCCAGGATGGTCTCGATCTCCTGACCTCGTGATCTGCCCGCCTTGGCCTCCCTAAGTGCTGGGATTACAGGCATGAGCCACCGTGCCCAGCCCTTGTGTCTATTTTTATACCACGGTGTTTTGGTTACTACAACCTTGTAGTAATTTGAGGTCAGGTAATGTGATGCCTCCAGATTTGTCCTTTTTGCTTAGGATTTCTTTGGCTATTCAGGCTCTTTTTTGGTCTCATAAATTTTAGGAATGTTCTCCCTTCCCTTCCCTTCCCTCCCCTCCCCTCCCCTCCTCTTTCCTTTTTCCTTTCCTTCTTTCTTTCTTTCTTTTTTTTTTTTTGATGGAGTTTTGCTCTTGTTGCCCAGGCTGTAGTGCAATGGCGCGATCTTGACTCACTGGAACCTCCACCTCCCTGGTTCACGCAATTCTCCTGCTCAGCCTCCTGAGTAGCTAGGATTACAGGCATGCACCACTGCTCTTGGCTAATTTTGTATTTTTAGTAGAGATGGAGTTTTTCCATGTTGGTCAGGCTGGTCTCGAACTCCCAACCTCAAGTGATCTGCCCACCTTGGCCTCCCAAAGTGCTGGGATTACAGGCGTGAGCCACCATGACCAGCCAGATTCTTTATTTTAATGTCTTGGTTGGGGAGGTCTCGGTAGGCCCCTAAGAAGAGTCCCTGCCTTGTCTCAAGAGGGGCAGTTTCTAGCAGATAGCTACGCAGCCCTTCCTAAGAAAATTGCCTTTATTTGGAACAGAGCTTATTACAGGTATCTAAGAGCATTGTCCAAACCACTAGAGATTTACATGATAAGCAACTAAGAGGAAATGAAACAGCAGACCAGCTAGAAGTTTACCAGGGAGAACCAGAAAAAGAGATAGCTAAGAAGAGCCCTGCTAAGGTCAAAGCAAGCTTCAAAGCCTGGCATCACCCTGACTTTAATTAAATTAAATCATACTATAGAGCAACTTTTGCCCCACTGTACTGTCAAAAACAATATATGAATTAGCCAGCAACTAGTGCATGCTAACATCTGGGTGTCATTCTTGCTGAGTGCGTGACCAGCCAGAGGTTAACTGTGAGATCAGGGGAATAGACAGCCTTTTCTTCTCTTAACTGATTTTTAAAACAGTTGCAAAAGTGTATGTACATAATTGCATTGTTGGTCCTGCAACAGATAGAAATATAATATATTTGACATTAATAGCACAAAGAGGCTGGTGAGGACAAAGCTGTACTAAAGTAAGGCTAGGATTCCAGATGGTCACTGGACTCACAGAAACAAATGGAGAGGAACAGAAATGATAAATCAGAAGGTTAATATAACAAACTATAAATGTACACTTTACTTTCTCCTTTTGGTTTCCATAAAAGACATAAAATTATATAAAATAATTATAATAATGCATTGTCAGGTTTGTAACATATATACACATCATATGCATACCAGTCATAGCACATATAAAGGGAAGGAAGACGTTCTAGATATTTGCTCTACAGCATAGTGCCCATAGTTAAAAATATGATGTTGTGCTCTTAAAACTTTGCTAAGAGGCCGGGTGTGGTGGCTCACGCCTGTAATCTCAGTACTTGGAGAGGCCGAGGTGGGTGAATCACTTGAGGTCAGGAGTTCAAGACCAGCCTGGCCAACATGGGGCAAAACTGTCTCTACTAAAAATACAAAAATTAGCTGGGCGTGGTGGTACGTGCCTGTAATCCCAGCTACTCAGGAGGCTGAGGCAGGAGAATCACTTGAACCTGGGAGGCAGAGGTTGCAGTGAGCCGAGATCGTGCCACTGCACTCCAGCCTGGGCCACAGAGAGAGACTTCGTCTCAAAACAAAAAAAACCTTTTTGCTAAGAGGATTGATCTTGTGTTAAATGTTCTACACACACACACACTTGCACACACACACACTAACAAGCAAGAAAAAACCCACAAAAGGACACAAGAAAACTTTTGGAGAGGATGAATATGTTTACTACCTTGATTGTGGTGGTGGTATCATGGGTGTATGTATATGTCCCAAATCATCAAATTCTTTACACTGGACATGTGCATTTATAAAATATAAATTATATCTCAATAAAGGTGTTTTTATAAGTGTATGAGGAGAAAGGAACAGAGCTATATAGAAGTAAAGTTTCTGTGTCTCACTTGAAATAAGCTAGTTAAGGTTCTGAAGTAGATAGATTATAAGATGTATATTGTAAACCCTAGATCAACTGTAATGAAAATAAGTGAAAAATGTAGCTTAAAATTCATTAAAAATACACTGGAGGCCGGGCGCAGTGTCTCATGCCTGTAATCCCAGCACTTCTTTGGGAGCCCGAGGTGGATGGATCACGAGGTCAGGAGTTTGAGACCAGCCTGGTCAACATGGTAAAACTCCGTCTCTACTAAAAATACAAAAAATTAGCTGGGCATGGTGACGTGCACCTGTAATCCCAGCTAGTTGGGAGGCTGAGGCAGGAGAATCTCTTGAACCCAGGAGGTGGAGGTTGCAGTGAGTTGAGATTGTGCCACTGCACTCCAGCCCAGGCAACAGTGCGAGACTCTGTCTCAAAAAAAAAAAAACTACACTGGAAAAATTCACTTAGTGCAAAATAAGACTATAAGGAGAAACAAAGGAGCAAAAGGGACATGAGACACAGACAACATAAAACAAAATGGCAGATGTAAATCCAATCATATCAATAATAACAGTAAATGTGAATGGATTAAATAATCCAATAAAAGGCAGATATTATGAGACTGGATTTAAAAACATGATCCAACTGTATACTCTCTACAGGAGGCATACTTTAGATTGAAAGATATAAATAGATTGAAAGTAAAAGAATAAAAAAGATATACTATGCAAGAAATGATCAAAACAGAGCTTGAGTGACTATACCAATATCAGACAAACTATACTTTAAAACAAAAATGTTAATTCAGCTAAAGTGGGGTATTTTATAAACAAACTTGCTAACTCATCAGGAAAAATAATAATTATAACCACATATACACCTCATAACAGAGCACCAAAATACATGAAACAAAACCAGTTAGAAGTGAAGGGAGAAACAGACAATTAACAATAGTTGGAGGTTTCTTTTCTTTTTTTTTTTTTTGAGACGGAGTCTCGCTCTGTCACCCACGCCGGAGTGCAGTGGTGCGATCTCAGCTCACTGCAAGCTCCGCCTCCCAGGTTCACGCCATTCTCCTGCCTCAGCCTCCCAAGTAGCTGGGACTACAGGCACCCACCACCACGCCTGGCTAATTTTTTGTAGTTTCAGTAGAGATGGGGTTTCACCGTGTTAGCCAGGATGGTCTCGATCTCCTGACCTCATGATCCACCTGCCTCAGCCTCCCAAAGTGCTGGGATTACAGGTGTAAGCAACCATGCCTGGCCTCAATGCCTCACTTTCAATAATGGTTAGAACAACAAGGCAGAAGAACAGTAAGGAAATAAAAGACTTGAACAATATAAACCGATGAGACTTAACAGACATCTATAGTGCTTCCCACTCAAAAGCATAAGAATATATATTTTTCTCAAGTGTACACAGAACATTCTCCAGAATACACCATATGCTAGGCCATGAAAAAGTCTCAATAAATGTATTTATTTATTTGTTTGTTTGTTTATAGAGTTGAGGTCTCACTCTGTTGCCCAGGCTGGAGTGCAGTGGCATGATCATGGCTGACTTGAACTCCCATCACTGCAGACTTGAACTCCCAGGCTCAAGTGATCCTCCTACCTCAGCCACCTGAGTAACAGGGGCTACAAGCAAGCACCACCATGCCTGGCTAAGTTTTTGATTTTTGTAAAGATGGGATTTTCCTATATTTCCCAGGCTGGGAATAAGTATATTATTCTCTGATCACAATGGAATTAAATTAGAAATGAATAAGAGAAGATAATCTGGGAAATTCATGAATATGCGGAAATTAATCAACACACTCTTAAATAATCAATAGGCCAAAGAAGAAATCACAAGAGAAATTAGAAAATACTTTGAGATAACAGAAAATAAAATTACAACTTATAAAAACTTATCGGATGCAGTTAAAGCAGTGCACAGAGGGAAATTTATAGCTGCAAGTACCTATATTTAAAAAAGAAGAAAAGATGGCCAGGCACAGTGGCTCATGCCTGTAATCCCAGTACTTTGGGAGGCCGAGGTGGGCGGATGGCCTGAGGTCAGGAGTTCGACACCAGCCTGGCCAAAGTGATGAAACTCTGTCTCTACTAAAAGTACCAAAATTAGCCAGGCATGGTGGCGGGCGCCTGTAATCCCAGCTACTCAGGAGGCTGAGGCAGGAGAATTGCTTGAACCTGGGAGGCAGAAGTTGCAGTGAGCCAAGATGGCGCCACTGCACTCCAGCCTGGGTGACAAGAGTGAGACTCCTTCTCAAAAAAAAAAAAAGAAAAGATCTCAAACTAATAGCCTAGTCTTCTACTTTAGAAACTGTAAAAGCCTAAGGCAAGCAGAAGGAAATAATACAGATTAAGGTAGAAATTAGTAAAATACAGAATAGGAAAAAAAGAGGAAAATAATCAATGAAACCAAAAGTTTGGGCTTTGAAAACAATCAACAAAATTGGCCAACTTTTAGCTAGACTGACCAAGAAGAAAAGAGAAGAATGCAATTACTAAAATCAAGAATGAAAGAGGAAAACAATCTCTGCTTATCTTAAATAACTAAAATCGAGTATTTTGAATGCCTGTATGCCAAAAAGTAGATGACTTAGTTGAAAAGACAACTTCCTAGACAGACACAAATAGACCTATAAGAATTAAAAGATTAAGTGCTATGTTTTGAATATGTCCTCCAAAGTTCATGTGTTCAAAAGTTAATCCCCAATGCAACAGCGTTGAGAGGTGGAACCTAATAGGAGGTGATTAGGTCACTGATGCCTCATGAATAGGTTAATGTCATTATTACACAATTGGGTTAGTTATTGCCAGAGTTGATCTGTAATAGAAGCAAATTTGGCCCACTCTTGCTCTCTCTCCCCTGCCCTCTTTGCTCTTTTGCCTTCTGCCATTATATGACACAACATGAAGGCTCTTGCTAGATGTCAACTCCTCATCCTTGGACTTACCAGCCTCAAGAACTGTAAGAAATAAATTTCTTTTCCTCATCAATTACCTAACCTGTGATATTCTGTTATAGCATCACAAAATGAACCAGGGCAATTAGTAATCAAAAAGCTTCCAACAAAGAAAAGACCAGGATCAAATAGCTTCACTGCCTAACAAATGTTTACTGTCTTTTAATGGATGTGTTTTATCCATTTACATTTTTTTTTGAGATGGAGTTTCTCTCTTGTTGCCCAGGCTGGAACACAATGGTGAGACCTCTGCTCACTGCAACCTCCGCCTCCCAGGTTCAAACAATTCTCCTGCCTCAGCCTCCTGAGTAGCTGGGATTACAGGCATGTGCCACCATGTCCAGCTAATTTATTGTATTTTTAGTAGAGACAGCATTTCACCGTGTTGGCCAGGTTGGTCTTGAACCCCTGACCTCAGGTGATTCACCTTCCTTGGCCTCCCAAAGTGCTGGGATTACAGACATGAGCCACTGGTGGAAGACCCCATTTGCATTTAATGAGTTCTTAAAATATGATTTGGTTTATGTTGCGGGAAGTCAGGGACCCCAAACGGAGGGACCAGCTGAAGCCATGGCAGAAGAACATGGATTGTGAAGATTTCATGGACATTTATTAGTTCCCCAAATTAATATTTATAATTTCTTATGCCTGTCTTTACTGCAGTCTCTAAACATAAATTGTGAAGATTTCATGGACACTTATCACTTCCCCAGTCAATACCCTTGTGATTTCCTATGCCTGTCTTTACTTTAATCTCTTAATCCTGTCAGCTGAGGAAGATGTATGTCGCCTCAGGACCCTGTAATAATTGCATTAACTGCACAAATTGTACAGCATGTGTGTTTGAGCAATATGAAATCTGGGCACCTTGAAAAAAGAACAGGATAACAGCAATTGTTCAGGGAATAAGAGATAACCTTAAACTCTGACCGCCGATGAGCCGTGCAGAACAGAGCCATATTTCTCTTCTTTCAAAAGCAAATGGGAGAAATATCACTGAATTCTTTTTCTCAGCAAGGAACATCCCTGGGAAAGAGAATACACGCCTGGAGGTATAGGCCTATAAACGGCCCCCCCAGGTATGCCTGTCTCTTATGGTCGATATTGCAGGGGTGAAATAGACCCCAGTCTCCCATAGCACTCCCAGGCTTATTAGGAAGAGGAGATTCCCACCTAATAATTTTGGTCAGACCGGTTACTCTCAAAACCCTGTCTCCTGATAAGATGTTATCAATGACAATGGTGCCTGAAACTTCATTAGCAATTTTAATTTCGCCCCATCCTGTGGTCCTGTGATCTAGCCCTGCCTCCACTTGCCTTGTCATATTCTATTGCCTTGTGAAGTACTTGATGTCTGTGACCTACACCTATTCGCACACTCCCTCCCCTTTTGAAAATCCCTAATAAAAACTTGCTGGTTTTTGCAGCTTGTGGGGCATCACGAAACCTACCAACATGTGATGTCTTCCCCGGATGCCCAGCTTTAAGATTTCCCTCTTTTGTACTCTGTCCCTTTATTTCTTAAGCTGGCCAATGCTTTAAGGAAAATAGAAAAGAACCTATGTGAATATCAAGGCAGGTTCCCCGATAGGTTTATATTACCATTTTACTACTTTTTCCTATTTGTCCTATTTTTTATTTGTTTGCTTGCTCTCCTTTTCCCCTTTGTTTTGTGTTAAATAAATATCTTTTATTATTCCATTTTATCTCTTTTCTCGGCTTATTAGCTATGTTTTTCTTTGCTTTTTTCCTACTTCTTGTGAACACAAAGCTATGCTTTTTTTGTTATGCAAGTCTAGTGGTTGCCTTAGGATCTGTAGTAAACACCTTTAACATATCACAGTCTATCTTCAGGTAATATTATACCATTTTACATGTAGTATAAGAACATTATAACAATAGACTTCCATTTTTCCTCTCCTGCTTTTGTGCTATTATTATCATACATTTTTCTAACCCCACAGTACATTTAACACTTGTTTTTAAAAGGTGATTGTCTTTTAAAGAGATATTTATTTATTTATTTATTTATTTATTTATTTATTTATTTTCAGACAGGGTCTTGCTCTGTCACCAAGGCTGGAGTGCAGTGGTGTGAACATGGCTCCCTGCAGCCATGACTTCCTGGGCTCAAGCTATCCTCCTGCCTCAGCCTCCTAAAGTGCTGGGATTACATACATGAGCCACTGCACCCAACTGAGATTTTTTTTTTTTTTTTTTTTTTTTTGGAGATGGGGTTTTGCCACATTGCTAAGGCTGGTCTTGAACTCCTAGGCTCAAATGATCCGCCCACCTCAGCCTCCCAAAGTGCTGAGATTGCAGGTGTGAGCCACTGTGCTTTGCCTCCAGCTGAGATTTTTAAAATAAGAAAAACTATCTTTTATATTTACACACATATGTGTCATTCACTAAGCTCTTCATTTCTTTGTTTAGATCCACATTTTTATCTGGTATTTTCTCTTCTCCTTGAGTAGCTTTAAAGCATTTATTATAGCATAGGTTTGCTGGTGATGACATTTTCCTGCTTTTACATAGCTGCAAAAATATTTATTCCACTTCTGCTTGCAAAACAAATTTTTGCTGGGAATAGAATTCTATTTTCCTTTTCATACCTTAAAAATATTGCTCCATTGTCTTCTGGCTGGGCGTAGGTTCTTTCTGGCACACCTGCCTGGATCCCCCTCCCAGCCCCATTTCTCATTCTTCTCCCACTAACCCAGACTCTAGGGTGGCTTTGGCATTTGGGAAGACCGCTGTGCCCAGCAAGGTAGCAGGGAAGCCTGGGGCAGAGTCAAGCTCTCACAGATTCCTAAATAACTGGGCAATTTTGGGAGGGGGCTGCATTCAGCATGACTGTAGGGGGTTAGAACTGGTGCAGTTATGACCTTGTGATTAATATCCCAGTTGTATTCACAGACTGGAGAGACCGAAGCCATATTTTATCCATAATTAGTTTAACTGCCTCTTAAAAATAGAAAACTGGTGTAATATTTTAATAACTGCAACAAAGGGAAGTTTGGCTTATTATCTTGCAATTGATTTTTAATTTTGCTTTTTGTGGACAGAGAATATTCTATATGATATAGATTATTTGTTGCTTGTTGAGACTTTTTTGTGCCTTAACAAGAGGTCAATTTTTATAAATCCATGGGTACCTGAAAAAAATAAATGTGCATTTTGTGTAACTATATTTCAGCATCTATCACTGTGCCCAGAACATAGTAGAGTTTATCCTAATGTTGAGTTAGCTTTTTCACGTGAAACACAGTGCCTTATATAGTAACTTTGGAATATCTCTAACCTTTTTGCTTTGTGACATACAAATTTATGGGGACACAGATGTCCCAGAAACGTCTAACTCTATAATATCACAGAACCACACCATAAGTGGACTGCATGGAAATCTTCCTGCAACTGTCTGGAGGAGTGCTCCTCAGATGCGTAGTGCTGGCCACCTGCATCAGGGTCACTCTGAAGCTTTTAAAGACTGCAATTAAATCTGGTTCCCCACGCCAGATCCACTAAATCAGAATTTCTAAGGATGGGTCCTGTAAACTGATCTTTTAAGATTGCCCAGCTGGGTGTGGTAACTCACTCCTGTAATCTCAGTGCTATAGGAAGCTGGGGCAGGAGGATCACTTGAGGTCAGGAGTTCAAGACCCAGCCTGGGCAACATATTGAGACTGTTTCTACAAAAAGTAAAAAAATTATCCAGGCATGGTGGCTCACACCTATAGTTTCAGCTACTTGGGAGGCTGAGGTGAGAGGATTTCTTCAGCACAGGAGTTTGAGGCTGCAGTGAGCTATAATCGTGCCACTGCATCCCAGCCCAGGTGACACAGGGAGACTCTGTTTCTACAAAAAGCTAAAAAATAAAAAAGAGGCCAGGCGTGGTGGCTCACGCCTGTAATCCCAGCACTTTGGGAGGCCAAGGCAGGCAGATCACCTGAGGTCGGGAGTTCAAGACCAGCTTGACCAACACGGAGAAACCCCATCTCTACTAAAAATACAAAATTGGCCGGGCATGGTGGTGCATGCCTGTAATCCCAGCTACTTGGGAGGCTGAGGCAGGAAAATCTCTTGAATCTGGGAGGCGGAAGTTGCAGTATGCCAAGATCCTGCCATTGCACTCCAGCCTGGGCAACAAGAGTGAAACTCCATCTCAAAAAATAAATAAACAAATAAATAAATAAGATTGCCCACACCTTTGATTCTGATGCACATTAAAATTTGAGAACTGCTAATCAGGAACCATCATATCCACAGATTTTCAGGGGTTTTTTTCTTCAAATGAACAAGAAATTGGTATAATTTTCCTGTAAAAGCAGTTATAGTTTCTGGGTCTCCCCACTGGCTCCAAAAGCCTGTCATTATACCCATCAAAATGTTGTTCTCTGGAAGAAGAAAATTAATGTGCATTGCCTCTGTGTATTTCAGTAGCTGCTGTTACTTACATTTTCTAATGAAATACTCACCACACTCCTGGGACATGGTGTAGTGAGCTGAAGGGTGGCCTTCCAAAAAAATATGTTCACGTCCTAACCCCTGGTACCTGTGAATGTGACCTTCTTTAGAAAAAGGATCTTTGCAGATGTAATTTAATTAAGAATCTAGAGATGAGATTATCTGAGATTAGCTGGGAGGCCCCAGAATAACCAGTTTGCTTGTAAGAGACAGAAGAGGAGAAGGCACAGGCACAGGGAAAGCAGTGCAACCACAGAGTCAGAGGCTGGGGCGATTCCAGCCAGGAGCTGGAAGAGGCAGGGAAGGATCCTCCCCTAGAGCCTCCACAGGGAGTGTGGCCTTGCCCTAGCACCTTGATTTAAGACTTTTAGCCTTAGCCAGGCGTGGTGGCCCATGCCTGTAATCCCAGCACTGTGGGAGGTCAGGAGTTCAAGACCAGCCTGACCAACATGGTGAAACCCCGTCTCTACTAAAAATACAAAAATTAGCTGGACGTGGTGGTGCCTGCCTGTAATCCCAGCTACTCGGGAGGCTGAGGCAAGAGAATCACTTGAACCTGGGAGGCAGAGGCTGCAGTGAGCCAAGATTGCACTACTGCACTCCAGCCTGGGCGACAGAGCAAGACTCCATCTCAAAGAAAAAAAAAGACTTTTAGCCTCAGAACTGTGAAAGAATGACTTTTTGCTCTATGAAGTCACCAGGTTGGTGGTAATTTGTTACAGTGGTCCTAGGAAACAAACACACATTCGTATTGTGATTTTCATTTACAATCACAGAGCTGGATCTACTATAGTAGAATAAATTTTATTATAATAACTGCTGTGTTCTAGGACAATGATAACTAAATTGATTGTTTTAAGGGACTTAAAATTTAGGCACATTTCATTCTACCTTGAAAGGCCCAGAGATGTTTGTTAAAGGCTGGAGGGAAATAATAGAAGGTTATTATTGATAGAAGGCTCTCAAAGGTCTGTACAGGAGTCATTCTGGCTGCAGGGGTGTGGCCCATGTGCTCTTCACCAGCTCTTAGCTTCAAGATGTTCATGGCACAGCTAGCAAGAGCACGGCCTGGATGTGTGTGGCTGTCATTGGCCACTCTCCCAGGGTTGGGAACTTGCCTGATGTTAGTTTGTGGCCTAAGAGGGCACTCTCCCCAGCTCCCACTTCTGTCTCACATTATGTCTGCCATTTCAACTCCCTCTATTAATTAGCCTTGGCTTCCTCACCTTGTGGAGTGGAACAAGGGGTCAGTGGTGAATAATGACGCAGGTGGAGCTAAGCGTGGCCCATGTCAGTAACAGCTTTCTACAAATATATTGAACTTATAAAGTATTTATGGATCAAACAGCACTTTTGGATCACCTTAAGGTTAAAGCATAGGTTTGATATAGACAGACCTAGATTGGAATTCCAACTCAGCCACTGATCAGCTGTGATGGACCTTTAAGCAAGTCACCTTGCTCCCTGAGTGTCCATCTCCTAACCTGAAAAATCGAGTCTTGCTTCACAGAGCTGCTGTGAAGATTAAAAGAGAGAATTTCGAGACTCTAGCATGGTGATTGACATACAGCACGTGCTCAGAGGAAGCTCTAATTATTATTCAATATCTCAACATTTTCAACACAGTTTTAACTTTCACTGCTTGACTCCATCCCAGGTTCTAAGCCTCTCTTTTTTTCTTAAAATTTAGATGGACAAAAACTGGGCATTGTAGAGTTCATTTGAGCCTGCCTTATAATTAGTGATTTATTAAATGTTTCTTTGTGGTTTAAAATTAGCATTTAATTTGAATACTTACCCTACTGCTGTTTCATTTTCCCTGCGTGATTTGGACATGTCAAGAGTGGTGGATGTGAAATACTACCGACTAGGGATGTGGAACATGTGAGAGTTAATGACAGTGGATATTTTAAAAAAGCAGATGGGATCATTAAATTATTGATGATGTTTTTGCTGCAGTGGAGTTATAAATAATACATGTTTAAAGGGCTATTTCCTTTCTATTTCTTTATGGACAACTAAAGAATGTTCTCATTTTGAGTTTAAAGAGAACTGACAGTTGGATAAAGGTCAACAAAAATGTTCATTCGTGCAGTTTCTATGCCAAAAAACCCTCAAACTTCAAACAAGAGCATAGCCAATTTTATAGAACCATATCAAATCATCTTTATTTTCAGAGCAGAATGAGCCACTGGATTTAATTTAGCAAATGGGGCTGGAGGGGAAGCTTGAAATAATTTTTATAATAAAAGTTTTGGCCGGGCACGGTGCCTCATCTCTGTGATCCCAGCACTTTGGGAGGCCGAGGTGGGCGGATCATGAGGTCAGGAGTTCGAGACCAGCCTGGCCAACATGGTGAAATCCTGTCTGTACTAAAAATATAAAAATTAGCCAGGCATGGTGGCAGGTGCCTGTAGTCCCAGCTACTAAGGAGGCTGAGGCAGGAGAATCGCTTGAACCTGGGAGGGGGAGGTTGTAGTGAGCCGAGATTGCACCACTGCACTCCAGCCTGGGGTGACAGAGTGAGACTCTGTCTCAAAAAGAAAAAAAAAAAAGTTTCATATTAAACAGTATCAACCTCTTTTTTTTTCAGAAAACCTCCAAATTGAAATGAGCTTCTATGAATAAAACAGAAAAAGAAACCCAACAATTATTCCCTGAAGTCTATCAGTTTCCTAACACATTAGCTCTTTAGAATGTATTGTTTATTTATTTATTTATTTATTTTTTTGAGGCAGGGTCTCATCTCACTCTGTTGCCCAGGCTGGAGTACAGTGATGCAATCACAGCTCACTGCAGCCTTGACCTCCTGCACTCAAGTGATCCTCTCACCTCAGCCTCCCAAGTAACTGGGACTACAGGCATGCACCACCACAGCCAGCCAAGAATGTAGGATTTTTTTTTTTTTTTTTTTTTTTGAGATGCAGTCTTGCTCTGTCACACAGGCTAGAGTGCACTGGCGCGATCTGGGCTTGCTGCTAGCTCCACCTCTCAGGTTCATGCCATTCTCCTGCCTCAGCCTCCCAAGTATCTGGGACTACAGGCACCCGCCACCACGCCCGGCTAATTTTTTTGTATTTTTTAGTAGAGATGGGGTTTCACCATGTTAGCCAGGATGGTCTCGATCTCCTGACCTCGTGATCCATCCACCTCGGCCTCCCAAAGTGCTGGGATTACAGGTGTGAGCCACTGCGTCCAGCCCCAAGAATGTATAATTTTTTAATAGGGATAGTATAGAGTGATTGGGGACAGATACTGGGGGAAACTGTGAAACCAACTATAATTACCCTCCATGCAGGGCTGGCTTTTTATGGATCTGTGAGTTCCCAGAAGTCATATGCAAAATTCTGTTTAATCCTCATACGTATATGGGGAGGTATTTCTTTCTTTTTTTTTTTTTTTTTGTGACAGAGTCTCATTCTGTCACCCAGTATGGAATATAGTGGTGTGATCTTGGTTCACTGCAACCTCCACCTCCTGGGCTCAAGTGATTCTCCTGCCTCAGCCTTCAGAGTAGCTGGAACTACAGGTGTGCACCACCACACCTGGCTAATTTTTTTGTATTTTTAGTAGAGATGGGGTTTCACCATGTTGGCCAGGCTGGTGTCGAGCTCCTTACCTCAGGTGATCCGCCCACCTCGGCCTCCCAAAGTGCTGTGATTAGAGGCGTGAGCCACCACACCCGGCAGGATCCATAGTTTCAATCTGACTCATGGACCTGAAAAAGTTAAGATCCACTGCTGCTTCTTATTTCTCTTTAAAAATGGCTACGAGGAATTAGGGGTAACATGGAGTGGGAAATAAGGGGCAGGAGACACCAAAGCTCTTCCAGTATTAATTAGCCTCTTTCCGTCCAAGGCTCCATGTATCCCTCCACCTCCCTTCATCCTTTCCACCTCACTAAACCATGGACAGCACTCTAAAGTTTAGACTGTTTCAACAATATAGCTGAACAAAAACTAATTCCTGGAATATGAACATGAAGCAGTATCAAGCAACATCAGGAAAAGATAGAATGTCTTTAAATCTTTTTTCTTTTTTTTTTCTTTTTTGAAAACATATTTATTTTCTCCCTATCCATGTGTTTGCTTTTAACTTCTATCTCTGCAATTTTCTCTTCTTTTCTTTTCTTTTGAGACTCCGTCTCACTTTGTCACCAGGCTGGAGCCCAGTGGTGTGGTCTCAGCTCACTGCAGCTTCCACCTCCCGGGTTCAAGCGATTCTCCTGCCTGAGCCTCCTGAGTAGCCAGGATTACAGGCGAGTGTCACCACACCCGGCTAATTTTTGTATTTTTAATAGCAACGGGGTTTCACCATGTTGGTCAGGCTGGTCTCAAACTCCTGACCTCAAGTGATCCTCGGTCCTCGGCCTCCCAAAATGCTGGGATTACAGGCGTGAGTCACTGTGTCTGGCCTGATTTTTGCAATTTTCAAAAAGAGTTTGGAGCAGGATAAAAACACATAATTCAATGACAAATCTCGAGCATTTTTCTGATGATGGGGGCATAGTTTAAATGTTTTCTTTGAATGGAGAATGTATTTTCTTTATAAGCACTTAAACTGTATCCTTATAAGCTCAGGCTCCAAGAATAACTTAAATATTGTGTTACCTATTTGAACTGGCAAGAGAGTGAATAATAATTACATGCAAAATTGGTAGAGAGAGATTCAATGATTACTAAATTTAATCACATTTTTCTGATGAGGACAGGCTGAGGTAGCTTCAGTGAGTTGCCCAGTGTCCCCCAGGCGAGTCTCAGGACCAGAGTCCAGCTCTGGGTTTGTCTGACTCCAGAGTCCATATTCTCTCTCCTGCATTCCTCGCCTCTGCAGAGCTCTTCTGCAACCTCCAGACATGAAGCCCCCCATCCTCCTGCTCTGCACCCTTGGTATACGGGGACGCAGTTCACCTACTCCTAGAATGGAGCAAGCGCTGACTTTTGGCGTATTCCAAAGGACTCCTCCTCTAGAGTGGCTTTTTTTTTTTTTTTTTTTTTGAGAATGGGTCTCTGTCACCCAGTCTGGAGTACAGTGACACGATCAAGGCTGTCTGTAGCCTCGAACTCCTGAGCTCAGGTGATCCTCCTACCTCAGCCTCTCAAGTAGGTGGAACTACAAGTGCATGCCACCATGCCCAGCTAATTGTTTTGTGTAATTTTTGTAGAGACAGGGTTTCACCATGTTGCTCAGGCTGGTCTTGAACTGAGCTCAAGGGATCTGCCCGCCTTGGCCTCCCAAAGTGTTGGGATTATAGGCGTGAGCCACCACGCCTGGTCTTTCTTGAGTTCTAACTCCTGTTTAACCAACACTGATATCTGGTCAGAGGCCCAATTAATTAGAAACCCCCTGACATGGCCGGGTGCGGTGGCTCACGCCTGTAATCTCAGCACTTTGGGAGGCTGAGGCAGGCAGATCACGAGGTCAGGAGATCTAGGCCATCCTGGCTAACTGGGTGAAACCCCATCTCTACTAAAAATACAAAAAATCAGTAGGGCGTGGTGGTGGGCGCCTGTAGTCCCAGGTACTCGAGAGGCTGAGGCAGGAGAATGGCGTGAACCCGGGAGGCGGAGCTTGTAGTGAGCAGAGGTCATGCCAGTGAACTCCAGCCTGGGCGACAGAGCGAGACTTCGTCTCAAAAAAAAAAAAAAAAAAAGAAACCCACTGACATTAAACTTATACAGAAAAGAGGAAAATTATAAGAAAACCAGTTTAACAGGGATATTTATTTATTTATTTATTTATTTTTGAGACAGGGTCTCACTCTGCCACCCAGGCTGGAGTGCAGTGATGACATCTGAGCTCACTGCAGCCTCTGTCTCTCGCGTTCAAGTGATTCTCCTGCCTCAGCCTCCTGGGTAGCTGGGACTACAGGTGTGCACCACCATGCCTGGATAATTTGTGTATTTTTAGTAGAGATGGGGTTTCACTGTGTTAGCCAGGATGGTCTCGAGCTCCTGACCTCGTGATCTGCCTGCCTCGGCCTCCCAAAGTGCTGGGATTACAGGCATGAGCCACTTCGCCTAGCCCATTTATTTATTTTTGAGACAGGGTCTTGCTCTGTCTTCCAGGCTGGAGTGCTGTGGTGTGATCTCAGCTCACTGCAGCTTTGATCTACCGGGCTCAAGTGATCCTCTCACCTTAGCCTCCCAAGTAGCTGGGGCCACAGGCATGCCCACCACGCCCAGCTAATTTTCTATTTTTTGTAGAGATGAGGTTTCACTATGTTGCCCAGGCTGGTCTCAAACTCCTGGCCTTAAGAGATCCTCTGCCTTGTCCTCCCAAAGTGCTGGGATTAATGCATGATCCACCATGCTTTGCAATAAGAATATTTAAATAAATGTGAAAATATCCAGGTGGTATCCATTCCTCTCATTCTCTGACATCTAGTCTCTAGTCATGGATCATCACTGAACTCAAAAAAGAGAAGGCACTGGAAACCCTGGAGTCAGAAAAAAGCAAAACAAAAACAAATTTCTGTTCTCTCCAAGCTGCACTCATTAAGACAGAAATGAGGATTCATATTTTAGAAAGTTTTCTAACAAGGTTGAGCCTTGATTAACTGGAGAACTCCATGAGTCAGAACAAACTTGTTGGGACCTAGCATGAGCTTTACCTGTAGTTGGAGCTCAGTGAATTCCCCTAAGATTACGGTTGAGATTGCACCACAGAAAGATCTCAGCCACTCACAGGTGTTCATCCTCCCGGGGTCCTGTCTGCCCCAGCATTTCTTTTCTGCTTTTCTTCCCCTTTCTTGCATGAAGAGACATCTAGGCTGTCAGGAAATGTGATGACTCATCTGACATCAGATCGAATCTTTTTTATTCGCCCTTCATGTCTGCCTCAGTCTCTGATCCTGGTAATAACCGTGTGAAGTCCCGGGGATGTTTTGATTTCTGAGAAGACACACACGGATTGCAGTGGGCTTCTGATGATGTCAAGGTTGGATGCATGTGGCTGACTGATAGCTCTTTGTTTTCCACAATCCTTTGCCTAGGAAAAAGGAATCCAAGTGTGTTTTAACCATGCTGACCAGCAAGGGGCAGGGATTCCTTCATGGGGGCTTGTGTCTCTGGCTGTGTGTGTTCACACCTTTCTTTAAAGGTAGGTTTCATTTCTGCTTTATCTTCTATTCCCTTTTTAGCTACATGTGTTTACTCTCTTTTCTAGTTGTGCTTGAGAAGATATATTAATAAAAGTTTCTATGGTCTGCATAGGAGCCACCACTGTTACAACTGCTAATTAATCTATTTGGTTTTTATTTGTTAGGTGTAATACAAAAGATGAAATCTGAGGGGTAGGGTGGGGAGGAGAGGACCAGGAAACATAGTGCAAACCCAATTAAAATATAATAAGGAGAATGATACAGTTTTCTATTCATCTCCCCTGTGGCTGTATTGAGCTTATTTATTTGTAGTTATGTTTAATATTTTTTCAAAGTGGTAATTTATTTGTTAGCTGATACTATTACTCAGTCAATGAACCCTTCCATTTTGTAGGTAATCATGTTTGTTTGGGGAAACATCACGTGATTATGCTGAAACTATCCCATGAGTAAGATCATTCATTTTAAAAGTTACAACTTAGAAACGGACCACTGCTGTTCTGCTGAACAAAATCACATTTCTATGCTGTTAGGTTTGCAGGGGACTTGCTTTTCAAGGCTGATGGAGGGTTTATCTGCTATAAAATGTCTTAAAGAGGAAGAAAATGGGTAATGAGGAGGATTATTTATTGTCTGTCATGGAGAAATATGTTCATCATGATTAATTATGATGGCAAGAATGATGTTTTACCTTAAATTTGTCCTTCCTGCTAAAACTCTAGTGTCTCAGTGTTTCCTAAGGTATTCGTCAGGCAACTCTTTCCATTTAGTAATTTAACAGAGATCTTTCCATTTATGTTGCCTGATGAGCTTTTCAATCCCTTTCCATTTTTTTTCTTTCAATGTGTAAATCCCTTTGAGAAATTTGTGGAGTCCTATGTTAGATATCAAATTTAAATTCTGTGAGGAAATTGTAGAGGAGGTAGTAATGAAATGAATTATGTCAAATGAGGAAAAGTAACCCCACATTTAAGGTTTTCTTGGAAAAATACAAAGAGATATGCATAAAGTTATTGTCTAGAATTTAGTGACTGAAAGTGCTATTATTTAAGAACCAATTTCAACTTTTAAAAATGTTTCAAGTGGCAGGGCGCGGTGGCTCATGCCTGTAATCCCAGCACTTTGGGAGGCAGAGGCAGGCGGATCACAAGGTCAGGAGATGGAGACCATCCTGGCTAACACGGTGAAACCCCGTCTCTACTAAAAATATAAAAAATTAGCTGGGCGTGGTGGCAGTCACCTGTAGTCCCAGCTACTAGGGAGGCTGAGGCAGGAGAATGGCATGAACCTGGGAGGCGGAGCTTGCAGTGAGCCGAGATCATGCCACTGCATGACCATGCCTGGGCAACAGAGCGAGACTCCATCTCAACAACAAAAAGGAAGTTTCAAATAAATTTGCCTTAAAAATCTTGCATTCTCAGAAATCTCCACAATAACTGAATTTCAAAGTTGATTTTTGTTTTATTTTAAGTCTGGGGTACATGGGCAGGATGTGCAGCTTTGTTACATAGGTAAACGTGTGCCATGGTGTGCACAGATCAACCCATCACCTAGGTATTAAGCCCAGCATGCATCAGGTATTTTTCCCAATGCTCTTCTTCCCTGGACCCCCTCAAGAGGCTCTAGTGTGTGGTGTTCCCCTCCCTGTGTCCATGTGTCCTCATTGTTCAGCTCCCCGTTTCAAGTGAGAACATGCAGTGTTTGGTTTTTTGTTCCTGTGTTAGTTTGCTGAGGATAACGGCTTCAAGCACCATCCATGTCCCTGCAAAGGGCACGATCTTGTTCATTTTTATGGTTGCATAGTATTGCATGGTGCATATATACCACATTTTCTTTCTTTCTTTCTTTCTTTCTTTTTTGAGACGGAGTCTCACTCTGTCGCCCAGGCTGGAGTGCAGTGGCACGATGTTGGCTCACTGCAAGCTCCGCCTCCCAGGTTCATGCCATTCTCCTGCCTAAGCCTCCCAAGTAGCTGGGACTACAGGCGCCCACCACCATGCCCGACTAAGTTTTTGTATTTTTGGTAGGGACGGGGTTTCACCGTGTTAGCCAGGATGGTCTCGATCTCCTGACCTTGTGATCCAACCGCCTCAGCCTTCCAAAGTGCTGAGATTACAGGCGTGAGCCACCGCACCTGGCTTATACCACATTTTCTTTATCCAGTCTATCATTGATGGGCATTTGGGTTGATTCCATGTCTTTGCTATTGTGAATAGTGCTGCAGTGAACATACGCATGCATGTATCTTTATAATAGAATGATTTATATTCCTTTGGGTATATACCCAGTAATGGGATTGCTGGGTAAAATGGTATTTCGGGTTCTAGGTGTTTGAGGAATCCCCACATCATCTCCCACAATGGTTGAACTAATTTACACTCTCACTAACAGTGTAAAAGCATTCCTATTTCTCCATAGTCTCTCCAGCATCTGTTATTTCTTCACTTTTTAATAACTGCCATTCTGACTGGCTTGAGATGATATCTCATTGTGGTTTTGATTTGCGTTTCTCTAATGATCAGTGTTGTTGAGCTTTTTTTCTTGTTTCTTGGCCACATAAATGTCTACTTTTGAGAAGTGTCTGTTCATGTCCTCAAAGTTGATTTTTTAAAAGAACATGACTTGCGAAGACCATCATGAAATTACTAGTTATTTCAGTTTCCTTAGTGAAGTTTCCCCAGCTAAGCACCTTGCTGGTGTAGATACAGATTTTAGTTGATTCAGTATTTTAGACAAGAAAGGACAGGATTTTCCTGAATTACTGGAAAGGGTCTAGTGCCATCAGTAAGACTGCGAGTTACTTCAGTGACATAAGTGAAGATTCCAAGCCTTGTGTCTACTCCTTTATATCTGCAGTGCCTTAGACTTTAAGAAATGCTCTGACCGACATCATTTTCTTTGATACTGCTCTAGTCCTGAAATGCAGACATTGCTGTTTTTATCTCCATTGTAAAGGTGAACAGCTGAGGCACAGAGGGTGGGGTGAGATGGGCACTGGTGGAGCACGCACAGGTGGTAACAATACCAGGATGCAGTCATGGGCTGGGACATTCGCTCCCCACAGGGCCCGGGAAGAATTGCCTAGAATCGCTGCAGTGGCCAGTGGCCGGGCTGGCTCTAACTCTCCCCTTTGTTTGGCCTCACAGGCTGTGTGGGCTGTGCAACTGAGGAGAGGCTCTTCCACAAACTGTTTTCTCATTACAACCAGTTCATCAGGCCTGTGGAAAACGTTTCCGACCCTGTCACGGTACACTTTGAAGTGGCCATCACCCAGCTGGCCAACGTGGTGAGTGCCCTCTGATCAGAGCTTTCCCCAGCATTGTTACACTTTTGCAGGTGGTAAATGAAGGAATTTTAGAAATACAGATAGATGCAAATCTACACGAGATCTGGCCCTTCAAAGCCATCCATTTGGGAGGCAGGCAGTTTTCCCACCAATGCTGTAACTGTCTGTGTGAGGCAGTGTTTTTCCTGGAAGTGCTTTGAGAACCAGTTTACGAAACAAAGAGTTGCAGGGGAGTGAAAGGGAGCTAACTTCACGGGGCACCCATTATGCACCAGACGCCTGTTTACACTGTGTGGCCAACATCTTCATCTCACTGCTGAGGAAATGGAAGCTCAGTTAAGTGACTTTCCCAGGGTCATACAACTACAAAATGGCAAAATTGAGATTTAACTCCAAAGCTCATGCCCTTTTCACTCCACAGTTTAAAAATTGCTTTAAGGCCGGGCGTGGTGGCTCACTCCTGTAATCCCAGCACTTTGGGAGGCTGAAGCAGGCGGATCCCTTGAGCTCAAGAGTTCGAGACCAGCCTGAACGACATAGCAAGATCTTGTCTCTATAAAAATGCAAAAATTAGCCAGGTGTAGTGGCACATGCCTGTAGCTCCTGCTACTAGGGAGGCTGAGGTGGGAGGATTGCTTGAGCCCAGGAGGTCAAGGCTGCAGTGAGCCGAGATTGCACCACTGCACTCCAGCCTGGGTGACAGAGGAAAAAAAAAAAGAATTGCATGAAGTCTTCTATGTTATGTGAGAATGAAAAAAATGCAATTCCATTCAGCCTTGGGAAAAAAAAGAGGTTGGGAATTTGAGGATCTTAATTTCATTCCTTGCTACCATGTTCAAGGGCAAGTAGGACTGGAGCTCTTTGTTTTGGATAATCTTTGCGCCCCCCCATTGCAGGGAGAGGAAGTGGCGAGGCCCGTACTCTTGGGTACAGCAAGGTCTGGGCTCCAGGGCTCAGACCAAATTCTAGGAAGATGCAGGCTTAGGAAGCAAGGAAGGTCTGAAGTGTCTCCAGAGAGGGGCGCTAGAGCATTCCTGAGACTACAGGACACAGAGGGGGAGCCCTGCTCAAGTCAGCCCCAGCCATGGATGGGGAAGGGATCTCCTTCCTCCCAGACTTTGCTCTGTGGGTGAGGCGGCGGTGGCCCTTCTGGGTACACCTGAGGAAAGACCCTAATGACAGGCATGAGTCAGACCCCACCACATTCTCCAGTCCATGCTTCTCAGTGGATGAAGCCAACCCTGGTCCAGTCCTCTGTCTGTGACCCAGGCTGAAAGTGTGCATGCACTGGCTGAAAAAAATAAAGCCAGATGTTTCCCCTCACCTGGATGCGCTCTCCCATCCTTTAGTGAGTATTTATTTGGTGCCTGTTCTAATCCCCTTCCCAACTCCAGTAGCTTTGTCCTGGTTCCTGGTCTCCTGCTGGGCTGGAAGTTCTTGCTGTGGACTGGGTTGTTGTGAACCAAGAGCTGAACTGAGTTTCCTCTGAAGTCTGTGAGGGCTACCTCACTGCATGGCGTCTCTCCATAACCCTGCTGGACACACCTTTGCAGGAGGTTATTCTGAAGATGGGGGTGAAAGGGCTGGTAAATGCAGATTTTGACATTTACATTTGGTTGCAAGTATCAGAGATTAAGAGAAAACCCACAGCCTTTACAAAACAAGTTTATTCCTGTCTTATGCAACAGAAATCTAAAGGTTAACAGTCCAGGAGATTAATATCAGTCAGTTTCACGGTGTTAGTGGTTGCACATGTATGTTTAGTTGCCCAGGTTATGCACCGCACAACTCCAGGGGATGTCACTCCAACGGACTGTGATTCTAAAGGCATAAACCAGATGAGGCAGCAGTGACCAAGATTCCTTCCTTCTTTCATATTTCACCACCCTTTTCACGTGGCTTCTTCCCTCAGTGTTGCTTCATGGTTCAAGATAACTGCTGTATTCCCATCCTCACATTCACATTCTTGGCAAGAAACATAAGGAAGGGAGAAAAAGAGCAAAGTGTACATCCTAGACTTCTGTGATTTCCGTAAGAGCTGCTGCTTTCCATCTCATTGACTACCTCCAGCTGCAAGGCAGACTTGGAACTGCAGGTTTTTAAAATTGAATTTTTATTTCTTGAGATCATTATAGATTGACATGCAGTTGTAAGAAATAACGGAGGGATCCCTTGTAGACTCTGCCTGTTTCTCCCACTAATCTGCCCTCCAATTCTGAAATTTTCTCATTTCAACGATGTTATACGTAACTGGAATCATAGAGCAGGTAAACTTGTGGGACTGGGTTTTTCCCTCAGCATCATCCTTTAGAGATTCCTCCGAGTCACTGAGTGTTATCAGTAGTTCATTCCTTCTTGTTGCTGAGTAGTACTCCAGGGTGCTTTGTTTTTTGTTTGTTTGTTTTGTTTTGCTTTTGAGATGGAGTCTCACTCTGTCACCCAGGCTGGGGTGCAGTGGCGTGATCTTGGCTCACTGCAACCTACGCCTCCCGGGCTCAAGCGATTCTACTCCCTCAGACTCCCAAGTAGCTGGGATTGCAGGCATGTGCCACTATGCCCGGCTAATTTTTGTATTTTTAGTAGAGACGGGGTTTCACCATGTTGGCCAGGCTGGTCTCGAACTCCTGACCTCAAGTGATCTGCCCACCTTGGCCTCTCAAAGTGGGGATTACAGGTGTGAGCCACCACACCTGGACCATGGCGCTTTGTTTAACCATTAACTTGCTAAAGGACATTTGAGCTGATTCCAGTTTTTGGTCTATTACAAATAAAGCTGTTGTGAATATTTGTGTACAGGTTTTAGTGTAAATATAAACCTCCATGTCTCTGGGATAAATGCCCAGGAGTGCAATAGCTGTGTGTTGTCAGGTGAACTTGGGGTGGCCGAGAGAAGTGGCACAGCCAGGAAGCTTTGTTGCCCCTCCCTTCTGGAAGGCCTTGGAAAAGGCCCGCTGTCTGATCCCCAGCTTGGCTCTGGAGCACCAGGGCTCTACCTGGAAGTGTGTTTGTGTCATGCAAAATGACCTTGGCCAGAAAATTTTCTGGTTTCTTTCAGTACAGGAGCAAGGCCAAGTGCCCCTCGGAGGGATCCAGTGTTTGTGCTGGCCTGGCATATCTGAAATGACAAAGATAAAGCCTTGGTGTAATGCAGCCCACTTGGTCTTTTTGATCCGAGTCTCCAAGTCTGCTGCTGCTCCAGAAATGAGTCCATTTGAAATCATAACTCAAAGCCTTTGATGCAGCTGCTGTGTCAATTAATTGATTTTTCCAAGAAGGAGGTACAGGGTGATGGCACCAGGAATGGAGTTGATGCTGTGGGTCTTTGGACTCCTCCGGCAGAGATGTCTGATAGCAGTGCCATGCCCATTGGTGGGATCTGGAATTGGATGGAGAGAGAGTATGACTTGCCAGACAGGTCCTGCTCCATAGGGTCAGCTGACATCTCTGAAGGTGTCCACATCCCCATGGGCCATGTCCATACCACCTGGAGCTTCTCCGAGCCTGCGGAAGTGAGGCTGTGGAGTTGGCTATTGCCAACTGATCTCAGCCTTCTGAACACAGTGTGCTTATTCAGAGACAAAGCAGGCTTTGAAGGGCAGTTAGGGCTTATGCCCTCACCCCCAAGGCCTTCCTGGAACCGAGACTGCAGGGCTAGTCCATTCCTGACCAACAGTGAGTGGATTTATGGACATGGCCCCTGCTGGACTCTGCAGATTGCAAGGGGACGCTCATTACCAGAAGGCATGACCGCAGGCTTGTGTAATCGTAAAGCCATGAATTGGTTGACCAATAGATAAGCACAGATAATTTCTTTGCTTCCTGGGACTACAGGAACCCATGACTGTAACTCCTTTGCTGACCTTTCAAATCCCGGGGCTTACCCTGTCTTGTCACAGGCCCATTTGAAAGAGGAAGCCCAGCAGGGTTTCTGTTTAGAGTTTTCCAGAAGGGGCAGCAGTGGGGATGGAGTAGGGGAGAAGAGAACTGCAGGGCAGCCACGTGGCCCAGGGGAAGCTGGTGTCTGAGTCTGACCACGACTCCCTCAGCCACCACCATGGAGCTCATTTACTCTGGAGGGTGCCTGGGTGTCTTGGGAAGCAAGGTTGGCTGAGGAAGACTTGTGAATCTGCTGCTGGCCACTGGGGACATAAACAGCCACCAGGCTGCTGGGCTGTAAGGCCACTCAAGGTGCCAGGTGTGTCTTTGGTAGTTCTCCCACTGAGAGGTGGTAGCTTAGGAACTCATTACATTTGGGATGTCACCTGGAATGGTCTTCCTCCACACAGCCCTGACTGTCTTCTGGTCATTTAAGTATCTGCTTAAACATTACCTCCTCAAAGAAGCCTTCTTTGCCCATCCCATCTAAAATAGATGTGTGTGTGTGACTGAGATCATGTGCACATGTGTGCTAGCGTGTGTGTGCATGACTGTGAGTGTGTGTGCATGAGTGTGTTTGAGTGTGTGTGCATGTGCACCAGTGTGTGAGCCTGTGTATGACTGTGTGAGTGTGCCTGAGTGTGAGTGGGTATGAGTGTGTGCATGAGCGTGTGCATGTGCATGAGTGAGTGCATGTGCATGAGTGAGTATGCACCAGTGTGTGTGTATGAGTGTGAGTGCACACGTACGAGTGTGTGTATGAGAGTATACGTATAAGAGTACGAATGTGTATGAGAATTCATGAGTGGGTATATGAGTTTGCATGATTGTGTGTTCACGAGTGTGTGTGCGCATGAGTGTGAGTGTGCATGAGTGTGTATGAGAGTACCGTGTATATGCATGTGTGTATGAATGTGTGTGCATGAGTGTGTGAGTGTGCATGAGTGTGCGTGTGTATGAGTGTGCGTGTGTGTGCATATGTGTGTGTGTGTCCACACATGGACCATTCCATCCCTCTTTATTTGTCCTCATAGGACTTAACGCTGTCTTATGTTATAGTATAGATGTATTAGTAATTTTATGTCTCCCCATCTAACAGCTAAGACACATGAAGGCAGGACCTTTTCCCAACTTCTTATTGCTGTATTCCCAATATTTATAGAGCACATAGTGGTTACTCAATAAATATTTGTGTAGTGAACGATCGAAGTGGTGGCTTCGCTGGGGGTGAGTAGCAGCTGCCAGCTGGAAACCCCATGGTGGCCAAGGCTGACTTTTTTTTTTTTTTTTTTTGAGATGGAGTCTTTGTCGCCTGGGCTGGAGTACAGTGGCACGATCTCCGCTCACTGCAACCTCCACCTCCCTGGTTCAAGCAATTCTCCTGCCTCAGCCTCCCAAGTAGCTGGGATTACAGGCGCCCGCCACCACACCTGACTATTTTTTTGTATTTTTTAGTAGAGACGGGGTTTCACCATATTGGCCAGGGTGGTCTCGAACTCCTAACCTCAGGTGATCCACCCGCCTCGGCCTCCCAGAATGCTGGGATTACAGGTGTGAGCCACCGCGCCCAGCTGGCTGAGGCTGGCATTTCAAGATAGGATCCCAGGGCAGGGGTCTCAGGACTCAGAGCCCAGAGAGCCCTGAGGCACAGTCGAGGATGGGAGGCGTTTAGGGAACAGGCAAAAACACTGTGCGGGGTTGGAATCCTCACCACTTTCTGCAGCATCTCCCTCCCTCCTACCTGCTGTCGCTCTTCTTTTCTTTCCTTCCTTTCATGGAACTAGAAACCTTTATGGGCTGCAGAGATCGGAAGCACTTCACAGAAGAGGTGAGGCTTAAATCAGCTATGAAAGAGTTTAAAGCCACATTGCCTCTCAAAATCCACAGGGCTGGAGCCAGATGTGAAAATGCGGCATTTCTGCTTGCATGCTGAATGCTTTCACACATTGCCTTGAAGTCTTCTTCTATTGGCATGAATAAGTCAGATTTGGTTCTTTTTAGTTGTAATTTTTGCTCTAAGTCTCACCTCTATGGCAAGCACATTTGAGGCTAAAAGTATTATTTCTTCTTCCCAGGATGAAGTAAACCAGATCATGGAAACCAATTTGTGGCTGCGTCACGTATGTGCCTATATCATGTGTTGGCTTAATGATGTTGAATGGATAAAACCCACAAGCACTACCTTGTTCCATCTCCAACTGGTTATAGAATATAAAATATTATCCACTAGGTCATCTCCAAAGCCTAAAGTTCAGCTCTGGTAATAGCTGACTTGATGCATGCTTCACAGGTGCAGACACTTAGTGACAAAGGTCCCTCTGACATAGAGGTTTCCATCCTTCCTGGTTGCTGCTCTCAGATCTTCCACTTTTCTGTAACTTGAGCTCCAGGGTCTGATGCTTGCCTGCTCTTTGATCCCTGCTTGACCAGGCTTGGAGAAGTCAGTAGCTGAGCTTGGGAGCATGTACATGAGATTCCCAGCAGCTGGTTTTATCAGTTATACCTTTCTTCCTTAAGAAAGTCTTGGAGGGGTGCAGTGGCTCATGCCTGTAATCCCAGCACTTTGAGAGCCCAAGGTGGGCGGATCACCTGAGGTCAGGAGTTCGAGACCAACTTGGCCAACATGGTGAAATGAAACCCTGTCTCTAATAAAGATACAAAATTAGCCCGGCGTGGTGGTGGGTGCCCGTAATCCCAGCTACTCGGGAGGCTGAGGCAGGAGAATCGCTTGAACCAGTAGGCAGAGGTTGCAGTGAGCTGAGATTGCACCACTACATTCCAGCATGGGCAACAGAGCGAGACTCTGTCTTGAAAACAAAACAAAACAAAAAAAAAACAGAAAGGAAGTCTTAATCGTTTATACAGATTTTTTTTTAATTCAAAGCTTATCATCATACCCTTGAACTTTTTGATATTAGAGCTATACTCCAGTGTGAGTATAGCTCACGGAATATGGAAGTTGAGCCTAAAACTTTAACCAGCTAACTAATAATCAATACATAATTATCTAATGAAATATTTGCCTAAATCAGCTCAGCTATTTAGCTCCCTGTTCCCCATGGATATAATTGTCCAGATTTTGATAGCAACCAATGCATTCTTCAAATAAGAATGTATTATTTTTACTTTTTTTTTTTGTTTTTTGGTTTTTTTTGAGACGGAGTCTCGCTCTGTCGCCCAGGCTGGAGTCCAGTGGCGCGATCTCGGCTCACTGCAAGCTCCGCCTCCCAGGTTCACACCATTCTCCTGCCTCAGTCTCCTGAGTAGCTGGGACTACAGGGGCCCGCCACCACGCCCGGCTAATTTTTTTTGTATTTTTAGTAGAGACGGGGTTTCACCGTGTTAGGCAGGATGGTCTCGATCTCCTGACATCGTGATCTGCACGCCTCGGCCTCCCAACGTGCTGGGATTACAGGCGTGAGCCATCGCGCCGGGCCACTTTTTTTTTTTTTTTTTGAGACAGAGTCCCGGTCCGTCGCCTAGGCTGGAGTGCAGTGGCACGATCTCGGCTCACTGCAAGCTCCGCCTCCTGGGTTCATGCCATTCTCCTGCCTCAGCCTCCGGAGTAGCTGGGACTACAGGCAACCACCACCATGCCTGGCTAATTTTTTTTTTTTTTTGTATTTTTAGTAAAAATGGGGTTTCACCGTGTTAGCCAGGATGGTCTCAATCTTCTGACCTAGTGATCCGCTCACCTCGGCCTCCCAAAGTGCTGGGATTACAGGCGTGAGCCACCACGCCTGGCCAAATGTATTCTTTTTTCAACAACAACTGTTGAACCATCATAAAGTTAACATTGGAAGAAAGTTATTAAGAAACACATTTTTTTTTTCCAGATAGAGTCACCCAGGCTGTAGTACAGTGACATGATCTCAGCTCACTGCAAACTCTGCCCCCCACGTTCAAGAGATTCTCCTGCCTCAGCCTCCCGAGTAGTTGGGACTACAGGCGCTGGCCACCACACCCGGCTAATTTTTGTATTTTTAGTAGAGACGGGGTTTCACTATGCTGGCCAGGCTGGTCTCGACCTCCTGACCTCAAGTGACCTGCCTGCCTCGGCCTCCCAAAGTGCTGGGATTACAGGCGTGAGCCACCATGCCTGGCCCGAAAGTTATTAAGAAATTTTAAAAGCTGATTTCTATTTATTTTAGATCTGGAATGATTATAAATTGCGCTGGGATCCAATGGAATATGATGGCATTGAGACTCTTCGCGTTCCTGCAGATAAGATTTGGAAGCCCGACATTGTTCTCTATAACAAGTATGGGTCTCTGACCACCGTAGCCTCTTTCCAAAGCTGCTGTTGGTGTATTCTGGCCTATAGCAAAGGGAGTGTTACTAATGGTGTCTGACTTGCTTTGCAGTGCTGTTGGTGACTTCCAAGTAGAAGGCAAAACAAAAGCTCTTCTTAAATACAATGGCATGATAACCTGGACTCCACCAGCTATTTTTAAGAGTTCCTGCCCTATGGATATCACCTTTTTCCCTTTTGATCATCAAAACTGTTCCCTAAAATTTGGTTCCTGGACGTATGACAAAGCTGAAATTGATCTTCTAATCATTGGATCAAAAGTGGATATGAATGATTTTTGGGAAAACAGTGAATGGGAAATCATTGATGCCTCTGGCTACAAACATGACATCAAATACAACTGTTGTGAAGAGATATACACAGATATAACCTATTCTTTCTACATTAGAAGATTGCCGATGTTTTACACGATTAATCTGATCATCCCTTGTCTCTTTATTTCATTTCTAACCGTGTTGGTCTTTTACCTTCCTTCGGACTGTGGTGAAAAAGTGACGCTTTGTATTTCAGTCCTGCTTTCTCTGACTGTGTTTTTGCTGGTCATCACAGAAACCATCCCATCCACATCTCTGGTGGTCCCACTGGTGGGTGAGTACCTGCTGTTCACCATGATCTTTGTCACACTGTCCATCGTGGTGACTGTGTTTGTGTTGAACATACACTACCGCACCCCAACCACGCACACAATGCCCAGGTGGGTGAAGACAGTTTTCCTGAAGCTGCTGCCCCAGGTCCTGCTGATGAGGTGGCCTCTGGACAAGACAAGGGGCACAGGCTCTGATGCAGTGCCCAGAGGCCTTGCCAGGAGGCCTGCCAAAGGCAAGCTTGCAAGCCATGGGGAACCCAGACATCTTAAAGAATGCTTCCATTGTCACAAATCAAATGAGCTTGCCACAAGCAAGAGAAGATTAAGTCATCAGCCATTACAGTGGGTGGTGGAAAATTCGGAGCACTCGCCTGAAGTTGAAGATGTGATTAACAGTGTTCAGTTCATAGCAGAAAACATGAAGAGCCACAATGAAACCAAGGAGGTAAATGTGTGTTCCCTCCACCCAGCCAGCTTGCACCCTTTGCAGCCTATGGGCACTCTGGATGCACAGTCAGACCTTCAGTGTGACTTTTGTTCCTGAGAGGGTCAGGCGGCCTTGCTCTGAGACCTGGCTCTGTTATTATGTGGTTATGGGTGGACTGACAGGGTCAGACCTGCCAGTGGAGCGGGGTCAGGTGCAATAGCCCCAGAGCAAATCTCCACCTCCAGAAATGTGAACTCAAGTAAAATTTGCTTAAAATGAACATTCAGGGCCGGGCGTGGTGGCTCACGCCTGTAATCCTAGCACTTTGGGAGGCCAAGGCAGGCGGATCACCTGAAGTCAGGAGTTTGAGACCAGCATGGCCAACATGGGGAAACCCCATCTCTACTAAAAATACAAAAATTAGCCAGGCATAGTGGCACAGGCCTGTAATCCCAACTACTTGGGAGGTTGAGGCAGGAGAATCGCTTGAACCCAGGAGGTGGAGGTTACAGTGAGCTGACATGGCGCCCCTGCACTCCAGCCTGGGTGACAGAGAGAGACTCCATCTCAAAAATAAAAACAAACAAACAAACATTCAGGGCAACCTCAGTTAATGAAACTAAGAGCCTCAGCCTGGGCAACATAGTGAGACCCTGAACTACCAAAAAAAAAAAAAAAATTAGCAGGCGTGTTGGTGCATACCTGTAGTCCCAGCCACTCAAGGGGCTGAGGTGGGAGGATTGCTTGAGCCCAGGAGGTTGAGGCTACAGCCTGGGAGATAGACGACAGATCAGGGCCCTGTCTCAGGAAAAAAAAAAAAAAGCCCCTGCACAAGAAACAGCAGCAAATAAAAAGGTAGAAAGAGAAAAGCTGCCCCAGAGGGAAGGAGAAATGAGTTCGGAGCAGCGTGCAGCCTGGGGGTGCTGGGAGATGTGGGAGAGGGCGAGAGTGCATTCGTTCCGGCAGCTCTGGCCCCACTTGTCCTACTTGAGGGATTTAGGTGCTGGTGAAATGAGCCCCAGGGATATTTTTAGCGTTCACGTACTCTGTTCCTGCTGTCCAGAGTCTAACTATAGCAGCATGTACCTCCCTCAGCTTCCAAAGACAGAGCTCAAGAGAATCATGCCAATTTCCCACACCATGTGGGTGACTAGCGGAAGGCATCTGAAACTCAGGCCTGGTGTCTAGGTTTGACCTCGGACTGCAGCTGCTGGCAGCCATCGCTCCTAGTGAAAGGATACTGTGAAACCGAAAGTCCGCCCTGTTGGTGTAGAAGGAAGATGCTGTGAATGGCTGTCATGCAGATGTGTCACCGGACAAGAGAGCCCAGAAAAATTCACCTTCATAAAATTTAAAAGAAGACCCTCTCTCTACAAAAAAAACAAAAATTAGTAGGGCATGGTGGCACATGGCTGTAATTGCAGCACTTTCGGAGGCCAAGACGGGAGAATTGTTTAAGTAAGGCCAGGAGTTTGAGACCAGCCTGGGCAACATATTGAGACCTTATTTCTAAAAAACAAATTTAAAAAAATTTGCCAAGCCTGTTGTCCCAGCTATGTGGGAGGCTAAGGCGGGAGGATTGCTTGAGCTCAGGAGTTCCAAGTTCCAGTGAGCCACAATCGCACCACTGCACTTCAGCCTGGGCAACACAGCAAAATCCTGTCCCTAACATTTTTTTTTTAATCGAAGAAACAGCTGCTGTTGACTTAATCACTACCAGTTAGGGCTCTCAAGACACAAGTACAGATACAGTGGCAGAAGGCTGGAGGGTCAGGAACTGGGAGAAACACAACCAGCTCTCCATGGCCAGCATCCCTTTGAGGGCTGGAGGGCTGCCTATTCCTGATAAAGTGGTTCTCAATCATACCCCTCCATGTCCTCCGCCCCCAGTGGCACCCCCTGCCTCAAACTCATTCCCCAGACTTGCCATGGAGCCAGACTACCCACCGTTGCAAAGAATGAGTCTAGCTCTCTGAGCAGTTGCTTCTCTGGAGCGTTTCTTGCAGTTGGGAAAGTCCCTGGTGACCCACGGAGTCAGGGCTTTGCCGCAGACTCTGCTGTCTGAGGCACTCACAGAGGCTGTGCATCTGCCCTCTGCAAACGAAACAAAATTTCTTATGTGTCCTGTACAGGAGACCTGGATTCACCAAATACCAATATTTGCTTTATTTTCATTTTTATTTATTTTTCGAAATGGAGTCTTACTCTGTCACCCAGGCTGGAGTGCAGTGGTGTGATCGTGGCTCACTGCAACCTCCACCTCCCAGGTTTAAGCGATTCTCTTGCCTCAGACTCCTGAGTAGCTAGGACTACAGGCACATGCCACCATTCCTGGCTATCTTTTGTATTTTTAGTAGAGACAGGGTTTCACCATGTTGCCCAGGCTGGTCTTGAACTCCAGACCTCAGATGATCCTCCCACCCAGCTGATATTTGCTTTAAAACGTGCCGGAGAAATCTTCTTCAAAAAAGAAGCAGCTTATTGATGAAACAAGGCATGTTTCTTATGGTTTTGGTTTTTTAAAACAGCTCTTAATTTTTGTTTGCATTTCAGGTAGAAGATGACTGGAAATACGTGGCCATGGTGGTGGACAGAGTATTTCTTTGGGTATTTATAATTGTCTGTGTATTTGGAACTGCAGGGCTATTTCTACAGCCACTACTTGGGAACACAGGAAAATCTTAAAATGTATTTTCTTTTATGTTCAGAAATTTACAGACACCATATTTGTTCTGCATTCCCTGCCACAAGGAAAGGAAAGCAAAGGCTTCCCACCCAAGTCCCCCATCTGCTAAAACTGATGGCTACATGGAAAAAGAGGACTTTCTTGCACATTAGGAAGCAGAATATCCTCCAGTGTAGCACAGGGGGAGAAGTGAGAAGTGTTATGACATTAGTGCCCTGATTGGGCAGCACCCACGGCTACAGTATCAGGTCAGGTTTCTCGTGTCTGTGTGTTTGGCTTCTAAAGACAAGAATGACTTACAATACAGCCTAATTATGTAATTAACATCAAGCCACACTAAAAAGTTCTGCTGTACCTCCAGTGGATGCTGTTTCTCAGTATTATGACATGTGACAGGTGAACTCTGGGAATTGGACCATGCAACATTTGTGAACTGTTTGCAACACTTTGTGAACTATTGCATCCTTGATTTCTTGTGCATGTCTCTGTAATGTAACTCACCCTCCTCAGCATTATTTGATACACTGATTGTTAGTTTTAAAAAAAAAAAAAAAAAAACAGTTTGGTCAGGTGTGGTGGCCTGTAATCCCAGCACTTTGGAGGCTGAGGAAGAAGGATTGCTTGAGCCCTGGAATTCAAGACCAGCCTGGGCAACATAGGGAGACCCTGTGTTACAAAAATAAAAACATTAGCCACTGTAGTGTTTTGCACCTGTGGTCCTAGCTACTTGGGAGGCTGACATGGGGAGGATTGCTTGAGCTTGGGAGGCTGAGGCTACAGTGAGCCATGATCACACCACTGCACTCCAGCCTGGGTGACAGAGTGAGACCCTGTCTCAAAAATAAATAAATAAATAAAAACTACCAGATAGGGTCTTTCTCAACAGGCTGTATTTGCTTAGCATTCATCTGGCAAGAAGCTTAAGTGGAAACTCAGCACTGTGCTAGGCATTGCAAGGGTGACAAGCAATGGGTTCTTTCCCACAAGTGCTTGTAGCTTCTTAGGAAAAGTCGTAGCTATGAAGACTGCAGGCCAGATGTCATCTGGGGAATGTCACTAGAGCAACCAGAATAGGAGAACATGACGTGACGTGTCCAGGCAAGCCTAAAGCAACCCCTTTGTTGTGGGTTGGAAAAAGTTGTCTTTCTAGTCTTTTTAATTTATTTTTATTTTTATTTTTGAGACAGAGTCTTGCTGTGACGCCCAGGCTGGCATGTGATGGCGCATTCTCGGCTCACTGCAACCTCTGATTCCCCCGGTTCAAGTGATTCTCCTGCCTCAGCCTCCCAAGTAGCTGGGACTACAGGTGTGTGCCACCACGCCCGGCTAATTTTTGTATTTTTAGTAGAGACGGGGTTTCACCATGTTGGCCAGGCTGGTCTCGAACTCCTGACCTCAAGTGATCCACCTGCCTCAGCCTCCCAAAGTACCAGGATTACAGGCGTGAGCCACCGTGCCCGGCAGTCTAGTCTTTTTTCATCAACAGTTTTCATTTCTTCATTGTACTGATACTGAAAATAAAGTTATTTCTTTTCTTTTCTTTTTTCTTTTTTTTTTCTTTTTGAGACAGAGTATCATTCTTGTTGCCCAGGCTGGAGTGCAATGGTGCGATCTCGGCTCACTGCAACCTCCGCCTCGGGGGTTCAAGCGATTCTCCTGCCTCAGCCTCCCAAGTAGCTGGGATTACAGGCATGTGCCATCATGCCCAGCTAATTTTGTATTTTTAATAGAGATGGGGTTTCTCCATGTTGATCAGGCTGGTCTCGAACTTCTGACCCCAGGTGATCTGCCTGCCTCGGCCTCCCAAAATGCTGGGATTACAGGCGTGAGCCACAGTGCCCGGCCTCAGTTATTTCTTTTTTTTAAATTTCATTTAGGTTTTTAGTTTTAAGTTGGGTCCAATGCCACGTGCATATTTCTTATATAAGGAATTATAATCTTGGAGCTTTTGGAGCAATTCCTTTTCTGAGAGGGAGAAGCTTGGGAATTCTGTTTTATCGTACTCTGATTATCTTCTTATTTGTCGTATAAATATTATAACAATTTTAAACATGTATTTTAAGGCAGAAAACAATAAATCAAATCTAACAAAGGAAATAATTTCATGTGTGCCTTTTCCCTTCTAGTCTTTGTCCGTATGTAAACACTTCAATTTTACCTTGCAATGCTGTTTCCTTAAAACATAATATTAGCAACATTCTCTTTTACAGAGTCTTGAAGTATAATTTTTGTGATGGTATAATTACCATTGTGTTGGTTCTCGTAATTTTTATAATTACCATGTGAATTCTTCTTTGTCTTTTTTCTGCTGGAGCATGAGGTTCTCTGTGGGACATTAGGCAGAGGTCTTGAATTTGAATGATTGTATTTTATTTTTTATTCTTTCTTTATTTTTTTGAGACAGACTCTCCCTGTCGCCTGGGCTGCAGTGCAGTGGCATGATGCCGGCTCACTGCAACCTCTGCCTCTCGGGTTCAAGCGATTTTCCTGCCTCGGGCTCCCAAGTAGCTGGGATTACAGGGGCCCGCCACCATGCCTGGCTAATTTTTGTACTTTTAGTAGAGACGGGGTTTTGCCATGTTGGCCAGGCTGGTCACGAACTCCTGACCTCAAGTGATCCACCTGCCTCAACCTCCCAAAGTGCTGGGATTACAGGCATGAGCCACCGCACCCAGCCTGAATGACTCTATTTTAGAGCATTTTTATTCCCTATAATATTGGTGATTGTAGTACCTACCTTTTATCTTCCTGTCTTTATAGAGGGTTGGTTGTTACGCAATACTTTATTTTTTATTATTAAGCCCAATCAATGTTTAATTTCATTTAAAATTTGTTTAACTGTGGTAAAATCACATAACGTAAAATTTCCCATCTTAACCATTTTTAAGCATCCAGTTCAATGACATTAAATCCCTCCTTTTTTTTTTTTTGAGACGGAGTCTTGCTCTGTCGCCAGGCTGGAGTGCAGTGGCACAATCTCCACTCACTGCAACCTCTGCCTCTGGATTGAAGCTATTCCCCTGCCTCAGCCTCCCAAGTAGCTGGGACTACAAGCACACACCACCATGCCAGGCTAATTTTTTGTATTTTAGTAGAGACAGGGTTTCACCATGTTGGCCAGAATGGTCTCGATCTCCTGACCTCGTGATCTGCCCGCCTCGGCCTCCCAAAGTGCTGGGGTTACAGGCGTGAGCCACCGTGCCCAGCCCATAATGCCTTCATGTTGTTGTACAACCTTCAGCACCATCCATCTCCAGAACTCTTTGTCCTGCAACACTGAAACCCTGTACCCAGTAAGCAGTTACTGCTCCTTCTCCCCTACCTCACAGGCAACCCCCCATTCTACTTTCTGTCTCTATGAATTTGACCACTCTGGGTACCTCATATAAGGGGGATCATATTGTGTTTGTCCTTTTGTGACTGGCTTATTTCACATAATGTAACAGCTTCAAGGTGCATCTGTATCGTAGCATGTGTCAACATTTCTTTCATTTTCAAGGCTGAATAATATTCCGTTGTCTGTATTTACTGCCCTTTATGTATCCATTCACCTGTCAATGGACACTTGGGTTGCTTCTACCTTTTGCCTGCTGCCATGAACTTGGGCTTACAAATAATTCTGAGTCCCTGCTTTCAGTTATTTTGGGTATATACTTAGAAGTGAAATTGCTGGATCAGACAGTTATTCTATTTTTTAATATTTAATTTTTGTGGGTACATAGGACTTGTATATATTGATGGGTTATGTGAGATATTTTGATATAGGCATGCAGTGTGTAATAATCACATTGGTGATTATTATAAATGGGGTGTCTGTTACCTCAAGTATTTGTCCTTTGTGTTACAATCTAATTATATTTTTAGTTATTTTTAAATGTACAATTATTTTTTACTAGTCACCCTGTTGTGTTAGCAAATACTAGATCTTATTCATTCTTTCTATTTTTTTGTACCCATGGTTATTCTATTTTTAATTTTCTGAGGAATCATTATACTGTTTTCCACAGTGCTGTACCATTTTACGTATTCCCACCAGCAGCGCACAAAGGTTTTGATTTCTCGGCATGCTCACCAACACTTGTTATTTTCTGGGGTTTTTGGCAGTTGCCATCCTAATGGGTGAGAGGTGGTGTCTTGTGGTGGTTTTGGTTTGTGTTTCCCTAATGATTAGCAATGTTGAGCATCTTTTCATGTGCTTACCGGCCATTTGTATATCTTCTTTGGAGAAATGTCTATTTAAGTCCTTCACCCATTTTAAAAATCAGGTTATTTGTGGCCTAGCGTGGTGGCACACGCCTGTAATCCCAGCACTTTGGGAGGCCGAGGCAGGCAGATCACGACGTCAAGAGATCGAGACCATCCTGGCCAACATGGTGAAACCCCGTCTCTACTAAAAATACAAAAATTAGCTGGGCGTGGTGGTGTGCACCCGTAGTCCCAGCTACTTGGGAGGTTGAGGCAGGAGAATCACTTGAACCCGGGAGGTGGAGGTTGCAGTGAGCGGAGATTGTGCCACTGCACTCCAGCCTGGCGACAGAGTGAGACTCCATCTAAAGAAAAAGAAAATCAGGTTATTTGTTTTTTGAATTGTTGAGTTGTAGGAGTTCTTGATATGTTCTGTATATTAATCGCCCATCAGATATAAAAACGAGACTTTTAAGAATTGCATTGGCCGGGTGCAGTGGCTCACGCCTGTAATCCCAGCACTTTGGGAGGCCAAGGTGGGCGGATCACGAGGTCAGGAGATTGAGACCATCCTGGCTAACACGATGAAACCCTGTCTTTACTAAAAATACAAAAAATTAGCCAGGTGTGGTGGCGGACGCCTGTAGTCCCAGCTACTAGGGAAGCTGAGGCAGGAGAACGGCGTGAACCTGGGAGGTGGAGCTTGCAGTGAGCCAAGATCACGCCACTGCACTCCAGCCTGGGCGACAGAGCGAGACTCCGTCTCAAAAAAAAAAAAAAAAAAGAAAGAAGAATTGCATTGCAGCCAGGTGCAGTGTCTGATGCCTGTAATCCCAGCACTATGGGAGGCTGAAGCGGAGGGATGGCTTGAGTCCAGGAGTTTGAGACCAGCATGGGCAATATGGTGAAACCCTGTCTCTACAAAAAATACAAAAATTAGCTGGGTGTGCTGGCACCTGCAGTCCCAGCTACTTGTGAGGCTGAAGTGGGAGGATTACTTGAGGCCAGGAGATCAAGGTAGCAGTGAGCTATGATTATGCTATTGCATTCCAGCCTGGGCAACAGAATGAGACCTTGTCACAAAATAAAACAAATAAAATAGAAAAAGGAACTGCATCCCAGGAAGATGGGAGGAGAGTGCTCCCAGCCAGGGTCAAGGAAACCCCATTCTGACTTCTTAACACATACCTTTCTACTTGAGCATGCCTTAGACTGCCCAGTTCAGCTTTCCAGAAGTTGCTCAGTGAGCCTTAGGGGAGAGAGGATCTTGTACTTACAAGTAAACAAACTAGCAACATACTTTTAAGAAGAAATGAACTAAGCATTGGGGAAAAAAAAAAGGGAATCACAGCATTTGTTCAGAAGAACCAAAGGAAAGCATGGATTGAAAATGCATAAAGGGGCATGAAGGGAGTAAAACATTAAAGATCTCTTTGTTAATTGAGATTTTTAACTTTTATTTTTTTTTAAATTTTTTTTTGAGCTGGAGTTTTGTTCTTGTCACGCAGGCTGGAGTGCAGTGGTGCGATCTCAGCTCACCGTAACATCCGCCTCCTGTGTTCAAGCGATTCTCCTGCCTCAGCCTCCCGAGCAGCTGGCATTACAGATGCATGCCACCATGCCCAGCTAATTTTTGCATTTTTAGTAGAGATGGGGTTTCATCAAGTTGGCCAGGCTGGTCTCGAACTCCTGATCTCAGGTGATCCACCGGCCTTGGCCTCCCAAAGTGCTGGGATTACAGGCATGAGTTACCACGCCTGGCCTGAGATTTTTAACTTTTAGAATTGACTTGAAATACTCTTGATTATGATTTCATCATTAATGTCTCTGTGTGTGTGTGTTCACATGTGTGCACATGCATTCGGGGTTGTCTGTGTATCTGAACTATAGAATCAATGATAGTAGAGACAGGGTTTCACCGTGTTAGCCAGGATGGTCTCGATCACCTGACCTCAGATCCGCCCGCTTCGGCCTCCCAAAGTGCTGGGATTACAGGCGTGAGTCACCGCGCCTGGCCCCTGATCTTCCTAAAATAAGTGGGCAGTTTGCTTCTTCTTCTTCCTGACACGGTTTACATTTCAAAGCCTTCTTCTCCCTACTGACTACTGACACCGAAAGTTGCCCCCCAAGCCACTCTCCCTAATTCGGGCGTCCCCCTGCCACCCCTGTCCTGTGGTGGTGAGCCTGGAGTTGGGGCGGGGACAGGATGAACCATCTCAATTGATTTACTTCTTTTTCTACTCTCATCTCATGGAAGAGGATGAATTGTACAGGAGGTAGAGACATGGTTAAAGAGTCAGGAGATTTGTTTTCTAGTGCTGGATTTGTTATTAATTAGCTGTATGATTGTGGGCAAACTACTCTATCTTTTGAGATAAAATAAGACTTGGGTTAAATAATCTATGAGTTTCATTTCATGTCTAAGGCGTGGTGGCGGGCACCTGTAGTCCCAGCTACTTGGGAGGCTGAGGCAGGAGAATGGTGTGAACCCAGGTGGCGGAGCTTGCAGTGAGCTTAGATGGCACCACTGCACTCCAGACTAGGCGACAGAGCAAGACTCCGTCTCAAAAAATAAATAAATAAGTAAAAAGAAAAAAGGAAGATCAGGACTATCAGTTGGCAAAAAACAAAAAAAAAAAAACCAAAAAAAAAACCAAAACAAAACCTGAGAAAGTTTATTTTAATGAGCATAAAGGATAAAAATATCTAATGTATACAAGTTTTCACAATGAGACCAGTCATGGAGGTGGCAAGCTGAGTTGCGTGGTCGACATTTGGAGAAAGACAAGTCACAGGCCAGATGGAAGCATCCCAGGTTTCCTCTTCCCACTGCTCTGCCCCACCCACCCTGTCACACTTCCCATGGCAGAGGCAGCAGAAAGTGGGCAGAGGAAAAACCACTGACATCAGCAGATGCTGAGTGCAGAGGGGCGATGCCCAGGGTAGGTCATCCTGGGGGCTCATGAACCAGATTGGAGTTGGCTGGGAAAGACACGCAGACACCTCTGTGCCCTCACCCAGCTCCATTCGGGAGCCCTCAAAGCCATGTGCTGGATGTGGCCTCAGGTGCTTGATCATCTGATTTTTCAGAGAAAGAATGATGACCAAAATGAAGGACTGAGGCGTGTCTTGATCATCGAGGTTTATTAAGCCACTTGAGGGCGGGTCTGGGAAAAACACCGCACCTGTGGGACACACCTGTGGCTGTTTTTCATAAGAGGATTTCAGGAGGTTTAACATTTATATACGTCCTTAGAGGTGGGGGTGGGGCGAGTAGGGAGAGGGACAGGCCGGCTGCGAATGGTGCATTTTACATAAGAGAAGGTGAACATCTGGAGAGGAAAAAGGGAAAGAATCAAGCTGGGCGTGGTGGCTTACACCTGTAATCCCAGCACTTTGGGAAGCCGAGGCAGGTGGGTGCTTGAGCCCAGGAGTTCGAGACCAGCCTGGGCAACACAGGGAGACCCGCATCTCCATAAAAAAATACAAAAATTAGCCGGGCGTGATGGTGCCTCGCTGTGGTCCCAGCCACTTGGAGAGGCTGAAACGGGAGGATCACCTGAGCTTGGGAAGTCAAGGCTGCAGTGAGTTGTGATCCCACCACTGCACTCCAGCCTGGGTGACAGAGTAAGACCCTGTCTCAAAGAAAAATAAAAATAGATCAACAACAACAACTACAACAACAAAGTTAAAACTATAAACTAAATTTCTCCCAGTTAGTTTGGCCTACGTCCAGGGATGAACAATGGCAGCTTGGAGGTTAAAGGCAAGATGGAGTGGGTTAGGTCAGATCTCTTTTCTCACTGTTATAATTTTTACAAAGGCGGTTTCAGGAACAAGGCAATAAGAACGGGGGCACACATGTGCACATCTCCCCTCTTCCATCCCCTTTAGACTTTGGAGCGATCGTTTCAGTACTTCAGCATATCCAGCTGCTGTAGACTGAATGTGTGCTCTCCCTAAACCCATACGTGTATTTTATTTTATTTTATTTTTGGAGACAGAGTCTCACTCTGTTGCCCAGGCTGGAGTGCAGTGGTGCGATCTCGGCTCACTGCAACCTCCGCCTCCCAGGTTCAAGCGATTCTCCTGCCTCAGCCTCCTGAGTAGCTAGGACTACAGGCACCTGCCACGATGCCTGGCTAATTTTTAAAAATTTTTTAGTAGAGGTGGGGTTTCACCATGTAGGCCAGGCTGGCCTTGAACTCCTGACCTCAAGTGATCCACCTACCTCGGTGTCCCAAAGTGCTGGGATTACAAGCGTGAGCCACAGTGCCTGGCTCAAACACAGAAGTTTAAATCCTAAACTCCAATATGATGATGTTAGGAGGTGGGGCCTTTGGAAGGTGATTAGGTCATGAGGGTGGAGACTCCGTGAATGGGATTAGTGCCGTTATAAAAGAGACCCCAGAGAGTTCCCTCACCCCGTCCACCATGTGAGGACTCAGGGAGAGGAGGGCTGTCTATAAACCAGGAAGCAACCCTTACCACACACCAGACCTGCCAGCACCTTTCCTTGGGCTTCCCAGTCTCCAGAACTGTCAGCAATAAATTTCTGCAGTTTAGAAGCCACCCAATCTATGGTATTTTTATATAGCATCCTGAATACATTTAGATACCAGTTATTCTCAACTGGAGATGCCATCGCACCCATTCTACACACACACACACACACACACACACACGCACACACACTCTCATACAATTTCCCATTGGTGTTTGGAAATGTATAAAGGGGTGTTTTGGCTGCCACAATGACTGGGGGTGCCCGAGTAAAGTAGGGTGAATCCTTCCCCACTCCCACCTCATGGAATTTTGCAGATGAAGAGAACCTTCATCTGTAAAACAAGAATGATAATAGCGCTTTCCTCACAGGGCTGTTTCTTTAAGTTTGCCTGAGTTAATGTCACAGTTTTCATCCTTCTATTGTTTCCTTTTGAACACTGTGATCTTCTGGCCTGGCTGACTCTCCTCTTGATGCCCAGAGCTGAGACTGTCCTTGAGCATTCAGACGAGCATGTCTAATTCCACAGCAGGCCGGGCTGCCCTGTCCCATGGCCATCAACACTGCCTGGAGGGGTGACAGTCCACATCTGGGCACGGATTGCTGCTCTCACCTAGTTTTCCCAAACCCAAGATTATGTCCATGAGCCAGTGACATAGTGTTACTTTTATGGTCACTGGTACTTGATTGACATACTGAACAGAAAGTTTTAATACAAAGAAGAAATACATGTCAGGTTAAACATATATGGTAATCACTGTGTTAATTAAATGAATTAATTTAAGTAGATAACAGTAGGTGCTTCAGAGAAAGAATTTTGACACAACCGAAAGGTCCATTCCAACATAAGAATGTTACTCTCTGGAAATTACTATGTTCCAATGTTGGCTGGCTATACACCATCTCCAAAGGGACCAAGATCATAGCTAAGAGTTTTTGTAACCTTGCTGTGTGTTGTGGCCTCAGGCTAGACCACAAGATTTACCACTGGATACAGTGGAGAGATCAGACTTGCATTACCTTAATCTAGGGATTAATCTTAACTCTAATGATCAGATAGCCAAGTAGCCTCCCTCCTCACTATGGTATAATATGAACACCATGTTATCATCTATAGCACATCCCTAACAAAAAGATTGAGCTGGGTGCGGTAGCTCATGCCTGTAATCCCAGCTCTTTGAGAGGCTGAGGGGGGAGGACTGCTTCAGGCCAGGAGTTCAAGATCAGCTGGCCAATATGGGGAAACCCCATATCTACTCAAAATACAAAAATTAGCCTGGCGTGGTGGCACAAGCCTATAATCCCAGCTACTCAAGAGACTGAGGCAGGAGAATTGCTTGAACCTGGGAGGTGGAGGTTTCAGTGAGCCGAGATCATGCCACTGCACTGCAGCCTGGTGACAGAGTGAGACTCTGTCCCAGGGGAAATATGTTTAGGGATACAGATGTAACTTTCAGTTTACAGGAAAATACAGGAGACAAAGGAATAAGGTAAATGCCACCAGAAGCAAGCAACCAGACAAACTCCAAATAGGGAGATATACTTGGGGAAAACGGATCTGGTCCTTTCAACAAATCAGTGCCAAGAAAGAGATTAAAATAGATTTAAGATCACACCTGTAATCCCAGCACTTTGGGAGGCTGAGGTGGGCAGATCACAAGGTCAGGAGATCGAGACCATCCTGGCTAACACAGTGAAACCCCATCTCTACTAAAAATACAAAAACAAAATTAGCTGGGCGTGGTGGTAGGTGCCTGTAGTCCCAGCTACTCGGGAGGCTGAGGCGGGAGAATAGCATGAACCCGGGAGGCAAAGCTTGCAGTGAGCTAAGATCGTGCCAGCCTGGGCGACAGAGCAAGACTCCGTCTCAAAAAAAAAAAAAAAAAAGATTTAACAGGCATAACAAATGGTCTTGGGTCAAATCCTATTTGAGACAAGCTAAATATCAAATTGGGATATTTTTGAGGCAGGGAACTTGAATGTAGAATTACTAATTTTGCTAAGTATGATAATAGTATTTTGGAGATTGTTTTAATGTAAGAAAATGTTTTTCTAAGGAGAATACTGAAAATTACACACACAGAGCTAGAAATATTTGGAGGGGCTGAGCAAGAGTACACATTTGTCCCCATTTTAGACAACTTCATCCAAAATTCCTGGTATCTGGTTTAATTAATCAACAAATATCAAGTAAGCCTTGACTGTGGACTACGCTCTATTAGATATTGTTGGGGGTATGATGGAGAATATACTGGTATAGCTAAGAAAATGAGGTTCACTTAATAATAGAAATGATATTCTAAACCATACAGCATACACTGGAAATGCCACTGGCTTTCCAACACAGGGAGCCCAGTGGGGGCCATGTGTTCTATGAAGGCTTCAGGAGGAGCAGTGGCGGGGGTGTGTGAGCAGAAATCTGAAGGCTGCACATAATGTGGACAGCTCTCTGTGGCCCCCCGTGTGTGTGCCTGCACACGTGTGTCCCACACTCACACGTGTTGAGGGAAGAGAGAGATCCTCTCACATTGTTTTATACTCAGTACCTGTTTTAAAAAAAAAACAACAAGGAAGTAAAACCAAAGACAGGCAGCCTGGCGCCAGGCCTGAAACTAGGCCTGGGCCTGCCTGGCCTAAACCCAGTAGTTAAAAATCAACTCATAATTTAGAAACCGATGTTATTCATAGATTCCAGACATTGTATAGAAGAACGCTGTGAAACTCCCTGCCCTGTTCTGTTTCTCTCTGACCACCAGTGCATGCAGCCCCTGTCACGTACCCCTTGCTTGCTCAAATCAATCATGACCCTTTCACGTGAAATCTTTAGTGTTGTGAGCCTTTAAAAGGGACAGAAATTGTGCACTCGGGGAGCTTGGATTTTAAGGCAGTAGCTTGCCGATGCTCCCAGCTGAATAAAGCCTTTGCTTCTACATCTCGGTGTCTGAGAGGTTTTGTCTGCGGCTCATCCTGCTGCAGTGTGATACAGAGAGAAATCGTTCTTGCAACTTCCACTTCTTGGATTAATTGGCAGATTTTGCACATAGATTTTTCTTGCTATACATTTGGAATTAAAATTTCTTTGCCTTAGAGTGATCATTTGTGGTTACTTCCTTAGGATTATTATGTTATATAAATACTTGTTCTTTTCTGTGTTTGAAGCTGTTATTATCTCCCACCTTGGCTACATGTACACATGTGAAGGCTTAATCTTTTCTGAATCTGTGTCTGATCAGTAAGAAGCTTCCTGTAGAAGGTGTTTCATGCTGGTATTTCCTTTTTTTTTTTCCTTTAACTTTGTTTTGTTTTTGCTTTAGACATGAGGGCTCACTCTGCCGCTCCTGGCTGGAGTGCAGCAGCACAATCATAGGTCACTGAAACTTTCAACTCCTGGGCTCAAGTGAACCTCCTGTTTCAGCCTTCCATGTGGCTGGAATTACAGGCATGAGCCACCCCCCCGGCTCATACTGGCATTTTTTCAAACTTTGAAACTGAATTCATATCTAAACACATTTTTCTGAAATTAGTATAATCATTGTGAAAATAAATAAAACTTAAAAGCTGTTGGAAACCCCCAAACGCTTTAAGCTTTGAGAGAGATGTGGCTGTGATCTGAGTTATATGGCATGTTGTTGTCACGTCTGTTTCTTAGATTATAGCTTAACTCTCTTTCTCATTGTCCTTGTTCTGTCATTAACTAGGAAAGACCAGACCTCCCTCTTCCAAACACTGATCATTGTGATAGATTAACTGCCTCCTTTGTTATCCTGTACCTAACTCAGGCCAGATGGTGTCCCAAACGGGGACCCCATGACAGTTCCATCTTCAGTGTAGAATGTTAAATATACCTTTTCCAAAAGAAAAGAACCACCTTGACTAATGAGAACATTGTGACTATGCATTAAGCCTTATATAGAAAGAGGCTAAAATTCTGTTAAACTTCCCTAAGCTTTGTCTATAAAAGTGATCCCAAATTTCTAACTTTGGAACGCTGACTTCCATTCTTTGGAATCTGTGGTTCCTGGGAGGGTTGTCCTCAAACTTTGCACTTGAATAAACTGCTTAAACTAGATTCTGACCCTTTTGATTATTTTAGATTGACATCATTTACCTAGCAAACTAAGAGTTAAAGTTAAGTGGTGTGTTAAAGTCAATAGTATTCTCAATAAAAAGGAGAGGAATAGTGGCTTGCCCTTTGAATCCACAATCCCATCAATAATTTAAGGCAAAGAATCCTTGATTTTCATCACAATGTATTCCTGCAAATCCCATCCTGAAGTACTGATAAAGCAGGTTCAATTTTCCCAAAGGAACAAAGTTACACTGAGTTGTGTGGTTTAAAAACTGTGAAAGCTCCAGTAAAATTATCCAAAATATAGAAATTTAGAGCAGGGGAGAGCTTCAAAGGTCATGCATGAATCATAACTCCTATAAACCAAAACTAAAATTCTAAGGCCTCCCAACCATCTGAATGGTCCCCTCCTTTTGGCCAGGGCAGCCCAAAATTAATCTGAAAAACCTATTCAGGCCATGATGGAAGTGGGGCTCAGACATGCCTCACTATACCCTCCTCCTTTTTGGAATTCAGGAAAAGCCAACCAGAATTAACATCAACACTGATCAGAAGTCTGATAAGGAACATTTGCAATCTCTTCTCTCTGAAGCCTGCTACTTGGAGGCTTCATCTGCATGATAAAACCTTGATCTCCACAACCCCTCATTGTCAACCAGACACTCCTTTCTATTGATAATAACTATTTCAACCAATTGCTAATCAGAAAATTTTAAAATCTACCTATGACTTGGAAACCCCCTCCAACCCCCCTGCTTTGAGTTGTCCTGCCCTTCCAGATAGAACCATTGTAGACCGGGCGCGGTGGCTCACGACTGTAATTCCAGCACTTTGGGAGGCCAAGGTGGGCAGATCACGAGGTCAGGAGATTGAGACCATCCTGGCTAACACGGTGAAACCCCATCTCTACTAAAAATACAAAAAATTAGCTGGGCATGCTGGCAGGCGCCTGTAGTCCCAGCTACTACGGAGGCTGAGGCAGGAGAATGGCGTGAACCCGGGAGGCGGAGCTTGCAGTGAGCCGAGATGGAGCCACTGCACTCCAGCCTGGGTGACAGAGCGAGACTTCATCTCAAAAAAAAAAAAAAAAAAAAAAGAACCACTGTAAACCTTACATGTATTTGATTGATGTCTCCTGTCTCCCTAATGTATAAAACTAGGCTGTGCCCTGACCACCTTAGGCACATGTCCTCAGGATCTCCTGAGGGCTGTGTCACAGGTCATGATCACTCATATTTGGCTCAGAATACATCTCCTCAAATATTTTGCAGAGTTTGACTCTTTTCGTCGATACTTCTTATTACTGACTGGGAAACTGAAACCCTAGAGGGACCTATCGAGTGAGGAATAATAATCAACCCCAGCATGCTTCCCATCTAGAGCACGGGATATTATACAATAATGTTTTCAAAGCTCCGAGGGAAAATGATTTTGAACCAGAATTCCACACCCAGCCAATCCATTATTTAAATGTGAAGGCAAAATAAATTACAATTTCAGAAAAGCAAGGGTTCAAGAAGGTTACCACACTCAAATATTTCCTGAAAGAATTACTTGAAGACATGCTCTTCTGAAATAATGGAAGAAATGAAGCAGGAAAAGAGGAATGCTTAAGATAAAAAACAGTGATGAACAAATAAATGAAATTGTTTGTCATGTGGTTATGGACAAAATGTGTGGTGAATACATGGTTCTTAGGGAAAGGAACACATAATATAAAAATTAATCATGTAGAACTAAAATTCTGGATGATTTAAAGAAAATGTGGAAAGTGATAAAAGTGAAATGAAGGTGAGGGGAAGTGAGGGTCCTAAAGAAATTATTTTGTGTAGAAAGTGGCAGCCACAAACACTAATTCTCAACATTGATTTAAAAAGTTGAATGTTTATTAATAAATTAATAGAAGCGGACATGTAACTTTCAAGCCATTAAAGGCAAAGAAGGAATGGACAAACTACAAACTCGGCCAAGGCTGAAAAAGTGGGGGAAAAGGTGAAGGGAAAAAGGTGAAGGAACAAGAGAATGTTATACAGAAAGCACAAACTAAATGGCATTAATAAGACGAAATACATCAGTGGTAACAATATGTGAAGGTGTTTCATGCTTAGATTTTTTTTTTTTTAAATGGAATCTTGTTCTGTTGCCTAGGCTGGAGTGCAGTGACGCAATCTCGGCTCATTGCAAGCTCTGCCTCCCGGGTTCAAGTGATTCTCCTGCCTCAGCCTCTCAAGTAGATGGGAGTATAGGCATGGACCTGGCTAATTTTTTGTATTTTTAGTAGAGATGGGGTTTCACTGTGTTAGCCAGGATGGTCTCGATCTCCTGACCTTGCGATCCATCCACCTTGGCCTCCCAAAGTGCTGGGATTACAGGCGTGAGCCACTACGCCCAGCCACTTAGATTTTTTTTTAAGAGACTGCGTCTTGCTCTGTCGCCCAGGCTGGAGTGCAGTGGAGCAATCATGGCTCACTGCAGCCTCCAACTACTGGGTTCAAGTGATCCTCCCATTTCAGCCTCCTGAGTAACTGAGACTGTAGGCACACATCACTAAAATTGTTAAAATTTTAATTTTTTAAATTTTTTGTAGAGACAGGGTCTTGCTGTAGAGAGCAGGCTGGTCTCAAACTCCTGGCCTCAAGCAATCCTCCTGATTTGACCTCCCAAAGTGCTAGGATTATGGGTGTGAGCCACTCCACCCAGCCTAGATTGCAAACTGCTTGCAAGAGCCATGCCTAAAAGTACTCCAGAAAGGGATTTGGATTTATAACTGGGCAGAGAGAAAAATTGCTTTAAGCTAAAATTCAGGAAGGATTGGGCAGAGGCAGCAATTTTGGAGGGCAAGAAGAACCTGAGCAGACTCCCCTCGGAGTCTTAGAGAAGGAATGATGGTGGGTGGGGGTGAAGCCCACCCAGGTGCCAGGAGACAGGGAAACAGCAGGTGGAGCCTAGGGGATAGTGTTGGTATGGATCCGATTAGACGAGGTGACATCAAAAACCATTAATCAGAGAATGTTCTGTACACTAGTTTACTAGGAAAAGATAATGGGTATTAATGAATCCACTTCTGGTAGCAAAGGGCTTTGTTTCTATTGTGAGTTATTTTGGTATGCATGACCTTAAAGGAAGTCACAGCTCACAGTGGGCTCCAGTTTCACCATCTGAAAGCCTTATCATGCTGGGAATAAACCATGAATAACACCTGCTTCGGTAGGCCAGGCAACTTGGAATCTGTGTTATTGTTAAGTGTGCAGTGCCAGCTATCCTGCCAGTGTAATCCCCAAACCCTTGTTGAGATTTGCCTGGCCCATTGCTAACAAGCATAACACGGCCCCAGTTTGCAGCTCAGACAAAACCACCAAGGAGGCCAGTGCAGGGTGGGAGATCCAGGCTCTGCCCACACAGATAGCTCGACACCGAGACTTCCTTAATTCCAGGTGAATCCCCCCTCCCCCACCACCGAGGCCTGCTGCTTCTAGGAGGTGTTCCTCCACCAAGTAGCAACAGCTTTTTGTGCACTCTGGCCACATGTGAGCTCAAGCCTGGACCTATGATCCCTCCCTGAATGTCTGGGAAAGCCAAGGCAGGGGTCTGAGGAGGCTCCACTTTCTTTAAAAGCAGCTCACTCTCATGGCAACCACAAATGAGCACATTTACCAGAGTTTCTCCCATGAGGAGATGTTCCATTTCCACAAAGACAACGCATTCGGGGTTCGTAGAACAAGCACATGCATTTGGATTCTGTCTGTGTGATAGCCAGATGTCAGGTCTAAGGTGTAATTTAGTCTTATGTCTTTTAAATTCCTAATGGTAACTATGTAGCCACATCTTCAAAGCAGGGGTAAAAATCAGAACCGAGCCTGTTACTGACACTATCAGAAAGAGCCACAGGAAGATTCGGTCAAGAACTTGAGCTACAAATTTCCAGTCTTGTACTACCTGCAAAAGAGAAAAAGATGCCTTTCACTCAAGACACTGAGCAACTGTTCTGTATTCATCTCAAGGGATTAAAAAAGAGTAACATTCAGATTTATAGCATTTACTTAAGTTTTCAAAATGCATCTAATGTCCCAACCACACTACAGGCTCAGGTTCTTTCAGGGACTTCGCTAATTGTGCCCAAAAGAAGCAGCTTGGAACACTCTCATCAGCACTGAAGAAGGAAAATAGAAACAATAGAATTCTGTATGCATATGTCAACATTCCTGATCAGAATAGGAAAAGTCTGATTTTTACATGAATAAAGAGCCACTATAGGCCAGGTGCGGTGGCTCACGCCTGTAATCCCAGCACTTTGGGAGGCCTGGGGGTGGGGGGATCACCTGAGGTCAGGAGTTCGAGACGAGCTGGCCAACATGGTGAAACTCCCTCTCTACTAAAAATACAAAAATTAGCTGGGCATGGTGGCGGGCACCTGTAATCTCAGCTACTTGGGAGGCTGAGGCAGGAGAATTGCTTGAACCCAGGAGACAGAGCATATCTTAGGAAGCCAGTATATCTTACTAGGGTGCTTCCTGATACACGTATGAAAAGAATCACAAGTTTATAATTTAAGAGTTTTTGTGGCCAAATGTCACAGGCTTTCTTTTCTTCCACTCCACCTGTGCTGCAGCTCCAGAAGGAAGGGTGCTGCCAAGGAGAAGAACCGACCAGGACAAGACAGGAATTCATGAAGGAGACAAGAAACTGAGTCCCCTTTATTAGGAAGGGGAGGTGCAGAGAGTGGGCAACAGGTCCATAAACACAAAGTCAAGGCACGACTGGCTGGGGAAGTCTGAAAGGAAGGGGAGTCCTCATCCCTCTAGAGTAAATAAATGTCCTCCGTCTTGGGGAAAAAAAAGAAATCTTTGTATTAGGTTTTTGTTTTGTTTTGTTTTGTTTTGCTTTTTTGAGACATAGTCTCACTCTGCCACCCAGGCTGCAGTGGTGCAATCTTGGCTCACTGCAACCTCCACCTCCTGGGTTTAAGTGGTTCTCCTGCCTCAGCCTCCCGAGTAACTGGGATTACAGGCACTCGTCACCATGCCCAGCTAATTTTTGTATTTTTAGTAGAGACAGGGTTTCAACGTGTTAGCCAGGCTGGTCTCGAGCTGCTGACCTCAGGTGATCCACCCGCCTCGGCCTCCCAAAGTTCTAGGATTACAGGCGTGAGCCACCACACCCGGCCTGTATTAGTGTTTTTTTGTTTGTTTGTTTGTTTTTTGAGACGGAGTCTTGCTCTGTCGCCCAGGCTGGAGTGCAGTGGCATGATCTTGGCTCACTGCAAGCTCCGTCTCCCGGGTTCACACCATTCTCCTGCCTCAGCCTCCCGAGTAGCTGGGACTACAGGCGCCGGCCACCACGCCCGGCTAATTTTTTGTATTTTTTGTAGAGACAGGGTTTCACCCTGTTAGCCAGGATGGTCTCCGTCTCCTGACCTCGTGATCCGCCCGCCTCGGCCTCCCAAAGTGCTGGGATTACAGGCGTGAGCTACCGCGCCTGGCCCTGTATTAGTGTTTTTAAAAGATGTTAAGAAACAAACAAAAAAATTCTCCCAACTTGACAGCTGAATGTTTCTTGTCTAGCAGCAGTCACTTTTCTAGTGCTTTTAAAAACAATTTTAAGTGGATGAAAAACATGACAGATTGTTAAGAGAGAGGACATATGAGGCAGTGTCTGTGAACGCAAGAGAAAATGTAGAAGGATATTTCTAAAAAAAATTCTTGGCCAGGTGCAGTGGCTCAGGCCTGTAATCCCAGCACTTTGGGAGGCCGAGGTGGGCGGATCACGAGGTCAGGAAATCGACACCATCCTGGTTAACACAGTGAAACCCTGTCTCTACTAAAAACACAAAAAATTGGCCAGGCGTGGTGGCGGGTGCCTGTAGTCCCAGCTACTCGGGAGGCTGAGGCTAGAGAATGGCACGAACCCGGAAGGTGGAGCTTGCAGTGAGCTGAGATCGAGCTATTGCACTACAGCCTCGGTGACAGAGCGAGACTCCATCTCAAAAAAAAAAAAAAAAATTCTTTCATCAGTTTGTTTACGGGATCAGGCTCTTGGCACTAATTTTCATCAATTTTAGAGTAAAATATTTGAACCCTATAAATTGAAGTTCTCATATAAATTGAAAATATGTAACTTGCTTTAGGCAACAGATCACTTTTTTTTTTTTTTTTTTTTTTTTGAGATGGAGTCTCGCTCTGTCGCCAGGCTGGAGTGGAGTGCAGTGGTGCACTCTCAGCTCACTGCAACCTCTGCCTCCCAGGTTTAAGTGATTCTCCTGCCTCAGCCTCCCAAGTAGCTGGGACTACAGGCTCCCACCACCACGCCTGGCTAATTTTTGTATTTTTAGTAGAGATCAGGTTTCACCACGTTGGCCAGGATGGTCTTGATCTGTTGACCTCGTGATCCACTCACCTTGGCCTCCCAAAGTGCTGGGATTACAGGCATGAGCCACCGTGCCTGGCCCAACAGATCACTTTTTACGCTTAATATCTGCACGTCAAATAATATTTTCATTCCACTGGGGAAGGACTGTTTAGAAGAATGGGCTGGTCACGGTGGCTCATGCCTGTAATCCCAGCACTTTGGGAGGCTGAGGCAGTGGATCACCCGAGGTCAGGAGTTCGAGACCATTCTGGCCAACATGGCAAAACCCCATCTCTAATGAAAATTCAAGAAAAATTAGCCAGGTGTGGTGGTGTGTACCTGTAGTCCCAGCTACTTGGGAGGCTGAGACAGCAGAATCGCTTGAACCCAGCAGGCGGAGGTTGCAGTAAGCTGAGATCACACCACCGCACTCCAACCTGGGTGACAGCAAGACTCCTCTCAAAAAAAAAAAAAAAAAAAAAGAAGAAGGATGAGGATGATAATTAGAAAGGCGAGAATTCACACTTGTTGACTGCTTATACAACGGAGCTGAGCCCCTGTGTGCTGGGTACACTGTGCATGTTTGTATTTTATGTCATTTAATCCTCACACAAACTTTTCAAGGTAGGATTCAGAAAACTGAGGCTCAGGTTAAGTAACTTGTCTTAAGTCATTCAGATTATGATCTGAACCCAGGACTGTTTTCAGTCTGAAATTCACACTCTTCCCACGCTACTTCTTTTCTTTCTCCTTCTCTTTTATCTTCTTTTTCTTTTTTCTGAGATGAGGGTCTTGCTTTATTGCCCAGGCTGGTCTCAATTCTGGCCTCAAGTCATCCTCCTGCCTCAGCCTCCCAAAGTGCTAGGACAAGCACGCCCACCCACACCCAGTTAATTTTTAAATTTTTTGTAGAGACAGGGTCTCACTATGTTGTCCAGGCTGGTCTCGATCTCCTGCACTCAAGTGATACACCCGCTTTGGCCTCCCAAAGTGCTGGGATTACAGGTATGAGCCACTGTGCCTGGCTCACACTTAAAAAAAAAAAATCTGTAAACTAAATAACCACATCCTCTTTCCTCACCAAAATATCTGTTGTAACACTACATTTTATATTAATTTAAAAATCTCATTCTTTCTGATCTTTTATTTCTAAATACTGTGGTTGAACATATTTATCATCCAATGAAAAATGAAAGATAAATTACCAGAAACCAGGCTAACCAACTTAAAATGTGTAATTGAATTATTTAATATAGAATTATAAGAAACAATGCTTAATCAACAGTTGCTTAATCAACAGTTGCTTCACTTTTGCTCCTTATGTTTTTGTGAACTACTTCCTAAAAATTCATACTAATGTCGCTATGTTATGTCAGGGCTTGCTTTAAATGTTATATGTATAAAAAGCATGTCTTATATAACGTCACATTTAAACCATGACAATATTTTATTGTAAACAGATGTCAAAATATTTGTCTTTGGCCTACCTTTACGGCAGCATTATCAGGAATACCAGTTTACTCACCTGGCTGATAAAATGTTCTTTCTTCACATGTCTCGAAATGTATCTAATGGAATCAGCAGCTTTTTCCAAAAAAGCAACTAGAACTTTTTCTCCATCACTAAGCTGTTTCTGTTTCTTTTTTTCGAGGACTTTGCCTTTCACTACTGGTTGACTCTCCTCTTTCTCTGGGGATGAGTAGCGATCCACATGATCTTTCATGCAAAGTAATTTTGGAAGTTTCTGCAGAAAGAGCCTCTTAACCCAGGGGGCCATGGGGTGGTACGTGGAAGAAGATCTGTGGTGAACGTTAATGACAAACACGGTAACAATGATGGACAGGGTCACAAAAATCATGATGAACAGCAGGTACTCTCCAATGAGAGGAATGACTTTGGAAGACGATGGGATGATTTCTTCAATCACTAAAAGGAAAACTGTCAGAGAAACCAAGACCGATGTGGATAATGAAAGTTTTTCTCCTTCATCCGAAGGTAAATAGAACACAAGAACTGTTAGGAAAGACAGCCCCAGGCAGGGGATGATGAGAAAGAGGGTATAGAATAAAGGCAGGCGTCTCAGGACGAAGGAATACGTGATAAAGGGATAGGAGTACACGCCGTCCCTTCTGTTCCCCTTCATCCCCTTTGCGTTCAGTATTTCCCATTCTCCGTTATCGAAGAAGTCTTTTCTGTCGACATTTTCATTGATCAAAATGAGGTCAACCATGGTGCCATCATAAGTCCAGGATCCAAACTTCATGGAGCAGTTCTGTCGGTCGAACGGGAAAAACGTGACGTCCATGGTGCAGGAGCTTTTGTAGCTGGCGGGAGGGGTCCAGACAACAGTTCCGTTTGATTTCACGATGACCTTGGTCATCAGGGAGCCTTCGAAGCGGCCGTCAGCACTGCAATCAAAGCAGTTTCACCTTAGCAGTCGGTGGAGCACCTGCTAGTTTTTGTTCTTTTTCCCAGCATTGACTATTTCTGTTTTATGACTTTTCTTTTCTTTTCTTTTTTGAGATGGAGTCTCACTCTATCGCCCGGGCTGGAGTGCGGTGGCGCCATCTCGGCTCACTGCAACCTCCGCCTCCCGGGTTCAAGCAATTTGCCTGCTTCAGCCTCCTGAGTAGCTGGGATTACAGGCACCGGCCACCATGCGCAGCTAAGTTTTTGTATTTTTAGTAGAGACAGGGTTTCGCCATGTTGGCCAGGCTGGTCCCGAACTCCTGACCTCATGAATTGCCCGCCTCGGCCTCCCAAAGTGCTGGGATTACAGGCATGAGCCACCACACCCTGCCCTATTTTAGGACTTTTCTACCACAACGCCAGGTAACTGTTTTAATAAACAATTTTTTTATTTAAAATTGAATATTTCTTTTAAGTATTTTGCCTGAATCAGAATTTTCTATTCCTAGTGTTAATCTGACCAAAATAGTTTTCTTCTGTGATACTTACTTTCCTTTTTTTCACTTTTTATTTTTTATTTATTTATTTATTTATTTATTTATTTATTTTTTGAGACGGAGTCTCGCTCTGTCGCCCAGGCCGGACTGCGGACTGCAGTGGCGCAATCTCGGCTCACTGCAAGCTCCGCTTCCCGGGTTCACGCCATTCTCCTGCCTCAGCCTCCCGAGTAGCTGGGACTACAGGCGCCCGCCACCGCGCCCGGCTAATTTTTTGTATTTTTAGTAGAGACGGGGTTTCACCTTGTTAGCCAGGATGGTCTCGATCTCCTGACCTCATGATCCACCCGCCTCGGCCTCCCAAAGTGCTGGGATTACAGGCGTGAGCCACCGCGCCCAGCCTTTTTTTCACTTTTTAAAAAATTTATTTTTTTCCCCATAAGTAAGAAACAATGTGATACTTACTTTTCAAAGAGAACTATGTCAGGAAGCCACAGAGATTCTGATGGAACTTTAATGGAATGGATCCCACCATAATCATCAGGATTCCAGCGTAACTTGTGGTCTGTCCATTCCTGCATGAAATTAGTACACTGTGATTTTATTCCGAAAGTTCAATGTATTAGATCTTGAAATCTTCAAGTTTCTGTTAGCTTTACCAAGCCACTGTTTTATTAAGAAAAGGAAATTGTCCCGGTTGGACTGCGTGACCCTACTGGGGACTCAGTACAGGATTCACCTTGAGCCAGCCTGGCCTCTGATCTCACCCAGGCCCACACACTTTGCATGTTACATATTTCCAAAATTACTGTATCTGCCTCACCATGAAGAGGCTCTACAACAAACGCCACTAATTCATGATCTATCTTTTCATCCTATTTTCTCTTAACAAACAAACAAAAGAAAAGCAATGATGTGTCTAATTCAGTTTATTCTAGGAGGGTGGGTCCAGTGATACTTAAATCACATGCTAACTGGTACAAGTGATTTTAAACACCACTCAAGAGGCTTAGATGAACATCCACCTGCTATGTTAATATGAGACATCCATTTTCCATGAATTCTTCTTGATCACATTAGAACTTGTATCCAATAAAAAAATGTTTTCCCAGCATTTTCTTTTAAGTTTTAATCTGAATTTATTTTTGGAGCTCCCAATTATAATTTTAAATTGCATTCCTAATATCGTTAGCCTCCAGGCGCTTACACATTTTTCTTCATAAGGATGAAATCACATGGCATGTTTTACAGGGGCTGATGAATCCAGATAAATAAACCTGACCATGAATTGATCAGACTGTGAAGGTCAAGAGGATGATGTATGGATGACCCAATCACAGCAGAGTGGACTCTATTACAAAGATTTTAGGGTCCAGAATCATAGGAAATCTGACCTGAAAATTAAAATTTTCTATTCTACAGCCCCTCGTGTGGATAGGTGAGTAAGGATGCGGGAGTTCAGAGAGTTAGAAGGGCATGCCCAGCATGACGCTTCCCGGAGCCCAGTGATGCCAACTTTGTCATTAAAACATCAGGAGTCAGCAGATGGATGATGTCACTAGATGGTAAAATACTGAAATATGCATGATGCCTGACAAATGATGGAACTCCACACCCCAGAGGAAACATTGTCTATCTTAGACAACATTTTTGAGACTTGATCCCCAAAAAACAAAGTTTAAGATGTATGGGCCTTTAAAAAGCTAGAATCTGAAGTATAACAAAATGGCATGATATTTATTTATTTATTTATGTTTTTGAGACAGAGTCTCGCTCTGTTGCCCAGGCTGGAGTGCAGTGGTGTGATCTCGGCTCACTGCAAGCTCTGCCTCCCAGGTTCACGCCATTCTCCTGCCTCAGCCTCCTGAGTAGCTGGGACTACAGGTTCCCGCCACCACGCCCGGCTAATTTTTTTTGTATTTTTTAGTGGAGACGGGGTTTCACCGTGTTAGCCAGGATGCTCTCGATCTCCTGACCTCATGATCTGCCCGCCTCGGCCTCCCAAAGTGCTGGGATTACAGGTGTGAGCCACCGTGCCCGGCCAATGGCATGATATTTATGGGAAATCACGCATATGAAACTGACAATTTAAGAGCCCAATAATAAAGTATTCACCATGTTTACTTGGTGCTCATGGGCTTCTCTTTTTTTCTTCCTCCTCTTCCAATTTCGAAGAACAAATATAATCTCCTTCCTAGGAATAATTTGTCTCCTGCTAAGGAGACTCTTACTATCATTGGTAGGTCTGAGTCTCAGAGATCTTGGAGGGAACTCACTTACAGTAGCATTTGTGGTTTGTTTCAATTCCACTTTATGCACTTCGTAAAAATTTACTTACAATAAAATTCACTCTTTGGTTTACAGTTATTAATGCAAATAGCTGTATAATAACTGCAGGCATTAAGATGCCAAAACAGTTTTTTTGCCCAAAATATTTCCCAGGTGCTGCCCTTTTGTAATCAACCCCTCCTGCATTTCCAGCCCTTGGAAATCCCTGATTTGTTCTGTTTCTATAATTTCAGCTTTTCTAGAATGTCATGTAAATGGAATCAACATAACATTTCAATTCTGACTTCTTTACTTAGCAATGCATTTAGATTCTTCATGTTTGTTTTTTGTTTTGTTTTGTTTTTTTAATTTGAGACAGGATCTTGTTCTTTTTCCCAGGCTGGAGTGCTATGGTGACATCATGATTCACTACAGCCTCAACCTCCTGGGCTCAAGTGATCCTTCTGCTCCTGCCTCAGGCTCCCAAGTAGCTGGGACCACAGGTGTATACCACCACACCCGGCTAATTGTTTTGCTTTGTAGAAATGAAGTCTGCCTATGTTGCCCAGACTGGTCTTGAACCCCTAGGCTCAAGCAATTCTCCTGCCTCACCTCCCAAAGTGTAGGAATTACAGGTATGAGCCATTGAGCCCAGATTCATTGTGCTTTTTAATATGCATTTTCCTAATGACTAATCATGAATATCTTCATGTGTTTATCTGCCATCCATGTATCTTATCTGGTGAAGTGCATAATGTTTAATCAAGTTGTTTGTTTTCTTACTGAGTTTTTAGAGTTCTTTATACATTCTGAATAAAAGTGGTTTGTCAAATATTTGATTTACAAACATCTTCTCTCAGTCTTTTTTTCCTTTTACTAATGTCTTTCACAAGTCAGAAATTCTAAAAGTTCATTTTATCAGTTTTATTGTTTATGGATTGTGTCATATCTAAGAAATCTTTGCTTAACACAGGGTCACGAAGATTTTCTCGTATGCTTTCTGCTAGAAATTTTGTAGTTTTTTGTTTGTTTGTTTTTTGAGACAGAGTCTTGCTCTGTCGCCAGGCTGGAGTGCAGTCGCACAGTCTCGGCTCACTGCAACCTCTGCCTCCTGGGTTCAAGCGATTCCCCTGGCTCAGGCTCCCGAGTAGCTGAGACTACAGGTGCACACCACCATGCCCAGCTGATTTTTGTATTTTTAGTAGAGATGGGGTTTCACCATGTTGGCCAGGATGGTCTCGATCTCTTGACCTCGTGGCCCACCAGCCTCGACTTAAGTCTAAGATCCATTTTCCATTAATCTTTTATAAAGGTGCAGGAATGGGTTGAAGTTCATTTTCTTTTGCATGTGAGTGTCCAATTGTCAGCACCTTTTGTGGAGAAGACTAAACATTATCCACGGAACTTCCTTTGTACATTTGTCAAAATGTAGTTAACTGTGTATGTGCATGGGTCCATTCTGGACTGTTCTGTTTCACTGATCTGTGTATCTGTCTTTCTTTTTTCTTTCTTTTTTTTTTTTTTTTTCGAGACAGAGTCTCACTCTATCGCCCAGGCTGGAGTGCAGTGGTGGGATCTCGTCTCACTGCAACTTCCACCTCCCAGGTTCAAGTAATTCTCATGCTTCAGCCTCCCAAGTAGCTGGGATTATAGGCATGTGCCACCACGCCCGGCTAATTTTTGTGTTTTTAGTAGAGACAGGGTTTCACTATGTTGGCCAGGCTGGTCTCGAACTCCTGACCTCAAGTGATCCAGCCACCTTGGCCTCCCAAAATGCTGGGACTACAGGTGTGAGCCACGGCGCCCGGCCCTGTGCATCTGTCTTTTTGACAATATCACACTGTCTTGGTTATTATAGCTTTAGGCAAATTTTTGAATCTGCTTGTGGCTATCTATAAGATATCCTGCCAAGATTTTAATTGTGATTGATTTGAATATACAGATTAGTTTGGTGAGAACTGGCATCATAATATAGATTCTCCTGGCCCAGGAATATTATTTATGTCTCCATTTACTTAGGTCTTGATTTTTTGTTGTTGTTGTTTTGTTAGTGTTTTGCAGTTTTAGGCTTACAGGCATTGCACATATTTAGTTAGATTTATACCTAAATAGGCCAGGGGCAGTGGCTCACGCCTGTAATCCCAGCACTTTGGCAGGCCAAGGCGGGTGGATCACCTGAAGTCAGGAGTTCATGATCAGCCTGGCCAACATGGTGAAACCCTGTCTCTACAAAAATTAGCCGGGCATGATGGTGGGTGCCTGTAATCCCAGCTACTCAGGAGGCTGAGGTAGGAGAACCGCTTGAACTTGGGGGCGGAGGTTGCAGTGAGCTGAGATCGCGCCACTGCACTCCAGCCTGGATGACAGAGCTTGGCTCTGGATGACAGAGCTAGACTGTATCTCAAAAAAAAAAAAAAAAAGTCATTTAATTTTTAAAATTCCAGTCGTTCATTGTTAGTATCTAAATATACAATCTACTTTTGCATTTTGACCGTATGTCCTGTGACCTGGCTTACCTCACTTAATTTTGGGATCTTTTCTGTAGATTTTCTACATAGACAATTATGTCATTTGCAAGTGGAGCGTTTTATTTCTTCCTTTCCAATCTGAATAACTTTGACTGCTTTTCCTTGCCTTAATTACTGAGTAGTAGTAGCTGCAACACTAGAAAGATGGCAGAGCAAGAGCAAAGATAAATCCCTTTGGTTCCAGAAAATCTCCTGAAAATGAGGACAGCTTATCAAGCCCTCAAAGCCACCCAGGCAAAGCAGGCACTTTTGGCAAAGAAGGAGCAGAGAAAAAGAAAAGGGCTCAGGTTTAAACAACTGGAATCATTCCTACAAGATTCCTGGTGACAGAAACGTGACAAGGTACGTCTCAGACGACTAGAAGTGAAACCACACCTTGGAATTGCCAGATAAACATTCCTTGGCCTTTGTTGTACGCATCGAAAGGATTGATGGCGTGAGTTTACTGGTGCAGAGAACCATTGCGAGACTTTGCCCAAAGAAAATTTTTAGTGGTGTCTTTGTAAAAGTCACCCCCCAGAACCTAAAAATGCTGCGTATAGTGGAAACTTATGTGACCTAGGGATTTCCAAATCTGAAGTCTGTCTGGGAACTCATTTTGAAACGTGGACAAGTCAAGGTCACGAATAAGACCATCCCTCTGACAGACAACACAGTGATTGAGGAGCACCTGGAGAAGCATTTCCAGGAGATCTCGTGGTTCTTGTGCCCTTTCCACCTCTCAGTGGCCCGTCATGCTACCAAAAATAGAGTGGGCTTCCTCAAGGAGATGGGCATACCTGGCTATCAGGGTGAATGCATCAATCAGCTCATCTGCCAGCTGAACTAGACCCAGGTGCCAAACTGCAGTAAATTTTTATCAATGAAGTGGAAGCATGTGTTTTTGTATTTTGGGGAATTTTTATCAAGTATCTTCAGAGAAGATTATTTCCTGCTTTATCTTCAAAAAATGGAAAGGAAGGGTCAAAGAAAAGACAGTAGCTGGCCGGGTGCGGTGGCTCACGCCTGTAATCCCAGCACTTTGGGAGGCCGAGGTGGGCAGATCACCTGAGGTCAGGAGTTTGAGACCAGCCTGACCAACATGGAGAAACCCCATCTCTACTAAAAATACAAAAATTAGCCGGGCATGGTGGCACATGCTTGTAATCCCAGCTACTAGGGAGGCTGAGGCAGGAGAATTGCTAGAACCCTGGAGGTGGAGGTTGCGGTGAGCCAAGATTGCGCCATTGCACTCCAGCCTGGGCAATAAGAGCAAAACTCTGTCTCAAAAAAAAAAAAAAAAAGAAAGAAAGAAAAAAGAAAAGACAGTAGCTTATGTTCATGGCAAGCACCTCTCATCACAGTCCAGTTCCAAGGAAAAAATTCCAGTGTTTTCTTTTTTTGTTTTTTGAGACGGAGTCTCACTCTGTTGCCCAGGCTGGAAGTGCAGTGGCACAGTCTTGGCTCACTGCAACCTCCGCCTCCCGGGTTCAAGCCAGTTCTCCCACCTCAGTCTCCCAAGTAGCTGGGACTACAGGCGCCTGCCACCATGCCCAGCTAATTTTTTTTGTATTTTTAGTAGAGATGGGGTTTCACCGTGTTGGCCAGGATGGTCTCGACCTCCTGACCTCAGGTGATCCGCCCGCCTCGGCCTCCCAAAGTACTGGGATTACAGGCGTGAGCCACCGCGCCCGGCCAATTCCAGCGTTTTCTACATTGGCTGCCGCCTCGTCTGAAATCAGCACATTCCATGGAGGAAGGAGTCCTGCTTTGCTGCATCTTCTATCCTAGAGTTTAATGGTGGTAAATGAGTAACTCTAGCATTTGTCCAAGGCTCCCTAAGACTCCTGTAGCAGTCGACCAACCCCAGGGACATAATTGAATCTGGAGATTCCTGGGGCCTTTGTTTGAAAAAGACTTGAAATACACATAGGAAGAAAGGCACAAAAATAAATGTTCACTTGTCTCTGCTGTGAGTCTATGTTCCAAAAAAAAAATTACTGAGTAGTATTATGTTAAGTAGGATATCCTTGCCTTGTTCTTGAACTTTGGGGGAAAGCATTTAGTTGTTCACCATTAAGTGTTTATGTTAGGTGTTGGGGGTTTTTGTAAATATCCTTTATTAGATTAAGGAGGATTCCTTCTATTACTAGTTTCCTGAGGTTTGTTTGGGGTTTTGTCATGTTGGTCAGGCTGGTCTCGAACTCCTGACCAGGTGATCTGCCCGCCTCAGCCTCCCAATGTGCTGGGATTACAGGCATGAGCCACTGCGCCCAGCCTAGGTTTCTTTTCTTTTTCTTTTTTTTTGAGATGGAGTTTCGCTCTTGTTGCCCAGGCTGGAGTACAGTGGCGCAATCTTGGCTCACTGCAACCTCTGCCTCCAGGGTTCAAGCGATTCTCCTGCCTCAGCCTCCTTAGTAGCTGGTATTACAGGCATCCACCATCACGCCCAGCTAATTTTTGTATTTTTAATAGAGACGGGGTTTCACCGTTTTGGCCAGGCTGGTCTTGAACTCCTGACTTCAGGTAATCCACCTGCCTTAGCCTCCCAAAGTGTTGGGATTACAGGCGTGAGCCACCACAACCGGACTAAAATATAATAAATATTTATTAATGCTGTATTAGATGAGGCAACCAGCGCTTAGAGAGTTCAAATACCTGTCCAAGGCCACACAGCTAGTCAGTGAGGGAAACGGGATTCAAGGCTGCTGCACATGGCTGGGTCATCCATGCAGCCACTACTCCAGAGGTGCCCTGCACACTGAGTCTGCTGTGAAGGGGGCCCCCAGGAGATGTGCAGCCTGGTGGCCTTAATGGGCTTTAAGCTAAGGTCTGCCTGAAGCCAGATCCTCCACGCTTTTACCTCTCCCCATGATGCACTGCAGTGGGAAAACCTGTAGCTTAAAATGCTTCATAAGTTCATTTGTTTCTAGAAAGCTTTCTACGGTTCAGCTCTCAGGGGTATTTCTGGTGCTGATAGATATAAAGCACAATGGTGTACTCAGGCTAAACAGCAGCTCATTTCATCTCCTCTCCATCAAAGAGAGAAAACAAAAAAAACAATGATAGAACAGAAAAACTGTTTGGCCTTAATAGCAAAACACCTGTTAAAAGGCAAACAGTAAAATACAGTGAAATATCTGTTAAAAGTAATAATAAAATATAAGCAATAGTAAAATATCTAAGTAATACGATATCTTATTGCTATATTTTAGTAAATATCTAGGTAATAGGTATCCTATTACTTACGATATTTTAGTAAATATCTAAGTAATAGGATATCCTATTCGATATTTTAGTAAATATCTAAGTAATAGGATATCCTATTACGATATTTTAGTAAATATCTAAGTAATAGGATATCTTATTACGATATTTTAGTAAATATCTAAGTAATAGGATATCCTATTACTTACAATATGTTAGTAAATATCTAAACAGTAAAATAAATGAGTAAATATCTAAATAGTAAAATATATAAGTAACAGTAAAATATCTGTTAAAGCCATCCCTCCCCCAAGAGGGAGCTGGGCAAGGTGGCTCACATCTGTAACCCCCTGCACTCTGGAAGGCTGAGGCAGGTGGGTCGCTTCAGCCCAAGAGTTTGAGACCAGCCTGGGCAACACAGGGAAACCCCATCTCTTCAAAAATTAAACAACAACAAAAATTAGCTGGGTGTAGTTGTGTGTCTGTGGTCCCAACTACTTTGGAGGCTGAAGTGGGAGGATCACTTGAGCCTGGGTGTTCAAGGCTGCAGGCACCTGTGATTGCACCACTGCATTCCAGCCTTGGAGACAGAGCAAGGCCCTGTTTCAAAATAAATAAGTAAATACATGAATAAAAGTCGGGGGAATTATACAAAAAATCATACTGTACTGTGTCCAAGTGCCGTGATGAACAATGGGAGAATTATGAGATGAGGAATGCGCCACAGGGACACAGGCCTTTGGTCATCCTCTGCTTCGGCAAGGCCACGGGAAGGAGGGGCACACCAAGAGATCTTTTTTTTTTCTTTTCTTTTTTTTCTTTTTAATGGAGTCTCACTCTGTCGCCCAGGCTGGAGTGCAGTGGCGCGATCTCTGCTCACTGCAACCTCCGCTTCCTGGGTTCAAGCCATTCTCCTGCCCCAGCCTCTCCGGTAGATGGGATGTGCCACCAAGCCTGGCTAATTTTTGTATTTTTAGTACAGATGGGGTTTTGCCATGTCGGTCAGGCTGGTCTCGAATTCCTGACCTCAAGTGATCCACCCGCCTCGGCTTCCCAAAGTGCTAGGATTACAGGCGTGAGCCACCACGCCTGGCCACCAAGAGATCTTTATGTAAAGAGGAGGAAATCAGATTAGGAGATAAAAAGGACACGTGCTATGTCTGTTGCCTTGAATTCACCTGCCTTTCTCTTGGTAACAGAACCCCAGTTTCCTTTTGTGGAACAACCTCACTCCACTCTCAGTCCATCAGCTTTTGGGGGAGCTGATGCATCCTTCTGCTCCAGGCCTGCCTCTCAGACCTGCCCACTGTGATTTTCAGGGACAACAGGCAACCAAATCAGAGTTGGCAAGACACCACAGGGCTTCTGAGACCACTGGAAAAGAGGTGGGACACTCTTACCCTGATGAACTTGCACACAGGAAATGTTTTGTTTTGTTTTGTTTTGTTTTGTTTTGTTTTGTTTGAGACAGAGTCTCGCTCTTTTGTCCAGGCTGGGGTGCAGTAGTGTGATCTCGGCTCACTGCATCTCTGCCTCCCAGGCTCAAGTGATCCTCCCACCTCAGCCTCCCAAGTATCTGGGACTACAGGAGTGCACCACCATGCCCAGCTAATTATTGTATTTTTTGTAGAGACAGAGTTTTGCCACATTGCCCAGGCTGGTCTGCAGCTCCTGAGGTCAAGTGATCCACCTGCCTCAGTCTCCCAAAGTGCTGAGATTACAGGTGTGAGCCACTGCGCCTGGCTTATAGGAAGCATTTTGAGTCTGGAGTTGATGTAGACATCCTGCTTCCGGGGGAGGGTATGGATGAGAATGGAATCAACACAGAGGACAGGAAGCCCAGAGACTCCCAGAGAGGAACCAGGTCCTGGGAATATAGCAGGGGCCCAGCATGAAGCTGCAGGTAAAGCCAGCCCTGTCCCTGGACTTTTCCGATTGTGAAAGCTAATAAGTTCTCTTTTTGCTAGTGTTAGTTTATGTGAGGTTTTCTGTCACTTGCAACTAAAATGTTCTCAGCTGATCCTGGGAAGAACCTGGGTGGCTATGCAGCTGCAGCACGCTGCAAGCACATAGCTAAGAGCACTGGGGACAGGCACAGACTTGGGCAGACCAGCTAGGGCTGTGCTGTCATGCTCCAGGTCCATCTTTAGTGAGCACAGCTAATGAGCCCAAATGCACAGCTCCTCCATCTGGAACCTAAAGATTGATGGAAATGAAATCACCTGCTTCTTGGATCCAGTTTCCTTCCTTCTACAGGCACCGAAGGTCTTTACCTACACCCAGTTCTATCCTGCAAAGGAGGATGGGGGATGACTAAAATTCTAGCACTTCTGTCTTGTTGCAAATTGCAAAACTGCAGCAAACAAATACCAGCTTTATAAATTGTTCTAAGAGAACTAGGGCAAGCCTCAGGGGGAGGTATTTTTAAGTCAGAAAGATTTGTGTTGCTTACCTGACCTTCAACAGCAGGATTAACAGCTGTGACCAGAGATAAAACAGAGATAGTGGTTTATGGGGCTCACTGTTTTCAAAGAGTTCATTCATTCATCAAATATGCAAGGCATGTACTAGCACTGAGCACAGCTGCCTCAACCTCTTATCCTGGGGCTGACTCAGATGATAAACCAGTAAACTAACAAATACCCACACCTCCTGACAGTTGCTGTAAAGGAGACAGTTTGGGTATGGGATACAGAACAGTGGAGTAGACAGGGAAGGCATTTCCATGGAGACGACATTTAGACTAAACATGCAGGGTAAGAAGCAGTCTGAGGGCTGGGCGCGGTGGCTCATGCCTGTAATTCCAGCACTTTGGGAGGCCAAGGCGGGCAGATCACGAGGTCAAGAGATCGAGACCATCCTGGCCAACATGGTGAAACCCCGTCTCTACTAAAAATACAAAAATTAGCTGGGCATGGTGGCACACGCCTGTAGTCCCAGCTACTCAGGAGGCTGAGGCAGGAGAATCTCTTGAACCTGGGAGGCGGAGCCGAGATCGTGCCGCTGCACTCCAGCCTGGTGACAGAGCAAGACTCCATCTCAAAAAAAAAAAAAAAAAAAAAAAAAAAAAAAAAAGAAGGCTTCTGAGTGGGGCAGGGTTGCGTGGGGAAGGAAGGCTGGCCAAAGATGGAACTGCCTGTGGAAAGGTGCTGGGGCAGGAAGGAAGGAGATCATGAATGCGGGCTGCCTTCAGATCCTTGAGGAGGATTTTAAAGGGATCTAGAGCAGACTCAGTTGCTCCTAACCAGTAAAGAAAAAGAGGCTAGGTGGGACTTGTGGTCAATACTGCTAACACTGGTGGCCTCAAAAGAGAAAGCACACTGGACTCCACTCACAAGCCCTGAGCTCCACACTAGGACTGTGCTTTACTAGCTGTACAACTTGGACGAGTCACTGATCTCCAGCTGCTGCATTGCTTTGCAAGGGTGAGAGAGCATTCTTCACAACCTTAGTGTCCTTCTGCTATCAGACAGGGAATCACAGAGCGTTCTCCCTGAGATTCCCATCAGAGGGCTCATCCAGTTTCTTTTCTGTTGTTTTTAGACAGGGTCTCACTCTGTCGCCCAGGCTGGAGTGCCGTGGTGTGATCATAGCTCATTGCAGTTTCAACCTCCTGGGCTCAAACCATCTTCCAACCTCAGCCTCCCTAGTAGCTATGACTACAGGTATGCACCACCATGCCTGGCTAATTTTTCTTATTTTTTGTACAGACAGGGGACTCCCTATGTTGATCGGGCTGGTTTCAAACTCCTAGCCTCAAATGATCCTCCTGCTTTGGCCTCCCAAAGTGTTGGGATTACAGGCAGGAGCCACCATGCCCAGCCCACCCAATTCCTGCCAGGATGTGTGTTCACCACAGAGCTGGCTGTGCCCTGTAGACCAGGACCTCTGTGGGTTTAGAATGGCACAAGCCACAGGACATTTGCAAGTGGCAGAGTCAGCAGTGCCCAGCTGAGCAGCCAGAGCCCAAACCTCTATCTCGTTCTCTAAGGGGCTGCGAGGTTTTCTGGTCACTTCTTTGTTCTCTCTGAAACCCTGGTGGCATCTGGGGATTAAGCTCCTGTCTCTCCCTTCTTAGGGTAAGAGATGAGAAATAATATTCCATGTTTGCATAGTGTGTTCTAGCTGAGATGCTCAAAGCCGTCGTCAAACACCAGCTCCACATCACAGCAGTTCCCGACTTGAGAGCTGTGTTTTTGCAGGAAACAGGATCGCACAGGATATGTCAGAGCCAAATATCAAAGTTAATCTATGACTAAGAAAAAAATGGAAAAACACTCCAACTCTAGGCTTCCTCATTCAGAAAATTGCAATTTCAAATCCATATCAAATATATATAATCCCTTAAAATTGTCTTTTCTTAGATGTATTACCTGAACGATCACTCATAAATGTCTAGCTAAACCACAACCCAGAGCCAAATTTTATTTAAACCTAAATTGTAAGGCTTTTTAAAAAAACTATAAAAAAAGTCCCCGAATTATTCTTTTTTTTTTTTTTTTTTTTTTTTTTTTGAGACAGAGTCTTGCTCTGTCACCCAGGCTGGAGCGCAGTGGCGCCATCTCGGCTCACTGCAAGCTCTGCCTCCCAGGTTCACGCCATTCTCCTGCCTCAGCCTCCCGAGTAGCTGGGACTACAGGCACCTGCCACCATGCCCGGCTAATTTTTTGTATTTTTAGTAGAAATGGGGTTTCACTGTGTTAGCTAGGATGGTCTCAATCTCCTGACCTCGTGATCTGCCTGCCTCAGCCTCCCAAAGTGCTGGGATTACAGGTGTGAGCCACCATGCTCGGCCAAGTCCCCAAATTATTCTTACTTCAATGCTAATAGGACCAAAAGATAATAAGGAACAAATATCCTTTGCTGTTGTCTTGATTTGCAGTCTCTGGGACATCCCTGGGATCTCTAGTCATCTTAGATGTGAAATTCTTAAAGCCAAATTCTTGTTGATTCATATTAATCTTAAAGGCACCAACATGACATATTATATGTTTCATATTCCTGTTAAATTCATGAGTTGTTAAGGCCAAGAAATGTCATTTGTTATTAAGGATGAAGGCCAGGCGTGGTGGCTCACCCCTATAATCCTAGCACTTTTGGAGGCCCAGGTAGGCGATCACATGAGGTCAGGAGTTCCAGACCAGCCTAGCCAACATGGCGAAACTGTCTTTACTAAAAATACAAAAATTAGCCAGGCATGGTGGCACATGCCTGTAATCACAGCTACTCAGGAGGATGAGGTGGGAGAATCACTTGAATCCGGGAGGCGGAGGTTGTGGTGAGCCGAGATTGTGCCACTGTACTCCATACTCCAGCCTGGGCGACAGAGTGAGACTCTGCCTCAAAAAAAAAAAAAAAAAAAAAAAAGGATGAGAAAGCTCAAAGGTGGCAACAGAAAGTGACATTTATTGAGCTAGTCACATTCACATACATTATCTCATGTAACCCCCCAGACAACACTGTGAGCTAGGCATCAGCTCTATTTAATAGATGAAGAGACTGAGGGTCAGAGAGGTGAAGTGACTTGCCCAAGTTTATACAGTAGGCCTTTTGACCCCTACGCAATTCTTACCAGGGTCCACTTGAGTAAGAAGTCCAAACTTGGCCTCCTTTGCTAAGGTCAGAGTAAGGTTGTAGAAAAGGAAGGAAAATCAGATCATGAGTAAAGATCTGAGATGAATTCATGAACTTGTAAGTGCCATTCCAGGTTGCGGATGGTAGACTTTTGGGGAGATCACCCAGACCTCTAGTACTAGCCTGACCTTTCCACAACAGGTCGGCTTTTTTTTTTTTTTTTTTTTTTTTTTTTTTTTGAGACGGAGTCTCGCTCTGTCACCCAGGCTGGAGTGCAGTGGCGGGATCTCGGCTCACTGCAAGCTCCGCCTCCCGGGTTCACGCCATTCTCCTGCCTCAGCCTCCCAAGTAGCTGGGACTACAGGCGCCCGCCACTACGCCCGGCTAATTTTTTTGTATTTTTAGTAGAGACGGGGTTTCACCGTTTTAGCCGGGATGGTCTCGATCTCCTGACCTCGTGATCCGCCCGCCTCGGCCTCCCAAAGTGCTGGGATTACAGGCGTGAGCCACCGCGCCCGGCCAGTCTGCTTCTTATTTTTCCTGGGAAATCAGCTCCAGGGGTCTATCCAATAAGACCTTCATGTTTGCTGAACTTTTTGTTGATCTAAAACAGACATCAGCTGTTGGAAAGACACTGCTACTTTAAGATGTTGGCCTGGGCAGATATTCCAGCAGTTTTATTTTCCTCAGGATTGTCATGGGGAGAGGAGAACAAACTGTCTCAGCTACAGTGAAGCCGGGTCATTTAGTCCTCTCATTGCCTTATTTTTATATGCAACAGCGCCCAGCTCAGGGCCTTATGAGGCAGAAGGTGAAACTGACTCTGGAGGCGGGGACTCGGGTACCGGACCAGATTGAGAACTAGCTAAACAGGGTCGGGCAGAGGCGGCTTTCCATAAGACAGGGCCACCACGGCACCATGTCAGTTTACCATCGCCATGGCAATACCCGGAAGTTACCACCCCTTTCCATGGCAATGACCTGGAAGTTACCACCCACCTAGACATTTCTGCATAAACTGCCTCTTAATTTGCATATAATTAAAGGTGGGTATAAATATGCCTGCAGCCCTAGCCTGGGCGCACTGCTGGTGGGTAGCCATGGTCTGTAGGGAGCAGTATCTCTGCTGCCGCTGTCCTTGAGTTCTTTCCTCGGTGAAGCCAGACTAAGCCCCAGTTTTGGGGTTCATCTGCCCTGCATCACTTACACAGTGCAGAGCAGGCTCTCAGGAAATACGGATTGAGTAAATTTGGCATTTGTTGTCATAGTGATTATTTCTATTGTAACATCTAGGCAAAACGGCCAACCCTTGTGTCATTTCAAAAAAGGTCAGTTTCGCCCAGCACAGTGGCTCACGCCTGTAATCCCAGCACTCTGGGAGGCCAAGGCGGGTGGATAATCTGAAGTCAGGAGTTCGAGGCCAGCCTGGCCAACATGATGAAACCCTCGTCTCTACGAAAAATACAAAAATTAGCTGGGCATGGTGGCCGGCGCCTTTAATCCCAGCTACTCGGGAGGCTGAAGCAGAATTACTTGAACCCAGGAAGCGGAGGTTGCACTGAGCCGAGATCATGCCACTGCGCTCCAGCCTGGGTGACAGAGCAAGACTCCATCTCAAAAAAAAAAAAAAAAAAAAGGTCAGTTTAATTTTCATTGTCTCTAAGGTGCTTTCCACGTTTTCCTAACCTTGATATGATGGAGCAGGATCTGAGGGACTGGAGCAGTAAGTACTTTCTCACATAGTTCCAGTGAGTCAATGTTAACAATATATTTATAGTTTATAGGGTTTTGATTACTGTCTGGAAGTACAAAGGAGGAAGACAAACTAGTTTGCAAAATAAAATCAATAAAATAAAAATAGCACCATGTAGAAGACTTCCTCTGGATGTCACTAGATTTGTGCTTTATAAAGTTCTTTCTTTGGTTGAGAGGATAGAAGAAGAGTGTCTAAATATACCAGAGGAGAGCTATGGAAACAGGATAAGACAGGAGAATTGACTTAAAAAACCCCACAAGTATCTCATTTGCATGCGCTACCATGGAACATGCTTTTGTTCCAAGTATGTAGAATTTTCTTCTCCATGTGGATATGAATTAGAGAACATTTTTCAGTGTCTGGGAGGCAAATGAGGAAAGAGGGGGAATTGGGCATTTTTGTTTTCATTTTGACTGAGGGACACAGAGATGATTGCAAAGAGTTACCAATGGGTTTGCTCAAATGTGAGAGCTTTTGGATAGTGGTGTTATTGGACTACTATTCACTATTCAGGTGGTTCACAACTTCCCCACCTTTTTGGCTTGTAGAACTTCTGTTAGTCCTGTAAGACTCAAATTAAATATCCCCTCCTCCTGGGAGCTTTCCCTGACTTTCTTCCTGTCTCATTGTCATTTTTTAAGCTCCACAGTGGTTTATATGTACTTTCTTTGTGCTATTTATCATGGTAATTATTTTTTAGTAACTAACGCTATGTCCTCTTCTTTCAGGCGGTGGTGTGTGTTGCTCTTTATACATCCAGGATCTAGCAGGGCGCCTGGCACATAGGATGTCAATAAATCCTGGTGAAGGGATGGAAGATGGAGTGGATCCTAACTTCATTCTCTCCTGAATTCTTTCTAGACCAACTCCATCAGATGTTCCGGAGACTGAGGAATCAAAGCCTTAGAAGACCAGGGTTAGGAAATTATACAGCAACAGGACTAACAGGAGAACAGGACACTCTCCAAACTCTCCCTCCAGTCTAAGGCAAGTGAAAGATTTCTCTACATAAGTCGACTTCCCTAACAGTGCTTAACCCTGGGCAAGTCACTTCCACTCTCCAGTTCTGTTTCCTCATCTGCAAAGTTAGGATTATAATAGAACCTCCCTTATAGGATGGTTGTGAAAATTCAATGGGATTATTCCCGTTACACAGTTAGCATAGTGCCTGGGCACTTAATAAGTACTCAGTAAATCTTAAATATTATTATTAGCTGCTCTGGAACTAAGATCTGTGTAAAACCAATGATAGCTTTTTATAAATATCTGTTTTATCTTGGTTTTCTTTTCATGGTTTTTTTTTTAATCATTCAGCTTTCTTTAATCCATATAGCTTTAAAAAGTTTTGTTTTGTTTTGTTTTGTTTTGTTTTGAGACAGAGTCTTGCTCTGTCGTCCAGGCTGGAGTGCAGTAACACGATCTCGGCTCCCAGGTACAACCGATTCTCCTGCCTCAGCCTCCCGAGTAGCTGGGACTGCAGGTGCCCACCACCACGCCTGGCTAATTTTTTTTATTTTTTATTTTTAGTAGAGATGGGGTTTCACCGTGTTAGCCAGGATGGTCTCAATCTCCTGACCTTGTGATCCACCTGCCTCAGCCTCCCAAAGTGCTGGGATTACAGGCGTGAGCCACCACGCCCGGCCAAAAAGCTCTTTTTAAAAAGCATAAAAATAACATCATGGCAGAGCTCAATGCCTCCTGTTACAGGCAGCCTTCCCTTCTTGCCACCCACTGTTATAAAAATGACCTTTCTTTTCTGCCCCAACATTGTCTGTGCCATAACAGCGCGTATTAACTAATATCCACTGTAACATTTCCCACTCCAAACTCAATCTGTGCAAATGGACGTCGCAATGACTATATCCTCTGTAGTTTTCTGGAATGTGAAGCTTCGTTTCTCCTGCTTTGGCTCCTCCTGTGATCTAGAAGCAGGGCTTAGTGTTCAGGAAGGAGGCTGCATATGGCCAGAAAGATCCTGGCCAGGGGTTAGGAAACCCAGATTCCTGCTGGATGAGGACTGGACTCTTCTATCTCTATAAAACAGGGGTAATGATGTCTCTTTTCCTAAGTCAGGTGGTAGAGAGGTTTAAATGAGATAAACCTCATTTATGCATTTGTGAATTAAACACAATTAAAGTATATTAATCTCAATAGATATTGGAGACTCGGAAGAGTGGGAGGGTGGGAGGTGGATGAGGGATGAGAAATTACCTAATGGTTACAATGTACATCAGTATTTAGATACACTAGAAGCCTAGACTTCACCACTACAAATGTATCTGTGTAACAAAACTGCACTTGTACCTTACATATTTATACCCAAAAAAGTCGATTATTCTCATTGCTTCTATTAAATGGGAACTTCAGTCAGTGGGCTGACTTTTCCAAGTGTCAGTGTGCTCCATGCCTGTGGATTTCTCCTGCTTGGTTTTGGGTATTGAATTGACTTTTAGGATTTAATTCCACCTTGGCTTGAAGACACCCACCAGTCTTCTGGGATTCTGGTGGCACACTTTGTGGGAAGTCCTTTCCAAAGCTGTAGCTGAGGCCCTCAGGGTCCTCGGCGCCCACTCTTTTGTGTCTAATGCTGTTCTCTTTGGCCAAAACGACTCCTAATTTTCAAAAGCACAAGAAAAGTGAAAAGACCTACTATACCCATGTGAAGGCCCAGAGTCCCTGGACCCCTGCTTTATGTGAGAGATTAGAGCTTAATCTCGGCCAGGCAAAGTGGCTCATGCCTGTAATCCCAGCACTTTGGGCTGACATCAGGAGTTCGAGACCAGCCTGGCCAACATGCTGAAACCCCGTCTCTACTAAAAATACAAAAATTAGCCAGGTATGGTGGCACGTGCCTGTAGTCCCAGCTACTCAGGAGGCTGAGGCAGAAGAATCTCTTGAACCCAGGAGGCAGAGGCTGCAGCGAGCTGAGATTGAGCCACTGTACTCTAGCCTGGGCGACAGAGTGAGACACAGACTCAAAAAAAAAAAAAAAAAAAAGAGAGCAGTGGGGGAAGGAGGTGTGCAGGAAGTAAAGGTTTGTGTGTTTGTTTGATTTTTTGTTAACTTCTAAGCCTGTTTTCACCTTAAGAGGAAAGTGTGGGTTCTTTTCTCCCCTGCAAACTTGAATATAGGATTTCTTCTTGGCCTTTATCAACTCAAAATACTTCCCAATTCTCAGGCCTCTGAATTGCAAAAGTGGGTAAGTCACTGGGGAATGAGATGGGTGTATAGCAAGATATGTTTATTTAAATGGTATTTTTATATATACATTCCAAGCTTATTATTTTCTTTTGGGTATTTTTATTTGCAAGTAAAACAATATTCAGACCGTTTCTACTGATTAGAGAATCAGATAAGTAGAAAGCACTGAAAATCATGATAGTTCTCTAAATCTCACTAAAGTTGTTGGGTGGGAGACATTTGATGACATGAAATGAAGCTGGGGGAAGCTCCTTGCTGTTTCTTGTATCCATTGCTCCTTATAAAGCATTAGCAGAAAGATATCCCACCAGGAATATTTTAAAACAATGGGGCAAATTAGGCAATATCTGGACAAAATACTTAGGGTGGGTGCGGTGGCTCACACCTGTAATCCCAGCACTTTTGGAGGCCGAGGTGAGCAGATCACCTGAGGCCAGGAGTTCAAGACCAATTTGGCCAACATGGTGAAACCCCATCTCTACTAAAAATACAAAAATTAGCCGGGCGTGGTGGCATGTGCCTGTAGTCCCTGCTACTCGGGAGGCTGAGGCAAGAGGATAGCTTGAACCCGGGAGGCGGAGGTTGCAGTGAGCCGAGATTGCGCCATTGCACTCCAGCCTGGGTGACAGAGTGAGATTCGGTCTCAAAAAAAAAGAAAAAGAAAAACAAACAAACAAAAAACTTTAGAAAATCAAATATTACATGTTCTCGCTTAGAAGTGGGAGCTAAACAACTGGTACCCATGGACACAAAGATGGGAACAAAACACACTGGGGACTCCAAAAGAGATGAAGGGGAAGGGAGGGAAGGAGGAAGGGAGGGGAATAAGTTGAAAAACTACCTATTGGGTATGATGTTCACTATTTGGGTGATGGGTTCACTAGAAGCCCAAACCCCAGCATCACACAATATATCCATGAAACAAACCTGCACATGTAACTCCTGAATCTAAAAAATAAATAAATACATACAGTGGCTCAAGTCTGTAATCCCAGCACTTTGGGAGGCTGGGGTGGGCGGATCACTTGAGGCCAGGAGTTTGAGGCCAGCCTGGCCAACATGGTGAAACCCTGTTTCTACTAAAAGTACAAAAATCAGCTGGGCGTGGTGGCGGGCACCTGTAATCCCAGCTACTTAGGAGGCTGAGGCACAAGAATCACTTGAACCTGGGAGGCAGAGGTTGCAGTGAGCAGAGATCATGCCACTGCACTCCAGCCTGGGCGGCAGAATGAGACTGTGTCTCAGATAAATATGTAAATGAATATGAGAAAACTAAATTAAAAAAAAAACCACTGGTAAAATAAAAACACAAGCAATTAAACCAAGTTTATTTATTTATTTATTTTGACACAGGCTCTTGCTCTGTCACCCAGGCTGGAATGCAGTGGCATGATCTTGGCTCACTGCAGCCTCTGCCACCTGGGTTCAAGCAATTCTCCTGCCTCAGCCTCCCGAATAGCTGGGATAAACCAAACTTCTTACCTGCTATCAAATGTCAATATTTTCTCTTTGTAGATAACATATGCGAAACTGGGATTTGAATGGTAATTATTTACTGACAATCCTAGAACAAACTCCTTTGGGCACACTCCCCTGACTTTAGGAAATAAGCTCTAGCCAAGCTAAAAGCAATTATCTAAGAAGAAAGCTGAAAACGATTCAAAATGCATTTTCAGTGATGTCAGGAAAACACGTATTCATCATTTTGTTTTGGGCTTCACTCTGTTCTGAAATTAATAATGGGCAGCCCCGTTATTCCTCCATTCAGGGCTCAGTTCTTCCTTGGAAGCAACAAGAGGTATTAGAGGTAGATTCTACCCACAGAGGACCAGAGAAGGCTAGGGAGGATGTAGCCCTGATTTTCCTACCTAGCTGCAGTTCCCTACCTGGGAGAAAGTGGTGCATCTTGGAGGCTCTTTGTTGTTTCCTCTAAGTGGTCCCAGGGCCCATCCCCAGGCCTTATGGCAGTAGAGTCACCTCTGCCTGCTCCACGAGCAGCTCTACTGCTGAGAGCAACCACGCACAACAGTGTGTACCCAGGGGCTTGCCAGGATCAGCTCCCCAACACTCACAACAGAAAATAAAAGCCATAGACCCTTCCCACAAATCTCCCTGAGGAACACAATATGCCCTCTTAAATAATTGTTTTTCAGATAGGAGCCTTTATAAATAGAAAATAAGTGACTGGGTTAGCAGACACAATCCTTGGATTGAAATTTACCTGTTTGAGCCACACATTGGTTGTCATCAGCTGATTCTTTTCATCCTAAGAAAATGAAAATTTAAAAAATACTGTAAGTTGAAGTGAAAATAAGTTGTGATTTTTGTTGTTGTTTTAGAAATGGGATCTCAAGATGTTGCCCAGGCTGGAGTGCAGTGGTGCCACCATAGCTCACTGCACCCTCAACCTCCGGGGCTCAAGCCATTCTCACACCCCAGCCCCCAAGGAGCTGACTATAAGTGCACGCCACCACACCCAGTTGTTTTTTGTTTGGTTTCGATCAGAAAAATCTATCTGAATCTTACCTTTGAGGTGTTAAAAGTGCAAAAGATTCTCAATTTACAATAGTCAAATGGCATGTAAACAGTCAAATGGCATATAAATAGTCAAATGGCATGCGGATTTTGCTTAAAATGAAAAACAACTGAAACAAGTAGCAGTTCATTGTGGCTATATTTACATAAAATTGGATGACCCAGAAGGCACTTTAAAGGTACAAAGTAGGCTGGGTGCAGTGGCTCACACCTATAATCCCAGTACTTTGGGAGGCCGAGGCGGGTGGATCACCTGAGGTCAGGAGTTCGAGACCAGCCTGTCCAACATGGCGAAACCCCGTCTCTACTAAAAATACAAAAATTAGCTGGGCATCATGGCACATGCCTGTAATCCCAGCTACTCAGGAAGCTGAGGCAGGAGATTCACTTGAACCTGGGAAACGGAGGTTGCAAGTGAGCCAAGATCACCCTTCTGCATTCCAGCCTGTGTGAAACAGAGTCTCTGTCTCAACAACAACAATAATAATAATGAAGGTACAAAGTAGAGGGAAATAATAGCTAAACTGGAGACGGGCTTTGCATGACTTCCTAGAAGGAATCCTGGGGTATTGAGCCAGCCAGGCAGGTGAGTGTGCGCACATGTGTGTAGTAGGGTGGAGAATATGGACAACATAGGAGGATTCTTCTGGGGCTTTGGGGATCATAGAAGGACAATTTTGTTGCATTTAGGGAGTTAAAGTTCACTGGTTTCTTCTAAGAACACAATCATGACAGAAAGGCAAGCTCAAAAGGAAAATTAGAATGTGAAGGCATGGGTGAGTTCAGAAGAGGTGACGGGGCTGCCTAGGGACAGCAGGAATGGGCCTTGCTCTGGGCACTGTTGTTACCACCCTGTCTCCCTGCAGAGCCCCCTACCAGCCCAGGGCACAGCCAGGGAGGATCGAAGATCACAGCACGTCAGCCCCAGGCTCAGCCCCTCTTCTCTGCAGTTCCCAGCCCTCCTCCCTGGGTGTTCAGCAAACCGGGGCCAGGAGCAATGACTATCTTAGCAACCACATCCTCCCCGCAGCGAATCGTCCCACACTAACAGTGCTGCAATGAAAATTTACCCTGTGACAACTTCTCGTTCTTTCCTTGGGTCATTTTAGTGGCTTCTTGGGGGCAGATTTTCTCTCACAGTAAATTATTTTTAAAATTGAAATGGCAGACATAGGGAAAAATATATATTTTAGACTCATAAACAGGTTAAGGAATGCATGTTCTTTTTAGCCAAGTGCCAAGGATTACTCACCACATCTACAAGCTGGGATATTTTCAATCCAAAATATACTTTTATGGTGTCATTAGAATGTAATACAGGGCGGACCCATTTCTGATAACCTTGGAACAAATGTCTGAGGAGGGCATCTTCATTTTCGGCGATTGAGTTGAAACCTGTGGTGGCTGTAAAAGAATCATGGGTGGACCTGGGTTAATGGGAGGGGCACGATGCCTGGATGAGTGTCCCATGGCTCCTGTGGCCTTGGCCTCCTGCACCATAGGCTGTGTCTGTTTCTAAACAGCCCAGTTCCTGAAAGGCAACTTGGAGCATGCAAGAGTCTCCACGTCCACTCCCACCTCCCTCCAAACACACACAGCTGAAAACAGAATCCACATTTTGTTTGTGTGTGTGTGTGTGTGTGTGTATTTTTTTTGAGACAGAGTCTCACTCTGTTGCTCAGGCTGGAGTGCATTGGCGCGATCTCGGCTCACTGCAAGCTCCGCCTCCAGGGTTCATGCCATTCTCCTGCCTCAGCCTCTCGAGTACCTGGGACTACAGGTGCCTGCCACCACACCCGGCTAATTTTTTGTATTTTTAGTAGAGAAGGGGTTTCCTCATGTTAGCCAGGATGGTCTCGATCTCCTGACCTCGTGGTCTGTCCGCCTCAGCCTCCCAAAGTGCTGGGATTACAGGCGTGAGCCACCACGCCCGGCCCAGAATCCACATTTTACCCAGAGCTGCACTCTCTCATGAGATTTTCCCATCATGGGGTCAACACCCAGGTCCCAAAAGCTCCATCTGCAGCCACCCCGACCCCTACCTCTGGTCCCATCTGCAACGCTCCCTCTTCACAGAGATGGGCCCTGTCCCCAAGCTGTTCTCCGTCCCTGAGCCTCCAGCATCTCCCTTTGGAAGTCTCTTGTCATTTGTCACACCTGTCTTCCTCTGGAGCTCCCTGACGATGGGAGCAATGGGCGTTATATTTGATCATGTTTACCCAGCACCTAGAACAGTGCCTGGCCCATAGTGGGTGTTCATTTTATGTGTGTTAGTAGATGTCAGAGTCGGCACATGGTCACTGAACACCAGCCGTGTGCCCCTCACGGTCCTCTTGTCTTTTCCCAAGGAAGAGTCTTTCCTTACAAAGTCCTTCCTTGGTCAGCAGCCAGGATGTCACACTCTGCCCAGTGCCTCACTATGTGAGAACCTCAGAAACACCCAGTGTTAAGCTTTAACCCTCCAGTTGGGGAAATGGCTTAGGAATCCAGTCCCAAAGTAGAGTTCTATTTCCTTACAATGCCGTGCTATCACATTTAAAACAAGGAAGCCCCTACTTTTAAAAAAAGAAGACAGGGTCTCACTATGTTGCCCAGGCTAGAGTGCAGTGGCCATTCACAGGTGCAGTCCCATTACTGATCAGCATGGGAGTTTTAACCTGCCCCTCCTTGTCTGTTCAGCACCCGATTAATATCCTACAGCAACTCATTCTGCACCATGTCCTGACCATAGAAAACCTTTTTCTTCCCACTGAGATATCCACATGCTGGGTAATGATCTCATGAGAGACATACCCTCCAGGTTTGCCCACTCAAAATCCAGGGATTCTTTTAGGAAGAAAAGCACAACAGTGCACCATCCCCCTGTGTGCAGGAGGCTTCTGTAGGCACTTTCCTAAGAGAGGAGCAATTCCAGGTGCCTCTGTCCCAGCACCTCAGAGGCATGGGTGAAGTGGGCTGTGTCCTCTGACGGTTCCCAGCCCCATTTTCCTCCACATAAAATGCAAATGAGTGATAGGGAGAGACGCAACCTTACATTTGTGCTTATTTACTTAAAAACTGTGGGCCAGGCATGGTGGCTCACACCTGTAATCCTAGCACTTTGGGAGGCTAAGGTGGGAGGATCTTTTGAGCCCAGGAGTTGGAGACCAGCCTAGGCAACATAGGAAGACCCTGTATTACAAAAATAAAAAAATTAGCCGGGCATGGTGGCACACCCCTATAGTCCCAGCTACTTGGGAGGCTGGGGCAGGAGGATGGCTTGAGTCCCGGAAGTCAAGGCTGCAGTGAGTGGTGGTAGCACCACTGCACTCCAGCCTAGGTGACAGAGCAAGACCCTGTCTCAAAAAAAATTTTTTTTAATAAACAAAAACTGATCTGTTGATTACTATTAGTACCAAGAGCAGCACTGGGAGCAGCCAGCTGGGCAGCCACCAGGGTGTCAGTCTGTAAAGAGCCAGGAAACCTTCCTGGAACCCCACAGGCTCTAGGGGGCATTTGCTCAGAGGGACATTCTTGAAGTCATCCTTGACTCCTCTCTTTTTCTCCCACCCTACGTCGGGTCTTAATGTCCTTGAGAATACATCCCAGCCCTGATTGTTCCCCACTGTCTCCACCGGGGCCACGCTGAGGGCACAGATGCTCTCTCTCTTGGGCTCCTGCACTGCTTCCTAATTGTTTTCACTCTTGACCTTTCTGCAGTCCATTCCCCACACAGCAGCTAGAGGATTATGTCAGTTCCCTGCTAAGCGCTCCAGATGGTTTCCCATCACACTCAGAAAGAATCATCCTAAGTCCCTCCACAGTCTCCCTGACCCCATATGGCCCTAACTGTGCACCACCCCCACCATACTGCCCACATTCTCCTCCCCAGCCCTCGGGCCAGTCTGCGATTCCCAGAACAAGCCAGAATGCATCTGCTTGGGGAAAGTTCTTACCCTTACCCGGAGAGCCCACAGCCATCCCTTCACTTGTCCAGTCTTTGCTCAAATGTCATTTCCTTGAGTAAGTCATTTCAGGTTACACTATTTAAAGTCCCTCTCCTCTCTATCCTCTTAGGGTACTTCATCTTCCAGTAGAGAACCTAATCATATCACATTTATCTGTTTATTGTTGTCTCCCCTCCCTAGATGATGCCAGCTCCAGGAAGTTGGGGATTGTCTTCCTCACTCCTGTATTCCCGGCTCCTAGAACAGTGACTGTCACCCAGCAGCTGTTGAGCTAATGGCTATTGAGTGGACAACCACTCGAGCAACAATGCAGTCAGCTTCGTGGACTTTGTTTTACTGAGGGGCATCTGGAGAGTTGGGACCAGAGGTGAATTGCTCAAGAGAAGAGGGAAGCAGTGAGGACACAGCTGTCCTCCTCCATCTATCCCCAGGTCAGGCAGCCCCCTCCTCTAAGGCAGAGAATATTGTTTGAAAGGCACTTGTCTTCACTTATTTTGTGCTGCTACAACAGGATACCACAACCTGAGGAATTTATAATGAACAGAAATTTATTGGCTTATGGTTCTAGAGACTGGGAAGTCCAAGATCATGAGCATCTGGTGAGATCACTGACATCTGGTCAGGGCCTTCTTGCTGCATCAAACATGATGGAAGGGCAAAGAGGGGGTGAGAGAGACAAGAGGGTGCCAACCCCTCCCATGATAATGGCATAAATCCATTCATGAGGGTGGTGCCCCCATGACCCAAACACCTACCATTAGGCCCCACCTCCCAACACTACTGCGTTGGGGGTCAAATTTCCAGCACTTGAACTTTGGGGAACCCATTCAAACCACAGCAGCACTGTGGCAGACACTGCCAGTTCCCTGCCCAACAGGCATTCCCCCTTTTCCTTGGCAACAGATGCTAAATTTATTCAGGGTTGCATGGTGCCAGCTTAAAAAGCTCAGCTCTGGGCTCCCTTGCATCTGGGAATGGCCTATGGCACATGTAGCCAGTTAGATACAAACAGAAGCTGTTGGGATTGGGGTGGTTAGAGGAAAGGTTGTTAAAAAGGATGGACTTGATCTGACATGTCTGCCTCCTTCTTTTTGTCTGAAACTGGAGATTTGGCCACTTATCTGTCTTGAAAACCTGATGAAAGCTACACACATAGGAGGGCAGAATGGAAAGACACACAGAACCTGGGTTTCTGATAGCCCTGTACTATTGGTCTCCAAATTTCTTGGTATGTGAGAAAAGCAATCTCCTATTTGGTTAAGCCACTGTAGCCACTGACAGGCATCTGAACACAGCCCTGATGGCTGCTTGCACCACCTGACTAGCTGCTGAGATGCTGAAGTTCTTACAGAGTCCCTGAGTCCCAGGTCAGCCAAATTAGCACAAATTACTGAAGACACCATCTCACAATGGATGGAGGCACTCCAGGGAGGCCGAGAACAACTGAATGATGCCTGAACCAACACATGCAAGCACACACACACACACACACACCTATTAGCTCAGACAACTGTGAGCCGGGAGAATTTTGGACACATAAGAGAGAGGGTTCTTGAAGATGAGCAGGGACTGTAACCATGAACTTCCTTTCCCAAAAGAAAAACTGTCCAGTCATTCTGAAAGGAGGTGGAGTTGCACGTTGGGAGGGGAAATCTAGAATTCTGACCTGACATGCTTAGCGTTTGCACTTACGCAGCTGTGCTCCCTGTGAAGGTACAGGAATCCTGCTCCTCACCAAGATCCAGGGGCAGCAAGCAGCTCTGCTCTTTCACGCACAGCATACATCTCCACCTGTGTTACCACTGTCAGAAGGTGCACTTTCCGTCTGAATTAACAAAAAGCATGAACCATACTGGCTGTTAGGGACTGAATGTTTATATCCCTCAAAAATCAAATGTTTAAGCCCTAACCCCCAACGTGACTATATTTAAAAACAGAGCCTATAAGGAGGAGGCGCAGAGGACACACCATGTGAGGACACAGCAAGAAGGCAGCTGTTTGTAAGCCAGGAACAGAGCCCTCACCAGAAACTGACTTTCTAGCACGTGATCACAGACTTCCAGCCTCCAGAACTGTGAGAAAATAAATGTCTGTTTTTAATCAGTCTATGGTATTTTGTGATGGCAGCCTGACTAATGCAAATCTGTTCTGACCAAAACAGACTTTATCCCCCTAATAAAAAAAGCCAAAGATTAAATGATTTCTGCCTAATATCTTCAAATTTCCAGAACCTTTCCAAAATAGAAGCTGAAGTCATTGGCATTATTGGAGCAGACTTAGAGGACAAGCCTGGAAATGTTTCTGGTTTGTCCTTCTTGTGAAATAGAACATTATGAGAAAGGCCAAGTGCTTCTCACAGTTGATCCTTTGAGACCAGGGCCTCCATAAATATTTGATGATGTTTGATGAATGAACAAATGAACACATGAACAAAAGGCCATAACGGGGCTTTCTGTGACCCAGGGGAATGAGGTAGAGCCAGCATGGCTCACTGCTCCCGAAGATGTAAAATCACAGATGCGCTCAAGGTTTCCAGGACAAGTGGTCTTTGTATTATGGAATAAAAGGATTCCTGGAAAGTTGTGCATAGACCAAAATTTGCAAAATAACTTATATTTTAAATTAATCACTATATTCTAAGATCCATCTCAGTAATCCATTGAAAAACCAAGAATTTTTTCTCAGAAGATGAGTGTCCCCCATTGTGGATACATATATATATATATATATATAAATATTTTTTTTTTTTTTAGACGAAGTCTTGCTCTGTCACCCCGGCTGAAGGGCAGTGGCATGATCTTGGCTCACGGCAACCTCTGCCTCCTGGGTTCAAGCAATTCTCATGCCTCAGCTTCCTGAGTAGCTGGGATTACAGGCGTGCACCAACATGCCCAGCTAATTTTTGTATTTTTAGTAGAGACAGGGTTTCGCTACATTGGTCAGGCTGGTCTTGAACTCCCGACCTCAAGTGATCTGCCCGCCTTGGCCTCCCAAAGTGCTGGGATTACAGGCATGAGCCACCACTCCCGGACATGGATGAATCTCTTACAGAAGCTTGGACCCAATTTCAGCCTCAATGAAAGAGGAAGGAAAAGTGAACTGATAATGAAGCTAAGACAATAAAGCCAAGAAGTACCTCCAGGACCATCCCAGCCCCTTGTTTTACAGGTGAAGATACTGGGGCATCGAGAGGAGCCTTGCCCAGGGCCATCCAGCTGATGGTGGCCTGCGTGGTCTTCTGGCGGCCAGGCCAGCCATCTTCCCTTATTGCAAAAATTCAATTCGATATACATATATTTGCTGTTATTGCTATTTTTGATGTTTTGCTGTTAGCATTGTATTTTCCAGAATGCTTTACTGTTATTTAGAGCAATCTACTACCTGGAAGAATTATATTCTTTTTATTTTTTTTGAGACAGAGTCTCACTCTGTTGCCAGGCTGGAGTGCAGTGGCGCAATCTTGGTTCACTGCAACCTCTGCTTCCCGGGTTCAAGCAATTCTCCTTCCTCAGCCTCCCAAGTAGCTGGGATTACAGGCACGTGCCACCATGCCCAGCTAATTTTTGTATTTTTAGTAGAGACAGGGTTTCAATATGTTGGCCAGGATGGTCTCGATCTCTGGACCTGGTGATCCCACCTTGGCCTCCCAAAGTGCTGGGTTTACAGGCGTGAGCCATCGTGCCTGGCCTCCTTGCTTAATCTTTGTCTCATTTTTCTTTGTCAAAATATTTCCTGTGGGGCTGGGTGTGGTGGTTCACACCTGTAAATCCCAGTTACTTGGGAGCCTGAGGCAGGAGGATTGCTTGAGGCCAGGAGTTTGAGACCAGCCTGGGTGGTGCAGAGAAGCTCTGATAAATAAATAAATGTTTATTTCTATTTTAAATAAATATATATATATTTCCTTTAGGGCCAGACAGACAACTCCATGGGCAGAGGAAGGAAGATGGAGAGGCAGAGAGCGAATGTGAAGGCTTCAGTTCGGAGGCAGAGACAGGGATGGCGTGCACTTGGCCTGATGCTGGTCATCTCCTGTGCACTGAGCTCAGGCTGGGACAGGCTCTGGGAGAGTGTGCTGCTGCTGGCTCAGAAGGCTGATTCCCTTTCCGAAGTCATCACTCATTAGGAGGAGAATCCAACAAATATTTATTTAATAATGAGAGGCATTGGACTCTGATTTAGAGACCATGGGTTCTGGTCTTGATTCCAAGCAGTTAACATCTCCCAATAAGAAAAGGAAATGGGTGATGGCTGAGGCCTCCAGCAGCTCACACCTTCCAGGCTTTTAGGGTCTTTGTGTCTATGAAACATCCACAAACTGTGGCCTATTAACCCCAGATATTTGCTGTTTTCAAGATACAAAAGACTGTCAGAGTTTAAGATGTGCATATGACTGGGGAGCAGCCCTTCACTCAAGCTGCTGTTTATCTCAACAGAGCAGTCAGGTAAAAGTAACACAGCTACCAGGGGATTGGAGAGACACCTCTGTGAGGGGGTTGGGGCTCTCTCAGCCTCACTGAATGAAATCATGAAAGATATTGATAAGGTCCCTAGTAACACTTTAAGACAAAGAAATTTTCCTTTGGAATTGAAGACCTGACCTTCTGGTCTCTTTATTCTTTTTATTTTTTAATAGAGACAGGGCCTTGCTCTGTTGCCAGCTGGGGTGCAGTGGCATGATCATGGGTCACTGCAGCCTCAACCTCCTGGGCTCATGTGATCGTCCTGCCTCAGCCTCCCGAGTAGCTGCGACTACAGGAGCATGCCACCATGCCTGGCTAATTTTTAAATTTTTTGTAGAGACGTATGTCTCTCACTATGTTGTCCAGGCTGGTCTTGAGCTCCTGGGCTCAAGTAATCCTCCTGCTTTGGCCTCCCAAAATGTTGGATTACAGACGTGAACCATTGCAGCATCCTTGGTCTCTTTATTCTTTTTTTTTTTTTTTTTTTGAGACAGAGTCTCGCTCTGTCGCCAGGCTGGAGTGCAGTGGCGTGATCTCGGCTCACTGCAACCTCCGACTCCCTGGTTCAAGCAATTCTCCTGCCTCAGCCTCCCAAGTAGCTGGGATTACAGGCATGTGCCACCACGCCCAGCTAATTTTTGTGTTTTTAGTAGAGACGGGGTTTCACCATGTTGGCCAGGATGGTCTCCACCTCCTGACTTCATGATCTGCATGCCTCAGCCTCCCAAAGTGCTGGATTACAGACGTAAGCCCCACACCCGACCAGTCTCTTTATTCTTGATTCTGTTTCCTCAGTCTCTCAGACGCCCCTGCTCTCTTCCCACCTCCATATCAACATCCACTTTTAGCAAAATTTGACAAACTCACACTGAGGTACAAACAACTGATAAGACTTAACAGATAAAACTTTTCTCTCTCACAGATCTATACTAAATCCAATAACCTGTTATAAATCTCAGATCTGTATTTCTAGATCCATCAACATCTGTCCATAATTTTATGAACAGGATTTCATAAAAATCTTCAGGATTATTTATGGTTTTACTGATAATGCCATTTTTTTATCCTCAGCCAGGACAGAAAAGAAATAATTGGGCCGGGCATGGTGGCTCATGCCTGTAATCCCAGCACTTTGGGAGGCCGGAGCGGGTGGATCTCCTAAGGTCAGGAGTTTGAGACCAGCCTGGCCAACATGGTGAAACCTCATCTCTACTAAAAATAAAAAAGAATTAGGTGTGATGGTGGGCACCCGTAATCTCAGCTACTCGGGAGGCTGAGGCAGGAGAATCCCTTCAATCCAGGAGGCAAAGGTTGCAGTGAGCCAAGATTGCCACTGCACTCCAGCCTGGGTGACAGAGCGAGATTCCGTCTCAAAAAAACCACAAAAAACAAAAAACAAGGCCGGGCGCAGTGGCTCACACCTGTAATCCCAGCACTTTGGGAGGCCGAGGTGGGTGGATCACGAGGTCAGGAGATTGAGACCATCCTGGCTAACACGGTGAAACCGCATCTCTACTAAAAATACAAAAAATATTAGCTGGGCGTGGTGGTGGGCACCTGTAGTCCCAGCTCCTCTGGAGGCTGAGGTAGGAGAATGGCGTGAACCCGGGAGGCGGAGCTTGCAGTGAGCAGAGATCGCGCCACTGTACTCCAGCCTGGGCGACAGAGCGAGACTCCATCTCAAAAAAAAAAAAGAAAAGAAATTATTGAAGAATTCCAAATCTCAGCAAAGACGATTGTGAAATGTGGATTTTTTTGCTTTGATGCCTTTTGGTATATTTTGTTTCTTCCTTCCACTATTGCCGCCTCGTCAAAAAAAAAAAAAAAAAAAGCATACCACAAATATGGCAGCCTCTTCCGTCACCCATGGAGCTAGCCCTCATGGTGAAATCAAAGAATGCATATTCAATGGATTCTTGATAGCATGAGACCTTTTTCTTCTTTTTTTGAGACCGAGTTTCGCTCTTGTTGCCCAAGCTGGAGTGCAGTGGTGTGATCTCGGCTTTCTGCAACCTCTGCCTCCCAGGTTCAAGCGATTCGATTCTTCTGCCTCAGTCTCCCGAGCAGCTGGGATTACAGGCGTGTGCCACCACGCCTGGCTAATTTTTTGTATTTTTAGTAGAAACGGAGTTTCACCATGTTGGTCAGGCTGGCCTCAAACTCCTGACCTCAGGTGATCTGCCTACCTTGGCCTCCCAAAGTGTTGGGATTACAGGTGTGAGCCATGATGCCCAGCTGAGAGCTTATTAGAAAATGGCTTTGTTTTTATTTCCTCTTGCATTCCTAGACACTGGAACCATTCCTAGGATACAGTAGATGCTCAATAAGTATTTATTGAATGAATAAACACATTGTGTCTTATCATATCATCATGTTGTAAGAGAGATGGGAAGATAAATAAGATACACCTCCTGCTTTTTGAGAGCAGATAGCACACACAAAATATGAAATAGCAATATGAGAGACAACCCATGGCCACACCCAAGGCTCCTTTTTACCAAAGCCAGAAATATAAAAATGAAGGGGTTGCCTCTTGTAATTTGAAAAAAGTAGTTTTGCATAACAAAAAGAAACTATTTTGTTTACAATGAATAGTAAAGTTAAAAAATGTAAGGAAATATGGGACAGATTTAAAAATATGAGCAGATGCTGATGGATCTAGAAATACAGATGTAAGATTTATCACAGGTTATTAGATTTATTATAGATCTGTGAAAGATTACACAATCTTCCCAAACTCTTCCAGCCCACACAATGGAGACCAATGCCAGAGGCCAAGCAATTCCAGTTTTCTTATGTAATCATGATTGTACACAGAGGACGAGACTTAGCTGAACCAAGAGAGTTTATGCTAAACACCCTCGCTAACCATTGAGAGAAATCATTCCTTGGGAAAAGAGTGGTAAGAATCAATTGTCTTATAATAAATAGAATAATAAAGACAGAAAAACATCAGACACACGTACATTAATGGTAAGCTCAAACACACAGAATTTTCTTATCATTTTTGTGATTGGCAAACTGCATTCAAGACTTTGAAAAGTCCAAATTTCATGATATTTGAAAGTGAGTTTGAGGCTTTCTGCATTTAGAAATTCCTGTTTGACTTTGAGTCCTTGGTCTGAGAAAAGGCGTTTTTGACAACAGGATAATGTTCAGGTGCCTCGCAGCCTTGGGAACTTGAAATGTAGAATTTATTTCTGGATTTGGGCAAATCTCCCTTAGTGTCTCCAGTTCTCCATTTGAAAATTACAATAATCAAACGTGGCAAAAATACTACTGAGAAATTAATACAAATTGCTAGTGAACTGACACTTTTCTCACCATCTGGCTGCGGTTTCAGATGGTTTCTGATTCAATGGGGGAAAACTTTCTGTTCTCAAGTTACACAAAAAGTGAAAAGATTCCCAAACCCAGGAAATTGGCAGGTGCAAATGACCAATCCCCAAAGCCTTTCAGTACTTTATTCCCCTTTCTTTTTCTCTTTTTGTTCTTTCTCTGCATCTCTGTCTCTATCTTTCACTTTTTCCTTTTATTTGTCCTTTATCCTTATCAAAAATTCCTCTATTTTCAGTTGATAATAGTCACATAAAACACATAGAGTTTTGATACATTGGTGTTTAATTGTGATATATAAACATGCTAAATCTACCTACATACACAGATTTATTAAAATATATAGGCCTACAGGGCATATTGGACAAAATTAAATATCTACATGCAGATATAGAAATTATTGGTAAATATGATAGAAAAATGTTGATATAGTAAATTTCTGTGCCAAATATTTGAACAATTCTCTGAGTAATGCTCAGTGCATTCAATAATGTTTTTCCTGCTTTTGTATTTTCTTACCAAGCTCATAGTGATTCAGAAGGAGAAACGCAGCAAATGACAAAAACATAAACATTATGAAAATCATAGATATGATTTCTTCAGCAAAAAAAACCCCACATCTCACAGAATTACTCATTTGGGCCACATTTTAAAGGTTATCCTAAATGTATCTTGTGCATTACATATTGTAATTCTAACATTATCAACACCATAGTTTTGCCTCCTCTGCTTAAATAATTCTGCAACTGTAGTTTTAATTTACTGTGACTTGTGCTTACCTGAGGAAGGGATGCCAAGGACGATGAGAACCAGCATAAAATCTGGGAGCATCGTGATGTCAGTTTCAGAAAGACAGTTTCTTCCTTTTTAACAACAGAGCATTTCCACTGGAAAAGGGGGTTTTGAAAAGAAAATACAGGGGTTCAAAATCCGAAGTGGAACCCAAGAGGACAGCAACACCTGGAGTGGAATAAAACAATCTCAACCCCTCTCGCCGAGTGTGCCGCTTCTCAAAGTGCACTTCATTGATTTGCAGTCAGCTGTCAGATCGTGTAAGTCTAAAACATATCTCTGGGTCCTAACTCCTGACTTATTAATTTACTCCCTTGCAAGAGATGCGGGGCACTGGAGAAAGGATGAAACTAGACAACTTCTGAATGTTCTGTGCTATTTTTCTTACAGTTGGAGATCTGCGTACAGAAGAACCACACTTTACCACATCCATAGTGAAAAGTTTCTCATCCCCGTTATTTCTCTATTCTCTTTTCTTTTTCTTTTTATTCTTTTTTTTTTTTTTTTGATATGGAGTCTCACTCTGTCACCCAGGCTGGAGTGCAATGGTGCAATCTCGGCTCACTGCAACCTCCGTCTCCCAGGTTCAAGCCATTCTCCCACCTCAGCCTCCTGAGTAGCTGGGATTATAGGCACCTGCCATCATGCCCAGCTAATTTTTGTATTTTTGTAGAGACAGGGTTTCACCATGTTGGCCAGGTTGGTCTTGAACTCCTGACCTCAGGAGATCCGCCCGCCTTGGCCTCCCAAAGTGGTGGGATTACAGGCATGAACCACTGCGCCCAGCCTCTCTATTCTCTTTTCCAGTTGGACCTGAAGTCATGAGTATGTCCTGGAGCCTCCCTATTCTGCTGGTTCCCACATGTGTTAATATCAGCACATTCTCTGTGGCTCCCTTGACCCCACCAGGCCCACCTTCTGGTCACTGCAGGGGACAGTAGGGTGGGAGGTTAGTGGTGTTTTATGTATGAGACTTGGACACTAATAACACCATCCTTTCTTCTTCACAGTTGATCAGATTTCATCTAGTTCAGTGCTGTGCACACCCAGAGGGCCCTTGATAAATGCATGATACATCAAATGAATGGCAAGTACAAAGTCAGGGCTAGACAGACAAGAGGGCCAGGTGGGAGCCAAGACCTATCTGGTTGGGAACTGAGTGCTGGAGGAACCCACTCCAGGGCATGGAGGAATTCTGTCTTAGCGGCAGTGATTTAGTCCAATTTTTAAATTTCTTAATTTAACCCTCCTCTGTGTGCCATTAGTGAGTTTGAGACACCCAGAGGGTGCTCGGTAAGGAGGCATCATGTGTGGAAAAGAGGTCTAGCCCAGGACCCCGGGACCCTGAGCTCTTGAGCCCTGTCTGTTCCTCAGGGCCCCTGTCTCAGAGCCCCTCACATCACAATGTCGCTGCCCTGCCTGGCCTCCCTTCCTAGACCACCAGCTCCTGCAGGAGGGCTTGGTCTCCAGCCCTCTGGAGTCTCCTCTGTATCTCTCTGTGTCCAGGGCCTGACACCTGCAAATGCTTGAGAACGTTGTGGGAATGCAAGGAGGAAGGAAGGAGCCATGCACTGATTTCCTCCTATCCATCTCAACTGTGCTCCCAGCCTGCTGAGAATTTGTAATGGTCTCAGGAGTAAATCAGCCACCGCCAATCCAAGTGTGCAGGAAGTTTCACCTTTATTTTCAAGAAATTGAATAAAATGAAGCTAGCCTTCCATGGAACTGGCTGGAAATCCAATCTCAGTCATTGCAGGCCCTGCAGCCTTCTCCCTAGGGGAGCAACTGAATCTGGAAGCCTTTTGTGGTCCCCAAAATATGGCACAGTCTTGTATCCTCCAGGCTGCCTTGACCACAGCTGGGGTCCATGCCCCACCCACACGGTCCCATGGAGCCAACAGCTCGGTTGCTCTTTGCCTTCTCCGATGCCAAGGATTCTGCCAAGACCCAGGATTCTGCCAATACCGGAGGCCTTGGTAACAGGACCCTGCCTCCCTGGGTCCCACACAACCCTGGCCTGCTGAGGACTGCACCCCTTGAGTGCAACCCTGAGCAGGGCACGGTCCTGCTGCCAGAAGGACCTGCCAGCCCCTTCCTATGCCTTGGGAAGTTCTTTTCTGTCTCACTTTACAGCCACCTTTCTCCCTGCAAAGATACTCAACTCTTCACCATCCCACTGTAGAAACCTCAAATCATCTCTCCATTGAGTTTAGACTTTGGGGGGAAAAGCGGACATCAAATAGACACAGGAAAAGAGGCTGTCTTGCTCTGTTGCCCAGGCTGGAGTGCAGTGGCGCAATCTCGCCTCACTACAACCTTCACCTCCCAGGTTCAAGCAATTCTCCTGCCTCAGCCTCCTGAGTAGCTGGGATTACAGGTGTCCACCAGCACGTGCAGGTAATTTTTATATTTTTAGTAGAAACAGGGTTTCACCATATTGGCCAGGCTAGTCTCGAACTCCCAACCTCCAGTGATCCAACTGCCTCATCCTCCCAAAGAGCTGGGATTACAGGTGTGAGCCACTGTGCGAGCCCGGCCAGGTGTGCTTTCAATTGAAGATGTAAGTTCTGATTGGCATTTAGTAATCATGAAAGCAGTGTAATCCTAATACTACATTTCAAGACCACTTACAGTCCATGATTCTAATCCAATCACCATCAATGCTTTACTTCCTTCCAGTGCACACACACAAGCACACACACTAACATGCATGATAGCATTGTGGTCACCCAGTTGATGTATGAGTCAACACCCTTCAACTGAGCTTTTTATAACTTTTACTTTTTAGAATATAAAACAACACCATTAAAAAGGTTATTAAGGCAGGAAAGACAAAAGATTTTTTAAAGAAAAGGACATTTTGGTATTAATGATGAGAAAAGGAGAAACTTTGAGAAATTATTTCATGACCTCTAAGGGGACAAAAAGGAGCATTGTGGTTGGTTCTGTAGTACATGTAAGGGGACTCAGAACTAATTAAGCAACTGTAAACAAGGGTGTGGATTAACAAACGGATGTCAAGCCTGGAAGAGGGTCTTTAGTGGTGGGCTGCGTGGATCTAACACATTTAACATCTTGAAGGCATGGAAGATACACTTAGTGGATTTGCAAATAACAAAAATAAGAGAGCCAGCCCAATTGCCAAGGTCCCTTCCAGTGTGAAACCGTACCCGCTTATCTACCATGCAGGACAGAATCACAATACCCAGCGACCTCAGAAGTGTGGGGTGCTGGGCCCATGCTGGTAAGATAGATTGGCTTAGTTCTTGGCCACATTTATGTGAATTGGGACAAAATGTCTTTTTGCTTTATTATTTTATTTCTATATCTTTTTACAGTTAGAAAAACAAAATCACATTGAGGTATTTATTTAATTAATTGCCTTAACTGCAAAGAATACAACTACATGATACTGACAGTCACTTGGTCACCCTACGAATGGCACTCCTAGCAGCACCCCAGCCTGTCTGGAGCCGTCTTAGGGCACTGTTTTGTTTAGGACAACACAGTTAGGAAGTTAAATATGTTTATTGTGGGGACATCGAGAGACCCGGGATCTAGAAAGGAAGACTTATGAGAAAAGATTAAAAAGCAAGGAGTTTAGATGAGAAAAAAAGAAGCCTGGCTGTGCACGGTGGCTCACGCCTATAATCCCAGCACTTTGGGAGGCCGAGGCAGGCAGATCACAGGAGGTCAGGAGTTTGAGACCAGCCTGGCCGACATGGTGAAACCCTATCTCTATTACAAATACAAAACTTAGCTGGGCGTGGCAACCCGTGCCTGTAATCCCAGCTACGCTACTTGGGAAGCTAAGGCAGGAGAATCGCTTGAACCCGGGAGGTGGAGGTTGCAGTGAGCCAAGATAGCGCCATTTGCACTCCAGCCTGGGGGACAAGAGCGAAACTCTGTCTCAAAACAAAACAAAAACAAAAAACAAAAAAAAACAAGTCTAAGGGAACTGTCTTTCCTCTATAAAAAGCTTACTTGTGAGTTACCTGCTCCTCACCAACACCTGGGGAGGTGAAGTCACAGTGAGGTGGGGGCGGGATTGGGGCTGGGACCACACCTCCCACAGCCCAGTGCTCTCACCGTCTCTGTACCATGATACTTAATAAGCAATCCCACTAACCAGAGTGTGCCAGTTTATCATGGAGAGAACACACTCCCTGCCTTCTGGAGGTCCATGAGCTCCCCCTTCCTCAGTCACCCATCAGGGTTTACCAGTGCTCCCTTCCTCGGGGCCTTCCTTATGTCTAACCTCAGTCATTCCTGCTGTAGCCTGCCTGGCTCTAAGCCAGCCAGCATTTCAAATACTCCGATCCTCTTCTCACTACCAGTAGGGAGGTTTTGTGGGAGGGAGCAGGGATGCTGTCAGCGTTCACAGGATTCAGAAGGTCTGGATTCAGGATCCAAAGTATCTGAATTTGAAATTCTCACTGCCCTCCTAAATAACCTCTCATCTCTTGATGCCTAAAATTTCACTCTAGAGGTAATTGTTTTGGTTTAAATCTTATTACATCCACCACTGGGCAGGATAACACTTTAATCCAATCAGCCAACCCTTTTTCTTCCTGGGCTCTATCCACACAAATGACATTTTTTCAATAGCCACACCTCTCACTATTGGTAGAGATGGGAAAACCATGGCTTTTATTTTTTAGGCAGAGACAGGGCCTTGCCATGTTGCCCAGGCTGGTCTTGAACTCCTGAGCTCAAGAGATCCTTCCACCTCGCCCTCCCAAAGTGCTGGGATTACAGGCGTGAGCTACCGTACCCGGCTTTTAAATAAGTGTCCAATTCTTTCCTGGGATCAGACCTCAGAAGCCGCAGGCTCCTGGACGCGCTGCACGGCCTCCCTGGGCTGGGCCTTGCGGGGGCCTTAGACCAGGGTGAGTTGTGGGGCTCGGGTGCCCTCTGGTGGCTCACTCCTCACACTGCAGGCCTTTAACCTTTAAAGGGTGTGTGCTTCAGACGGTATTTGCTCCTCAAATTTTAAATAAAAAGGTAGTAACAGCCCGAGTAAATCACAAACTAAGCACTGGAAGGCAATGGGCTGTTGGTTTAACAGCTCTGCCCTTCCACGTACCGCTTGCCAGGAGGGCAGCACAAACCCAGAAGAGCTGTAGCCGAGAAGGCCCGCGCGTTCCTCAAAGGGGAGAGTTGGTGCCCGGGACCCAGCTGGAATCAATCGCTGGGCCGCAGCCCGGGGGAACCCAGGTGTGCGCGGGAAGAAGCGTTCGAACAGAAAGAAACCGTCTAAATGGATCACATGAGCAGCGTTTCCCAAACCTCCCTGTGCTTCCCAACCATCTGGCGAGCTTTCAAGAAACACGAATTCGGCTGGGCGCGGTGGCTCACACCTGTAATCGCAGCACTTTGGGAGGCCGAGGCAGGCAGATTACCTGAGGTCAGGAGTTCGAGACCAGCCTGGCCGACATGGTGAAACCCCGTCTCTACTAAAAATACGAAAATTAGCCGGGCATGGTGGTGGGCGCCTGTAATCCCAGCTACTCGGGAGGCCGAGGCAGGAGAATCGCTTGAACCCGGGAGGCGGAGGTTGCAGGTGAGCCGAGATCGCACCACTGGCGACAGAGCGAGAGTACGTCTCAAGAAAGAAGAAAGGAAAGAAAGAAAGGAGGGAGGGAAGGAAGGAAAGAAAGAGAAAAAGACGAATTCCTGGTTGTTTTCCACTGCAATTCTGATCCGGTGGTCTGGAACAGGGCCTGGGCTCTCTGAGAGCAGCCAGGGTCCCAGACCCTGACCGCGCTGGCCGCCTTTTCCAAGTGAAACCTCCGCAAAGACCAGGAGGAAAGGCTTAGTGGCCGCAGGGCCCGATCACACTGAAGCACCATGTGCCAGGAGGGTGCCCGTGACCAGGAAGATCCCGGAGATATGGGGGGCACTGGGAGGGGCGCGGAGTGCAGCACGGGACCCCTGGTTGAAGAGGGGCGCCTCGCCTCTCCTTTCATCCTTCAGTCGTTGTTTCTTTTTTGAGGCTTCCCCTCATCTTGTCTGACTGACAGGAGCGTCCACACTTTGTCCTCGCCGCCGCCACCGTTCCTCAGGGCTGCAGCCTGGTCGGAGGACCAGGAAGTGTCCTGCTCAGACTGGCCAGGCACTAAAGTCTGCTTTTCCACCACGATAGGCTTTGGGTTTGAAGAAGCTTTGTCCCAGCAACTCTGGGTGCGGATGGGCCAAACAGGCTGCGGGTGTATTGGGCTTCTGGCCCCGGTCAGCCACCCCAGTGTCCACAGCAGATGGACGCCCAGAGCTGAGGGGACAGAGGGCTGCCATCAAACTGCTGGGGCCACGTCTGTAAATCAGAGCAAAGGCAATCCCTGGGCAAGGAGTAGGGGCTGAATCTGATCCCTGAGCAAGGAGTAAGGGCTGAATTTGAAAGATCAGCCTCGGGACTGCTGAACTAAGAACAGTGTGGGGAGGAAGATCAGGAGGGAGCAGAGAAGGACAGGCCTGGGATCCCCCCACCCCCCAACAAACCCTGCTGGAAGCTCAAAGCGCTGCTTTATTGAAGGCCAGACTGGTGGTGTGTGGGTGCCTTGCCCTGATTAACAGCACTGGGGTCGACTGCAGGTAATGAGTCAGTAATTAACATCTATAAAAAGACTGTGTCCTATGCAAAGGACACTGGCCTAAGAATCCGGAACTCTGAGCTTGCCTCTTAATAATTGTGTGACCTTAGACAACCTTTTGTGGCATCAGACTCCTCGCCTATCGTGGAGAGAAGCTGGATTAGATCCGCTGTTCTTCATCCTGGCTGCTCACTGCTCTTGGGAAGCTTCTAGAAAGTACTAATGTCTGGGCCTTGCACCTGGACATACTGATTTCATTGGTCTGATTGTGTCCGGAATTGGTGGGTTCTTGCTCTCACTGACTTCAAGACCGAAGCCGCAGACCCTCGCGGTGAGTGTTACAGCTCTTAAAGTGGCGCGTCTGGAGTTTCTTCCTTCTGGTGGGTTTGTGGTCTCACTGGCTCAGGAGTGAAGCTGAGGACCTTCACGGTGAGTGTTACAACTCTTAAGGTGGGGCGTCTGGAGTTGTTCGTTCACTCCCGGTGGGTTCGTGGTCTCGCTGGCTTCAGGAGTGAAGCTACAGACCTTCACAGTGAGTGTTACAGCTCATAAAGGCAGTGTGGATCCAAAGAGTGAGCAGCAGCAAGGTTTATTGCAAAGAGGGAAAGAATAAAGCTTCCACAGTGTGGAAGGAGACCTCAGCGGGTTACCGCAGCTGGTTGGGGCAGCCTGCTTTTATTCTCTTATCTGGCCCCACCCACGTCCTGCTGATTGGTAGAGCCCAGGGGTCTGTTTTGGCAGGGTGCTGATTGGTGCGTTTACAATCCCTGAGCTAGACACAGAGGTTCTCCACCTCCCCACCAGAGTAGCTAGATACAGAGTGTGGACACAAAGGTTCTCCAAGTCCCCACCAGAGTAGCTAGATACAGAGTGTCGATTGGTGCATTCACAAACCCTGAGCTAGACACAGGGAGCTGACTGCTGTGTTTACAAACCTTGAGCTAGATACAGAGTGCCGATTGGTGTATTTGCAATCCCTGAGCTAGACAGAAAGGTTCTCCACATCCCCACCAGACTCAGGAGCCCAGCTGGCTTCACCCGGTGGATGCCACACCAGGGCTGCAGGTGGAGCTGCCTGCCAGTCCCGCACCGGGCGCCTGCACACTTCAGCCCTTGGGTGGTCTATGGGACTGGGTGCTGTGGAGCAGGGGGCAGCGCTGGTCGAGGAGGCTCAGGCTGCACAGGAGCCCACGGAGGCGGGGTGGGGGGGAGGCGGGGTGGGGGGGAGGCGGGGTGGGGGGGAGGCTGGGTGGGGGGAGGCAGGGGAGGCTCAGGTATGGTGGGCTGCACCTCCCGAGCCCTGCCCAGCGGGAAGGCAGCTAAGGCCCGGCGAGAAATTGAGCACAGCAGCTGCTGGCCCAGGTGCTAAGCCCCTCACTGCCCGGGGCCAGTGGGGCCAGCCGGCCGCTCCCAGTGCGGGGTCCTCCGAGCCCACGCCCATCCGGAACTCGCGCTGGCCCACAAGCACTGCAGGCAGCCCCGGTTCCCGCCCGCGCTTCTCCCTCCAAACCTCCCGGCAAGCTGAGGGAGCCGGCTCCGGCCTTGACCAGCACAGAAATGGGCTCCCACAGTGCAGCAGCAGGCTGAAGGGCTCCTCAAGTGCCGCCAAAGTGGGAGCCCAGGCAGAGGAGGCGCCCAGAGTGAGCCAGGGCTGTGAGGACTGCCAGCACGCTGTCACCTCTCATGATGAGAGACCCAGGAACTTCTTTTTTTTTTTTTTTTTTTTTGAGATGGAGTCTTGCTCTGTTGCCCAGGCTGGAGTGCAGTGGCGTGATCTCGGCTCACTGCAACCTCTGCCTCCCAGGTTCACGCCATTCTCCTGCCTCAGCCTCCCGAGTTGCTGGGACTACAGGTGCCACCACGCCCGGCTAATTTTTTTTGTATTTTTAGTAGAGACAGGGTTTCACGATGTTAGCCAGGATGGTCTCGATCTCCTGATCTCCTGATCTCCTGATCTGCCTGCCTCAGCATCCCAAAGTGCTGGGATTACAGGCGTGAGCCACTGTGCCTGGCCTTTTTGTTTTTTTAAGCTCCTCAGGTAATTCTCATCCATAGCCAGAGTGGTGAACCCACAGAATAGATGAGCTCGAAGCTCTCTTTAGGTTTGAAAATTCCACAAGTTCGTGTTACAGGTAGGGCGGCCCAGCTTCCTGGTTTGCCTAGGACTTCCCCAGTTTTGAAATAGAAAGTCCCTTGTCCCAGTAATCCCCTCAGTCCCTGGCCACATTCCACATCATTCCCCCTCTGACATCAGTATGTAAGAAAGAAGAGGCATCCTTAGAACACTCTGGGGTGTGTGTTCATGTGTGTGGGCTTTGTGGGTGACCATCAGGACACCAGGAAGCAAATGTATGATTCCACTGCCCACCTGCTCAACACTGCTAGTCTTGGAAGTACACATTTGTGTGAAACCTACCTTGCCCAGATGTCTTTTTTTTTAAATTATTTTTTATTTTTTTTCTTTATTATTATTTTCTATTATACTTTAACTTCTAGGTACCCGTACATGGGCACAACGTGCAGGTTTGTTACATAGGTATACATGTGCCATGTTGGTTTGCTGCACCCAGTAACTCATCATTTACGTTAGGTATTTCTCCTAATGCTATCCCTCCCCCTGCCCCCCACCCCGCGACAGGCCCCAATGTGTGATGTTCTCTACCCTGTGTCCAAGTGTTCTCATTTTTCAATTCCCACCCATGAGTGAGAACATGTGGTGTTTGGTTTTCTGTCCTTGTGATAGTTTGCTCAGAATGATGGTTTCCAGCTTCATCCATGTCCCTGGCAAAGGACATGAACTCATAGTATTCCATGGTGCATATGTGCCGCATTTTCTTAATCCAGTCTATCATTGATGGACATTTGGGTTGGTTCCAAGCTTTTGCTATTGTGAATAGTGCCACAATAAACATACATGTGCATGTGTCTTTATAGCAGCATGATTTATAATCCTTTGGGTATATACCCAGTAATGGGATCGCTGGATCAAATGGTATTTCTAGTTCTGGATCCTTGAGGAATCGCCACACTGTTTTCCACAATGGTTGAACTAGTTTACACTCCCACCAACAGTGTACAAGCATTCCCATTTCTGAACATCCTCTCCAGCATCTGTTGTTTCCTGACTTTTTAATGATCACCATTCTAACTGGTGTGAGATGGCATCTCATTGTGGTTTTGATTTGCATTTCTCTGATGACCAATGGTGATGAGCATTTTTTAATGTGTATGTTGGCTGCATAAATGTCTTTCGAGAAGTGTCTGTTCATATCTTTTGCCCATTTTTTGATGGGGTTGTTTGTTTTTTTCTTGTAAATTTGTTTAAGTTCTTTGTAGATTCTGGATATTTGCCCTTTGTCAGATGGGTAGATTGCAAAAATTTTCTCCCATTCTGTAGGTTGCCTGTTCACTCTGATGGTAGTTTCTTTTGCTGTGCAGAAGCTTTAGTTTAATTAGATCCCGTTTGTCAATTTTGGCTTTTGTTGCCATTGCTTTTGGTGTTTCAGTCATGAAGTCCTTGCCCATGCCTATGTCCCGAATGGTATTGCCTAGGTTTTCTTCTAGGGTTTTTATGGTTTTAGGTCTAACATTTAAGTCTGTAATCCATCTTGAATTAATTTTTGTATAAGGTGTAAGGAAGGGATACAATTTCAGCTTTCTACATATGGCTAGCCAGTTTTCCCAGCACCATTTATTAAATAGGGAATCCTTTCCCCATTTCTTGTTTTTGTCAGGTTTATCAAAGATCAGATGGTTGTAGATGTGTGGTGTTATTTCTGAGGCCTCTGTTCTGTTCCATTGGTCTATCTCTCTGTTTTGGTACCAGTACCATGCTGTTTTGATTACTGTAGCCTTGTAGTATAGTTTGAAGTCAGGTAGTGTGTCGCCTCCAGCTTTGTTCTTTTGGCTTAGGATTGACTTGGCAATGCAGGCTCTTTTTTGGTTCCATGTGAACTTTAAAGTAGTTTCTTCCAATTCTGTGAAGAAATTGGCAGCTTGATGGGAATGGCATTGAATCTATAAATTACCTTGGGCAGTATGGCCATTTTCACAATATTGATTCTTCCTATCCATGAGCATGGAATGTTTGTTTGTGTCCTCCTTTATTTCGTTGAGCAGCGGTTTGTAGTTCTCCTTGAAGAGGTCCTTCACATCCCTTTTAATTTGGATTCCTACGTATTTTATTCTCTTTGTAGCAATTGTGAATGGGAGTTCACTTATGATTTGGCTATTTGTCTGTTATTGGTGTATAGGAATGCTTGTGATTTTTGCGCATTGATTTTGTATCCTGAGACTTTGCTGAAGTTGCTTGTCAGCTTAAGGAGATTTTGGGCTGAGACGATGGGGTTTTCTAAATATACAATCATGTCATCTGCAAACAGGGACAATTTGACTTCCTCTTTTCCTAATTGCATACCCTTTATTTCTTTCTCTTGCCTGATTGCCCTAGCCAGAACTTCCAACACTATGTTGAATAGGAGTGGTGAGAGAGGGCATCCCTGTCTTGTGCCAGTTTTTAAAGGGAACGCTTCCAGTTTTTGCCCAATTCAGTATGATATTGGCTGTGGGTTTGTCTTAAATAGCTCATTATTATTATTATTATTACTATTATTATTTGAGACAGAGTTTCTCTCTTGTTGTCCAAGCTGGAGTGCAATGACGCAATCTTGGCTCACTGCAACCTCCGCCTCCTGAGTTCAAGTGATTCTCCTGCCTCAGCCTCCTGAGTAGCTGGGATTACAGGCATGCGCCACCACACCTGGCTAATTTTTGCATTTTTAGTAGAGACGGAGTTTCACCGTGTTAGCCAGGATGGTCTCGATCTCCTGACCTTGTGATCTGCCCGCCTCGGCCTCCCAAAGTGCTGGGATTACAGGCATGAGCCACCATGCCCAGCCTAATAGCTCTTATTATTTTGAGATACGTTCCATCAATACCTAGTTTATTGAGAGTTTTTAGCGAGAAGTGCTGTTGAATTTTGTCAAAGGCCTTTTCTTTATCTATTGAGATATTCATGTGGTTTTTGTCATTGGTTCTGTTTATATAATGGATTACGTTTATCGATTTGCATATGTTGAACCAGCCTTGCATCCCAGAGATGAAGGCTACTTAATTGTGGTGGATAAGCTTTTTGATGTCCTGCTGGATTCGGTTTGCCAGTATTTTATTGAGGATTTTCACATCAATGTTTATCAGGGATGTTGGTCTAAAATTCTCTTTTTTTATTGTGTCTCTGCCAGGCTTTGGTATCAGGATGATACTGGCCTCATAAAATGAGTTAGGGAGGATTCTCTCTTTTTCTATTAATTGGAATATTTTCAGAAGGAATGATACCAGCTCCTCTTTGTACCTCTTGTATCATTTGGCTGTGAATCCGTCTGGTCCTGGAGTTTTTTTGGTTGATAGGCTATTAATTATTGCCTGAATTTCAGAGCCTGTTATTGGTCTATTCAGAGATTCAACTTCTTCCTGGTTTAGTCTTGGGAGGGTGTATGTGTCCAGGAATTTATCCATTTCTTCTAGGTTTTCTAGTTTATTTGCGTAGAGGTGTTTATAGTATTCTCTGATGGTAGTTTGTATCTCTGTGGGATCGGTGGTGATATCCCCTTTATCATTTTTCATTGTGTCTATTTGATTCTTCTCTCTTTTCTTCTTTATTAGTCTTGCTAGCGGTCTATCAATTTTGTTGATCTTTTCAAAAAACCAGCTCCTGGATTCCTTGATTTTTTGAAGGGTTTTTTTTGTCTCTATCTGCTTCAGTGCTGCTCTGATCTTAGTTATTTTTTGCCTTCTGCTAGCTTTGAATTTGTTTGCTCTTGCTTCTCTAGTCCTTTTTTTTTTTTTTTTTTTTTTTTTGAGACAGAGTCTCACTTCTTTGCCCAGGCTGAAGTGCAATGGCATGATCTCGGCTCACTGCAACCTCCACCTCCCAGGTTCAAGCGATTCTCCTGCCTCAGCCTCCCGAGTAGCTGGGATTACAGGCACTTGCCAGCATGCCTGGTTAATTTTTGTATTTTTAGTAGAGACGGGGTTTCACCATGTTGGCCAGGTTGGTCTCGAACTCTTGATCTCGTGATCTGCCCACCTCAGCCTCCTAAAGTGCTGGGATTACAGGCGTGAGCCACCGCGCCCAGCCACTTCTCTAGTTCTTTTAATTGTGATGTTAGGGTGTCGATTTTAGATCCTTCCTGCTTTTTCTTGTGGGCATTTAGTGCTATAAATTTCCCCCTACACACTGCTTTAAATATGTCCCAGAGATTCTGGTACATTGTGTCTTTGTTCTCATTGGTTTCAAAGAACATCTTTGTTTCTGCCTTCATTTAGTTATTTACCCAGTAGTCATTCAGGAGCAGGTTGTTCACTTTCCATATAGTTGTGCGGTTTTGAGTGAGTTTCTTAATCCTGAGTTCTAGTTTGATTGCACTGTGGTCTGATAGACAGTTTGTTATAATTTTTGTTCTTTTACATTTACTGGGGAGTGCTTTACTTCCAACTATGTGGTCAATTCTGGAATAAGTACGATGTGGTGCTGAGAAGAATGTATATTCTGTTGATTTGAGGTGGAGAGCTCTGTAGATGTCTATTAGATCCACTTGGTGCAGAGCTGAGTTCAAGTCCTGGATATCCTTGTTAACCTTCTGTCTCATTGATCTGTCTAATGTTGACAGTGTGGTGTTAAAATCTCACATTATTACTGTGTGGGAGTCTAAGTCTCTTTGTAGGTTTTTAAGGACTTGCTTTATGAATCTGGGTGCTCCTGTATTGGGTGCATATATATTTAGGATAATTATATCTTCTTGTTGAATTGATCCCTTTACCATTATGTAATGGCCTTCTTTGTCTCTTTTGATCTTTGTTCCCAGATTTCTAAAGATTATACGTCAACCATCCTGGCCTGTTTCCCATTCTCCAACCTGATGCTTGAGAAGGCATGCTTTTTTTTTTTTTTCCTGACTCAAGAGGAAAACAAAGAAAAATTAAGAGCAGAACAGCTTTAAAAGACATTCATTCATTCATTCATTCAGCAAGTATCTGTTCAACCTCATCTCTTGATTTCTTTCATTGTCTACCCCACTTCCAATCCACTTCCAAGACACATTTTCTCCGTCTTCAAAACATACCCTGGCTCTCAAAACATACCCCTTCTAACTGTTCCACTTCTATCACCCAAGTGCTGTGCTTCTCAGTCTTGAGGGACATCAGAATCGCCTGGTGGGTATGTTAACATCCTAATTTCTGGGGCCTGAATTTCTTTCTCTCTCTCTCTTCCTTCCTTCCTTCCTTCCTTCCCTCCCTCCCTCCCTCTTTCTTTCTTTTTCTTTATTTTTCTTTCTTTCTTCCTTCCTTCCTTTCTTCCTTCCTTCCTTCTTTTTTTTTTTGATGGAGTTTCTCTTATTGCCCAGGCTGGAGTGCAATGGTGTCATCTTGGCTCACTGCAACCTCTGCTTCCTGGGTTTAAGCTATTCTCCTGCCTCAGCCTCTTGAGTAGCTGGGATCACAGGCACCCGTCACCATGCCTGGCTAATTTTTTGTGTTTTTAGGAGAGACAGGGTTTCACCATGTTGGCCAGGCTTGTCTCAAACTCCTGACCTCAGGTGATCCACCCGCCTCGGCCTCTCAAAGTGCTGGGATTACAGGTGAGACCCACCGCGCCTGGCCCAAGGGTCGAGTTTCTGATTCAGGAGGTCTGGGTGGGACTGATAATTTGTGTTTCCAGCAAGGTTCATGTGTTACCCATCACATTCCAGGGCAATGCATGGAGATAGGGCAGCTGGGACATCGAACTCCAGGAGAGGAACCTGTCTTGTGGGCTGTGGGGCTTCCTTTTCAATTGTGGTAAAATAAACAGAACGAAATTTCCCATCTTAACCATTTATAAGCGTATAGTTCTGTGGTATTAAATATATTCACATTGTTATTCAACCTTCACTGCCATCCATCTCCAGACCTCTTCATCTTTCAAAACTGAAACTCTATACCCATGAATCAATAATTCCCCACCTTCCCCTTCTCTCTTCCCCTGGCAAAGACCTTCTACTTTCTGTTTCTGTGAATTTGAGTACTCTAGGGACCTCATCTAAGTAGAACCATACATTGCTTTTCTTTTTGTGACTGGCTTATTTCACTTAGCAAAATGTCCTTAAGGTTCATCCAGGTTTTTAATTTTTTTTTCATTTTTTATTTTTTTGGAGATACAGTCCTGCTCCATACCCTAGGCTGGAGTGCAGTGGCGTGATCTCAGCTCACTGCAACCTCTGCTTCCTGGGTTCAAGCGATTCTCCTGCCTCAGCCTTCTGAGTAGCTGGGACTACAGGCACCTGCCACCACGTCTGGCTAATTTTTGTATTTTTAGTAGAGACAGGGTTTCACCATATTGGCCAGACTGGTCTCGAACTCCTAACCTCAGGTGATTTGCCCGCCTCGGCCTCCCAGAGTGCTGGGATTACAGGCATGGGCCACCGCGCCCAGCCTCAGCCTCCCAAGTAGCTGGGATTACAGGCACTTGCCAGCCTGTGCCAGAACCTCCTTCCTTTTTTTTTTTTTTTTTTAGATGGAGTCTTGCTCTGTTACCCAGGCTGGAGTGCAGGGTGTGATCTCGGCTCACTGCAACCTCCACCTCCCAGGTTCAAGCAGTTCTCTGCCTCAGCCTCCTGAGTAGCTGGGATTACAGGTGCCCACCACCATGTCCAGCTAATTTTTTGTATTTTTAGTAGAGACGAGGTTTCACCATCTTGGCCAGGCTGGTCTTGAACTCCTGACCTCATGATCTACCCACCTCGGCCTCCCAAAGTGCTGGATTATAGGCGTGAGCCACCTGAATACTATTCCGTTGAATGTGCAGGCCACATTTTGTTTATCCATTTATCTGTAGATGGACATGTGGGTTGCTTCCATCTTTTGGCTATTGAATAATGCTGCAATGGGTGACTTGGTTTGGATGTTCTGTCCCCTCCAAATCTCATGTTGAAAAGTGACCTCCAGTGTTGAAGGTGGGGCTTGGTGGGAGGTATTTGGGACACGGAGGCAGGTCCCTTGTGAATGGCTTGGTGCTGTCCTCACAGTAATGAGTGAGTTCACGCTCTGTGAATTCAGACAAAATCTGGTAATTTAAAAGCGCTGGCACCTCCTCCTTCTCCCTAGCTCCCTCTGTCACCATGAGAGACGCTGCCCCTTCTTCCCTTTCCTCCCTGATTGGAAGCTTCCTGAAGCTGCCCCAGAAGCAGATGGGGCACTGTGCTTCCTGTACAGCCCACAGAACTGTGAGCCAAATACATTTTTTTTCATAAATTACCCAGTCTCAGCATTCCCTTATAGCAATACAAAACAGACTGACGATGGACATATAAAACCTCTTTTGATTATTTTCTATATTCAGAAGGGGAACGGCTGGACCATATCCCATAGTAATTCTATTCTTAATGTTTTCAGGAACCACCATAATGTTTTCCACAGCGGCCGCACCATTTCACATATCCACCAGAGGCCCACAAGAGTTCCAGTTTCTCCACATCCTCACCAACACATTATTATTATTATTATTATTATTATTTTGACAGTAGCCTTCCTAGGCCATGGGGCTTTTAAGCTGTATGATTAAGGAAATTTGTGCAAATGCAGTTTTTAAAACTCTCTTGGCCAGGTGCGGTGGCTCATGCCTGTAATCCCAGCACTTTGGGAGGCCGAGGCGGGCAGATCACCTGAGGTCGAGTTCCAGACCAGCCTGACCAACATGGTGAAACCCTGTCTCTACTAAAAATACAAAAATTAGCCAGGTGTGGTGGCAGGCGCCTGTAATCCTAGCTACTTAGGAGACTGAGACAGGAGAATCGCTTGAACCTGGGAGGCAGAGCTTGCAGTGAGTCGAGATCGTGCCATTCCCATTGCACTGCAGCCTGGGCGACAGAGTGAAACTCCATCTCAAAAAAATAAATAAATAATAAATAAATAAATAAAACTCTTTTAATGGGAGCTGAGTGGGGGAGAGGAGAAAAATGCACTTGTAAACAGAAACCTGACCTATGCTTTGAGGAGATTTCTTTCACCCTCCAGCTTTTCTGCACTCTCCTTTTTCACTTTTTCTTCTTTTATTCAGCTGACATATCTGTGCCTTCCTCGTTTGCTCTTATCCAATCCTCCATCATATAGAACAATCATCTTACCCATGTGGCAAGCTGTTTCCTTCTTAAAACTACCAGGATCTTTCTTGAGCCAAGAACCAGAATGAACTACATTCTCAATCAGGTTTTAAGGGTAGACCTCTAGGTGAGTTCTTGGGTGCTTCTGAAATCTCACCCATCATTTTCCAAAATGACAGAGTAAATGTACCTTGGTTGAAGGAATGTGTAAAGCCACTGTTGAGATGCTATAAAGAAATACCCGAGACTGGGTGATTTATAGAGAAAAGAGGTTTAATTTGCTCAGGGTTCTGCGGGTTGTACAAGCATGGCTCCAGCATCTGTTCAGCTTCCTATAAGGCCTCAGGGGGCTTTTACTCCAAGAAGGAGGTGAAGCAGGAGCTGGTATCCCACATGGCAGAGGGGGGGCAAGAGAGCGAGTGGGGAGAGGCCACGCACTTTTTATTTTTTTTGAGACGGAGTCTCACTCTGTTGCCCAGGCTGGAGTGCAGCAGCATGATCTCGGCTCACTGCAACCTCTGCCTCTTGGATTCAAGCAGTTGTCTACCTCAGCCTCCTAAGTAACTGGGATTACAGGCTCGCGCCACCATGCCCGGCTAATTTTTGTATTTTTAGTAGAGACAGGGTTTCACAATGTTAGCCAGGCTGGTCTTGAACTCCTGACCTCGTGATCTGCCTGCCTCAGCCTCCCAGAGTGCTGGGATTACAGGCGTGAGCCACCGCGCCCGGCCGGGGCCACACGCTTTTAAACAACCAGATCTCACAGGAACTCACTCACTATTGCAAGGACAGCACCAAGGGGAAGGTGCTAAACCATTCATGAGAAATCCACCCCCATGATCCAATCACCTCCCAGCAGGCCCCACAGCATGAAAACTGGGTGGGGACAAATATCCAAATGATGTCAAGGAGCAATAAGGCATAATAATATGGGAATCCAAAGTGTTGGGTTTTTGTTTTTGTTTTTGCGACTGCTGAGGACTATTGGAATACTTTGTCTTATCCAAATAGCTGTTGTTTGAGGCTGGGCACGGTAGTTCACACCTGTAATCCCAGCACTTTGGGAGGCCGAGGCAGGTGGATCACTTGAGGTCAAGAGTTCAAGACCGGCCTAGTCAACATGGTGAAACCCCATCTCTACTGAAAATACAAAAAATTAGCCTGGCATGGTGTGCATGCCTGTAATCCCAGCTACTCAGGAGGCTGAGGCAGGAAAATCGCTTGAACCCAGGAGGCAGAGTTGGCAGTGAGCCAAGATTGCACCACGGCACTCCAGCCAGAGTGACAGAGGGAGATTCTGTCTCAAAAAACAAAAACAAAGACAAAACCCCACATAGCTGTTGTTTGAGTGCAATTACGTTGTTTGGATGCAATTATGACTTAAAGTTTTTTTCTGACATAAAAGTTTTTTCTTTGTTTTTGTGTTTTAAGTGTTCATTTGCTGCTAGCATAAACTTCAGCCCTCTTTTGTTTGGTCATTACACCCCTAACCTGGCAGGGGCCTATAAGCTGCACAAATTAAGCTTCTAGTTAGTGAGGTGCATGAGCCTCCCCTTAGCACAGTTCTGTAAATCATAGAATTTTATTATTTTATTTCAGACAGGGCTGAGCACGCCACAGCCTTGACATCCCAGGTTCAAGCAGTCCTCCCACCTCAGTCTCCTTAGTAGGTGAGACTACAAGTGTGCACCACAACACCTGCTAATTTTTACATTTTTTTATAGAGATGGGGGTCTCACTCTGTTGGCCAGGCTGGTCTCAAACTCCTGAGCTCAAGTGATCCTCCTGCCTCAGCCTCCCAAAGTGCTGGGATTACCGGCATAAACCACTGCACCTGGATTGAAAATCTCTTAAAACTTTTGTTGAATGAGAATGAGGCAAATCTAAGCCTGCTATACATCTACTTAGGATTTTAGTCACCTTTTTAAGGTGTGTGGGTATCTCTTTATTGCTAAGGGTTACCTAAAAGAAAGTCATTCTGATATTATAACTACTCTGTTCTGAGTCCATTCCAAGAACAATGTGCCCCTTACCCAAGTTTATGGGCTGATAGAGGGAGACAGAAAGATAATTGTGGACTTTTCATTTCCTTTTGCTTCTTTAGTGAGTAGGGAATTACAAAGCAGGCTCCGGTGGCTTCACTTTTCTGCCTGGGGGAACTGGAGTGGAAGTGAGGGTGGGGCTGGGGAAGCAGCCTTTGCTGCCCCTCGGCTCCTTTGTCCCAGCTCATGGGGTCTCCAGCAGCTCACAGACCTTCTGTACCACTGTGAGATAACGCCGGGGGATGGGACTGTAGTCACCTGCATGCTGGATTTGATCCTGGAAGGAAACAGACAAATTCTGAGAGGGTTGCTGATGACCCGGCAGGACTTTTTGCCCTGCTCTTCCCTCTGGCTCTCAGTTAACTCTCTGTATTAAGGAAAGTAGCTTTCAGGTTTTATAAGTGGCAGGGAGGTGTGTTCTTTGAAACAGCTCATCAGACCTATTAGAGATGATTTTCAATTCTCTGGGGAAAGTGTCAAACATCAGAAAGTAAGGAACTCACTTCCTTTCTCTGTTGTTTCAGCTTGTGCTAAGCTTTAGTTTGAGTTCATTTTTGTGAGTTCTTACCTGAAGCAATACTAAGTTGGCAAGTATAAAACTTCACGTGTAGTGGTTGAGTAAAGGGATTTTTCTTAGAAAACATGAAGTAGGAATAACCAAGTATGTTCCCACCTGCTACTTCTCTTTGGCCATGACTAGAACCACAGAAATTTCATTGAAAATCAAGGAAAGAATCTTTCAGCCAATTTGTTACCTTACTCCAGTTTCCGGGGGTGATGGGTCCTGGCCAACAGTTCTGAACTGATTTTTTTTTTTTTTTTTTTTTTTGAGACAGAGTTTTGCCCTTGTTGCCCAGGCTGGAATGCAATGGCACAATCTCGGCTCATTGCAACCTCGGCCTCCCGAGTTCAAGTGATTCTCCTGCCTCAGCCTCCCAAGTGGCTGGGATTAGAGGCGCCTGCCACCATGCCTGGCTAATTTTTGTATTTTTAGTAGAGACAGGGTTTTACTATGTTGGCCAGACTGGTCTCGAACTCCTGACCTCAGGTGATCTGCCCGCCTCAGCCTCCCAAAGTGCTGGGATTACAGGCGTGAACCACAGTGCCTGGCCTGAACTGAAATATTTGAATAAGGAAAGGCAGACACAGTCTAGAAACTAGAGACTTACACATGGATATCAATCCCTAACAAAATCTACACAGTCTTCCTAGACAAATGAAGGTTACCACTGAGATTCAGCATGGATCCATGACAAATAAGTGGTATTGATTAAACACACCATTTCATTGATTGGGATAGTAGGGTAAGTGATCAAGGTATGATAAATGCCTGAACAGCAGACAGCTTTGGAGTTGTGGGTCCTGGCCTCTGTTGCTGGGAGACAGGTTGATAGGTTGATGCAGCAGCACAGGAGATCGCCTGCGGCCAGCAGATACGTGGGATGCAGATACTGAACATGGAGAGGGTGAGTTGTGAACATCACAAAAACAAACGTGGTGGCCCCAAAGAAAGGGGATCCAGGTTGTCCTTTTCCTCACTGGTAAGACAGGGTTTTTCGAGTTATGGATTTTAGTTATTCAGAGGACCCAATCAATGACTGGGAATGTCGAGTTTTCTATCCCTAAAGGGCTAGAGGCAAAGATCTCGACAGTGGAGAGAAGGATCGGCCTAGGGCAGCCACCTCAGGAGCCCTGAGCAGATAAGGAAGCCACCACAGAGACCCCTCTCCACCCCCACACACTTTTTGGTCCTTATGAGTGATGTGAGGAACATTCAAAACCTGGAATTTGAGGAGCATGGAATGAGTTTTCAATTCCACATGCCACCTATTGACACAATTATGTATGTATATATGCATTTATTAGTTGTAAACTAAATACTAACATAGGTGTTAAAAATGATACCAGGCAGGGGTCGGTGGCTCACACCTGTAATCCCAGCACTTTGGGAGGCTGAGGCGGGCAGATCACCTGAGGTCAGGAGTTCGAGACCATCCTAATTAACATGGTGAAACCCCATCTCTATTAAAAATACAAAAATTAGCCAGGCGTGGTGGTGCATGCCTGTAATTCCAGCTACTCAGGAGGCTGAGGCAGGAGAATCGCTTGAACCCGGGATGGGGAGGTTGCAGTGAGCCAGGCTGGTTGCGCCACTGCACTCCAGCATGGGTGACAGAGTGAGACTCCATCTAAAGTAAAAAAAGATACCATTATCCATCTAATATAGGCTCTAACAGGTTACTCCAAACACAGCTACGACAGAACAGTCTTTCCACACATCAAAGATTATCCTCTTAGACTAGACAGCCTCCTATGTGACAGTCAAGCAAGGCGGGAAGACACCATGTCCCAAGGAGATCCTCTACGCCACCCTGGAGAAAAGCAGTTGACCTGTCCCAGATAGGCCGTCCTTTGATGTATCAGCACCATCTCTTGCAGGCAAGACAAAGGCATGGAGGTTTGAGGCAACAACAGGAAGCCACCTAAGAACTGCTGCTCTTTGGATGTCAATATTAAGAACCAATCACTATGAGTTTGAGACCAGCCTGGGCAACATAGCAAGACTGTGTCTCTATAAAAAGTTTAAAATTAGCCAGGTGTGGTGGTAGTTCCAGCTACTCGGGAGGCTGAGGTGGCAGGATCACTTGAGCCCAAGAAGTCACGGCTGCAGTGAGCCATGATTGCACCACTGCACTCCAGTTTGGGTGACAGAGCAAGATCCTGTCTCCCCCACCCCCAATCTCCCACCAAAAAAAGAATTTATATAGATATAGATATAGATATCGATATAGATATAGATAGATATATATCTTTTCTGAGATAGGGTCTTACTCTGTCATCCAGGCTGGAATGGAGTGGGGGCACGATCACAGCTCACTGCGGCCTCAACCTCCCGGGCTCAATCCTCCTACACCAGCCTCCCAAGTAGCTGGGATCACAGGCTCGTGCCACCATGCCAAGCCAATTTTTGTATTTTTTGTAGAGATGGGGTTTTGCCCCCATGTTGCCCAGGCTTGTCTCAAACTCCCAGGCTCAAGCGATCCTCCTGCCTCAGCCTCCCAAAATGCTGGGATTACAGGCATGAGCTACCACCCCTGGCCGACAGGTATCTCTTCAAAAACCAATTTTGAGGCCACCTGTCATAGAAACCATCAGTGATACACAAAAAACGGCAAGACAGAATCCTGGCCTTGTGAAGTCTACAGTTTGTGATAACCAGCACTTTCTTGGTTCCAATGGATAAACTCCAACCCATGCTCGCTTAGAATAATAAAAGGTGGAAGGGGTCTTATAGGAGGGATCCCAGGGGGAGGGGTGTGTGAAGTCAAACAAGGAGCTAAATATCCGGGCTCAGAAAGGCTGGGAGACCAGCACTAGGGACAAGTCCCAGTTAACTCAACCCCTTCACAGCGTGAAAGGGCCTTGAGTTGCCCTGGGCCCCAGCTGATGTGGCTGGTTCCCAAAGAGAAATTCACTCTTCTTAGGTTGAAATGCTTGATGGTTTGATTAAGATGTCAACAAGAAATCTCAATATCTATATAGCTTGTGTATGTTAAACCAACTTAACTCTAACTGTGGGTGTCGCCAGTTCCCAGGAAAGAAAATGAGAGAATAGATGCAAGCTCTTATCACCGGAAAATTTCACCGCATGACATAAATCATGAAAACAGGATGTATTTCAACAAGGAAGAACACTGAGAAAACTATTTAGGTATAATTCGATTTAATCAAAGACACAATAGAACTGGATGGGAGAATATGAGGGAGGCTTGTTTAATTATAAAGCCCTGCAGAGGACTTGCCACAAAGCAAACATGCATTTAGGAAAGACTAGACTTTGTTTCACTGAGAATGTAAAGTTACATTCATTTATCCACTCATCCATCCATCCATCCATCCATCCATCCATCCATCCATCCAATCCATCCATCTATCCATCCATCCATTCATTCATTTATTCATTCATCCACCCATTCACCCATTTATCAATCCATCCATCCATTCATTTATCCATCCATTCATCCAATCCATCAATTTATCCATCCATCCATCCATCCATCCATCCATCCATCCATCCATCCATTTATCCATCTATCCTTCCATTTATCCATCTATCCTTCCATTTATCCATCTATCCTTCCATTTATCCATACATTCATCCAATCCATCCATTTATCCACCCATCCATCCATTCATTTATCCATCCATTTATCCATCCATCCATCCATCCATCCATCCATCCATCCATCCATCCATCCATTTATCCATCCATCCATTCTGATTTTCTACTGTGTTCAGGAAAGACACAGTGCAAAAAGCTCTAAGGACAAAACAATTAATAGGATGATGTTTCTGTACCTTCAGGGAATTTACAATTGCCTGTGCATCCAGCTATGTATTTGCAGGATAGTTTCTATTTTCCTTTATGGAAATTCTAGTAGCATTCTATCATGTTGCATATCCAAAAATTGAGCCAGATTTTCTTCACTCACATGGTGACTGGGGAAGGTGGGAAATGAGAGGCTGAGAGATTCCATTTCAACTGGAATGTAAAACGTGCATCCACTTATGCTCCAGGGGGCACCCTTACATAGAATATTCTCTGACTTCGGTGTTGGGCAACGATATTGGTTTTTAGTGTGCCAGGTATTTGGGAACAGGGAGATTTTAGAGAAGTTTTCTGTCTTTGGGGATTCAGGAGGATAGGTTATCTGAGATTTTATTTTTTATTATTAATGTATAATATACATTGAGGAAAGTGTACAAATCTTAAATATACAACTCAGTAAAGTTTTGCATAGCTATACACTCATGTGCCCTCCCTGTAAATGAAGATATAGAACATCTCCACCCCCAGGAGGTTCCTTCATGCTGATTCCCTGACTATACCCCCTCCCATAACCGTTATTCTGACTTTGTCACATAAGTTGCTTTTGATGGCTTGAACTTCATAAAAATGGAACCATACAGCATGGACCCTCCCACTGGTCTGCTCCTTTTGCCCATCTTAATGTCTGTGAATCACCGTATTGTTGCATTTAGCAGCAGTTCATTCTTTTTATTGCTGTGTTGCCATTGAAGGAACACACTCCAATGTATTTATCTATTCTCTTGTTGGTGGATATTTGGGTTGTTTGCCATTTGGGGTTATTGTGACTAAAGCTGCTATGAGAGTTCTTCTGCATGTCTTTTGGTGGACATGTGTGCTTATTACCCTTGCTAAATACTCAGGACTAGAATCTGATAGTATTTTTCGATTCTAAAATCTTTGTTCCTGAAGATACATTTTTTTCAATCTCTGGATATGTGTACTGATATTTATTACAGAGATCTATCTGCAGCCCACAGAAAATTGATTTTTAATTGTGACTGGCACCAGTTTGCAGAAGGCATGCTGTTTTGCTCTGAAGTCACACAATGAACACCATCAACATTTATGCTACACAGCGAGCAGATGAGGCCATGAAGGGAGTTTGGTGTACTTTGCTCCTTAAAGCTAATTGATTAAAATTAAAATTGATTAGAAGAGTATGTGTGTATGTATACATGGAGTTGGCTCTGGAAATAATGCATTTCTTTTAAAAATTGCAGTGAGGCTGGTTGTGATGGCTCATGCCAGTAATCCCAACACTTTGGGAGACCAAGGAGGGAGGATGCCTTGAGGTCAGGAGTTCAAGACCAGCTGGGGCAACACAGCAAGACTCCGTCTCTACAAAAAATATTAAAAAATAGCCAGGAGTGGGGGCGTGCGCCTGTGGTCCAGCTACTCAGGAAGCTGAGGTGGAAGGATTTCTTGATCCCAGGAAGCAGAGGTTGCAGTGAGCCCTGATCACATCACTGCACACCAGCTTGGGCAACAGAGGGAGACTCTGTCTTCAATAATAATAATAATAAATAAATTTTTAAAAATTACAGCTGAACAGTATGGTGAAAGCCTTGAAGTCCTGAGGAGCATCTATCCTGAAAACCATGAGGACATTGTGAAGGCGGAAGCTTATAGCCCTGGATGACTGATTGGATGAGAAGTGTGAAGGAGAGGGTGCAGAGATAACCCTGAGGTTTCTTGACTGGATGACAAGGAAAATGGTCATGCTACTAAGATAAATAAGAAAACCAAGAGAAAGTCCAGGCAGGAGATCATTTGAGCCCAGGAGTTAGAGGCCAGCCTGGACAACAAAGCGAGACCCTCTACAACAAAAAAAAAAAAAAAAAAAAAAAAGCCAGGCGTGGTGGCACATACCTGTAGTCCTAGCTACTCAGGAGGCTGAGGCAAGAGGATCACTTGAGTCTAGGAGTTCCAGGCTGCAGTAAGCTATGATCTCACCACTGCACTCCAGCCTGGGTGACAGAGTGAAACCCTATTAAAAAAAAGAAAAGAAAAGAAAAAGAAAATCAAGAGAAAGAGGAGTTGCATCACAAATATACTCACATTCCTATGCTGATATGTAAAGAAAATGTAATTTCTTTATTTCTCCATAACCAACCAAAATTTTCAAGTGAGATCCCATTTTCTGGGTAACAGGAAACTGTACTTGGGCTTTAAGTTTGCCAAAGATTGGCCAGGTGCAGTGGCTCACACCTGTAATCCCAGCACTTTGGGAGGCTGAGGTGGGCGGATCACCTGAGGTTGGAGACTAGCCTGGCTGACACAGCAAAACCCCATCTCTACTAAAAATACAAAAATTAGCTGGGTGTGGTGGTGCGTGCCTGTAATCCCAGCTACTTGGGAGGCTGAGGCAGGAGAATCGCTTGAACATGGTAGGCGGAATTTGCAGTGAGCTGAGATCGCGCCATTGCACTCCAGCCTGGGTGACAAGAGCAAAACTCCACCTCAAAAAAAAAAAAAAAAGTTTGCCAAAGATTGGTACCTCAGTCTCTGGATGCTTTGATTTCTTGAACAAATGCTCAGTCTCCACCCAGACCCCACTGGTACCTCCCAGCCCTCTAGTCTTTCTCCAAGAGGCATCTAGGTATGCAGAGTTGGAATTGGCTGGATCACCAGGGCTCTTGATGACCTCATGGAGGTAAAGTTGATTATGAAGTTTGTAATGTATAAATTGTAAAATAACGAGCAGCTTATTTAGAAGATCATAAAAGCAAGAATAGCCAGGAAGCCTCTGCTAAACATGTGTAACAGGAATGGGAGAAACGGAAAAATATTACAAAGCCTCTGTGGTTAAACCAGTGTGGTGTTGGCACATAAATAGACACACAGACCAAGAAACAGACTAGAACATCTAGAACAAGATGCAATTGCTTATGGAAACTTAGTATATAATAAAAGAGCCAACTCAAATCAGTGGAGAAAGAAGGACATTTTTTAAAGTGGTTTTAGGGCCAGGCAAGGTGGTCTTATGCCTGTAATCCCAGCACTTTGAAGAGGCTGAGGCAGGAGGATCCTTGAGAACAGGAATTGGAGACCAGCCTGAGTAACATAGTGAGACTCCATCTCTACAAAAATAAAACATAAAAATTAGCCAAACCTGGCGGTGCACACCTGCAGCTCCAGCTACTCAGGAGGCTGAGGCAAGAGCCTAGAAGTTCAAGGACGTAGTGAGCTATGACCCGCCACTGCACACCAGCTTTGGCAACAGAGTGAGACTCTGTCTCCAAAAGATAAAAAAGAAAAAAGTGGTTTTAGGGTATCTGGATAGTCATGCAGAACAATATAACATGGACTCCATTCTTCACATGGTACACTGGGATAAATTCCAAATCAGAGACTTACGTGTGCAAAATTAAGCCCTACAACTAATAGAAGAAAACATGAGTGTAATCCTTTGAAACTTTTGCACAGAGAAAACTTTCCTAAGGCTTAAAATCCTGAAGCAATGAGAGAAAAAGATTGATAAATTTGTTGACATTAAAACAACTGTGCATGGCCAAAAACCCATAAGCAACATATCACATACTGGGAAAAATATTCTAGACAAAGGGTTATCATCCCTAAATATATGAGTAGCTTCTAAATTAAAGAAGAAAAAGGCCAACAAGTTGATAGAAAATTGGACTAGAGAAATAGACAAGTCATAGAAAATGAAATCCAAATGGCCCTTAACCATATGAAAAAATTCCCAGTCTTCCCTATAATAAGAAAACTGTAAATTAAAACTCACAAAGATACAGCCGGGCGCGGTGGCTCACGCCTGTAATCCCAGCCCTTTGGGAGGCTGAGACGGGTGGATTGCTTGAGCTCAGGAGTTCAAGACCAGCCTGGGCAACATAGTGAAACCCCGTCTCTACTAAAAATACAAAAAATTATCTGGGCATGGTGGCAGGCGCCTGTAATCCCAGCTACTAGGGAGGCTAAGGCAGGAGAATCGCTTGAACCCAGAAGGCAGAGGTTACAGTGAGCTGAGATCACACCATTGCACTCCAGCGTGGGCAACAAGAGTGAAATTCCATCTCAAAAAAATAAAATAAAAAAAAATAAAAATAAAAAAATAAATAAATAAATAAATAACTCACCAAGATATCATATCTCACCCAGCAGATTGGCAAAAGTAAAAAATGTTTAACATATTCTTGACCAAGCTGTGGGAAGCAGGCATTCTTATACACTGCTGGTAGGAATGTGAAATGGTAGAATTGCTATGGAGGGGAATTTGGCAATATCTAGCAAAACTACATATGCAGTCATTCACTGAGCTGGCTTTCCTGCTTTTAGGTATTTATACCAAAGATAATGTGGCAAAAATATGAAAAGATGCGTGCGCTTGGCTATTATTACAGCACTACTTCACTAAGAGGCAACCGCTTAGCTGTCCCTCAGTAGAAGGTCTGGTGGATGACTTATGGTACATTTACAAAATGGAGAGCCATTCAACTGAAAAAGAAGATATTTCTACATATTATTACTATGTAGTTATTTCTGGGTTATATCTATAAACGGAAAAAGCAAATGGAAAAACATATATAGCATATAAATGTGTATACCATTTAGGTGATAGACCTATGTGATTTATATGATTAAAAGGAGGGATATGAATATGCACACACGCACACACACACACACACACACACACACACATTTTTCTTTAAATACATCTGAACTCATATTTTTAAAAATAGAAAAACCATAAAGTGGGGCTGGGCGTTGTGGCTCATGCCTGTAATCCCAGCACTTTGGGAGGCTGAGGCAGGTGGAGGCTTGAGTTCAGGAGTTCGAGACCAGCCTGGCCAAAATGGAGAAACCCTGTCTCTACTAAAAATACAAAAAATAGCCAGGTGTGGTGGCACATGCCTGTAATCCCAGCTACTTGGGAGGCTGAGGTGGGAGAATCCATTGAACCCGAGAGGTGGAGGTTGCAGTGAGCCAAGATCACACCACTGCACTCCAGCCTGGGCAACAGACTATTTAAAAAACAACAACAACAACCCACCATTAAGAGGAAAAGGCCTACTCAAATGGAGAAAACAAGAGTAGAGTTGAGAGAATAGGTATAAAGGAGAGACTTCTCTGACCCTACTTTGTCTGGTAGATTTAATTTTTGAAAGCAGGTAAATATTCTGCATAATTATAAAACAAAATTAAATTTAAAAAGGATAAAAGCGATCCCTAAAAATAGCAAACAATGAAACAAATGGATCTATATGTTAAGTCGGTGACATAACCCACAGAGGTGAGATAGTTCAGGAGATGTTAATTCATAGAAATTTGATCATATATCCATAGTGAAATAGATCCTAAGGACAAAAAGAACTACAAAAATGAAAAAAAAAAAACTTTTCAGTCTTCATCTTGATAATAGTGTTGGTATTATTATTTTGAGATTGGTGTATACGGGGTGTGAGATGAAGCAAACTAGTAATTATCACAGTGTCATTGAGAACCAGGATTTGGGCATGGGAGAAAGGAGACACAGGTGTGAGACTGAAAGGCCTAAGGAAGGACAATGTAGTCCTGAATTTGACTTCAACTTATCTGAATCTATTAATGAATGAATTCATTGCGTATTTTATCTTTGAAAAATGTGTTTCTTAATACCATCCACTGAAAAGCCCTACAAACAGCAACCATCCCTAAGCTGTCCTACCATCCAGACTGTAATATTTAAATAGCATTTCCAGGCAGGCGCGGTTGCTCATGCCTGTAGTCCCAGCACTTTAGGAGGCCGAGGCAGGCGAATCACGTGAGGTCAGGAGTTTGAGACTAGCCTGACCAACATGGTGAAACCCCGTCTCTACTAAAAATTCAAAGATTAGCGGGATGTGATGGTGTGTGCCTGTAATCCCATCTACTCAGGAGGCTGAGGCAGGAGAATCACTTGAACCCAGGAGGTGGAGGTTGCAGTGAGCCAAGATCACGCCACTGCACTCCAGCCTCGGCGACAAGAGTGAAACTCCGTCTCTAAATAAATAAACAAATAAATATAATTTACTACTAAAAGGAACCATGGTATCATTTCCTACTAGAAAGAACCATGGAGCAGGGGGTGGAATTCATTTGCCCAGCTTCCCTCATAAAATTATACCTGATCATAACCAAAGAGTTGATGAGAGAAGTTTTTTATTTAAAGAATTAGTCTACCTAGGCAGGGCGCGGTGGCTCACACCTGTAATCCCAGCACTTTGGGAGGCCGTGGCAGGCGGATCACAAGGTCAGCAGTTCGAGACCAGCCTGACCAACACAGTGAAACCTCATCTCTACTAAAAATACAAAAATTAGCTGGGTGTGGTGGCGCGCACCTATAATCTCAGCTACTCAGGAAGCTGAGGCAGGAGAATCGCTTGAACCCGGGAGGCGGAGGTTGCAGTGAGCAGAGATCGTGCCACTGCACTCCAGCTTGGGTGACAGAGCAAGACTCCATCTCAAAAAAAGAAAAAACAAAAAAGAAGTAGGCTATCTAATAAATGAAGAAGGAATAATAAAATATCATAAATTTGCAACGTCTACTTTATCGTTCTAGGCAATGGTCACAAACAGCTGCTAACATCACCAAACATTATGTGCCTCTTTGCCAAAAACTTCAAACCTGAATCTGAACAGCTCTAAATTTAACCACCAACTAACAGAAAATACAGTGGACAGAGTGATACGTAAACCACCCCTTAGGGGCGTGATCTGCAAAAACCAGCCTGTGAGAAACTCCAGGTTTCTTCAACAATCAATTGCAAGGAAAAAGAGTAATAAAAGGGAACCAATAGTTTTTTGAAAAACAGGAAACATATCAACAAATTTCAACGTATAGCTCTTAATCAGATTAGCCAAGCTCAGTGGCTCTTGCCTGTAATCCCAGCATTTTGGGAGGCCGAGGTGGGGGAATCACCTGAGGTCAGGAGTTCAAGACCAGCCTGACCAACATGGTGAAACCCCATCTCAACTAAAAATACAAAAATTAGCCAGGCCTGGTGGTGCATACCTGTAATCCCAGCTACTTCAGAGGCTGAGGCAGGAGAATTGCTTGAACCCGGGAGGTGGATGTTGCAGTGAGCTGAGATTGCACCACTGCACTCCAGCCTGGGTAACAGAGGGAGACTCCATTAAAAAAAAAAAATTAAAAAAAATCTTAATTGGATCACGATTCAAACAAATTGTAAAACAATAAGGAAATAAGGAAAATTTGAACACAGGTTGGATATTAAATGATTTCTTTATAGTAGTAGTAGGTGAGTTATATGGATGAATTCATCATGGCTTGATAACTAGTGAAGCTGGGTGGTGAGTACATGAGAAATCATTGTACCCTTCTGTCTATTTTTGGATATATTTGGAATTTTCCATGATAAGCGATTGTTATTGAAAACCTACTCTGCGTATCCAAAGCTGAACATTCTCCTCCTCCTCCTTGCATTCCTTCTGCAACAATCCTAACCCTCCCAGAGGCAGAGGAACGGCCAGAAATCAAACACGGGACTGCAATAGAGAAAAGCAACTGACATATTTCCAAAAATATTATTTCCATTTCAGAAGCTTTATTTTTGATGGAAGATGATAAGTTCCATTTTACATGTGTTGAATTTGAGCTTCCCAACTCCAGCAGGAGTCAAAAACGCAAGACTTCAGACTGGAAGGCATGTCAGGGCTGAAGCTGTGAAAACAGATAATGTCCCCGGCAGAACAGAAACAGAAGAAAAAGAAAAAGAGGAGCACTTGGGATAGAGTCTTTCCCCTCCTCCCTTCCTTTCTTACTCATTCATTCAGAAATGCATGTGTAAGTGCCTATAAGCTACAAGAACCAGGGAGATAAAAAGATGAAAAGGTGGCATTTATTGAGGAAGAAAGGCATTAGGTGTGCCAGGCGTGGTGGCTCAAGCCTGTAATCCCAGCATTTTGGGAGGCTGAGGCGGGCGGATCATGAGGTCAGGAAATCGAGACCATCCTGGCTAACATGGTGAAACCCCATCTCTACTAAAAATACAAAACATTAGCTGGGCGTGCCTGTAGTCCCAGATACTCGGGAGGCTGATGCAGAAGAATCGCTTGAACCTGGGAAGCAGAGGTTTCAGTGAGCCGAGATCGTGCCACTGCACTCCAGCCTGGGCGACAGAGCGAGACTCCTTCTACAAAAAAAAAGAATAAATGGAAGGCATCTGGTGCTATGAAAAGCATTAGGTTTTGTGATGGGGGTAGACATGAGGCGGAGAGGACACACAGAAGACCTCTTAAGTTTGACTGAAGAATTCAGAGAAATGCTCTTGTTTGGGAGGCCAGAGAAAAAAGTGAAACTGAGACTCAGGGCCATGTCTGAGTTCTGGCCAATGAAACTATGGGGGACCTTCTGCGAAGATGTTTTTCCTGTCTGCTAAAAAGAAAGCCCTTTTCTGCCCACATCCTTCCTTGCTGCTTCCTGCTGTGGGTGCAGTGTGAGGCTGTGGTGCTTGGAACAGCTGCAGCCACTCTGTGACCAGGAGTCAGCAAGCATGAGGACGAGATGTCAACACACTCAGGGTGTTTGAAGTCACCTGATCCTTGATGCCATTGCTGAGCTACTAAACAAGCTCTAAGCAGCCTAGACTCATTGTTAAGTAAACAATAAATCCTTTTATATTTTTTAAAAATTATTTCAACTTTTATTTTAGATTCAGGCGTTTCTTACATGGGTATACTGTGTGACATTGAGGTTTGGGGGTATGAGTGATCCCACCACCCAGATAGTGAGCATAGTACCCAATAGTTATTTTTTCAGCCCTTGTCCCCTCCTTCTTCCTGCTCCAGGTGACCCCAGTGTCTATCGTTCATATCTTTATGTCCATGAGTACCCAATGCTTACCTCCCACTTAGGAGTGAGAACATGCAGTATTTGGTTTTTCTGTTCCTGAGTTAATTTGCTTAGGATAGTGGCCTCTAGCTGCATCCATGTTGCTGCAAAGGATATGATTTTACTCTTTTAAAAGGCTGTGTAGTATTCCATGGTGTATAGGTACTACATTTCCTTTGTCCAATCCACCACTGATGGGCACCTGGGTTGATTCCATGTTTTGGCTATTGTGAACAATGCTGCGATGATAAATGTTCTTATATTGAAAACATTATTAATTTGAATACTCTATTACTTGGAATAAAGTGAACTCTCTGGTGTGGTGTTTCTTCTCTACCAAACTATGAATTGCTTGGAGAAGCAACACAGCAAAATGCTCCCAACAGACCTTGTTGATGTATATGATACCAGTCTTGAAAGCAGCAAAAACTGGAGTGGGCAGAATCCAGACTGATGGAGTGAATGTGTGGTCAATGTCAGCTTCTGGGATTCCTCCCACCCACCAATGAAGACTATAAAGATGAGTCAGGGTCAAAGCCATGTATGGATTGAGCCAGAAGGTAGCGGGTAAATGAATGCTCTTGACCATAGGTATTCCCTCTTGGGCTCCATCTTCCCAACCGCTTTTTCCTCAATACGGAGGGTGCCTCCCAGCAGAGCGGGGCCACCTCTGCTTACATCAGCAAAAGGTGATCTTGCCAGGAAAAGGAGGTAGGAGCAGCATCTGAGAAAGTAGCAGGATTAAGGAAAGAATTTCTTTTAGAGTGGGAAGACTTGAGCATGTCTGTGGATTGAAGAAAACAAGAAACCAAAAATGGAAGCAAAGCAGGTGATTGATGGAGCAAGGTGGAGGAGGTGGAAAGATCCAGAGATGGGGGGATGAAGAGAGGCTGGTTCATGGGTATAAAAACACAGTTAGAAGGAATGAGTTCTAGTATTCAATGGTGCAGTAGGGAAATTATAGCTAACAATAATTTATTATATATTTTGAAATAGTTAGATTTGTAATGTTTCCAAAACAAAGAAAAAGATAAACGCTTGAGGTGATGGCTATCCCAATTATGCAGATTCCATCATTACCCATTGTATGCAGGGATCAAAACATCACACATACCCCATAAATATGTACAACTATGATATATCAACTTAAAAACACAAAAAAGGAGAGATGCAGAGGAAAGGTATTTTTTCTCGTGAAGATAGGCAAAGAGAAGAGAATATATGAGATACGCTAAGGGGAAGGATATACAAAGAATTTTCCTGGCTGACTCTGATGCCAGACAGGCAAGCTGCAAAACTGGGGCTTAGCCTGGGAGGGTTCTTGGCTTCACCCCAGAAGGAATTCAAGGGTAAGCTGGTGGTGTTAGACGCAGCTTTTATTGGAGTGACAGTGTACGGTGGCAGCAGAGGGACTGCTCCTTGCAAGGCAGGGCTACCCTTGAGGCAGGGAACCTGGAGGAGCAGTTCAGAGGCAGCTCTGCCATCACGTTTATACCCACTTTTAATGACATCCAAATTAAGGGGATGATTATCCAGAAACTTCCAGAAAAAGAGTGGTAACTTCCAGGTCATCAGGTTGTTACCATGGAAAGGGACGATAGCTTCCGGTGTTGCCATGGCAATGGCAGTTGATATGGCATGGATAGGCATTTCTTATGGGGAGGTGCCCTCGTCTCTTCCCTGTCTCAGCCAGTTCTCTATCTGGTCTGGAGTCCCAGCCCTGCCCCCAGAGCCAAGTCCCTCCTTCTACCTCAACCCAACTGCAGAAGGCAGAGTTGTTGTTTCAGGGAGATGAAATAGAGCCTGGTCTCCAGTGGCCTCACAGGTAGCATCTCCCTGAGGCATCCCCAAGGTCAAGGGGTCAGAGTTCAGCCTTCTGTTTCAGAAATCAACTGTGTGAGCAGAATTGAGTAGACTGAAAGCGATTGTCTTATATTCACCTAAGCAGTCACTCCTGGGCTTCAGACTGAGCACTGTTTCCAGAGTGTGGTAAGCCATTCTACCTTTCTGAGCCTTAGTTTCCCTATTTTCAAAATGATATGAAAAGTAGTAGTTTTCTGAAGGGGCTGCTGTTATAATCCAACCTGATCATTCGTGTAATCTATGAAGCACAGTGCTCAATAAACTATTACATTGGGAGGCCAAGGTGGGCAGATAGATCACTTGAGGTCAAGAGTTCAAGACCAGTCTGGCCAATATAGTGAAACCTGTCTCTACTAAAAATACAAAAATTAGCCACGCTTGGTGGCAGGTTCCTGTAATCCAAGCTACTCAGGAGGCTGAGGCACAAGAATCTCTTGAACCCGGGAGGTGGAGACTGCAGTGGGCCAAGATGGCACCACTGCACTCCAGCCTGGGTGATAAAGTGAGATTCAGTCTCAATAAATAAATAAATATTACAATTTTTTTTTCAACAAAATTATTGAACACCTACTTTATACCAGGCACTGTGCTCTGTGTGAGGACATACATAGGTAAATAAAATTAGCAGTGTATACCTGTCTTCATGAAGCTGTCATTAATGCTGCCAAGGGAATAATAAACGCAATGGGTTCCCATCTGAGAAACTCCAGAAAAAACCTGTTCTAGGCAGGCATGACTGTGGAGGTTTAGTAAATGCACACCAATTGTATAAAGTCAGAATGAGACTTTAAGTTTGTGTCAAGACACATAACTTGATAGGGGTCAGATCAATGCAGTCAGCTCTACAAAACACTATGGGAACGTTGCTCAGTGAATGTGGAATCAGGGTGTAGTGGGTTCAATAATTTCCCCCGTTATGGTTTGACATGGTTTTTTAGGCCCCACCAAATCTCATGTTGAAATCTGATCCCCAGTGTTGGAGGGGGCCTTGTGGGAGGTGTGTTGGTCTTGGGGGCTTGGTGCCATTCTCGTGGGAGTTAAGTTCTCACTCTTAGTTCTAGCAAGAACTGGTTATTGAAAAGAGCCCGGCCCCTCCCTCCCCTTTTTCCATATGGTCAGCACATGCCAGCGCCCCTTCCTCTTCAGCCGTAAGTAGAAGCGGCCTGAGGCCTCACCAGACGAAGATGCTGGCACCATGCCTCCTGTGAAGCCCACAGAATCATGAACCAAACAAGCCTCTTTCCTTTATAAATTTTCAGCCTCAGATATTCCTTTATAGCAATGCAAGATGAAAAACCTCCCAAATTCATATCTACCCAGAGCCTCAAAATGTGACCTTATTTGAAACAGGGTATTTGCAGATATAACTAAACATTAAGATGAGGTCCTATTGGATTAGAGTGAGTCCTAAATCCAATCTTTGTGTTCTTATAAGAAGAGGGAAGATCACGCAAAGACACAAGAGAAACAGACAGAGAAAGAAGGGGCCATCTGAAGGTAGAGGCAGAGACTAGAGTTATGTGGCTACTACCAAGGAGCCCTTCAAACCACCAGAAGCTGGAAGAGGCAAGGAGGGCTCCCACCCTAGAGCAGAGCCTGGCTAGCACCTTGACTTTGAACTTGCGGTCTCCAGAACTGGAGGATGCACTTCTGTTGTTCTAAGCCATCTAGTTCGTGGTGATGTTATGGCAGCCACAGTAAACTAATGTGCAGAAAAGGCAAGTCTGTTCCCTGCAAATGGCTTGTGGTTTCCTATCTGGAAGCCCAGCTAGTTGGCTTTGTTTTGTGGCTCTACTCACCAAGACACCACACGCTGGCCAGCTGATCATGGCCGCTGCTCCCTGCACAGAGCTGGGGCCTCCCTCCCCCGCTGTGGACTTCAGGCCAAAGCCCCCACCCTGCTGGCATGTTCTTTCCTTCTTACAGAGCTCCGTGTCTTCACTTAATCTCCCCAGCCACACGCTCCCAGACCAGACTGTCACTGGTGTTTCTCAGATGGAAACTTCTACTGATGGCACCTGGGTTCTCCTTCCTTCCACTCTGAGAATGCAGGGAGTGTCCTGCCCACATGCTCTTGCTCTGCTCACATGTGGGGTGAGCACCTGATAGATGCCCTTCAGAAGATGGGGGTGGGCCAGGCATGCTGACTCACGCGTGTAATCCCACCACTTTGGGAGGCCGAGACAGATGGATCACTTGAGGTCAGGAGTTTGAGACAAGCATGGCCAACATGGCGAAACCCCGTCTCTACTAAAAATACACAAATTAGCCAGGCATGGTGGCGAGTGCCTGTAATCCCAGCTACTCGGGAGACTGAGGCAGGAGAATCTCTTGAACCTGGGAGGTGGAGGTTGCAGTGAGCCGAGATTGCACCACTGCACTCCAGCCTGGGCGACAGAGCAAGGCTCCATCTCAAAAAAAAAAAAAGAAGGTGGGGGAGGAGGGAGAATGGGGGTGGCGCTCAGGCAAGGTGACTGGAGAACAAGGGGGTGCCCACACCTCTTTCTTGCTTCTACTAGATGAACATTGGTCAACAGATGTAGCCAAACTCCTGTAGGAAGATGGGACCTCCATAAGTATCTATTCTTCCCTGATTCCTCTCCCCACAATCTACGTTGTTTGGATTTAAAAATAAGTTGCATCTCAAAAATGTTGAGGCTGGCTAACAATGACCTTGTCACAGCTACTCTGAGCCTCCGGAAGTTTTTAGTTTCATCTTGTTCATGAGCTTGCAAAAAAATCCTGTTTATAAGAATCAGAAATTGGCCTTCTATTTATGAAACAATAGCAAGTGATAAAGTAAACACAAACATAGCATACTTGAAAATAGCAGGACAGAAAATAAACAGTCGAAAGAAGTCTGAGCTAGCGCATTCCCTGGCTGCGTTCCACTCCTTGCCAGGGCACACACTTGCGGCCAGCACGTTCCTTCGTGAGAGGCTTGGAGCTTGACTGACAGCTGTCACCCTGGCCCATCTCAGGCCAGAGTGTATCAAGTTTGTGTCCTTTCTTTAGGTTGCCAGCCCCAGGGGGTCAGAAGCTACATGATATCACTATTTCTATTCCCAGGCAGTGGTTTGCCCACAGCGAGCACTCGGTAAATGCCTCACATTCATTAAGAGCTATTTCCATTGTACTTATTTTTGGTATTTAGTTCTTAACATATCCATTCCATCATGACCTCTGTTAACTGCTGACACATGGGGTGTGCTCAAAACAAATGTGTTTTCGTCTCCTATTGTCCTTTTAAATGTGTTTGTGGAAGGTGATCATCCTTGCCCTTGAATGGAAAATTGGGCAGAACTCTGGCTTCTCTGCTAACTCTTTATTTTTTTATTTGTTCATTTAGAGACAGAGTCTGGCTTTGTCATCCAGGCCAAAGTGCAGCGGCGAAATCATAGCTCACTGCAGCCTTGACCTCCTGGCCTCAAGCAATCCTCCCCTCTTGGCCTCCCAAAGTGCTGGGATGACACACGTGAGCCACCACACATGGCCCAGACTGTACATTTTTTTTAGACTGTACTTTTTTTTTTTTAATACAGAGTTTTGCTCTTGTTGCCCAGGCTGGAGTGCAATAGAGCTATCTTGGCTCACTGGCACATGCAAGTGGGAAGAGGGGTAGACTTCATCGCAGGCTAACTGGATCCCAGCTTGCCTCACTCCCCTCTGCGTGTTCACTTTGGTTGTAGGTGGGCATCTTCCATGTGCTGGGGCAGGCAGCTTGTGATGGCCCAAGCACACTCTTCTAGCACTGTCATCCCAGAAGAGGCCACCTATGAACACACCCATTTAGCACTGTCACCCCAGAAGCAAGAGGCCACCTTCTGATGGCCTGAACACACCCTTCTAGCACTGTCACCCCAGAAGCGAGAAGCCACCTGATGGCCTGAGCACACAGTACCATCACCCCAGAGGTCACCTTCCTCAGCAGCTCCATGAGAAAAGTCCTGGAGAAGGGGGCCAGTGGCTTTGCTAAAGTCAGGCAAGCAGCTGAGATGACAGGAGGAGGGAGACACACGCCAGGCCTCCAGGGGACAAACGGCCACTCCAGCAGTCTACAGGCATTGGAGCCCCTTGCCACTAAGAAGAAAGGAAAGCTGTAGTCAGCTAGATGCGTTACTGATGTCTCACCTTTTCTGTCTTTTTTTTTTTTTTTTGAGACGGAGTCTCGCTCTGTCGCCCAGGCTGGAGTGCAGTGGCGCGATCTTGGCTCACTGCAAGCTCCGCCTTCCAGGTTCACGCCATTCTCCTGCCTCAGCCTCCTGAGTAGCTGGGACTACAGGCATCCGCCACCATGCCTGGCTAATTTTTTGTGTTTTTAGTAGAGACAGGTTTCACCGCGTTAGCCAGGATGGTCTCGATCTCTTGACCTCGTGATCCGCCCGCCTCGGCCTCCCAAAGTGCTGGGATTACAGGCATAAGCCACCATGCCCGGCCACATTTTCTGTCTTTTACTCCCTCCATTTCACTTCCCTCGGTGGTGTCTATGCTAGAAAGTGACTGAGATGCTGTTAGGAGCCATAAACTAAAACTAAAATCCTAAGTCCCCCACCGACTGAACAGACCCCCTCGTGGCTAAGGGGACCCCAGAGAAATCTCCAAAGTTGAGTTCTTGGCCATGACGGGAAGGGAGGTCGGACGTGCCTGGTGATACTCCTCCCTTTTGGAGTTAGACACGATGGCTGACCGGCATTAATGTCGAAATAGAGATCTGACTGACAAAACAGACTCTTTGTGCCAATAAGATGCCAAATTATAAACAGGCTCTAAGGCCGAGCCAGGCAAGGGTTAAGTCACACACTCCTACAGGTCACTCTGAGCCAATGTATTTGTTAACACAGGGGCCCCCAACCCTGTTAGGAACCAGCTGCACAGCAGGAGGTGAGTGGCAGGTGAGCTTCCTCTGTATTTACAGCCGCTCCCCATCACTCATATTACTGTCTGAGCTCCACCTCCTGTCAGATCAGCAGGAGCATTAGATTCTCGTAGAAGCGTGAACCCTATTGTAAATTGTGCATTCCAGGGATCTAGGTTGTGTGCTCCTTATGAGAATCTAATGCCTGATGAGCTGTCACTGTTTCCCATCACCCCCAGATGGGACCATCTACTTGCAGGAAAACAAGCTCAGGGCACCCATTGATTCTACATTATGGTGAGTTGTATAATTATTTCATTATATATTACAATGTAATAATAATAGAAATAAAGTGCACAATAAATGTAATGCACTTGAATCATCCCAAAACCATCCCCCCAACCCAGTCCCTGGAAAAGTTGTCTTCAATGAAACCAGTCCCTAGTGCCAAAAAGGTTGGGGACCGCTGGGTTAGCAGGCTTCTTTATCTCAACTTAAACATTCCTTTCTGCTGACTCCAAATTTTTAGACAAAGCCTTACTTGTTAACTAATTTCAATAAAGAGTCTCTGGGCCAGGCACGGTGGCTCATGCTTGCAATCCCAGCACTTTGGAAGGTCAAAACAGGCAGATCACCTGAGGTCAGGAGTTCGAGATCTGCCTGGCCAACATGGTGAAACCTTGTCTGTTCAAAAAATATAAAAATTAGCCAGGGGTGGTTGTGCAAGCCTGTAGTCCCAGCTACTTGGGAATCTGAGGCACGAGAATCACTTGAACCTGGGAGGCAGAGGTTGCAGTGAGCAGAGATCATGCCAGCCTGGGTGACAGAGTAAGACCCTGTCTCAAAAAAAAAAATCTCTGAAAGGACCTATGACCTGTAAGCCCCTGCTTCAAGATGTCCTACCTTTTTGGGCCAAACCAATGCATGAACTCCATGTATTGATTTATGACTATGCCTGTAACCTGTACTTCCCTAAAATGCATAAAACAGAGTTGAGGCTGGACGTGGTGGTTCATGCCTGTAATCCCAGCACTTTGGGAGGCTGAGGTGGGAGGATCACCTGAGGTCAGGAGTTTGAGACCAGCCTGACCAACATGGAGAAACCCCATCTCTACTAAAAATACAAAATTAGCCAGGCGTGGTGGTGCATGTCTGTAATCCAGCTACTCGGGAGGCTGAGGCAGGAGCATTGCTTGAACCTGGGAGGCAGAGTTTGTGGTGAGCCAAGATCGCACCATTGCACTCCAGCCTGGGCAACAAGAGTGAAACTCCATCTCAAAACAAAACAAAACAAAACAAAAACAGAGCTGAGGCCTAATAGCCTTGGAACCCCTTACTCAAGGTTTCTTGGGTTTGCGTTTTTCCCCAGGTGATGGTCACTCATATTGGCTCAGAATAAACCTCTTTAAAATATTTTACAGTTTGTTTTGTCCTTTAACAGAGCTAAATTGTGTCCCCTCCCAATTTATATGTTAAAATTCTTTTTTTTTTTTTTTTGAGACGGAGTCTTGCTCTGCTACCCAGGCTGTAGTGCAGTGGCACAATCTCGGCTCACTGCAATCCACCTCCCGGTTTCAAGCGATTCTCCTGCCTCAGCCTCCCGAGTAGCTGGGACTACAGGGGCCCACCACCATGCCTGACTAATTTTTTGTATTTTTAGTAGAGATGGGGTTTCACCATATTGGCCAGACTGGTCTTGAACTCCTGAGCTCAGGTAATCCGTCGGCCTCCCAGACTGCTAGGATTACAGGCGTGAGCCACTGCGCCCAGCCCCAATTTATATATTAAAATTATAATCCCCAGTACCTCAGAATGTGACTGTATTTGGAGACAAGGCCTTTAAAAAGGTAATTCAGATAAAAGGAGGTCATTAGGGTAAGCCTAATCCAATATGACTGGTGTCCTTACAAAAATGAGGTGGGGACACAGAAACGCAGGGATGGCCCCGTGAGGATGCAGGGAGGAGACAGCCTACAAGCTGAGGAGAGAATCCTCCGAGAACCAACCCCTCTGTCACCTGATCAGGGACTTCCACCCTCAGCACTGTGAGGAAGTTTCCGTTGTTTAAGCCCCTGCCTGCGGTACTTTGTTATGGCAGCTCAAGCAAACCAGGACAGATGCAGTGGCATCCCAGAAGAAAATGAAGTCTTGGGAAAGGAACCTGGAGGTGAATCGGTGTCTCTTTTGAACTTCCTGGTGCAAAGATGGGGTGGCACGCTCCGCCACTGCTCAGCTCGGTGCCAAGCTCCACTCCAGAGAAGCCGGGGGGCAGAGGGAGGGGACAGAGATGCTCACTGCTGCGGTCCATCTACCTTGAGGAGGAAGCCCTGCTTCCTTCTTGCAGCATGTAATTGGGGCTGAGTCACAGTGCCAGTGCCACCCTGCTCAGCCCAAAAAGCAGAGCAGATGGCAGCAGAGAAGAGCAGCAGGAGAGGTTCATTGGCCCCTCTCTGCCTCCAGGAAGGCGCCACACAGAGCAGACTGTCAGGGCGCCCTCATTTGCAGGGCCAGAGCCAGGGCATGGAGAGGGGGCACTCATCTCGGGTATGAAAGCTTAGGGGGCTCCAACAGCTCAGCAGTCAGGATAAATCATCCTTTAATGCAATATTGTTTAAAATCTACATTTATGTAAACAAATCTATGATGAACAAAATGTTTCTGATATTTCCTTTTGCCTCAGGATCCAATGTGGTTAGCACAGAGCTTTTACGGATCCTGTCATTATTTAAAATTGTATTTTTTATCATTTTTTTGCATTAATTTTTATTTTTAAAATTACTGCATTGGCTGGGCGCAGTGGCTCACACCTGCAATCCTAGCACTTTGGGAGGCAGGCAGATCGCCCAAGGTCAGGAGTTTGAGAGCAGCCTGGCCAACATGGTGAAACCCCATCTCTACTAAAAATACAAAAATTAGCTGGGCGTGGTGGCAGGTGCCTGTAATCTCAGCTACTTGGGAGGCTGAAGCAGGATAATTGCTTGAACCTGGGAGGTGGAGGTTGCAGTGAGCCAAGATCATGCCACTGTACTCCAGCTTGGGTGACAGAGCGAGATTCTGTCTCAAAAAAAAAAAAATACTGCATTAAAATATTTGTCTTCAGTTGCATTCACTATATGCATACACACACACACATCACACATTACAAATGAATACAGGTTTAAAAACTGGCCATCTACAGTCTAGTTAACAGTAATGTCCTGATGTCAATTTCCTGATTTTGATTTTGTACTATAAGATGTCATCATTGGGGGAAGTTGGGTATACCAATGTTGCAATTTCCTGTAAGTCTATAATTATTTCAAAATTAAAATTTTTGCAGGAGGGTGTCACACACCTGTAGTCCCAACTGATCAGGAGGCTGAGGCAGAAGGATCCCTTGAGCCCAAAAGGTCGAGGCTGCAGTGAACCAAGATTGCACCACTGCACTTCAGCTTGGGTGACCCAGTCTCTTTTTAAAAATTGAAAATATATTTATTTTATAAATTCCTGAATCTGGGGGCACCCAGGTCAATTTGAGCCCATAGTGGGCATCTTACTTTCCTCTGCTAGTCCTGGCCCTGCGTGTTATGCTCTCAAACAGTGGGGAACATCAGCCAAGACTCTCACCTCGCTCAGCAATGCACAGACACTTAGTTACCCTTGAGCCATCCATAAACCCATCTGGCTGCCCCAGACCTCCTGCTAATTCTGCCCCCAGGAACACGCCTTCCCTGCAAACCGGCCCTTCCCATTTCCGTAAACACCCTGTGTGCAATGTTCAAGCATGAGCAACAATGGGATAAGCTTTTCTTTTCTTCTTCTTTGTTCTTTGACAAGTTCAGTTCAGTTTCAGTGAAAACTACTCAGGGTGTAAACAAATAATGTCACATCTTAAATTTTAGTTATGAGTCAGGGCCTATGGTTTTGACAAGCACCCAGGTGATTCCAGTGTGGAAGCTGAAGAGCCACCCCTTGAGCCAGTTCTTGACTTTGTGCTCACGTTAGAATCTTCTAGGGCAGCATCACCTGGGAACTCATTAGAAATGCAGATTCTTGACTGCGCCCTGAACCTGCTGAATCAGAAACTCTGGGAGTGTGCCCAGCCATCCGTGCTTGCAAAGCCCTCCAGGCAATTCCGATGCTTGCTGAGGTCTGAGGACCACTGATGTAGAACTTTAAAAAAATGGGATGCTTGGATCCACGTCCAGAGATGCCAGTCTCATTGGCTGAGTTACAGTCCTGCTGTCCCACATAAAGTTTCTTGGGTCATTCTACCAATCTCTGGGGTGAGAGTCGCTGCTCCACTGTGTCTTGGTGACCAGCTGAGTCTCTCTTCCTGGTTCTCCAGCATGACTCCTAACTAGTGCTTATGTTTCTTGCAGAGAAACCAAAGATCTGCCCTTAACAACAGTCCAATGAGTTAAGAGGAAATAAAGTGCTTTCAAGAAAATGCCTTTTTAAGCACCCATGGCATCCAGGAGGCCCCTATGCTGTGTATGGTTTGATTTGTGTGAATTTTAGTTTGCCTATTCTTCTCTTCTCTTTGTGAACTCTGGCAGGATGAGAACAACTTCACAAATGTGTAAGGAAAGTTGTTCTCAAGCGGTCTGGGACGGAGTCTTTTTGCTTGATATACTTCAAATCTCCTTCTGGGAATATCATTTATTCCTGATAAAATGCTTAAGAAATTTTCTCACTAGATTTAGAAAGATGTGTCCTGAGAAAGCAGTCACCTACTAGCTGTCAGTCACACACGGAGGTTCTGGAAACCAAACATGCTGACCTTTCTGTATCTGGCCTCATACTAATTATCTTAACATTTTATTCCTGGACACAGTAGTGTGCGCCTGTAGTCCCGGCTACACGGGAAGCAGAGGCCAGGAGTTTGATAGCTTGAGGACAGGAATTCAAGGTTGTAGTGTGTTATGATCTGCCTGTGAATACCCACTACACTCCAGCATGGGCAATCACAGTGAGATCCCATTTCTTTTTTTTTAAAAAAATTCTTATCCAATAATATAACCCTAACACATGTGAATTATGACTGCCAGACAGCTTCTCTCATAGCAATATTATAATAAAATTTTATATGGGACTACAGGTGCACACCACCACACCCAGCTAATTTTTTGTATTTTTTATAGAGATGAGTTTTTGCCGTGTTGCCCAAGCTGGTCTCAAACTCCTAGACTCAAGCCATCTGCCTGCCTCAAGCCTCCCAAAGTGTTGGGATTACAGGCATAAGCCACCACGCCTGGCCTCAAAAAGTTCTCAATGCAAGTTATATAAACATTGTATTTACTAAAAATAGTTCTATGCAATGCAAACAGCAGAGACACATAAATAGCAGTAAGTGATCACCCCCACTGAATTCCACTTCCCAATGGGGGGTGACTGATTCCATGAGGTGTGTGTCTTACCACCTGTATTCATCCACTCATTCATTCATTCATCCACAATTCATTTGTCCAATATTGAATCAATCACCTATACTGTTCCAAGCTGAGTGAAGGGGATATAGATGTGCATGAGATAAACACCATTTTTAAACTCATGGATCTTACATAAATGTAAATACAAACTCTCATACTTCAGTAATAGTTGAACTATTACTGAAAGAAACTAATTTTTAGCTCAGCTTTCTTTTCCTGCCATGGATTTACCCAAGAAGATTAAAAACATCTTTCCCTGTCCCCATGGAGAGCAGGAATGAGCTGTGCTGTCCTCTCCCGGCTCCCACCCTTTCCACTCCGCTCCTGGCCCCTTGCCCCACCTTGCCAGGGCTGCAGTTTCAGGCCCACTGGGCGATTAAGGTGGATTGCCCTGGACAAGGATCAGAGGAGATAAAAGTGGCTTGGTTGGGGGAGGGAGATGGAGAGGGTGGAAAGTGAAGAAGTGAGACTCCTCACCCCCAGGAGAGATAAAGAAGGGGCGGTGTTGTGAACCACTGGAGGTGAGAGTGACCAAGCCCATTGCACACAGCACACCATGGGGGACACAATTTCAAGGTTGCCTAAGGAGGTGGCATAGTAGGGGGTCTGGTTCCCAGTCTCCATGCCACAGCCTGGATCAGAGCAGAACTTTGGAAGGGACAGCTGGAGGTTGAGCAGTGCACGTCTAGTTGTGGCCAGGGTAGACTCAAGGCAGAGTCACTTCCTCATGTCCTCTGGACTAATAACACCCTAGGACTCCTGCACAGCCGAGGCAATGGAAACGCACTGAGCATTCCCTGCTTTGGGCAGTGCCGGCTGACAGAGGGGTGTTATTTGATTTAGGAAAATAAAACATGACATTTCCTGCATCCAGGTGTTGCAAAGCAAATGTATGCCTACTGGAGACACACGCACACATGCACACACACACACATCACACACATCACATGCACAGTCATAAAGCTCCTGGTTTTGTTGATCAGCTCCTAATTGCATTATCATTCTTTTTACAGCACAGAGACTAAAACTGGACCAGAAGCCTTCTTTTGCCAACAATAGGGCTTGTGGCGGCTTTAGTTGAAAATGTGCACTCTCAGTAAGCATATTGAAGCAGTTTACTTGGCTGGGTGTGGTGGCTCACACCTGTAATCCCAGAACTTTGGGAGGCCGAGGCAGGTGGATCACCTGAGGTCAGGAGTTCAAGACTGGCCTGGCCAACTTGGTGAAGCCCCATCTTTACTAAAAATACAAAAAATCAGCTGGGCGTGGTGGCATGCACCTGTAATCCCAGCTACTCAGGAAGCTGAGGCAGGAGAATTGCTTGAACCCGGGAGGCAGAGGTGCAGTGAGCCAAGATGGCACCACTGCACTCCAGCCTGGGCAACAAGAGAGAAAGTCCATCTCAAAAACAAACAAACAAACAAAAATGTTGAAGCAGTTTACTGTAAAACGGATCCTGTGTCCTTTAAAAGCCTGAACTGTCTGGGCGATATTTATGGCTGCATGACACAGTTTGGTGTGATTAAATGTGTTCCTGAAGATGTAATTTTCATAGAGCAGTCCCAGGGTCCCTTTGGGGGTCAAAAGATCATTAGAGGGTGGAGGTGGAGTGGGGCATCCCTTCCTGAATTAAAGCAGCCCTTTCCAGGCTCCCACCCTTTGAAGAAAAAAACCACCATTATGGAGCAGTAATTTACACACATACACACAATGTACTCGCTTTAAGTGTGCAGTTCAATGAGTTTTGACAAATGAATACACAATCACAACAGTCAACACACAGAACCATTTCCATCACCCCCGAAAGGCCCCTCAGTCACTTCACAACCCCTGCCCCAGACATCTCCTGACCTGCTTTCTGTCACTAGAGATTGGTTTTGCCTCTTCCAGGCTTTCATGTAAGTGGATTCTACAGCGTGGATTCTTTCATATCTGGCTTCTTTCACTCAGCATAATTACTCTGAGATGCTTCATTCCTTTTTATTGCCAAGTTGTACTCCATGGTATGGAGAGACCACAGATATTTATTCACCTGTTGGTGGACACTTGGGTGTTTCCAGTTTTTCTCTATTGTAAACAAAGCAAAGCAGCTCTGGTCTTACATGTTTTATATGTTCAGGTTTGTGCATCATTTCAGTTGCAAAGAAAGCATTTGGCTTCTCAGAAAAGGAAGCAAGAAGGGAGGAAGGAAAGATGGAAGAAAGAAAGGAAATAGAAGGGAGGAAGAAAGGCAGGCAGGAAGAAAGAAAACCACTGGTGAAGTAGAAAAGGTGAAGTCTTTGGAGCCAGAGACAGAACTGGGCTGGACGCCTGGCTCTGCTTCTAGTTTAGTCAGCCTGAAGAACAACTGCATTTTTTTACGTATCTGTTTTTTGGTTTTTGTTTTTCTGAGATGGAGTCTTGCTCTTTCACCCAGGCTGGAGTGAGTGGTGTGATCATAGCTCACTACAGCCTTAAGCTCCTGGGCTCAAGTGATCCTCCCGCCTTGGCCTCAAAAAGTGCTAAGATTACAGACGTGAGCCACCACACTCAGCTAAATTTTTAAAATTTTTGTAGAGACAGGGGTCTCGCTATGTTGCCCAAAATGGTCTTGAACTCCTGGCCTCAAGCAATCCTCCTGCCTAGGCCTTGCAAAATGCTGGCATTACAGGTGTGAGCCACCATGCCTGGCCTTGTGGAGGTTCTCTTATTTATAAAAATAAGGAGACTACCACACAGGGTTTTTGAGAGGATTACATTCAATGAGGTCAGATATCTAAAGTGTACAGCAAGTGCTCTAAAAATGGTATTCCTCTCCCATCCCCTGGCCTGGGAGAGAGGAGAGCCAGCCGGAAGGACTCTCTGGCCCTGTTTAGCTCAGCCGACCAGATGTACATGAGTAATTCCCAATCAGTATCACTCTGCGAGCCGTCTGTGAGCTTAGATGATTTAGCCCAAGTGCATATTGTCTGGTTCAAACCATGTTCTGTGGACTTTCACTTATTTCTAATCATGCTCTAAAATTATCCTTTTGAATTGATTAACGATTCAAAGCCCCAAAGTATCCTAGGTTATCTTTAGCATGGTTGGGGATGTTAGAGAAGATGAAGAGACTATGAGTTGGCTACTTGCTTAGTAATGGAAAGTTCCTACCAGCAAACTGCTGGAAGCTTCTAGAGAAACAAGCTTATCAGACCCTGGGGCAGGGTTAATGAGATTTACATTATAGCAGACTTCTTTGGGAAAGGCAGTGGCCTTTTCTAAGCCCTGTGCCACAGATTCTAAAGACCTGTGCTGCCAAATCTCACTCCGTGGGAGTCCCGGAAAACAGAGGCATTGAAGCATGCAGCAACTTGGAAAGTAACCACCTGGAACACCTGGAAAAACAACAGAGCCTGGAAAGGCCACGTCAAGTCTAACGAGGACAGGGCAGTGGGGGCCAAGAGGGAGAAGACTGGAGTGTTGCCATATTAATAGTTCCGCCGCGAGTTCTGTGCAAATCCCTTGGGAGCTTGGTTTCTTCATCTGTAATGAAGGGGTTGGACTGAGGTCGCTTTTAGCTCTGACAAACTATAATTTTGTGATACTGATTAATCCATGAACGTCAGGTGCTGGGAATTTGGCTGCCCCGTCGGGTTTCTGATGCACATCAAGCTCCGTGTGAAGTAACTGATGAAGACACAGGCTGGCAGGATTTCTGAGGCAAAGGACAAAAGTAATGAAGCTGGGATTGGGGTCGGGGAGGGTAGATCCGTTTTTTATCTGCTCCATTTCAGGTAAAGGTAAGCCCTTTCCATATACGTTATTGAAGGCATGTGGAATACAAAACTGGAGGTTTGATGGAGAAGCCACAACTAGAAGTCACGTTGGGGATCATTGGCAAACCAGATTCAACAAATATTTATTGAGCACCCGGTAGTGCAAATAAATAGTCATCCATGCAATCAACAAACATCTTTTAGCATCTATTATGTGTCAATACCACAATATGTACTGTGGAAAAATAAAAAAGAAAGGAGGCACAGACTCATTTTTCAGGAATTTGCAATAGAAGTAGCATTTGAATAAGACAAAAAGAATTATGTGACAGGATAAGATGAATTCCATATGAGAAACATGGTGATTTGGGGGGGGGGGGTTGAAGCAAGTGTATAGAATTGTGGCATCAGGGAGACTTCATGAAGGAAGTGGCGCTTGAAATAGGCTTTGAAGAAAGCATAGTGTTAATTCAGTGGAAAGGGGGACTGGAGAGGGCATTTTATGGAGAGGAAACTGCAGGTGAATATCCACCTGCACTGGGAATGTTTGCAGCATTTTGCATGACTAGCTAGAATCCCGGTTGGAATGTGAGGACAGGCTATAAAGGAGCAGTAGGAATTAAGCTTTGGGTAGATAGAGGTTATATCACACAGTGCTGAAGGCTGAAGAGTTTCCTTATTTGGGGACATGTTAGGAGGGCGCCAGTCTTCTGTTTTTTGTTTTTTGTTTTTTTTTTTTTTTGAGATAGAGTCTCGCTCTGTTGCCCAGGCTGGAGTGCAGTGGCGCGATCTCGGCTCACTGCAAGCTCCGCCTCCCAGGTTCACGCCATTCTCCTGCCTCAGCCTCCTGAGTAGCTGGGAGTACAGGTGCCCGCCACCACGCCCGGCTAATTTTTTTTTTAATTCTTAGTAGAGACGAAGGTTTCACCATGTTAGCCAGGATGGTCTCGATCTCCTGACCTCGTGATCCACCCACCTCGGCCTCCCAAAGTGCTGGGATTACAGGCGTGAGCCACCGCGCCCGGCCCAGTCTCCTGTTTTGTGCAGGTGTGTGTGGTGGGCTGAGTGCTTACCCTTAATAGTATTTACCTGGCCCTGCTGAGCAGAACAGATTAGAGTTTAAGATAAGATCCAGGTGAACTTCTAGGTCTAAGTTCTAAGATTGGATGAGCCCATAGTGGGTGAAGGCTGAAGGAAGAGAATTGAAGTCTGGGGCTGGGCGTGGTAGCTCATGCCTGTAATTCCAGCACTTTGGGAGGCTGAGGCAGGTGGATCACTTGAGGTCGGGAGTTCAAGACTAGCCCAGCCAAAATGGCAAAACCCAGTCTCTACTAAAAATATAAAAATTAGCTGGGTGTGGTTGGCAGGCGCCTGTAATCTTAGCTACTTGGGAGACTGAAGCAGGAGAATCGCTTGATACCGGGAGGCAGATGTTGCAGTCAGCTGAGATCATGCCACTACACCCCAGCCTGGGGGACAGAGTGAGATTTCATCTCAAAAAATAAAGTCTGGGATTTTTTTTTTTTTAAGAGACAGGGTCTCACTCTGTCACCCAGGTTGGAGTGCAGTGGTGTGATCATAGCTCACTGCAGCCTTAACCTGCTGGGCTCAAGCAATCCTCCCACTTTATCCTCCCAAGTAGCTAGGACTGCAGGTGTGCGCGACCATGCCTGGCTAATATTTTAAAAATGTTTTGTAGAGATGAGGTCTTCCTATGTTGCCCAGGCTGGTCTCTAACACCTGGATTCAAGCGATCCTCCCAAAGTGCTGGGATTATAGGCATGAGCCACTGTGCCAAGGCTGGTTTGATCTTTAGAGACACTCAAAGTGGCAGGGCCAAGAGTGGACACATCCACTCCACTATTTCCAGGCCCAGAAACAAGCAATCAAGGTGGGGAGATGGATGGAAACCTTTGTGGTCTCCAAGCCTAACTCTCACATTCCCATCAAATTCAGGAAAACACAGAGCCACGGTCCAGGGCAAAGAGCTGTGGATGCGAGATCTGGCTGATCTTCCAGACCTCAGTTTTTATCCATAAAATGGGGAGCATATTAGAAAGACCCATGAGTTAATGTATTTAAACTAGTAGGCACTTAATTCCTCCAGCTGAGTCACAAGTACAACAGATTTCCTAACTGCATGCAGTCTGTTCTACAAAAAATCAGGTCATGTTTTCACCAATACAGGTTGAGCATCCCTTATCCAAAATGCACAGGACCAGAGTGTTTCAGATTACGGACAGATATGGTTTGGCTATGTCCTCACCCAAATCTCATCTTGAATTTTAGCTCCCATGATTCTCATGTGTTGTGGAAGGGACCCTGTGGGAGATAATTGAATCATGGGGGGCAGTTTCCCCCATACTGTTCTCATGGTAATGAATAAGTCTCACGAGATCTGATGGTTTTATAAAGGGAAACCCCTTTCACTTGGCTCTCATTCTCTCTTCCCTGCCGCCATATGAGATGTGCCTTTCACCTTCTGCCATGATTGTGAGGCCTCCCCAGCCACATGGAACTGTGAGTCCATTAAACCTCTTTTTCCTTATAAATTACCCAGTCTCAGGTATGTCTTTGTCAGCAGCATGAGAATAGACTAATACATGAAATTTTTCAGATTTTGGAATATTTCCATATACATAATGACATATCTTGGGGATGGGACCCAACTCTAAACACGAAATTTACTTGTTTCATATTCACATTATACACATAGCCTGAAGGTAATTTTATACACTTTTTTTTTCTTTTTTTTTTTTGGAGACAGACTCTCACTCTGTTGCCCAGGCTAGAGTGCAGTGGCAGGATCTTGGCTCACTGCAACCTCTGCCTCCCAGGTTCAAGCGATTCTCCTACCTCAGCCTCCTGAGTAGGTGGGATTACAGACACCCACCACCACGCCCAGCTAATTTTCGTATTTTTAGTAGAGACGGGGTTTCACCATGTTGGCCAGGCTGGTCTCGAACTCCTAATCTCAGGTGATCCGCCCGCCTCGGCCTCCCAAAGTGCTGGGATTACAGGCGTGAGCCACTGCACCCGGCCCATTTTATACAATATTTTAAATAATTTTGTGCATGAAACAAAGATTGTGTACACAGAACCGTCAGAACCAAAGGGGTCCCTATCTCTACCCCCATGTGGACCCCCCCGGTCTGTGGTTGTTCAGCATCACCATCATGTCTGACTCTGAATTTATATGCTACTGATTAATAATCATGTTTTTACACTTATCTGTACATAAATACTTAGTAAAAAAAAGATAAACTATTAATACAGTGAAAAATAATGTGTTCCAGGTAACTAAGCAGCACAGTAGCATCCACAGAACACCTGCATCAGCTGTGAGACAACAGCAATGGCAAACAGAGGCAGGTGTCAGTCTCCCCCTACTGTGCTATGTTCGATTCAAAGGTTACTGTTTTTTGTTTTTTTATTTGTTTGTTTGTTACCCAGGCTGGAATGCAATGGCGTGGTCTTGGGTCACTGCAACCTCCACCTCCTGGGTTCAAGCTATTCTCTTGCCTCAGCCTCCCAAGTAGCTGGGACTACAGGTGCGCCACAACGCCCAGCTAATTTTTGTATTTTTAGTAGAAACGGCGTTTCACTATATTGGCCAGGCTGGTCTCAAACTCCTGACCTTGTGATCCGCCCACCTCAGCCTCCCAAAGTGCTCGGATTACAGGCATGAGCCACCATGCCTGGCCTATATTTTAGTTTTCAGGTGAGAAGAAACATCAGAAGCAGTTGAGGGACCAGGAAGTGGGTTCTTTAGGAATGAGGAGGCGTTCTACTGGGTGGCTTTTTAAAATGTTTCCTCCAGAGTCATCTGCCTCATTAACAGCTTTTGTCTTAGATGTCTCCCTTTGATTTTATAAACTGCATGATGATTTCTTGTTCTGTTATGAATCTGCACTGCTCTAGTCCTTTAATAAGCCCAGTGCATGTTTTCATCATCTCATCAACAGGCACTTTTTCTGCAGTGTTAACAATGTCATCTTCCTCATCACTGTTACCACGATCACCTGGATTCAGAACCATTTCAACAATTTCACCATTGGTCAATGAATGAGTGATGGAAGCCTCATTATTTATGTTAAAAACTCCTTCAATATCCACTTCTTCCAGCTTATGAAAGGGGTCTGAAGATATATATTTTTTTCACCTGTAAGGAGATTAGACATCATTTTTTCTCACTTGACATACAGAATCCTTCAAAGTCACCACCTTGTTCATCACCATCACTGAACATAGTCTCAGGCTAGAGGTTTCCTGCCAGGTGTGCACAACTGTGTCTAAGTTGCTGGGTTCCAGGCATTGGAAGCAGCTTATACAGCATCCCCATGCTAAACTCGTTTTGAAGACCTTCCGTACCCACACCTCTAGTCACTGCTGCCAGCATGCTGTTCAAGGAAGTGTTGTTATATTTATTCTTCATTGACCTAAGGATAACCTGGTCACACGGCTGAATTAATTAAGTCACATTTGGGGAAAAGTACACAGCATAAACATTTTTGATGAGAATTTCAGCTGGGAAAGGAGCAGAACAGTTGTCAATGAATTACAAAGTCTTGCAGTTGTCATCCAGTCTAGCTTCCCTGCAGTGAGCATGAGCCGCTGGTACAAAAAATGTTTGTGAAACCAATTAGAAAAGATGTGCCTGTGACCCATGCCTTTTTGTCATCATAATAATGGACTGGTAAGAAATTCACTCCTTGAAAACAGTGAGGACAGAAGCTTTTGCCCATCGCAAGTTGACCCTTATGCACACCTGCTGCATTAGCACAGCCCAGCACACTTGCTCTGTCCTTAGCATCCTTAATACTTGGGGGCTGTCTCATCAGCTTTTGTCAGTCTCTTTCTGGGATAATTATGCCAAAACAGCGATGTTTCATCAGCATTACAGACTTGTTCTGGCATCAGACTTTCATCAGCAATGACCTTGGCAAACTCATCAATGAATTTCTCTGCCGCTTTGTGATCATCAGATGCTCTGTCACCACACATCTTCAAAAACTTTAATGCTGTATCTTAAATTTCTGCAACCAGCCTGTTGAATATTCACAGTTCCCTTCAATTGCCAGTTCAAAGTCATAGATCTTTGCTTGTTTCACAATCAGCATACCATTAAGTGACGGGTGTTCATTGCCACACTGATGGATCCACTTTTATTTTTTTGAGACAAAGTCTCACTCTGTTGCCCAAGCTGGAGTGCAGCGGTATAATCTTGGCTCACTGCAACCTCTGCCTCCCAGGTTCAAGTGATTCTCGTGCCTCAGCCTCCCAAGCAGCTGGGACTACAGGTGTGCACCACCACATCCAGCTAATTTTTGTATTTTTTGTAGAGACGGGGTTTCACCATGTTGGCCAGGATGGTCTCAATCTCTTGACCTCATGATCTGCCCGCCTTGGCCTCCCGAAGTGCTGGTATTACAGGCGTGAGGCACCACACCCGGCCCATTTCATTCTTTCTTTCTTTTTTTTTTTTTGAGACAGAGTCTCACTCTGTCGCCTAGGCTGGAGTGCAGTGGTGACATCTCGGCTCACTGCAAGCTCTGCCTCCTGGGTTCACGCCATTCTCCTGCCTCAGCCTCCCAAGTAGCTGGGACTACAGGTGCCCGCCACCACGCCCAGCTAATTTTTTGTATTTTTAGTAGATACGGGGTTTCACCATGTTAGCCAGGATGGTCTCAATCTCCTGACCTCGTGATCCTCCCGCCTCGGCCTCCCAAAGTGTTGGGATTACAGGCGTGAGCCACTGCGCCCGGCCTCCCAATTCATTCTTTCAATACACAATCGAGATCTTCATTTTTAGCCTTAAGCATTGTTTTTCTTTTTATCATTAACTTATTTTCATCACTTTCGGCATAGAACTCCAACAGTTTATCCTTCTGTTTCCTCAGGTCATATATGGTGTCCATTCTGACACCATCTCTTCTGAAAGACACTTCACACACCACTTCCAGTTTCTCCAACAGCTTGACTTTCTGTGCTACAGGTAAACATAAATGCTTTCTGTTATCACTGTTACCCACAGAGGTGTCTGCAGGCCCTTTTAACATTTTCAACAATACTTTTGCACCACAGACCAGAGAATAAGCAAAAAACACAGTGAGTAATGCATGCAGGTCTTGGCACCATGTGGGGCAGTTTGGGAAACCTGCATCCGGCCTGCACATGTGCCATTTTCTCACCCTTTGTGGGTATGGCTATGTGGGGGAATCCGGGTATGTACACTGGACATATATTACAGCAGAAGGGGGCCAGGAGGGTCTGAAGGATCTTTTTCCTCCCAGATGGGGATGATAAATAAACTGTGTGTTGTGCACTTGACTTTTGACTGCGACCCCTCACATGAACTCAGGTGTGGAATTTTCTACTTGTGGCATGTTGGTGCCCAAGAAGTTTTGGATTCTGGATTTTCTGATTAAGCATGCTTAGTCTGTATCAGCAAACAAAACACAGTGAAGCTGCCCTGTACTGTACTGAAATGTCACTAAGACAGTGGCCCAGGTACCAGAATCTAAAAGAAGGAAAAATTCCAGAATGAACTTTATTCTGAAACCAGGAGCTTGGGCTTTCTGACCTTTTCCATTTTTAACTCCTATTTTATGTTCCAAATACAATTACCCCCATCCCACCGACACTGTAGCCTTTCTGCCACCTCCTTGCCATGACATGGTGAGAAAAACGCGAGCGCAGTAATGTTGAGCTGATGTTTGTGGAGGGCGTTGGGAGTCTTGCTGGCGCATGCTTCACAAACACAGGATATTATTTCTAAGCTGCTGCTTAAAGAAGGGAGAGACAGGGAGGAGCAGTCTCCTCGTGTTCTGGGGCAGCAGCAGGGGGCAGGTCAGGGGAACAGGAAATAACCAGCGATTTCCCAGAGCCCATGAGAGAGCAGAGCCCTGGGGGCTGAGGCTTTGAAGCCCATCTCAGTGAAGGGGGCGACCCACATTTTCCACATTGCATTGGACGGAAGCAAAGCCTCCTGAGCAACTAAGTAATAAAGATGACATTTTTGCAAATAAATTGTTGACTGGAAGGCTCATGGGAGGTAAGCAGAGATCCTGGCAGCTCACCCTCTCCTGCTGGGAGTTCTGTGTGTGTAAACTTCCTGGTGAGAATCTCCACCAGTCCCTCTTGACAGGCACCTTAGGGAGAGCCAGACCTTCAGTCTCCATGCCCCACACTGAGTTTGACACCAAAGGTCACAAAGCCATCAGCAAGAATCTGTTGTCTTTGTTGTACAAAGCAAAAGGCAGGGGCCACATCCCAGCACCTGACCTGTAATGCACAGTAAAGCCAGCACAGCTCTCTTCACATTCTTCTAAGGATTCACACAAGGGCAGCAAGGAAACCTACCTGCCTCATAAACGTCCTGTGTCTCCCATGCTATGCCTCCTTATGGTTCCACATCCCTATACAGGTAGAAATTTGAAGTTCTGAAATTCAAAAAAGAGGTTTATCTAAATTAAAGACTGAGCAATGGAGCTTTCCCTTTTCCCAACTCTGATGGGAGTTATTTTTGAAAAAATTTCACAATGGACTTACTCCAATTGCACAAATACTTATTAAGAATCTACTGCCTGCAAAACACCATGCTAAGCACCACGAGAAAGATTCAGAAATGAAGACGGTTTGAGTGATGCTTGTGACCTGTAAAAGACACAAACACATAAATAAATTACGAGCATCAGGCAGACAACAATCCTATCAGAACATAAAGGTTAAAAAGGGATTCTCTTTTCCTCCTGGGAGAATCAAGAAAGGGAGTTTGACACAGGTTGGCATTGACATGGCCCTAAAGGAAAGGACTTCAGCAAGCAACTACAGGTGGCAGCAGCTGTTTTCCATCTGCAGATTCAAGGAGGGAAGATACAGGAAGCTATGAATACCTAGATGTGGCTGGAATAGGTTTAAATAGGTTTTGGATAGAGGGTGTTGGGGAGGTGAGAAGGAACAGTAGCTATGGATAACAGACTAAGGAGTTTGGACTTTTTTCTCTGTGAAAGAGGAAAGGGTTAAATGTTCTTTAAAATGAAAGAAATGCTGTTAGAATGGAGTGAGCATGGAGTCAAGACCAGGCTGTTACAATAGCACAGGCAAGAGGAGCTGGAGACCGCAGCCATGGGCCTGAGCTCTTAGAGCTCCTAATCAAGCCTCATCCTTCTCAGACAAGTGTCAGGGAGCCACATGTGTTAAGGTGGAGATGCAATAGCTCTGTAGATACAAATAAGAATGAGGGGCCCAAGTGTCATCACTGGACAAATGTGTGATTCCTGGGGCATTTGTCACAGACATGGCCGTCCGGATTTATGCTACAACTTGAGGTCTGCAGTAACAACCCTTTCTGCTAGCTGCTTCAGTGAAGGGCAAAGGAAAGTTCAAGAATGAAGCCAGACCAATGTGGGATGGGGCAAGTCTCCAACACTCTACAGGCTCAACAAATGGCGAGCTTTTCAGATTTAACTAAAAGTTGAGCGTGTCCAATATCATGTACCATGCTGGTCAGTATCATGGACCATGTTGGTCAGTATCATGTTCCATGCTGGTCAGTATCATGTACCATGCTGGTCAGTACCATGTACTGTGCTGGTCAATGTCATGTACCATGCTGGTCAGTAAGGTGTACTGTGCTGGTCGGTATCATGGCCCATGCTGGTTGGCATCATGTACCTCACTGGTTGTCACTGTGTACTGCACTGGTCAGCATCATGTACTGTGCTGGTCGGTATCGTGTGCTGTGCTGGACGGTATCAAGTACTGTGCTGGTATCATGTACCCTGCTGGTCAGTATCGTGGACCATGCTGGTTGGTTTTACGTACTGTGCTGATTGTTCCCTGACTCTACTCAGATCTGCTCTGTGCCTGGGGGCCTGACCTCTACAAAATACATCTCCCAGGCTCCCCTGCCCTCTGGTTTCCAGCTGGGCTTCAATCCAACCTTGGACACCATCCAGCAATGGTTCCCTTAACTCTGCCCACACCTCTGTACCTAGTCCCATCATCTTCTAGTAACAATAAATTCTTGTCAGTGTGCCATCTATTTCTTGCCAGGACCATGACAAATATATTATTAATACTCTATATGTGCCATCAATCCTCTTAGCAACCCTGAGAGGTATTATTTCCATTTCATAGATAAGGAAAATGAGACACAAACAGGCTAAGAGATTTTCGTGGTAGAGGCAGTAATGTTCACCTGTTACAATGCCCCCATGCCTCCATCCCAGCTCTGAGAGAAGGAGCACTGTATGACTAATTCTGGCCAATAGGCTACAAGAAAAAGTGATGAGCTGGGTGTGGTAATGCATGCCTATAATCCCAGCACTTTGAGAGCTAAGGAGAAAGGATTGCTTGAGGCCAGGAGTTTGAGATCAGCCTGAGAAACATAGTGAGACCCCCATCTCTACCAAAAAATTTTTTTAATTAGCTGGGTGTGGTGGTGTGTGCCTGTGGTCCCAACTAGTTGGGAGGCTGAGATGGGAGGTTTGCTTGAGCCTGGGCAGTCAAGGCTGCAGTGAGCCAAGATCACACCATGCATGCAAGCCTGTGTGAGAGTGAGACCCTGTCTCTAATAATAATAATAATAATAATAATAATAAATATTTAAAAATAAAAAGTGGGGTCGAGTGTGGTGGCTTATGCCTGTAATCCCAGCACTTTGGGAGGCTGAGGTGGGCAGATCATGAGTCAGGAGTTCAAGACCAGCCTGACCAACATGGTGAAACCCTGTCTCTAGTAAAAATACAAAAATTAGCCGGGTGTGATGGCACGCGCCTGTAATCCCAGCTACTCAGGAGGCTGAGGCAGGAGAATCACTTGAACCTGAGAGGAGGAGGTCACAGTGAGCCAAGATCGCGCCACTGCACTCCAGCCTGGGCGACAAAGCAAGACTCAGTCTTAAAAAATAAAGAATAAAAAATAAATAAAAAATAAAAAGTGATGTATGGACATAGGGAGAGGGGTTGTGGGCGCCTCTCTGTCAGGGCAATCCTGGGGACCTGGAGATGGGAGCTGAATAAGGTGAACGACGCGTGCTGCTTAGCCACTGGAAAGAAGGCAGCTTCCTCGCACCCACAACCAACTTTATGTGAGTGGAATACAAACTTTCATGCATGAAGCCAAGAGATGTGTTACCATATACCCATCCAAGCAATCTGCTTTTCTAAGGTCACTAGTAAATGGCAGAACCAGGATATAAGCAGGATACAGGACAGCCGTACATCCTGTGCTTTGTATAAGGAATTAATTAGGAGGAAGAAAAAGCAAAACAAAACAGTGCTAGGCCAAGTGAAACCAAAGCCTGGGGCATTTTCTCTTGCTTATTTTTTCCACAGTTGTTCTGCCCTTCCTAACACGAACACCCATCAAGCCAGGAGCTTACATTTCCTGAGCACTTGACATGTGCCAAGAAATGTGCTATATGTTTTGCCTTGTCCTCACGGGAGGCATGCACGATTATTATCCATGGTTTTTATTTGAGGCAGCTGAGCTCAGAGGGGTTAAGTAATTTTTGAAGTTCATGTAGGTGGTAAGTGTCAGAACTGGGATTTTAACCCAAGATGTGTGACATCAAAGCATAATCTTATGCTATTACTTAGCATAAGATTTTTGCCAAAACTGACAGGGAGGATGGCATGAAAATGGCCACACACACACACACACACACACACTGAATCACTTAAGATAGAAGGGAGCCAATCCAATGAACCACAAGTACTGGAAATGTTCCCTCAAGGCCCCGCCACTACACTTAAGCAAAAGTTCTCAGCAGCCAAAATAAAGTAGCTTTTTATCAGAAAACTTAGTGCTGTGCTTGAGAACTCCACTGCTATTTCTATGCTTGAATAGTTTCTGTTTTGCAAGGTCAGTGGTCCAGGTTTTGAGAACTAGCTATTTAGGTAAATGCGTGCTATGGAAATTGAGGGGTGTGCTTATTGAGGTGGCTCTCCATGCCTAGGCGACCACAGGGTCACAGGGTGTGTGCTGTGGTGGGACAATCACGCACCAGCAATTCCATGCAAATCATTCTTCTAGGAGACAATGACATTTGGCGAAGAGTGGGCCTGACCTGCTTAGCACACTCACCATCCAGATGTCCATCTTTTACATCACGGTGACATCAAACACACCAGGTATCTTCGAGCCACCCAACACAACTCACTCTCTTACTTAGTAATAACATTTCCTTCTTTCATCCTGTATATTTCTTTCTTTCTTTTCTTTCTTTCTTCTTTTTTGAGACAGAGTCTCGTTCTGTTGACCAGGCTGAAGTGCAGTGGTGTGATTTTTGACTCACTGCAGCATCAACCTCCTGGGCTCAATGGGTCCTGCTGCCTCAGCTTCCTGAGTAGCTGTGACTACAGGCATGTGCCACCATGCCCAGCTAATTTTTTTTTAGACGGAGTCTCGCTCTATCACCCAGGCTGGAGTGCAGTGGCATGATCTCGGCTCACTTCAATCTCTGCCTTCTGGGTTCAAGTGATTCTTGTGCCTCAACCGCCCGAGTAGCTGAGATTACAGGCGCATGCCACCATGCCAGGCTACTTTTTGTATTTTTAATAGAGATGGCGTTTCACCATGTTGGTCAGGCTGGTCTTGAATTCCTGACCTCAAGTGATCCGCCTGCCTTGGCCTCCCAAAGTGTTGGAATTACAAGTGTAAGCCACCATGCCCAGCCCTAGCTAATTTTTGTATTTTTGTAGAGACAGGGTCTTGCCATGTTGCCCAGGCTGGTCTCAAATTCCAAGATTCAAGTGATCCACCTGCGTCGGCCTCCGAAAATGCTGGGATTACAGGCATGAGCCACCCTGCCTGGCCTGATCATGTATATTTCTTAACTAGTCTTCCATTTGGCTCGTATAATTACATCAATGCTAGAATACAATTCACATTAGGGAGGCAAAGATAAAGATACATATGTGAAATTATATAAGATAAAGTTGCCTAAATAGAATGCAGCCTAATTCAGGCATCCCTGTTACCACGTCTGGGTTTCTAGAGCAGTCCAAGATGTAAGCAACATTTATAGATCTGGGTTTGGTAACTTCCAGCCAATTTTTTTTTCTGGTTATGATAATATTTCTTTTTTTTGCAAAATATTTTTTCCTAAGGGTAAGTGATTTTTGAATATGGGAGAAAACTACCTTTTCCACTAATAAGGTGGAGTAGATATCCTGCTAAAGCAATGCTAAATAAAACATCTAAAAATATTGAATACTATATATATATATATATATATATATATATTTTTTTTTTTTTTTTTTTTTTTTTTTTTTTTTTGAGATGGAGTCTCATTCTGTCACCCAGGCTGGGGTGCACTGACATGATCTCGACTCACTGAAACCTCCACCTCCCAGGTTTCAGTGATTCTCCTGCCTCAGCCTGCCGAGTAGCTGGGATTACAGGCACCCACAACGACGCCCGGCTAATTTTTGTACTTTTAGTAGAGACAGGGTTTCATCGTGTTGGCCAGGCTGGTCTGGAACCTCTGACCTCAAATGATCCACCCACCTTGGCCCCCCAAATTTCTGGGATTACGGGCATAAGCCACCGCGCCCAGCCTGAATACAATAATTTTTTAAGCTTTTTTTTTCAAAAAAATATTTGACTGCACTTTCAAGGCAGCAGGGGCAATTCTCAGGAGTCGGAAATGAAGAGACCAGGAAACCATGGTGGTAAGCAGGTCTGACAGCCTCTGTCCATAGACCCTATGAAGGAGTTTTTTACCATTCTCAGCTTCCAAGGCCCTGAGTTTGAATGGCCTCATGAGGTAAGGCCTTGGGTCCATATAATTTGGGAAGCTGGAAATGAGCTGCATCACATATATTTGCCACGCTCAGTGAAAAGTTGGGCCCGAAAAACTCCACACCGCAGCACGATCATGACAAAGAAGCGTATCTGCTTTGGCCTTGGCTCTAGGTGCAGGGGAAAAAGGCCCCTGAAAATGTATAATGTTAGCCTTCTGGCACATGGATTTGGGGAATGAATTTAAATCACCTGAGCTGTCCAGAAACCCCAGAGCTGAGAACTTTAACTTAGAGTGGTCTTGGGTTGAGGGCAGCTGGCAGAAGTTAAAAGTAAATCCTTTCTGGAGGTTTGCGCACTCAACCAAAGCCTCTCAAAATTCCACACACAAAGCCCAAAGGCCATGAGCTCACAGCCCCAGTCACAAACATACAAGTGAACAAGCTACCATGAGCAAGAGGCAACAGAAATGACCACCACAGAGCTAGGTCCCCCAGGGCACCAGATAGTGGAATTATCCCATATGGAATATAAAATGATCCTGTTTACACTGTTTAAAAAAATACCAGGGATTAAAACACATAAACAAGAAATAAGAGAGTTAGCCATGCATGGTGGCATACACCTGTAGTCCCAGCTACTTGGCAGGCTGAGGCACAAGAATTGCTTGATCCCGGGACGTTGAGGCTGCGGTGAGCAGAGATCAAACCACTGCACTCCAGCCTGGGTGACAGAGTGAGACCCTGTCTCAAAAAAAAAAAAAACAAAAAAAACAAAAAACAGGCCAGGCGCAGTGGCTCATGCCCGTAATCCCAATACTTTGGGGGTCTGAGGTGGGCGGATCACCTAAGGTCAGGAGTTCAAGACCAGCCTGGCCAACATGATGAAACCCCATCTCTACTAAAAATACAAAAATTAGCTGGGCCTGGTGGCAGGCACCTATAATCCCAGCTACTCGGGAGGCTGAGGCTGGAGAATTGCTTGAACCCAGGAGGCAGAGATTGCAGTGAGCCGAGATCATGCCACTGCATTCTAGCCTGGGCAACAGAGCAAGACTCTGTCTCCCACCCACCCCCTACCCCAAAAAAGAGAAGATAGTATCAAAAAGATCAAACAGACTTGAAAAAAGAAACACAGTACTTCTAAAAATAAAATAAAATAAATAATGGAAATTAAAAACTCAATCGATAGGTTAAAAAAACAACTGAAAGAATTAGGCAATCATTTCCTAGGCCTGGAAAATTCAGGTTTTTGCCTTCGAGAATGTTTATGCTAAGAAGCATCCAGCTGGATCTGTGTCCTTTTGGAGCTGGGGTCCTGCAGCGGCACTGGGTGTCTGTGGGACAGAAGGAACGTCCACCCTGTGTCCAGTAGGACAGAAAGGATGACCCTAGCCCTAGAGTTCCCATGGACTTCTAAAAGAAAATTTGTTTTTATTTAAAGCTGCTTAGAATGAAGGTCTTCAGAAGCCATCCACACAATTTTCTACTTAGAAGATATTTTCTCCTTAACTGAACAAAATCACTTTGGTGTATCTTCCGGGTTTGACCTTATTAATAAATAAACATCTGAAACTTGATGTGCACAAATGTTTAACGTTGAAGTCTGCATGTGTGTGTGTGTGTGCATATGTGTGTATGTAAATTTTAAAATAAGACTTTACTGTGCTTTAACAGAATATTTTGTTGAAAACAGAAGGCAGAAAAAATTATGAACAGCAAAATACATAAAGATCTTACCCAGAATTCAGCACAGAGACAAAGAAATTTTAAAAATGGGAGAGAAAAACAAATATGATGATGGATGGAATGAGAAGATTGGAAGCACAGTGACAAGGAATTTCATAAGAAAGAAGAATTATCAAACATTCAACGGCAGGGAATTCTCCAGAGTTGATGAAAGATACAAATTCCCAGATTTAGGAATTAAGTGTATCTCAAGCTAAATAACAAAAAACGAAGCCCAGGTCACATCATTGTGAACCTAGATCACCAAAACAAAGAGAAGGTTTTAGGAGCAGCCAGGGAGGAAAGACAGCTTATCTATGAGGGTATAAAAATCAGAGTGTCAGCAGAACTTTCTCATTTGCAGTCATAAGACAGAGGTACAATATTTTTCAAGCAAGAAAAAATAACTGTCAACCTAGATAACCTATCATTCAAGAACAAGGACAAAAAAGATATTCTCTCCTCTTTCTCTCTCTCTCCATATATACATATATATGTCCTTGTTCTATGTATGTATAGTTTACTGTAGCTCAAAGTTAAAGCATTCCAAGGTCTTAGAGTGTTGTGGAGCCACGCAATATGGCAGACAGCCGACTGTCTCCCAGTGTGTGCTCTTCTCTTTGTCCTTCTAGTAACAGAATACACCACCTTGCATTTTAACTGGGCCCAACAGCTGGAGACTACATTTTCCAATGCCCAACTGCTATGGGTTAAGGGGTGAATGGGAAGGGAGAAATCTGAGACAGAATAAAGACAAACTACCAAGAAGAAATAGGAGACAATAGCTGGAGGGGAACATGTATTCCAAAAACAGTTTTGCTTTTTTTTTTTTTTTTTAGATGGGGTCTTACTGTGTTGCCCAGGTTAGTCTTGAACTCCTGGCTTCAAACAGTCCTTCTGTCTCAGCCTCCTGAGTAGCTGAGATTACAAGTGCAAACCACCACACTTGGCTCAGTTTTGCTATTTTTAAAGACAATAGATACTAGAGCATGTTTGCTTATGTGTATGATCCAATGGAGAGAGAGAAAATCTTGCAAAATAGAGGAAGCTGTAAAAGGGAAAGCTGCAAGAGGGAAGGTCTTGACAGGGCAAGAAGGGGTCCAGAGTACATGTGGTAGCAGAGGTCAGCCTTTGATAGAGGCGGGACCCACCCAATTAGATAATCAGATAATTTTCCAGCATCCATGCCATCTCATTAAATTTTAATAATTCAGTTAAACATCTTGAATATTAATTGCTTTTCCTAAAAGGCGAAATTCTGTACTCTTTCAGAGTAGATATCATTGATGAGACTCAGAATCTCCAAGTAAAAGAGGATGATTCATGTTTAAGACGTAAACCAGAGTGACCACAGGCAATGGGAAAATATTGAAGAATAGGGTTGAAAGGTAATCCTAAAACTTGTATGTTAAACATTTAAGCAAACATGCCTGGGTTCGTTGCTGGTTATTTTTCCTTGCTTTTCTATAAGGTAGATATGAGAATGAATTCTCTGGAGGTCAGACAAGGGACTCACAGAAAAAGTTGTTGAGGAAGTAATAGGACAGAGAGATGACTCTGTGAGGATGCATGTCATGTTCTTAACTGCATTGCAAGCAGTTAGAAGTTTCTGTGGCCCCTCAGCGCCTCCCATACCACTGAGTCTGCAGCAGAAATTCATCAATGTGCAAGGCCCTAGGAAAGACTGAATAAAAGGTGGAGAGGCTAACAGAGCCAAAAGTACCCACACCTAGAGCTGACAGAATGAGGCAAGGGACCGAGTGAGAGGGAATTATTCCAGTACTATAATTTAGTAAGGACCTTCTGAAACTCCAGTGGTGTCAAGATTAAGTAGTTATGGCCTAGTGGCAACTTCATGGGAAAGAGCCAGAGGGAAAATTAACTTGCATTTGACATGAAATACATACTCTGTGGGTATTCATCAGAGTAAATTATATGCAGTGGGGATGTTCAAAAGCACTTCCTTTTTCTCCCTTAATGAATATGTACTGTTGAATAACATTGTATTGCCCTCTTGGCTTTTAGTAACAATCAACAACTTCTGATGCCTATAATCTAGCATTTAACTGTCTATACTTATGATTAAATTGAGGATAGATACACATTATCATAATCCCTAGGGATTGCATATTATTTCCTACCAATCCTTAGTTCCTTGCTCCTCAGCACAATGCAGGATCCCAGCCAGGCTGGCGGGCAATGCCGTGGGAGAGCCCAGTGTTGGGGAGAAGACCCAGCCTCAGGGGGAGCCTGGGAGGCCAGGTGAGCTGGCCCAGCTGCCAGCCAAAAAATGGAAGCGCCAGAGTGGGAAGATGCAGGGGTAGAGGGGTGGGAGAGGGCCAGGATAGGCATTTCCATGCCTCTCTCTGTCACCTTGAGAACATGGAACATTGGCTATTAATAGTCAGCAGCTGTGGCCTGCCGTCCTGGGGAGCCTGGGGGAACCATGACTAGGAGGACAGCCTGCACGTGGAAGGCAGCTGGGCTGGAGGGAGTGAGGGTTGCAGCCTGGCCTGGGGCCTTCGTCCTCTTCCTGCAGGGCCTCCCATGTGCTTTTCTCCATGGCTCTTGTGGTGAACGTGCAGAACACATGCATGTGAAGCCTCTGTTTACAAGAAGGAAAGAGCCAGGTGGTTCTAAGAGGTCTTTTTTAAAGGAGGAGGCTGTAATCCCAGCACTTTCGGAGGCCGAAGCGAGTGGATTGCTTGAGCTCAGTTCTCCAGCAGCCTGGGCAACATGGCAAAACCCCATCTCTGCAAAAGATACAAAAATTAGCCAGGTGTGGTGGCATGTGCCTGTAGTCCCAGCTACTTGGGAGACTGAGGTGGGAGGATCGCTTAAGCCCGTGTGGTCGAGGCTGCCATGAGCTATGATCTCACCACCGCACTCCAGCCGGGGTGACAGAGCGAGACCCTGTCTCAAAAAAAAAAAAAAAAAAAAGCAGGCGAGGGAGCACTGCCATGTACCCAGCTTCTTCTCACAGCACACCTGGGGGCAGGTAGCACAGGTGCAATCACTCACATTTTAGAAAAAGGGGACTGGAGAGGTAAAGTGATTTGCTCCCAGTTGGTGGCAAAACAGGGGTCAGGCTCCAGGTCTCTGGAGTTGTCTCAAGGACTCATTCCATCAGGGCTTAGAATTGGAAGCATCTTAATTAGCAGATGTGCCTTAATGAAGATGTGAAGGCAGGGAGCTGACATTAATTGCTACCCCCTCAATTATGATGAGCCAGTATCCAAGAGTGACTATCTAATATAAGCAGTTATAGAAAATAGTCATTTTAATGTCCATATCTCGACTAGCATAGGCCTAAAGCACTACCCAGGTGGTTTTTGAAAGCACTTCCCATTCTGTGTTCACAGACTCAGAAAGTGGGTAGTGGTCCTGAAAATTGTATATATTCTGTGGAAGTAAGAGTATCTGACAGCAACAGATCACAAATACAGGAGCATCACACATCATGACCATGAACATTTCCAGCTGTTACAGTCCTGAGTCTTAGTCCAAGTAGACGTTAGTAACCACTGGAACATCAGCCTGGAAAGATAAAAATGGGCAGAGAGACACGGAAAGGAGGAAGATTCCATAAATCCATTTCCCATCAACTGGTCCTGCCACCACTTCTCCCTGGCCACAGACACTTTTGGCTACTCTTTCAAGAACGGTGTAAGGGGCTCAGAAAGAGCAGAGGCCCAGCCTCTTCCCGTGGGCCTGTGGGAGAAGTCTAGAAGGTGCTCCTGTGTCAACCTCCCATCCTGGCCAGTATGAAGGAAAGGAGCCCTCAAACCTTGGGTGGCCTATGCCATCTTTCTCTTTCCACAATCCCAGCTTCTCCTGCCCAGTCTGAAACTCCTACTGTCAGAGTTACTGAAACATGGCAGTGGTGCAGGGAGAAGGGGAGTGGGCTGAGCAAAGGGATCACTAGGAATAAACTTGATGAGGAACGTCCGAGGCGTCGCATGAACAGGCGTTAGTTTATTGTCACCAGCTAATTGCTTCTTTAACAACTTTTTGATGAATTTCTGCTGCAGACTCAGTGGTATGGGAGGCACTGAGGGGCCACGGAAACTTCTAAAGGGCTTGCAATGCAGTTAAGAACATGACATGCATATGGCACAGAAAGCTTCAATGGATAACACCAAACCATATAACTAAGCCACATACTGCAGTGGGAACCATAAGAACAACTAGGGAATTAAAGAGAAAGGGATCGGCTGGGAGCAGCTCACGCCTGTAATCCCAGCACTTCGGGAGGCTGAGGTGGGCAGATCACCTGAGGTCAGGAGTTTGAGACCAGCCTGGACAACATGGTGAAACCCCGTCTCTACTAAAATCGCAAAATTTAGCTGGGCATGGTGGTGTGTGCCAGTAATCCCAGCTACTTGGGAGGCTGAGGCAGGAGAATCACTTGAACCCAGGAGGTGGAGGTTGCAGTGAGCCAAGACCGCACCATTGCACTCCAGCCTGGGTGACAAGAATGAAACTCCATCTCAAAAAAAAAAAAAAAAAAGGCTGGGCGCGGTGGCTCATGTCTGTAATCCCAGCACTTTGGGAAGCCAAGGCAGGCGGATCACTTGATGTCAGGAGTTCAAGACCAGCCTGTGATGAAACCCGTCTCTACTAAAAATACAAAAATTAGTTGGGCCTAGTTGAGTGTGCCTGTAATCCCAGCTGCTCAGGAGGCTGAGGCAGGAGAATCTCTTGAACCCAGAAGGTGGAGGTTGCAGAGAGCTGAGGTTGTGCCACTGCACTCTAGCCTGGGCGACAGAGTGAGACTCTGTCTCTCAAAAGAAAAAGAGAGAGAGCGAGAAAGGGACCAAAGAGGGATTCCTATCACCCAAGAGGGCGTCATGGAAACATTTCCAGGGCAAAAAGCGAAATAGTCAGTAAAGGGGTACATCCTCCCCTGGACTGTGAATTCCTCATGGGCAGGAACCAGTAAAATGACAGACGGTTTGCTGGGAGTGGAGGTAGTGGATTTGACTACATCAGAATTTTGTCCAGAACCAACCTTGCCTACCTCCACCTGATTTAGGTAGGATACCATAGTGTGGCTGTCGGGACAAATTTACCCAAGTAAATCCTGAACAGGTAAGTATCCTGAAGTTTTTGGCTTAAACACAAACACAGCTTCACATTCTCTCTGGTGGCCCAGGGACAGTGACTTTTCTTAGTGTCTGCAGGAGATACACATGTGTGCTTGCCTCTAGGTTTTGTACAGCAGATGAAGCCACTGTCACCCGAGCTGGGGCCTATTGGCAAGTTCCCAGGTGAAGGTGGGGGCTAAACCCCGAGCGCGGCTCCACCTCGGCACTACTGGGCTGGATCATTCTCTGTTGCAGGGGCTGCCCTGTGTGTTCTGAGCAGCATCCCTGGCCTCTGCCAATCCGTGCCAGTAGTGCCCACCCCTCCCCAGCCCAGTCCAACAATCAGCAATGTCTCTAGCAGCATCAAACATCCCCCCAGCTCTAAACAGGATCCCACACTATGGTGCCATGAGAGGGTGTCCACAGCCAAAGGGTCTGTACCCTGCTCATCATTCATCACGTATTCTCCGGGCAAAGCCACTTTGCTTCCGTTGATGGCATTCTTTGAAATATGAAGAGAACTTAGACTTCCTCTAATTCAAGGCTCTCTCTTTAAGGAGATTAAGGCCCAGGAGGGAGCTCAGTTCATAGAACGAGTAAACACTGCAGAATGTGCCACTCAGCCCTTGCAAGGCTGCTCCCTACCACAAAGCAGGAGGTAGAGCACCAGCTCCCCTCCCCTCCAGCAGTGCCTAGCAGGCCCCTTGCTGGGGATGAGTGTATCATACTATGGATATTTGTTTTAAAAATAGTTTTTGAGGACCAAAAGGTAAACTTAGGTCATTTATTCATCATTCAGGAAACATTTTTGATGTGCTTTTATTGACTACTGAGGACACAGGTCTCTGCTCAGAAATAAGCATATGCAGTAGGCATGAAGAGATCATCCTAAAACAAAGACAGATGTGAGGCAACAGGCATGTTGTTGGGGCTGAGGGTGCAGAGGGGCCTCATCCAACCCAATGGGAAAGGCGAGGACCACTTTCAGGGGCTGCAAACCCCTGAGCTAAGTCTAAGAGAATGTTTTCAGCAGTCAGCCAGACAGAGTAAGAAAGCGAGGCCAGAGGAGGGCACTGAAGGTGTAAAGGGAAGCACACAAAAGCTTGTGGCCAGTCGGGCGCGCCGGCTCAAGCCTGTAATCCCAGCACTTTGGGAGGCTGAGGCAGGCGGATCACCTGAAGTCAGGAGCTCGAGACCAGCCTGGCCAACATGGTGAAACCCTGTCTCTAGTAAAAGTACAAAAATTAGCCGGGCATGATGGTATGCACCTGTAATCCCAGCTACTCGGGAGGCTGAGGCAGGAGAATTGCTTGAACTCTGGAGATGGAGGTTTCAGTGAGCCGACATCATGCCATTGCACTCCAGCCTAGGCAACAGAGAAAGCCTCAAAAAAACCAAAAAGCTTGTTGCCTGGAAACAATGCGGTGGGCGCGCAGAATCCCAGCACTGCCACCTCAGCAGGATGTAAGAGTCGAGTCAGAAGAGACAGAAATCAGACTGAAAGGCCGTGACTGCTGTCCCGAAGAACTTGCATTTCATTTCTTGGGCAATGAGGAGCCACTGAGAAATACAGTCAAGGAGCACAAGGTCAGGTGGGAGCAGTGGGTAGGACAATGCTGCAGTGTGGGGAGAGGTGGGAGACCCACAGGCAGGGTGGAGGGAGGGGAGTTGAGGATGCTTCTGAGGATGCCTGGAAGAGTCAAGAATGACACTCAGGGCCGGGTGCGGTGGCTCAAGCCTGCAATCCCAATACTTTGGGAGTCCAAGGTGGGAGGATCACTTGAGGCCAGGAGTTCAAGACCAGCCTAGTCAACGTAGCAAGACCCCAATTCTATTTAAAACTACAAAAGCAGATGCTCAGGTGTCTAGTGGTGACTTCAAATGAGACAGCACACACAAAAGGAGCAGACGTGCAGCGGGAGCTCTGGACCTCCACGTGGGACACGTTATGTCTGAGAGACTCCACTTGGAGCTGCCCAGTGCATGTGTGTGTGGGACAGACAGGATGGGAGATCCAGGTTGGGAATGGTGCAGGGGGAGCAGAGGGACCAGGGTTGCATCCATGAAATGGGGTGACATCACGGCAGGGGCTGGGGTATGGGCACAAGTAATAAAAGCAGGAAGCCGACTCTTCTGGGGAACAGCAACATCTAAAAGAGGCACCCCCTCGCCAGAAACCAACTTTCTGGTCAGCCCAGCCACTCTGTTAGGTGAGATGCTCTTGCAAGACTTTCACCGCCCCATCCCCTCCAGCCCCTGGCTGGAGCAGCCATGCTGGTCTCTTCTGTGCTGCAAAGGGAGCTGGAGTCTGAACACGGAGTGGGATTGGTCAGACTGCTCGTCAACCTTTGTTTCCCAATTGCTCAGGCAGCTCAAAGACTTTCATTTCCCACCACCACACTCTCCCCAAGGCACCAGAATGTGAGCTGGCACCACAGTGAGGACTCAGGACCCTACTAATGGACTGTGAACCTAACATTTGTGGAAAACGTTGCACAACTTCTAAGGCTTGTGGTCAGATGGGTTCATCTGCAACCTAATCTAAGTGTAGACTCTTAAGAACTAGATTATAGCTTACAGAAGAGGTTGACTTTTATTACAAAGTGTGCTACCAAAGGGTAGCGCACTTTTGCCACATATTTGTAGTCCTGTATGTTTGTGGTAGGGGGAATAAGGCTCTTTGAACAGCCCTCCCCGTGTGTCATGCCCTCTGATGAATACCCACAGTGTCCCCGTTTCTCATGAACCAGGACTTGCTGTTTCCCCCTGGATTTCTCTCGTAAACTTGACCCTCTCTGTAGGACAGAGACAAGAGCATTTGCTCAAACCCTTCATGAATTCTTTTCAACCCTTAGACATTTCAGTCCTTCTGACAGTAATCACACCTTTCAGCTACTGAGTTATTTAACCTGAGATTCAGAGGCCTGTCCCTAGAGGAAAATGATGGTTTCAATGAGGAGCGTTTCTTAAAGCATTTTGCATTTTATTTCTTACTCCAATTTTCCAAGTGCTTCTGTGTATAGAAATTCCTACTCTTTCCCTAAAGCGTTGTAGTCTCCTTTTTACTGAAGAGAAATTAAAGTGCAGGGCTGGTGGCAGGGCCCAGAGCATAGAAAGTATCTTCAGGTGGGTCCGGGCATGGGTGTGGCCCTAGGTCACAAACCCTGGCCCTGTCCATCCTCAGGTATTACTGCCTAAAGGAGGATTGAGTGGTAGCTGAACTACAAGGACAAACAGGTTTGGTTTTTTTCCTGTTTAAGAATGAAATGCAGTCGGGCACTGTGGCTCACACCTGTAATCCCAGCACTTTGGGAGGCTGAGACGGGTGGATCAACTGAGGTCAGGAGTTTGAGACCAGCCTGGCCAACATGGTGAAATCCCATCTCTATTAAAAATACAAAAATTAGCCAGGCATGGTGGCACGCACCTATGTCACTGCACTACAGAGAGACGCTTTGTCTCAAAAAACAAAACAAAAAAACCGAAATGCTTCCTGGCAGAGTGGAGTCTCTCCTCCATCCACAGTGGACTCTCTTTATTATGACTGTGATGTGTTTGGGGTGCACAAGCTGGTGTCTTCTCCAAGGTTGCTGAGGAGCATTCTGGAAACACAAGTTGATTGTGAAATCCTCCACAATTCCTCACAGCATGGTATCACCCTGTGAGAAATGTAGGGATCTAAACCCTGCAATTCACAGTGAGTCTGCTGAAGCGTTGGACAAGGAGACTGAGATTTAATCTTCATTCTCCACTAATTGGCACTGTAATGTTCCCAGAAGTCATTTCTGCTCACTGGGTCTCAATTTTCTAATCTATAAAATGAAGGGTTGAAGTAGATCACTGTTTCTCACGCTGCAGGGTATAGACATATTTTTGTGAGCTGTGAGGTCTCCTCTATAAGAATTTTTTTTTCTAAAAAAAAAATTATTTTTCTGAGATGGAGTGTCGCTGTTGCCCAGGCTGTAGTGCAGCTCACTGCAATCTCCACCTCCTGGGTTCAAGCGATTCTCCTGCCTCAGCCTCCCAAGTAGCTGGGATTACAGGCGCCCGCCACCACACCTGGCTAATTTATGTATTTTTAGTAGAGATGGGGTTTCACCATGTTGGGCAGGCTGGTCTCAAACTCCTGACCTCAGGTGATCCACCCGCCTTGGCCTCCTTAAGTGCTGGGATTATAGGTGTGAGCCACCGCGCCCAGTCTTTTTTTTCTAAATTTTTAATTTTATTTATTTATTATTTTCTTTCAACTATCTCCCCCAGGAAGGATTATTTATTTTTTAGAGACAGGGTCTTGCTCTGACACCAAGGTTGGATCATATGACATGTGGTGGCATGATCATAGCTCACTGCAGCCTTGAACTCTGGGGCTCAAGCAATACTCTTGCCTCAGCCTCTCGAGTAGATGAGACTACAGGCATGTGCCACCACACTGAGCTAATTTTTTTATTTTAATTTTTTTTAGATATACTGTCTCCCTATGTTGCCCAGGCTGGTCCCAAACTACTGGCCTCCAGTGATCCTCCTGCCTCAGCCTCCCAAAATGTTGAGAATTACAGGTGTGAGCCACCACGCCCGGTCAATCCAACTTTTTAATTCAAAAAAGTTCAGACTTACAGAATAGTTGCAAAAATAAAACAAGAACATTTACACACCCTTCACGTGGATTCACTAATAGCATTTTGCCACTCAAGTCTATTCCCTTCTATTGGTGTTTTCTTTTTTTTGAGACGAAGTCTAGCTTTGTTGCCCAGGCTGGAGTGCAGTGGCATGATCTCGGCTAACTGCAACCTCTGCCTCCCAGGTTCAAGCGAGTCTTCTGCCTCAGCCTCCCAAGTAGCTAGGACTACAGGCATGTGCCACCACGCCTGGCTAATTTTTTGTATTTTTAGTAGAGACAGGGTTTCACCATGTTGGCCAGGCTGGTCTCCAACTCCTGACCTTGTGATCCACCCACCTGGGCCTCCCAGAGTGCTGGGATTACAGGCATGAGCCACCACGCCCAGCCATCTATTGGTGTTTTCATGTTCATGAAAATGGGCCAGGTGCAGTGGCTCATGCCTGTAATCCCAGCACTTTGGGAGGCCGAGATGGGCAGATCACAAGGTCAGGAGATCGAGACCATCCTGGCCAACATGGTGAAACCCCATCTCTACTAAAAATACAAAAATTAGCCGTGCGTGGTGGCACAGGTCTGTAATTCCAACTACTCGGGAGGCTGAGTCAGGAGAATTGCTTGAACCTAGGAGGCGGAGGTTGCAGTGAGCCAAGATCGTGCCACTATACTCCAGCCTGGGCAATAGAGCGAGACTGCGTCTCTAAATAAATGCATGTAAGCTTCTATCTGAATTATAGAATAGAATAATAACACTGAACCCATAGGGCTACTGAACGAGGGCTACTGCCCGCACTAGGGCTTGGGGGTCTGCTTGTGTCTACCTTCCCTTTGGTGTCAGGCAGTACTGCTTTAATTTTCATGAGATACCCAGAAAGGAAATGAAGAGGTCTCCACAATATCCACATCAAATAATATCATGAGGCCCCACATAAATGAAGGTTGTTCAGTAATTTTAAAGGGAAAAGGGTGTGGGAAATTTGAGTTCTTTCTCATTTCATACATTTGCAACATAGTAAAGGCATGTCAAACGCACACAAAAACTTCTCCAGAGAAGTCATTTTCATATTGATGTTACCAGTAGCACTTAATTTAAGCAAAACATCATTTGGGAAATTAAATTAATATTATTAAATTAAATTTTAGTGGTTTGGGAGGAATGCTTTTACTGACTTTGTAAATTTGTCTTATTATACCTGTTCAAGAGCTATGAGCATAAGGAATTTATAATAACGTTGGTGCAGACTTGAGCAGCACTGTAATAAAAGTAAAACTGAGATCATGCTAGAATATCACTGGGGAGACTTGCACTCATCTTGTTTGTAGACAATGGACCAGAATAAGTTCAGATGTGCCTCAAGAGGGTCAGGCAGTTGAAGTATAACCATTTTGTTATATTGAGATTCTATATAGGATTTTGTTTGGAAAATGTTTGAATATCACCTGTCTAGATTAATTTGATGAATCCATTCATCTTTAGCAACTAAACCAATTTATTTTCACTGACAACAGAAAGTACTGGTAGCTGCAGACCATCTTTCATCCCCATGCCCTTTGACATTTCATTTTCTCTTTTTTTCTTCATTATTATTATTATTATTATTATTAGTTTAGACAGGGTCTTACTCTGTCACCCAGGCTGGAGTACAGTGGTGCGATCATAGCTCACTGCAGCCTTGACCTCCTGGGCTCAAGCAATCCTCCCACCTCAGCCTCCCAAGTAGCTGGGACTATAGGCACCTGCCACCACACCTGGATAATTTTTTAAACAATTTTTTTTTTTTTTTAGACAGAGTCTCACTTTGTCACCCAGGCTGGAGTGCAGTGGTGCGATCTCGGCTCACTGCAAGCTCCGCCTCCTGGGTTCACGCCATTCTCCTGCCTCGGCCTCCCGAGTAGCTGGGACTACAGGCACCCGCCACCACACGCAGCTAATTTTTTTGTATTTTTATTAGAGACGGGGTTTCACCGTGTTAGCCAGGATGGTCTCGATCTCCTGACCTCATGATCTGCCTGCCTTGGCCCTCCAAAGTGCTGGGATTACAGGCGTGAGCCACCACACCCGGCCTAAAAAATTTTTTTAGAGGTAGGGTCTTGCTATGTTGCCCAAGCTGGTCTGAAACTCCTGTCATCAACTGATCCTCCCATCTCGGCCTCTCAAAGTGCTGGGATTACAAGTATGAGCCACCACAACTGGCCTCTCTTTTTTTACTGTGTATGACATGGAGTTATGTGGATATACATGTGTATTAATCAGGGTTCTCCAAAGAAACACAACCAATGGGATGTGTGTATCTATATGTATATCATCTATATCTATATCTATGAGAGAGAGATTTATGTTAAGGAAGTGAGTCACACAATCATGGAGGTACAAGCTCAAAATCTGCAAGACAGGCAGCAGGCTGGAGACCCCGGGGCAGTCTAAATCCAAAAGTCATCTGCTGGCAGAACTCCTTGTTGCTCAGGGGAGGTCAGACTTTATTTTATTTTAGTTTTTGAGATAGGGTCTTGCTCTGTCACCCAGGCTGGAGTGCAGTGGCACGATCTCGGCTTACTGCAACCTCTGCCTCCTGGGTTCAAGCGATTCTCATGCCTCAGCTTTCCAAGTAGCTGGGATTACAGGCGCATACCAACATGCCCAGCTAATTTTTTTTGTATTTTTAGTAGAGATGGGGTTTCACCATGTTGGTCAGACCAGTCTCGAACTCCTGACCTCAGGCAATCCACCCGCCTCGGCCTCCCAAAGTGCTCGGATTGCAGGCATGAGCCACTGTGCCCTGCCCGGTCTTTATTCTGTTAAGGCCTTTGACTGATTCGATGAGGTCCACCCACTGTTAGAAAGAGCAATCTACTTTATTCAGAGTCCACCAACTTAAATGTTAATGTTGTCCAAAAAACACCTTCACAGAAACATACAGCATAATGTTGGGCACCTGACCCAGCCAGTTTAACACATAAAATTAGCCATAAAACATATGTCAGTTGGTTTGACTAGAAATAAGTTGTAATGGACCGGGCGCGGTGGCTCACGCCTGTAATCCCAATACTTTGGGAGGCTGAGGTAGGTGGATCACCTGAGGTCAGGAGTTCGAGACCAGCCTGGCCAACACGGTGAAACCCCATCTCTACTAAAAATACAAAAAATTAACCAGGCGTGGTGGCGCATGCCTGTAATCTCAGCTACTCGGAAGGCTGAGGCAGGAGAATGACTTGAACCCAGGAGGCAGATGTTGCAGTGAGCTGAGATCACGCCAGTGCACTGCAGCCTGGGCAACAAGAGTGAAACTCCGTCTCAAAAAAAAAAATTGTAATGGAGAAAAGAATTTGTTTGCAGCAACGTCAAGATTCTTTTGAGGGCTTAGAAATCTACCCAGGCCAGCTGCAGGTAAGTAGAATGTGTAGAATGCAGGTAAAAACAGCAGTGCGGTGGAGGGAGTGCCTCCGCGATGGCCGGGGCTGTCTCTGCTTCATGGTACCCTAGTGTACAACCCAGTGTCTGGCGTATATGATACATGCTCAGTCTGTCTGTTGACTGATGGAATGAGAAGATGTACTGGACTCCTTTGTAATATGTACCACAGCCGGGAGAAATAAGCTTTATCAAAATATCATTCTGTAAGTTGGGAAGGCACCACTAATTACCTGGCTTTAATTGATTCTTGGCAGCTGAAACTTCACAGGGTAAATCAAAGCCACCAAGAACACCGGGCCAAATTCTTTCGCTTGAGACTGTCCTAAAGTATTTGCTGAGAATGAAGGTACACTCTGAGATCTAGCAAACCACGTACATTTTCCTGTACACACCTCAGGTATCTATACACAGCAAAATAAAAACATTATAGCATGAAACTTCACTACGACCCTCCAGGCCTCCTCACCCAGCAGATGATAACAGCCTGAGGTGGGAAGCAAAGAACCCTGGTTCCGGGCGCGGTGGCTCACGCCTGTAATCCCAGAACTTTGGGAGGCCGAGGTGGGCGGATCACAAGGTCAGGAAATCGAGACCATCCTGGATAACACGGTGAAACCCCGTCTCTACTAAAAATACAAAAAATTAGCTGGGCGCGGTGGCGGGCGCCTGTAGTCCCAGCTACTCGGGCGGCTGAGGCAGGAGAATGGCGTGAACCCGGGAGGCGGATCTTGCAGTGAGCCGAGATTGTGCCACTGCACTGCAGCCTGGGCAACAGAGCAAGACTCCGTCTCAAAAAAAAAAAAAAAAAAAAAAAAAGAATCCTGGTTCCAACCTGATCCGACCTGCAGCTTCTCACACTGCCTGTCTTCTGTTTATGCCTCACCATCCTCCCCAGTGTACCGTTTATTCTGAGCCAGCTTTCTTTTTATTTGCAAAAATGTCTTAGTCTTTGTTAATGAATTGCTAAGGAGGCGTTGCTTCCCTCCAACACAGTTTGGGAAAAGGACAGCCTCCTTTACTGATTGGCTTGCATCCCCTGCTGTTCCTTAGAACTGCTGGACTTCCTCCTTCACAGCCCTGCACAGAGGAAGCTAGGGCAATTCCCTTTGGGATGATGGATTCACTTCTGATAAAAGTGCAATCTGAAATGGTGTCCCCATTCCCATGCCACTAAGGCAGTTCAGCACCTTAGAGCCCCATCCCCACTATGGGTTCAGTGTTATTATTCTGCACCTAATCTGTGTCCTTTGGCACCTTGTCTTTGCAGAGCAGACCCACGTCCAAGGAGCGCACACGGCACCAATCCCATAGCTACTTGTGTAAAAACAGTCGCTCAATATGTGCTTTAAAAAGATTTTTTCCAGTCAGAAAAGAAAAACATGCTCATTAAAAGACTAACATGAGGCCAGTCATGGTGGCTCACATCTGTAATCTCAGCACTTTCGGAGGCGGAGGAGAGAGGATAGCTTAAGGCCAGGAGTTCAAGACCAGCCTGGCCAACACGGTGAAATTCCGTCTCTACTAAAAAAATACAAAAACTAGCCAGGTGTGGTGGCAGGTGCCTGTGATCCCAGCTACTCAGGAGGCTGAGGCAGGAAAATCGCTTGAATCTGGGAGGCAGAGATCATGCCACTGCACTCCAGCCTGGGCGACAGAGCGAGACTCTGTCAAAAAATAAATAAATAAATAAAAGAAAGAAAAAAGACTAACATGAGAAATACATAAAACGTGTAAGTGTTCTCACCAAAAAATAAAGGTGACCATGTGAGGTGATGGATGTGTTAATCAACTTGATTGCAGTAATCATTCCACAATGTGTATGTGTATCAAATCATCACAATGTACACTATAAATATATGCCATATTGTCAATTATATCTCAGTAAAGCTGCAATAGAGGTAAAATAATATATAAAAGGAGAAAAGAGCTATCACTACTAATTTCACTACTGTTAATATTGGAAGTGCAGTATTAAGTTTAAAGATTGAGAAAATATATAGTAATTAAATCACCCACCAAAATATCACATTAATATAATTTATTAGTATTTAATAGTTAATATTAGAGAGAGAGATTTATTTTAAGTAATTGACTCACATAACCATGGAGGTACAAGCCCAAAATCTGCAATGGGCAACAGGCTGGAGACCCAGGCAAGAGTTGCAGTCTGAGTGACAAAATGTTTATATTAATTATCAATATTAATCATTCATATACTTTTTTCGTAAAAGATTGGCAGCAGATTTGTTTTTTTTGAGACAGGTTCTTGCTCTGTCGCCTAGGCTGGAGTGCAGTGGCACGATCACGGTTCACTATAGCCTCAACCTCCTGAGTGCTAGTGATCCTCCCACCTCAGCCTCCCAAGCAGCTGAGCCCACAGGCATGCACCACCACTCTTAGCTAATTTTTGAAATTTTTCTAGAGACAGGGTTTCGCCATGCTGCCCAGGCTGGCAGACCTTTAATTTTATAAAAGCAATAGAATATTGCAAATAAAGTTGAAGCCACATTTTTCCTTCCAGCTTTCAGCCCTATTCTCTCTCCTCCCCAGAGGTAAGTATTAATACTATCATGGATGTGGGGGAAAGGTAGCATGAGGCAGGAAGAAGAAAGGTGAGCCCAGGGCCCTACACAGACGCACCCAACAAGGAAGCCAAGGTGGCCACCCCATCACACCCCCTCAGCCAAGGCTGCTCCCAGAGGCAAGCAAGTGGAGTTGAGGTGAGGCTTAGGGTGCCAGTGCTGAAGGCCAGGCTTTGAGTCAGAGCTCGGGGTCTGCGACCTCGTGATCAATTCTCATTTAGCTTTGCTTACATTATTTTCCCAGAGCTTGGGATAAAAGCCATTTGGGAAACAAAAAGGAAATCTGGGTTGGGACCAGGACCACCAGGGAGCTCCTGAGCTGGCTTGGTGGCATCCCAGGCTCGTGCCAGGACCCAGCAGGGCTGGTTTCCATGGGCCTGAAAAGGCCCACATCAGAATTCCAGGGCATAGGCGAGGATTACTAACAGAAAGTGACCTCTTGAACAGAGAGCGAGCCTTTGAGTGTTCACATTTCTTCTCCTGGGCTCACACTTGGAAATGCCTCTTAACCTTTTAATCACCCGCAGCCCTGCTCACTCGCATGGGGTGGGGGTCACACCTCGGCAGCCTGGTTTCCCTCCCATGTAACATCAAAAGGGGAGGGGCATTTCTCCTGGAAACCTCAGTTTCCTGTCCTGTCCTAAGAGGAAATGGAGTGTATGGTAACACGCAGCCACCACTGTGCTTCTCTGAGCCGTCTTGTCTAGTTCTGATGCGTCACACTACAGCTCATAAAATGAGACGGTGCCAGCAGTGCCCCAGCCCTCAGCCAGCCCTGAGTGTGGTGGCAAGTGCCTCAGGCACAGGACTAGCCCAATTCTTGGGGTTTGGAAAAATGAAGTTGGATTCAGCCAGAAGCTGATGTTATTACTCCATGGGAGGGAGTCAAAAACACATCTCTTAGTACATAATTATCCTTTAATTTGTTTATTTGTTTCTATAGAGAACAGCATCTTGCTATGTTGTCCAGGCCTGTCTTGAACTCCTGGCCTCAAGCAATTCTCTGGCCTCCCAAAGTGCCGGGATTATAGACATGAGCCACTGTGCCTGACTCTCTAATTTAAATTTAAAGCAATTTGGTGAAAAAGACACCTAAGTTATCAGACTCTCCAAAGCTTCAGGAAACCTTTTATTCCAGTCCATGGGGTCCAACCTGGATCATAAGACAAAAAAAATCCACAATGTCTATGGGGCTGCCAATTAATTCCTTTAGGTTTTGGTCTTTTAAAGTGAACAGGTGAAATGTGGCCGGGTGCAGTGGCTCACGCCTGTATTCCCAGCACTTAGGCCGAGGCAGGCGGATCACCTGAGGTCAGGAGATCCAGACCAGCCTGGCCAACATGGCAAAACCCTGTCTGCATGAAAAATACAAAAATTAGCCAGTCGTGGTGGCACACACCTGTAATCTCAGCTACTCAGGAGGCTGAGGCAGGAGAATTGCTTGAACCCTGGAGGCAGAGGTTGCAGTGAGCTGAGATCGTGCCATTGCACTCCAGCCTGGGCAACACAGCAAGACTCCATAAAAAAACAAAAAAAGAAAGGAAAGGAAAAGGAAAGGAAAGGAAAGTGTATTACTATTGAAATGCATTATTTTCATGGGTGAGGCACTAAAGTCTGCTTATATGACAAATAATAATTTCTGAATAATATTTGGACAGCATTCTACGGTTTTCTAATCATATACACACAGCCTCATTTGCTTGCTTTGATTTGCAGTGTTTGCTGCCAGCTGGTGAGTCTCTCTCCGTAGATGGCGACTCCTGGGTGTCCGCCCTGTTTCATCTCAGGTTGCTACACGCTTTGCAGAATGGGTCCTTTAGCCGCTCTTGTTTCTGGCATTTCACAGCTGTGAAGTACAACCTCCAGGAGGATTAGATTGAACCACATGAACTTGCCATTTTTTTAAGTAAAAAATGTTTGGTTAATGGTAACTTCATATGATCCAACCTAATATTTTGGTCTAAACAAAGTTTGTGACCCAAGATGCCATTCCATGAATATTGGTTTTGTCTGAATCCTCTTTTTATGGATTCAGGGAAAGTGGAACTGATTCTAAATGCTTTAAATGGGCCGGGCGCAGTGGCTCACACCTGTAATCCCAGCACTTTGGGAGGCCAAGGTAGGAGGATCACTTGAGGTCAAAAGTTCAAGACCAGCCTGGCCAACATGGTAAAACCCTGTCTCTACTAAAATTACAAAAATTAGCCAGGCGTGGTGATGAGCACCTGTAATCCCAGCTACTTCAGAGGCTAAGGCGGGAGAATTGCTTGAACCCGGGAGGCAGAGGTTGCAGTGAGCTGAGATCATGCCACTGCATTCCAGCCTGGGTAACAGAGTAAGACTCTTTCTCAAAAAAAAAATAAATAAATAAATAAAAAATAGGCCAGGTGCAGTGGCTCATGCCTGTAATCCCAGGACTTTGGGAGGCCAAGGGGGACAGATCACGAGGTCAGGAGATTGAGACCATCCTGACTAACACGATGAAATCCTGTCTCTACTAAAAATACAAAAAATTAGCTGGGCACGGTGGCAGGTGCCTGTGGTCCCAGCTACTTGGGAGGCTGAGGCAGGAGAATGGCATGAACCCGGGAGGTGGAGCTTGCAGTGAGCTGACATGGTGCCACTGCACTCCAGCCTGAGCGATAGAGCGAGACTCTGTCTCAAAAATAAAATAAAATAAAATAAAATAAAAAAGCTTTAAATATATTATCTCCATTAGTCTGTACTATCACCCTATGAAACAGCCCTCCTGTTAGCCACCGTTCACGAGTGAAGACACCAAGACACAAAGAGGTTGAATAACTCACCCCTGCCCAGTCTCAACAGTGAGGATGTGGCTGAGCTCAGCCTTGGGCCCAGGCAGTCTAGGCCTGAAGCCTGTCTTCTTCGCTTTGGCTTCTCATCTAAGGAAACCAGAGAATGGAGAGCCAGATGGGAGTGGGAGGAGACAAGGAAAACTAATTAGTATTCATGTCCAGAGGGGTTTGCATATTTTCATCTAAAGGTAAATGCAGACCCTCACTAAAAATGGCTTAAGCCATAGGAAATGCATTAGTTACCTAATAAGAAATCTAGTGGCCAAGTACAGCGGCTCATGCCTGTATTCCCAACAGTTTGGGAGGCCAAGGTGGGCAGATTGCTTGAGCCCAGGAGCTCAAGACCAGCCTGGGCAACACGGTGAGACCCTGAAGAAAGAAGGAAAGAAAAAAAGAAAGAAAGAAAGAAAGAAAGAAAAGAAAGAAAGAGAAAGGAAGGAAGGAAGAAAGAAAGAAAGAGAGAAAGAAAAGAGAAAGAGAGAAAGAGAAGAAAAGAAAGAAAGAAGAGAAAGAGAGAGAGAAAGAAAAGAAAAGAAAAAGAGAGAAAAAGGAAGAAAGAAAGAGACAGAAAGAAAGAAAGAAGGAAGGAAAATAAATTAGTTGGGTGTGGTGGCAGTTACCTGTAGTTTCAGCCACTTAGGAAGCTGGGGTAGCAGGATCACTTGACCCCCAGGAGGTTAAGGCTGCAGTGAGCCGTGATCCACCGCACTCCACCCTAGACGACAATGTGAGACAGATCCTGTTTCAAAAAAAGAAAAGAACTGGGCCGGGTGCGGTGGCTCATGCCTGAAATCCCAGCACTTTGGGAGGCCAAGGTGGGAGGATCATTTGAGGTCAGGAGTTTGAGACCAGCCTGGCCAACATGGTGAAACCCCATCTCCACGAAAAATACAAAAATATTTGCCAAGCATGGTGGCGGGTGCCTGTAGTCCCAGCTACTAAGGAGGCTGATGCAGGAGAATCGCTTGAACCCGGGAGGCAGAGGTTGCAGTGAGCCGAGATTGTGCCAATGCACTCCAGCCTGAGTGACAGAGTGAGACTGTCTTAAAATAAAATAAAATAAAATAAAATAAAATAAGAAATAATAATAGACCCATTGCACAATAACAGATATGACATTCCTTAAACTATATATATATATATTTTTTAATTTTACTTAAGTTCTGGGACTATATTTTCTAAAATAAAAGAAAATTTAGTTAGAATAGTAGCTTTGTTTGATATTTTTACAAATCTCTTCAATGTCTGAGCTAATAAAAGATATCCCTCACATCCGCTTCTGTATTCAGTCAATGGTGATGTGTTATTTTGGTTGAAGAACATGAAGAAAACCCAGTGTCACACAGATAAATAGCTGGGAAAGGGAGGATCATTTAAATAGCCTTTCAAGATAATTGTGGATATTTTTCTTTGATGCTACACTACCTATTAGTGTGCAGGTTGAGTATCCCTTATTTGAGATGCTTGGAACCAGAAGTGTTCAGATTTCGAACATTTTCCATTTTGATATATTTGCATATGCATAATGAGATACCTCGAGGATGAGATCCAAGTCTAAACACAAAATTTATTTGTTTCATATACAGCTTACTCATATAGTCTGAAAGTAATTTTTATATAATATTTGAGATAGTTTTGTATACGAAAGAGTTTTCACTGAATTGACTGTGACTCATCACATGAGGTCAGGTGAGGAATTTTTCCAGGTGTGGCATCATGTTGGTTCTCAAAAAATTTCACATCTTGGAGCATTTTGGATTTTGGATTTTTAGATTATGGAAGCTCAACCTGTAACATTTAATGGTTAGTTGCAATGTGGAATCAGAAACCATAATAATGAAGTTTTCATACTATTTTATTAAAATCCATTCATCGGCCGGGCGTGGTGGCTCACACCTGAAATCCCAGCACTTTGGTGGGCCGAGATGGGCGGATCACTTGAGGTCAGGAGTTCGAGACCAGCCTGGCCAACATGGTGAAACCCTGTCTCTACTAAAATACAAAAATTAGCTGGGCATGGTGGTGTGAGCCTGTAATCTCAGCTACTCGGGAGGCTGAGGCAGGAGAATTGCTTGAACCCAGGAGGCAGAGGTAGCAATGAGCCAAGATGGCGCCGCTGCACTCTAGCCTGGGCGACAGAACGAGACTCCATCTCAAAAAAAAATCCATTCATCTATTTTACACTTTGAATGGATTACTTATGAATATTTCTATAACATCACACATTTTTAACTTGGAAAATATTGGCTTACTAAGTTATACAGATCTTCAAAATATTGATATATTTCACACAATATCAAAAAATTCATTCATATCACCACCTATCTTAATAAAGGAAAGTATTAAGAAGCCATCAGACTTACAGTGGTGGATCCAAGTTTTACAGTATTCTAATTTTCCATGAACTGTTCAAATTTTATCATTGGCAAGGAAAAATATCCATTGCTTTCACTTAAATAAAATGTCCACTTTGTTCATTGTGAACACAACATCTACCAAATACCCAAATCTAAGTAATCATAGTTTGTCCCACCTGCTGTTCTTTCAAGTAAAAATGGTGTTCCATGATCCAAGTAGCCTGTTTAGCTCATAACTCAAATGGTTGTTGATATGGCTGGACTGTGACCCCACCCAAATCTCATTCTTGTAGCTCCCATAATTCCCATGTGTTGAGGAGGCACCTGGTGGGAGATGATGAATCAAGGGGGCAGGTCTTTCCCATGCTGTTCTTGTGATAGTTAATGGGTCTCACAAAATCTGATGGTTTTAAAATGGGAGTTTTCCTGCACAAGCTCTCACTTTGCCTGCTGCCATCCACATAAGATGTGACTTACTCTTCCTTGCCTTCTGCCATGATTGTGAGGCCTCCCCAGGCATGTGGAGCTATAAGTCCAATAAATCTCTCTTTTGTAAATTGCCCAGTCTCGGGTATGTCTTTATGAGCAGCGTGAAAACGGACTAATACGGTTGCACGGGTGCTTTTCCTGAGACAAGCTTCATACTTCAGTATGTAGTAAAAGTGCTTCACGGGCACTTCCCATTTGGTCATGCAGAAATAGTAAAAAGGTATGTGTTCAAAATGTTAAGATTTGGCCAGGTGCGGTGGCTCACGCCTGTAATCTCAGCACTTTGGGAGGCTGAGGTGGGTGGATCACCCGAGACCAGGAGTTCCAGACCAGTCTGGCCAACTAATTTTTTGTACTAAAAATACAAAAAATTAGCCAGGCGTGGTGGTGGGCACTGGTTGTCCCAGCTACTTGTGAGGCTGAGGAAGGAGAATTGCTTGAACTCAGGAGGCAGAGGTTGCAGTGAGCCGAGATCATTCTACTGTACTCCAGCTTGGGCAACAAGAGCGAAACTCCGTTCCCAAAAAAGAAAAGAAAAGAAAAGAAAAGAGAAGAAAAGAAAAGAAAGAAGGAAGGAAGGAAGGAAGGAAGGAAGAAAGTTAAGATTTAATGGAATTATTGACTTTTACAGCTTCATCAAGGACATTTTTAACTGAAACTGTCTTGCCTTTTTTTAACTGCATGTATGGGATGGTGGAGGACATGATACTTCTGGTATGGAGACAGCTGGTACAATTGAATGCCACTGCCTGGATTCATGCTAAGGAGCCAGCAGTTTTACTCACCGTAGCTTTTGTATCATGCATGTAAATGTCAACAGACTTGTTCCAGGAAACAACGTGAGATTCATAAGAGGCTTTTCAAAGCTTTGTATTTCTTACTAAGAGACAGGTTCATTGTCAAAAGAGTTATTCCACGATTTGCATTTGTCGCCAAATAATTCCCATGAAGGATCTTTGGTGATCATTAGTTGGGGCTGATACAGGATGAATACAGGCACAAGAGCAAGCCCAGTCAAATTTGTAGATTCAACCCAGCAGTAAGCAAAAGTACAATTCTGCAGAAGAGATATTAATTCAGTTATTACTTTTATAGCCAAATCTTTAATGCAACAAGTTACTGGGTCATTGGAAAGTGGCATTACCGTAATTTCCTTTACTGACTTTTCATCCAGCAGGCATCCAGCAATGTCATCTGTAAAAGGCTTTATAAGGTTTCAACTCTATGTGCTCTTCTGCAGCCAATGTAACAAAATAGCTTAACTGTGCAAGGAGCTTTGGAGGTTGTCTCATTTCTCATAGGAAAAGATGTGGCAAACAACTTTTAGCTTTTAAAGAACTCATCATATCTATATTTAAAATATTTAATCCACGGGGTGACAGGGAGGTGGGGATGGTTAATGGGTACAAAAAATAGTTAGAAAAAATGAGTAAGACCTACTATTTAATAGCACAACAGGGTGACTATAGTCAATAATCATTGTACATTTTTAAATAACTAAGAGAGTATAATTGGATTGTTTGTAACACAAAGGATAAATGCTTGAGGGGACAGATATCCCATTCTCCATGATGTGAGTATTAATACCTAGTATTTGATAGCACAACAGGGTGACTACAGTCAAAATATTTTAATTGTATATTTAAAAATAACTAAAAGAGTATAATTGGATTGTTTGTAACACAAATGAGAAATGCTTGAGGGGACGGATACCTTATTCTCCGTGATGTGATTATTTCATATTACATGCCTGTACGAAAACATCTCATGTACCCCATAAACTATGCACCTATGGCCAGGCGCCATGGCTCACCCCTGTAATCTTAGCACTTTGGGTGGCTGAGGTGGGCAGATGACCTGAGATTGGGAGTTTGAGTCCAGCCTGATCAACATGGTGAAACCCCACCTCTACTAAAAATACAAAATTAGCCAGGTGTGGTGGCTCATGCCTGTAATCCTAGCTACTTGGGAGGTTGAGGCAGGAGAATCGCTTGAACATAGGAGGCAGAGGTTGTGGTGAGCCGAGATCGCGCCATTGCACTCCAGTCTGGGCAACAAGAGCAAAACTCTATCTCAAAAAATAACCAAAAAACTATGCACCTCCTATGTACCCACAAAAATTTAAAATTAAAAAAAGATTTTTTTTTGAGACAAAGTCTCGCTCTGTCACCAGGCTGGAGTGCAGTGGCACGATCTCAGCTCACTGCAACCTCCACCTCCTGGGTTCAAGAGATTCTCCCACCTTCGCCTCCCGAGTAGCTGGGGCTACAGGTGTGCACCACCACACCCAGCTAATTTTTGTATTTTTAGTAGAGATGGGTTTCACCATGTTGACCAGGATGGTCTCGATCTCTTGACCTTGTGATCTGCCTGCCTCAGACTGCCAAAGTGCTGGGATTACATGCGTGAGCCACCACACCTGGCCAAAATTAAAATTTTTTAAAGAAAAAGGAAATAAAAGGAAAAAATAATAAAATATTTAATTCTTTTTTCTTTGAATTCTGAGTGAGTGGTCTTCAAGTGATGCCACAACTTAATTGGCACCATCACACTTTATCTTTTTTTATTAATAAGCTTTATTTATTAGAGAAGTTTTAGGTTCACAGCAGTAGTGAGGAAAAGTACTAAGAATTCCCACATACGCACTGTCCCCTGACACACACAACCTTCCCCATTATCAACATCCCACACCACAGTGGTGCATTTGTTACAGTCAGTGAACCTACACTGTGACACATCAGTATCACGCAAAGTCTGCAGTTTCCATGAGGGTTCTCTCTTGGTGTTGCACATTCTGTGGGTTTTGACAAGTGTATAATGACATGCATCTACCATTGTAGTATAATACACAGTTTAACTGCCCTAAAAATTTTCCGTGCTCTGTCTGTTCATCCCTTCCCCTCTCCCTAATTCCTGGCAACCACTGGTCTTTTTCCTGTCCCCCTAGTTTTCCCTTTTCCAGAATGTCATATAGTTGGAATCATACAGTATGGAGCCTTTTCAGATTGGCTTCTTTCCATTAGTAATATGCATTTAAGTTTCCTCCATGTCATTTCATGACTTGAAAGCTCCTTTCTTCATACCACCAAATAATATTCCATTGTCTGAATGTATAAAAGTTAATTTTTTCACAGCCCTACTAAAGGGCATCTTGATTGCTTCCAGGTTTTGGCAGTTATGAATAAAGCTGTTGTCAACCTCCATGTACAGGTTTTTGTGTGGACCTAAGTTTTCACCTCCTTTGGGTAAATACCAATGAGTGCCACGGCTAGATTATATGGTAAAAAATAGGTTTTCTTTTGTAAGCGAATGCCAAACTGTCTTCCAAAGTGGCTGTGTCATTTTGTATTGCTGCCAGCAATGAATGAGAGTACCTGTTGCTCCACATCCTTGCTGGGATTTGGTGTTGTCACTGTTTTGGATTTCAGCCAGTCTAATACGTATGTAATGGAATTTTTTTTTTTTTTTTTTGAGATGCAGTCTCGCTCTGTCACCCAGGCTGGAGTGCAGTGGCGCGATCTCGGCTCACTGCAAGCTCCGCATCCCAGGTTAATGCCATTCTCCTGCCTCAGCCTCCAGAGTGGCTGGGACTACAGGCACCAGCCACCATGCCCGGCTAATTTTTTGTATTTTTAGTACAGACAGGGTTTCACCGTGTTAGCCAGGATGGTCTCGATCTCCTGACCTCATGATCCTCCCGCCTCGGCCTCCCAAAGTGCTGGGATTACATTCTCTTTCTAGTTTTCTAAAGTGGAAACTTCAATTATTGATTTGAGATCTTTCCTCTTTTCTAATGTATACAATTATATAAATTTCCCCTTAAACACGGCTTTTGTTGTATCCCACAAATTTGATAAGTTGTATTTTCATTTTCATTTAGTTCAACATATTTTTTCTTTTTTCTTTTACTTATTTATTTATTTATTTGAGATGGAGTCTTGTTCTTGTCACCCAGGCTAGAGTGCAATGGTGCAATCTCAGCTCACAGCAACCTCTGCCTCCTGGGTTCAAATGATTCTCCTGCCTCAGCCTCCCGAGTAGCTGGGATTACAGATGCCCACCAACACGCCTGGCTATTTTATATTTTTAGTAAAGACAGAGTTTCACCATTTTGCCAGGCTGGTCTTGAACTCCTGACCTCAAGTGATCAGCTCACCTCAGCCTCCCAAAGTGCTGGGATTACGAGTGGGAGCCACCGTGCTCAGCCGTCTTTTTTTTTTTTTTTTTTTTTAAGATGGAGTCTCTCTCTGTTGCCCAGGCTGGAGGGCAGTGGCGGGATCTTGGCTCACTGCAACCCCTGTCTCCTGGGTTCAAGTGATTCTCATGCCTCAGCCTCCCAAGTGGCTGGGATTACAGGTGCCTGCCACTAGGCCTGGTTAATTTTTGTATTTTTAGTAGAGACAGGGTTTCACCATGTTGGCCAGGCTGTTCTCAAACTCCTGACATCAGGTGATCCACCCAGCTTGGCCTCCCAAAGTGCTGGGATTACAAGCGTGAGCCACTGTGCCCAGCCCATTTTTTATTTTTTCTTGAGATTTCCCCTTGAACCATGTGTTATGTAGAAGTGTGTTATTTTATCTCCATGTATTTTGGAATTTCCCAGTTTTCTTTCTGCTATTGATTTCTAGTTTAATTCCACTTGGGTATTACAGCAGATATTGCAAGATTTCTGTTGTTTTAAAGGTATTAAGACACATTTTATGGCCCAGAATGTGGTTCTATCTTGATGAATGTTCCATGTGGGCTTGAGAAGAAAGTGTAATCTGTTGTTTTTGGATAAAGCAATCTATAAATGTAATTATATCCAGTTGATTAATGGTGCCGTTTATTTCAAGGATGCCCTTACTGATATTCTGCCTGCTGGATCTGTCTATTTCTAATAGAGGAGCACTAGAGTCTCCAAGTATAATGGTGAGTCATCTATTTCTCCTTGCAGTTCCATCAGTTTGTGCCTCACATATTTTGATGCTCTGTGGTTACATGCATACACATGAAGGATTATTATGTCTTCTTGGAGAATTGATCCCTTGGTCATTATGTACTCCACCTTTATATTCCTGATAAAATTCCTTGCTCTGAAGCCTGTTCCAGCTTTCTTTAGATTAGTTGTTAGCATGGCTTGTCTTTCTCCTCTCTTTGCTTTCAATCTCTATGTGTCTTAATATTTAATGTGAGTTTCTTGTAGACAACATATAGCTGAACCTTGTTATTGATCCACTCTGACAATCTCTTTCAGTTGGAGTTTTTGGATCATTGTCATTTAAAGTGATTCCTGATATGGTAGATATTGTATTTGTCAATGTTTTCTATTTGTTGCCTTTGCCTGTTGTTCCTATTTTTGTCCACCACTCTTTTTCTGACTTTTGAGGTTTTGTTTGTTTAGACACAGGGTCTCACTCTGTTGCCCAAGTTGGAGATTCACTGGAGCAATCATAGCTCACTGCAGCCTTGACCTTCTGGGCTCAAGCAATCATCCCACCTTAGCCTCCCAAGTAGCTGGGACTACAAGTGTGAGCCATCATGCCTGGCTAATTTTTTTTTTTTTTTTTTTTTTTTTTTTGAGACGGAGTCCCGCTCTCTAGCCCAGGCCGGATTGCAGTGGCACAATCTCGGCTCACTGCAAGCTCCGCCTCCCAGGTTCACGCCATTCTCCTGCCTCAGCCTCCCGAGTAGCTGGGACTACAGGCGCCCGCCACCGCGCCCGGCTAATTTTTTGTATTTTTAGTAGAGACGGGGTTTCACCGTGTTAGCCAAGATGGTCTCGATCTCCTGACCTTGTGATCTGCCCACCTCGGCCTCCCAAAGTGCTGGGATTACAGGCGTGAGCCACCGCGCCCAGCCTTTTTTTTTTTTTAAGTAGAGACAAGGTCTTGCTCTGTTGCCCAGGCTGGTCTTCAACTCCCAGGCTCATGCAATCTTCCTGCCTATTACACATCTTATTTTCCAAGATGCCCTCCCGGTTGCTATCCCAATGAAGTACTGTTTGGAGAATAACATACCTTTCAATAATTTGCTTATTGTTGATAATGTTCCCACACATCCTCCTATTTGTCACCTTCATCCAGTATCAATGTGGTGTTTCTCCAAACACCATCTCTTTTATCCAAACAATGGGTCAAGGAGTTACAGCCACTTTTAGGGCTACTACCTCAGAAGACCTTTACCGAGGCTATTGCAACTGAGGAAGACATGGAGAAGACATTGATCAATCCTGGAAGGATTACAATGTCTATGACTGCATCAAGAAACTTGTTTGGTTCTTGGAGTGATGTCACCAAGCAAATCTATGATTAAAAAAAGAAACTAGGCCGAGTGCAGTGGCTCACACCTGTAATCCCAGCACTTTGCACTTTGGGAGGCCAAGGCAGGTGGATCATCTGAGGTCAGGAGTTCAAGACCAGCCTGGCCAGCATGGTGAAACTCCATCTCTACTACAAATACAAATATTAGCCGGGCTTGGTGGCGGGTGCTTGTAATCCCAGCTACTCAGGAGGCTAAGGCAGGAGAATCAGTTGAACCTGGGAGGCGGAGGTTGTAGTGAGCCAAGATCACACCACTGTACTCCAGCCTGGACAACAGAGTGACACCTCATCTCAAAAAAAAAAAAAGGAAAAAGAAAAAGAAAAAGAAAGAAAGAAAGAAACTAAATGAAACTAAGCAAACCACCATGGACATATTTCTGAAAAGAGTGACACTTCCTGAAGGAGAGCCTCAGGCAGGTCCTTCAGGAGATAGTCCAGACAAAATGTGGAAGTGGAAGACAATGATATTGATGATCTTAATAAATAGGCCTAGGCTAGTGTGTGTGTTTGTGTCTTTGTTTTTAACAAAAAAATTTAAGAAGTGAAAAAATAAAAAATTTTAAAATATTTAAAAGCTTATAGACTAAAGATACAAAGAAAGAAAATGTTTTTGTATAACTATACAAGCTTTTTGTGTTTTAAGCTAAGTGTTATTTCAAAAGAGTCCAAAATTTTAAAATATTTAAGAGATTACACAGTGAACATGTTATAGTAAGCTAAGGTTAATTTACTATTAAATAAATAATTTTTAAATAAACTTAGTGTAGACTAAGTGTACAGTGTTTAAAAATTCAATAATAGTATACAGTAATGCTGCAGACCTTCACATTCACTCATCATTCACTCATTCATTAAATCATCCAGAGCAACTCCTAGTCCTTCAAGTTTCGTTCATGGTAAGTGCCCTATAAAGGTGTAACATTTTTTATCTTTTATACTGTATTTTTATTGTATTTATTCTATGTTTAGATACACATACTTAACATTGTGTTACAATTGCCTACAGTATTCGGTGGACAGGTTTGTATCCTAGAAGCAATAAGCTATATCATATAGCCTAGGTATGTAGTTGGCTATACCATCTAGGTTTATGTAAGTACATTCTATGATGTTCATACAATGACAAAATCACCTAACAACACATTTCTCAGAACATATCCCATCATTAATTGACATATTACTGTAATGATCTTAAAGAAACTCAGTGAGACGAGAATATAGACAATTTAATGAAACCAGAAAAACAATTCATAATATAAATTTAAAAATTTTTAAAGATATATATCATTTAAAAATAACCAAATAGAAATCTTGGAGCTGAAGAATTCAAAGAATGAAATGAAAAATACATGTGAGAGTTCCAACAGAAGATTAGATTAGGCAGAAGAAAATTTTTTTTTTTTTTTTTTTTTGGAGACAGAGTATTGCTCTGTTGCCCAGGCTGGAGTGCAATGGCACAATCTCGGCTCACTCTTCAAGAAATGTTTCTGGGAAAACTGGATTTCCACATGGAATAGAATTAAATTGGATCCTTATCTTACACCTTACACAAAAATCAACTCAAAATAAATAAAAGGCCTAAATGTAAAACCTGAAACCATAAAACTCCTAGAAGAGAACACAGGGGAGAAGCTCCCAGACATTAGCCTCTGCAATGGTTTCTTGGATGTCACACCAAAAGCCCAGGCTACAAAAACAAAAATAAATCAATGGGACTACATCAAACTAAACAGCGTCTGCATAGACAAAGAAACAATCAACAAAATGAAAAGGCAACCTACAGACTGGGAAAAAATTATTGCAAACCACATATCTGATAAGGAGTTAATATCCAAAATTTATAAAGAATCTTTACAGCTCAATAGCAGATAAATAACTAGATTAAAAAATAAGCAAAGGACCTGAACAGATATTTCTCCAAAGAAGATATACAAATGGCCAACAGGTACATGAAAAGGTGCTCAACATCACTAATCACAAGGGAAATGCATATTAAAACCACTATGAGATCATCTCACACCCATAGGGATTGGTATTACCAAAAAAACAAACAAAAAACGCCGGGCGCGGTGGCTCACGCCTGTAATCCCAGCACTTTGGGAGGCCGAGGCGGGCGGATCACGAGGTCAGGAGATCGAGACCATCCTGGCTAACACGGTGAAACCCCGTCTCTACTAAAAATATAAAAAAACTGGCCGGGCGTGGTGGCGGGAGCCTGTAGTCCCAGCCACTCGGGAGGCTGAGGCAGGAGAATGGCCTGAACCCGGGAGGCGGAGCTTGCAGTGAGCCGAGATCCTGCCACTGCACTCCAGCCTGGGCGACAGAGCGAGACTCCGTCTCAAAACAAAACAAAACAAAACAAAACAAAAAAAAAAAAAACAAAAAAAGCCAAGATATAACAAATGTTGGCAATGGTGTGCAGAAAAGGAACCCTAATACACTGTTGGTGGGAAGTAGATTGGTACAGCTATTATAGATAAAAGTATGGAGGTTCCTAAAGCAATTAAAAATAGAACTAACATATGACCCAGCAATCCCTCTTCTCGGCATATACCAAAAAGGAAGTGAAATTACCACCTTGTAAAGATGTCTGCACTCCCATGTTCATTGCAGAGTTATTCACAATCCCAAGATATGCAAACAACTTAAATGCCCATTGACAGGTGAATGAATAAGTAAAATGTGATATATATAAACGATGGAATATTATTCAGCCTTAAAAAAAGGAGATGCTGTGATGTGCCACAACATAGACGAACCTGGAGGACATTATGCTAAGTGAAATAAGCCAGACACAGAAATAATATTGCATGAGCTCACTTACATGTGGAATTTTTTAAAAAAGGGCTCAAATACACAGAGATAGAGACTGAAATGCTGGTTACCATGGATGAAGGTGGAGGAAATGGGGAGATGTAGGCTTAAGGCAAACTTCAGGATTTCAAAGTAATAATTAATTGAACAATAATGAGGTTGAAGGGAATATAGCAAGTATAACTGGAAGTAGCAAGAGCTCAGGAGTAGTGAAGACAGTCTTAGTTCATCTCTGAAAATGTTCATCTTTATATCCTAAACCTACCTTCTTAGAAAATTCCAGAAAATATTCCTAAGCAAATGAGAGTATAGAAGGCAAATAATGTTTTAATATTACTATAAAATAGTTTTGACCGCGAGGCGCGGTGGCTCATGCCTATAATCCCAGCCCTTATTACCTCTGGAGGCTGAGGAGGGAGGATCACAAGGTCAGGAGTTCGAGACCAGCCTGGCCAACATGGTAAAACCTCGTCTCCACTAAAAATACAAAAATTAGCCAGGCTTGGTGGTGGGCACCTGTAATCCCAGCTACTGGGAGGCTGAGGCAGGAGAATCACTTGAAACTGGAAGGTGGAGGTTGTAGTGAGCCGAGATCGCGCCACTGCACTCCAGCCTGGGTAACAAGAGTGAAACTCCGTCTCGAAAAAAAAAAAAATAGTTTTGACCTTGCAGACTTCCTAAAAGGGTCTTGCAGTCTTACAGGGATCCCTGGACTACATTTTGAGAACTGCTAGATTAGCAAAGCAGTCAGAGATAGACAAACAGAAGTCAAGCACAGTCACTTGGCCTGACTTATCAATGAGGGTGTTTGTGATTGAGCAGGCGTTTTTCTCTCTGGTACTTGCAATGGGAAACAATAAATGTTTGGAGAAGGCTCCTTCGAAATGTTGACGTTATAAATTAAAGGAGAAAGGAGAGTTTAAGTTAGAAGAGACAGCACCAGCCCTAGCACCTGAAGTCTTCGGTTTTCATTCCTCATTTTTTAACTACAGGTGACATGTCTCTTCAACATGGCCTTCTTCTGCAAAATGAAAATTTTAGACCACATTCATGATCTCAAAAGTCCCTTGTTGTTCTAACCACTTCTAATTAATTAATGTGATGAAAGTGCAGTAATTTTAATACTCCAAGCACTGAAAACTTGTCTCAGTTCACAAGAGGGTACAAAAATATGGCCTTAGCAATTTCCACAGACTTGCACAATGCCCTGCTCCAGTGGGGGTCCTCAGAACAGATAACACCACTGCTGCCCAGCATCCTGAGTGCTCAGTTTGGAGGCTTGATGAGATCAAACTCCAATTTTCACCAAAAATATCTCTACTATTTGGCCTGCAGGAAAAAAGCATAAACAAAAACCTTGATTTGACTAAAATACCAGCAGAGAGGGACACCATCTGTGACCTTGCTAAGGAATTTTAGAACTGAGCGGCTAAGGGAGAAATTTGCAAGAGCTCCAGTACTGAATTTACTGTTTTTAAGACTGCCTGGGAAATCTACAAAGTAAAAAATAGCAACAATAATAGTACGACGTTGGCCTGCCAATGGTTTAGTTCAGATGTGTTCCACTTAAGAAGCTAATGGAAAAAAATTGTGTATTAATCATAGCCAATTGGAAAATATAATGGAAGAAAAGACATTTCTTGTCTCAAAAAAAGATAAAAATAGCTAAAAATAAATTTATCAATAAATGTGCAGTTGCCATAAAGAACATTTTATAATTTACTCTTGGACACAAAACTAATCACCTAGAAAGATCCACTATGTTCTTAGCTAGGAAGACTCCATATGTGAAAGATATCAAGTCTCCCTAAGTTGATCTATAAATTTAATTCAATTCCAGTAAGATTTTTAAATGGATTTTTTAAATCACAGAAGTATAGTCTAAACCTTGTATATAAAAATCAATATGATTTTCCAATAAAATTCTGAAAAAAAAGAGTAATTAAGGAGAACTGGAACTGAACCAACCAGATATTTTAAAATATTAAAACCTTCAAAAAATAAAATAATGCTACACATACATCAGTAGAAAGGATTAGAAAGTTGATAAATAGGCCAGGCATGGTGGCTCACACCTGTAATCCCAGCATTTTGGGAGGCCGAGGCAGGCAGATCACCTGAGGTCGGAGTTCCAGACCAGCTTGACCAACATGGAGAAACCCTGCCTCTACTAAAAATACAAAAATTAGCTGGGCGTGGTGGCACATGCCTGTAATCCCAGGTACTCAGGAGGCTGGGGCAGGAGAATTGCTTGAACCAGGGAGGCAGAGGATGCAGTGAGCTGAGATCGTGCCACTGCATTCCAGCCTGGGCAACAAGAGTGAAACTCTGCCTCAAAAAAAAAAAAAAAAAACAAAAAAAAGGAAGTTGATAAATAGACTGGAATACATACAGAAATGGATAACATAATGAAGGTACATTAAAATCAGTTAGAACAGAATATTTAAAATAAATGGTCTTAGAACTACAAGGTAAACAAACACATGGACACATTTCAAAGGGGCCACATATTTAAACATAAAAAAGCAAGCTGTATTTTGGGAGGCCAAGGAAGGTGGATCACTTAGGGTCAGGAGTTCGAGACCAGCCTGACCAACAGGTGAAACCTCGTCTCTACTAAAAATACAAAATTAGCTGGGTGTGGTGGTGTGTGCCTGTAATCCCAGTTGCTTGGGAGGCTGAGGCAGAATTGCTTGAACCCAGGAGGTGCAGGTTACAGTGAGCCGAGATTGTCTCACTGCACTCCAGCCTGGCAACAGAGTGAGACTCTGTCTCAGGAGAAAAAAAAAAAAAAACAAGCTGTAAAAGCATATAGAAATCATAGCAGAAAAAGGCAAGCTGTAGGCAGGCGCGGTGGCTCACGCCTGTAATCCCAGCACTGGGAGATGGAGATGGGTGGATCATGAGGTCAGGAGATCGAGACCATCCTGGCGAACACGGTGAAACCCCGTCTCTACTAAAAATACAAAAAAATTAGCCAGGCGTAGTGGCGGGCGCCTGTAGTCCCAGCTACTCGGGAGGCTGAGGCAGGAGAATGGCGTGAACCTGGAAGGTGTAGCTTTCAGTGAGCTGAGATCGTATCACTGCACTCCAACCTGGGCGACAGAGTAAGACTCTGTCTCAAAAAATAAATAAATACATAAATATATGTAAGCTGTATAAGCATATAGAAATCATAGCAGAATTTATTATAAGCCTAGAGCGAGTACTGACGAGCTGCAGCTCCTGTCCAGTGAGGTGAGTTAAGCAACAACTCCCATTAACTATTTAATAGAAAAGCACTTGGATCCTGCCTTGACCTTCCAGGGGTAAAAACAATATGGCTGCTTCTTCACATTTGTCCTCCAATCTCCTGTGAAAAAAGTGTCTCCTTTGGCCCACTCTCCCAGGGGGCTCACAGGAAAGGGAATTCTGAGGCCTGTAGTTCGACCCAATCAACTCGACACATCTCAAAACCATCACCCTGAAATGATAAGCGATCAAGGCTTTTTATTCCAGTATTGCTAAAGCAATAACCCAAATAAACTATCACCAATTTTCTCATTAAACAAATGATGGTAATCTGTAAAAACATATAGATTAGTATTAAAACAAATACTATACAATCATCACAAGAATGAAAAAGTTTTATTGACCTAACACAGTTTCCAAAAAACTGTGTCAATTGAGAAAGGGAGCTGAAACCAGTAGGTTTAAAAGAAGAAAATGTGGCCAGGCGCGGTGGCTCACGCCTGTAATCCCAGCACTTTGGGAGGCTGAGACAGGTGGATCACAAGGTCAGGAGATCGAGACCATCCTGACTAACATGGTGAAACCCTGTCTCTACTAAAAATACAAAAAAAATTAGCCAAGCATGGTGGCGGGTGCCTGTAGTCCCAGCTACTACAGAGGCTGAGGCAGGAGAATGGCGTGAACCCAGGGAGGCAGAGCTTGCAGTGAGCAGAGATCGCGCCACTGCACTCCAGCCTGGGCGACCGAGCAAGACTCCATCTCGAAAAAAAAAAAAAGAAGAAGAAAATGTGTTCTGATTTACTTCCATATGCATAAAATATCTCTGCAAGGATACACAGAAAGCATAATATTCATAAATTCCACGGGGGAAAATAGCTGAAGAAGAGGAGCCGCAAGAAGATATCCTTTCACTCCTACTAAATTTTGAAGCATAAATTGACCTATTTTTAAATTAGTAAGAGGTGACAGCGTGCTGGTAGCCCTCACTTGCTCTCGGCGCCTTCTTGGCCTCGGCACCCACTCTGGCCGCGCTTGAGGAGCCCTTCGCTGCTGCACTGTGGGAGCCCCTCTCTGGGCTGGCCAAGGTCAGAGCCAGCTACCTCTGCTTGCGGGGAGGTGTGGAGGGAGAGGTGTGGGGGGGAACCGGGGCTGCACGCGGCACTTGTGGGCCAGCGCGAGTTCCAGGTGGGCATGGGCTCAGCGGGCCCCACACTTGGAGTAGCTGGCGCTGCCGGCCTGGGCAGTGACGGGCTTAGCACCTGGGCCAGCAGCTGCAGAGGGGGTGCTAGGTCCCCCAGCACTGCTGGCCTGCCTGCACCATGCTCAAATTCTCACCAGGCCTCAGTCGCCTCCCTGCAGGGCAGGGCTCGGGACCTGAGGCCCGCCATGCCCAAGCCACCCCTCCTCCCCCCGCCCTGTGGTGGGCACCCGTGCAGCCCGAGCCTCCCCGACAGGCACCACCCCCTGCTCTGCAGTGGCCAGTCCTATTGACCGCCCAAGGGCTAAGGAGTGCAGGCATGCAGCACCGGACTGGTGGGCAGCTCCGCCTGCAGCCCTGGCGTGGGATCCACTAGGCGAAGCCAGCTGGGCTCCAGAGTTGGGTGGGGACTTGGAGAACTTTTATGTCTTGCTGGAGGAGTGTATATGCACCAATCAGCACTCTATCTAGCTAATCTGGTGGGGACTTGGAGAACCTTTATGTCTAGCTAAAGGATTGTAAATACACAAATCAGCCCTCTGTGTCTAGCTCAAGGATTGTAAACACACCAATCAGCACCCTGTGTCTAGCTAAAGGATTGTAAATGCACCAATCAGCACTCTGTGTCTAGTTCAAGGTTTGTAAACGCACCAATCAGTGCTCTGTGTCTAGCCAATCTAGTGGGGACTTGGAGATCTTTTATGTCTAGCTAGAGGATTATAAATGCACCAATCAGTATTCTGTGTCTAGCTCAGGGATTATAAATGCACCAAACAGCACCCTGTCAAAACGGACCAATCAGTTCTCTGTAAAGCAGACCAATCTTCTCTCTGTAAAATGGACCAATCAACAGGATGTGGGTGGGGCCAGATAAGGGAATAAAAGCAGGCTGCCTGAGCCAGCAGCAGCAACCCACTGGGGTCCCCTTCAGTGGTGTGGAAGGTTTGTTCTTTTGCTCTTTGCAATAAATATTGCTGCTGCTCACTGTTTGGGTCTGCACTGCTTTTATGAGCTGTAACACTCACTGTGAAGGTTTGCAGCTTCATTCCTGAAGCCACTGAGACCACTAACCACCAGAAGGAAGAAACTCCAAACACGTCCGAACATCAGAAGGAACAAACTGCTGGCACATCATCTTTAAGAACTGTAACACTCACCACGAGGGTCCACAGCTTCATTCTTGAAGTCAGTGAGACCAAAAAACCCACCAATTCCAGACACATTAGTATATGTTTTTTGAAAAAAGGAAACGATCAAAAGGGTGTGTATTGGATATCCTCATGTACAAAAGGGTGTGTATTGGATATCCTCATGTACGTGGCACAGTGCTAGGTATTATCTAGTCACAGAGACAAATCCAACTTGGAACCTCTCCTGTCCTGAAGGAGCTTGGCATCTTCTAGTAGAGATGGGGTTTTGCCATTATAGCCAGGCTGGTCTCAAACTCCTGACCTCAGGTGATCCGCCTGCCTCAGCCTCCCAAAATGCTGGGATTATAGGCGTAAGCCGCTGCTCCTGGACTCTCCTGGATTTTCCTTCCTCTATGTTCCTTAAATGTCAGTGTTCTGCAGGGTTCTGAGGACCACTTCTTTTCTCATTCCTGGGTAATCCCATCCACTCTAGTAAATTTATTAATAACTATCATCTGCATGCTGAGTTCTCCACCATGTATGTCTCAATCCTTGTCATCCCTCCTGGGCTGTATACGTGTGCATGTGTATGTCTCTTAATTCATTTTTACAGAGTGGTCCCACAAGGATCAACATGTCTAAAATCAAATCCATCACTTTCTCCACCCGCAAGGATACCCCTTAGAAGCCCCAAACCTGATATTCCTCCCTAATTATCTTAATCTCAATGGATTTTCATCCTGTGCTTCATTATTATTTACTATTATTAAAACAGAGAAGGGTTAATTTTATTTTCAAGTCTGTCTTTGCTTGTTTTCTGCTTTTGCCTGAATGCCAAGAAAAGCCTCTCCTACTCTCAAATCAGAAAAAAAAATTGTCCATACCTTTATTTATTCCTTTTACAGTTTAATTAAATCTTTTATTTTGCTGAAAGTTATTTTGGTATGAGGTAGGGATCTGATGTTCCAATACCATTTGTTGAAAAAAAAAATCCATCCTTTCTTCTATTTGTTTGAATTAGTGTTCAGCTCATTCTCTGGAGTTTTCCAAGTAATAAATGTAATTAATGAAAGTTCCACTTTACTTTCCAATGTTTATACTGCTTATATTAATCAGGACTTTTGGGTTGGCAGCAATAGAAATATAGAAACTGAGCCAGGAACTGTGGCTCACACCTCTAATCCCAGCACTTTGGGAGGCCACTGTGGGAGGATCACTTGAGCACAGGAGCTCAAGACCAGTGTGGGCAACATAGTGAGACCTGTCTCTACCAAAAATAAAAACAAAAAGTATTAGCCGGGTGTGGTGGTACATGCCTGTAGTTCTAGCTACTTGGAAGGCTGAGGCAGGAGGATCCCTTGAGCCCAAAAGTTCCAGGCTGCAATGAGCTATGATTGTGCCACTGCACTCCAGTCTGGACAAGAGACCTTGTCACAAAAACAGAAAGAAATACACACAGAAATCCAACACTGATAGGATTTGGATATTTGTCTCCTCCAAATCTCATGCATGTTGAAATGTAATCCTCAGAGTTGGAGGTGGGAGGTGACTGGACCGTGGGGGCAGATCCCTCATGACTGGTTTTGCACCATCCCCTTGGGGGTAAGTTGGTTCTCAGTTAGTTCATGTGAAAGCTGATTGTTTAAAAGAGCCTGGGACCAGGCCTGGCGTGGTGGCTCACGCCTGTAAGCCTAGCACTTTGAGAGGCCAAGGCAGGCAGATTGCCTGAGCTCAGGAGTTCAAGACCAGCCTGGGCAACACGGTGAAACCCCGTCTCTACTAAAATACAAAAAATTAGCCGGGTGTGGCAGCATGCACTTGTAGTCCCAGCTACTCAGGAGGCTGAAGCAGGAGAATTGTTTGAACCTGGGAGGCGGAGGTTGCAGTGAACCGAGATTGCACCACTGCACTCCAGCCTGGGACAGAGCGAGACTCAAGACTCAAAAAAAAAAAAAAAAAAAAAAAGGCTGGGACCTCCCGCCTCTCTCTCTCGCTCCCGCCCTCACCATGTGAGGCACCTGCTCCCACTTCACCTTCTGCCATGAGTAAAAACTCCCTGAGGCCTCATCAGAAGCAGATGCCAGCACCATGCTTCCTGTAAAGCCTGCAGAACTGTGAGCCAATTAAACCTCTTTTCTTTATAAATTACCCAGCCTCAGATATTTCTTTATAGCAATGCAAGAATGGCCTAATACACAGTCTTAAGCAAGAAACAAAAGTACCGATTGGACAGAAGTAGCTTTGGTCATGGCTGAATTGGAGGATTCATATGACATCTTAATTAATCTGCCATGCCATCCCTCCGCTCTGCTTCTTCCTGTCTGGTTCTCATTTTCAGACAGGTGCATCATAAACAGAGGCAAGATATTTAAGTCAACTACAGGTCCCACTTAGCCTCTTTTTCCCAGTGACAAAACTCCTTGGAGCCTAAGGAGGCTGCCTGGCAATGTTATTTTTGGTCATTTTATTCACCAAAATCCAATACAGACATTATCATCTTGTCATGCTGGGCCAGGCAGCTCTCAGTGACTTAAACACAGTTGGAGCTGGACCACACCTTGTCTAGTTTCTTGACAGAATGAGTAGGCTGGGCTCTGCTTCCCACTAAAACCCTGGAGTCTCAGTATATGGACAGGAAGAATTGATGGGGTAGTTTGCAGAAGGGGTCTTTCCTTTGCATAAACATCCACTTTTGCTGTATTTCAACCCTATCATCCAAAGAGGTTTCCTAAGGTTTCCTCCCTGCATTTGTTCAGCAGTGGTACGTGAGGGAAGTGCCCCAGGAAGACCCAGGGCCTGGCTGCCCCAGAAGTTTGGGTTTGCTCATTGTTTAGGTTCCTACCACGGACCCTCGATTGCAATTGCCAGAGTTCAACTTGAAGGTTAAACCTTAGCCATACAGTTAGGAGCAAAGTACAGAATTCATTTATTGCAGTTTGGTGTGATTATGAAACTGGTTCTCAGCATTTTCAAATATTTGGCTCTGTTTTTTCTGTTTCCAGCCAAGCCACCTTGGTCTGGAATCTGTCACTTTGATGATACGTTTTGTTAAAGGCTTTGATATCTGAGTTAGAGTTCCAGTTTAAAGGGGCTGTAATCCAGCAAAACTCCCTAGCATCCCAAGGGCCTTGTCTGCTGACAGAATAGATCATCAGCTGTCTCCCTGCTACGGGGGAATCTACAGTAGCCCCCAACTCCACATGTTCCCTGAGAGCCTTTTACTAGAAACCCACTCTCTGTACCATTTTTTTTTTATTTTCTCTTTTTCTTTTTTTTTGAGACACAGTCTCCCTCTGTCACTCATGCCGGAGTGCAGTGGTGCAATCTCGGCTTACTGTGGCCTTTGCCTCCCGGGTTCAAGTGGGATTCTCTTGCCTCAGCCTCCTGAGTAGCTGGAATTACAGGTGCATGCCACGACGCCTGGCTAATTTTTGTATTTTTAGTAGAGATAGGGTTTCACCATGTTGGCCAGGCTGGTCTCGAACTCCTCATCCACCCACTTTGGCCTCCCAAAGTGCTGGGAATACAGGCATGAGCCACCACGTCCAGCCTCTCTATACCAATTTCTGCCTTCACGAAGACCTTCCTCCTGAAGCTTAGTGGAGTGTTTGTGCTCTCTGCACCATCTCTAGTTTCTCCAGTGGGCTTAGCTCTCCACTCTTCTGCACTCCCCTCACCACCAACTCCACATGAGGATTGTCCTCCCCTATGACCTCATGAGGTGTCAATGTCACCCATAGGTTTATAGTTTTGCGGGGAGGGGTAAGAGGATGAGGGAGTGTTCTTGGAAGTTATCACTGGGAAGCCAGACGGCAGCAGGGACTTGCAGAAGAGGCCGGGGGTCTCCTCCACTTTGTGGTTGGCTGGTAAGGGTGCTTGTGGCAGATAGAGTGAGGTTTCTACCTGTTTGAGTGCTTGGCAGCTGCCTGGCACAGGCTCTCGGTGCAGACAATTTGAATTCTCTAACTGCGTGGAGAAGGAGAGACCGTGGGGAAAAATAAGAGTGAGATCAGATGGGAGAAGATATTTGTAGCTTCTTAACCCAAACATGGCCTAATATCTAGAGCATACAGGGAAAGAAAAGAAAGACACGAACTTCGCTGAAAAAGAGAAAGAGAAGGGTGCGAACCCAAACAAGTGCAACAACAACAGGCAATGAAAGAAGAGGAAGCCCAAAAGGCGAATAAACCCATGAAGATATGCAGGGAAATTAAACTAAAACAGGAATATAGCCCTTCAGACCTGCTAGGGCATGACATAGAAAGCCGATAATAGGCGGGGCACAGTGGCTCACCCCTGTAATCCCAGCACTTTCGGAGGCCGAGGCGGGTGGATCACGAGGTCAGGAGATCGAGACCATCCTGGCGAACATGGTGAAACCCCGTCTCTACTAAAAATACAAAAAAAAAAAAAAAATATTAGCTGGGCATGGTGGCGGGTGCCTGTAATCCCAGCTACTCGGGAGGCTAAGGCAGGAGGATGGCATGAACCCGGGGGGCGGAGCTTGCAGTGACTGGAGATCGCGCCACTGCACTCCAGCCTGGGCGACAGAGCGAGACTCAGTCTCAAAAAAAAAAAAAAGACCGATAATGGCCGGGCACTGTGGCTCACGCCTGTAATTCCAGCACTTTGGGAGGCTGAGACAGGTGGATCACTTGAGGTCAGGAATTCGAGACCAGCCTGATCAGCATGGCAAAACCCCGTCTCTACTAAAATGCAAAATTAGCTGGTGTGGTGGCACATGACTGTAATCCCAGCTACTTGGGAGGCTGAGGCAGGAGAATCACTTGAACTCAGGAGGCAAAGGTTGCAGTGAGCTGAGATCGCACCATTGCACTTTAGTCTGGGCAACAAGAGTGAAACTAAAGTCTCAAAAAAAAAGAAAAGAAAAAGAAAGCTGATAATACTGAGAGTGTCGGGAAAGCCAGTAAGTACTGCAGCAGGATTGTGGGCTGGGGCAGCTAGTCTAGAAAGCTACCTGGTGGAACTTGGTCAAGTCAGGGATTAGCCTGTGACTAGTAATTCCTCTCCAAAAGAGCAATTACCTCATCTTTCAGGTTCCCACCATGGACCCTCCATCACAATTGCCAGACTCCAACACTAAGGTTAAACCTTATCCATATAGTTGTCCCACAGAGGACATGAAAGAGGATGTTCATTGCAGCATTGGCTGTTACTGTGGGAATGTGAAGGTAGCCTAGGTGTCCATCGCAGAGATAATGGGTAAGAAAAATTGTGGCAGATGTACACTATGGAATATTCCATAGCAGTGAGAAGCAATGAGCCACATGCACATGCAGCAACATAGATTGTCTTTAGAAACACAGTGATTGATGACAATCACAGGAAACAGAAAGACAATACAGCACAATACCTGTATGTAAATCAATAATATGTGTACGGGCTGGCATGGTGGCTCATGCCTGTAATCCCAAGCATTTTAGGAGGCTGAGGCAGGAGGATCACTTAATTCCAGGAGATAAGGTTCAGCCTGGGCAACATAATGAGACCCTGTCTCTACCAAAAATAAAAAATAAAAAATTAGCCAGGCATGGTTGTGCACACCTGTAGTCCCAGCTACTTGGGAAGCTGAGGTATGAGAATCACTTGAGCCTGGGAGGTCGAGGCTGCAGTGAACTGTGATCGCAACACTACACTCCAGCCTGGGTGATAGGCAAGACCCTCTAGGTGTCTCAAAAATAAATAAATAGGCCGGGCATGGTGGCTCACACCTGTAATCCCAGCATTTTGGGAGGCTGAGGTGGGTGGATCACCTGAGGTCAGGAGTTCGAGACCAGCCTGACCAATATGGTGAAACCAGGTCTCTACTAAAAATACAAAAATCAGCTGGGCGTGGTGGCAGATGCCTGTAGTCCCAGCTGCTCAGGAGGCTGAGAAAGGAAAACTGCTTGAATCTGGAGGCGGAGGTTGCAGTGAGCTGAGATGGTGCGGCTGCACTCCCGCCTGGGCAACAGAGCAAGACTCTGTCTCAAAATAATAAAATAAAACAAAACAAAGTAAAATAAATAGTACATGCATGATAGCAGTGATAGTTGCACAATATAATGAATATACTAAAAACCATTGAGTTGTACATGTTAAAATAGTAAATTATATAGTATGTGAATTATATTTCTCAACTTAAAAATGCATGTATATAAAACAATAGTAAATGGTTTAATAAGAACAAATAAAAAGATATTTAACTTCAAATACATTAGGACGGTTTGGGGGTTAGGCAAAGGGGAGTAAAAATAGAAGCAAAAATAAATAAAAGAATAAAGCTTTGTGCAACTCCGTGACTAAAAACATGAGTTGTTGGCCGGGCGTGGTGGCTCATGCCTGTAATCCCAGCATGTTGGGAGGCTGAGGTGGGTGAATCACCTAAGGTCAGGAGTTCGAGACCAGCCTGACCAACATGGTGAAACCCCCTGTCTCTACTAAAAAAGTACAAAAATTAGCCGGGCATGGTAGCATGTGCCTGGAGTCCCAGCTACTCAAGAGGTGGGGGCGCGAAGGTTGCAGTAAGCCGAGATCGTGCCACTGCACTCCAGCCTGGGTGACAGAGCAAGACTCCATCTCAAAAAACAAACAAACTAAACAAAAAAAAAAAAGCACAAAACAAACAAACAAACAAAAAACAACCTGAGTTGTTGCCAGTGAGGTCGGTCTCCGATGCAGCAAACCTGCCACCGTCGGAGGTCCCTCTTTTCCCGCTAGCCTGGTGCTTCCTGGAAAACAGCCCCATTTGAGAATCTCACCAGTTCCAACTTCTTTCCCAGCCTCCTCTATCTTTGAGCCCAAGTCTCTTTCCACACCAGAAAGCCTTATTATCCTCTTTTCTAATAGCCCTTGATTCTAAATTAGGAAAAGCCCTGATTGTCAAGAAAAATGGAACAGTTTTCCTCTTTCTCATGGACAAAGACGGCTCAGTATTTAGATACCACCATTCTCTGATCTCCACTTCCTGGAAGAGAGAGTCACTGTTGGCTTCATTGCAGTGGAGCTTTTTCTGCCCCACAGAGTGAGGCAAATTGCTTCTAATGAAACAAAGACAGAGTTCGGTTTTACATCCAAATAGACTGAACCTTCATACCTTGCTTACACAGGTAATAGAAATCTACTCAAACTACCTTAAGCCAATAAAGAAAGTTTATTGTGGAATACAAGAGCTCAATGTTGGAACTCAAATTTTGGAAGTATAATGAGACCTCAAGAAGAGAATAAAGCAGGAAGCTGGGAAGCTGCCAGGAAGCAGTGCTGTTGCTCTCTCTCTGTCTCTCTTCTCTGCACGAGGTAGAACGTGGCTTCTTCTCAACTAGTAGAGATCTGCATCAAGTCACTAAACCTCAACTCCCAATTCCTGGGAGTAAAAAACCTGACTGGCTCAGCTTGGGTCAGGCATTTCCCAATCCAGTTAGCCAGTGGGGAGGTGGAGGCAGCTGTGATGTGGGAGTGGAAAGTGGGGTAGCATGCTACAGAAACCCACCCTGAACACAGAGAGTACAATTCTCAAAGAAAGGGGTTCTAAGCTGGCCAGATATCCCCGGGAGTCTACGAAACTATTTACAAAGACCCATTCTCTATTCATCAGAAATAAGCACTTTAGTTAATTAAAAAAAAAAGTTATTTAGGCCACATTCTGTTATCACAGTACAATAATATTAGAAATTAAAAATAAAAATGTAAATAAAAACAGTCAATAAACATTTAAAACACTCCAATTATGGAATAAGATAAAAACTATTCAAGAAAACTTATGACCTGAAATGATTTTATTATTAATTAGGAAAAAGTTAAAATAAATAAATCAAGAATTTTTCTCAAAAAGTTGGAAAAGAAACAGTAGAAAAAAATTAAGTCTAAGGAAAGCAGAAGGAAGAAATTGAGAAAGATAAGAGCTAAAATAAATTTTTAAGTGCAAAAATGGTATTAAATAAGTTCAGGAGCTGTTTCTCTGAAACAAAATAGACACTTCTCTGGCAAGTATAATTCATACAATATGAATATGTAACATTAAACATTAGAAAGGAGACAAATTTAGATATAGAAGACAGTTATAAAAAAAAGATATAAAAGAACACCTTCTACAAATAAATTTATTTGAAAAGCTGGACAAAATAAATGATTTTATAGAAAGATATAAATGACCAAAATTAATGCAAAAAGAAGTAGCAAAACTGAACAGAACAATAAACTTGGAAAAGTTGAAATTGTCATTGGGGAAAAAAAAAAAAAACAAACCTGCCAATGAAGAAGGCACATACAGCAGGTAGCTGTATAGTTGAGTCCAACTTCCGAGTAGATAATGTTAATGTTACCTAGAATTATGCGGAACACAGAAAAATATGAATAATCTCCCATTCATTTCACCAAGCTAATATAACTTTAATATCAGAACTTCACAATATTGGATAATTACAGCACAGTGTAACTTGTTCATGCTTCAAGACAACCCCCTATTTTGATGTGCATGGTGAAGACATGGGTTAATCGCTGATTTAGTTCATACAGTGCAGGATGGAAAGGAGGTACAAATCAAGACTGACCAAGAAAAGGAATGTCTTTCCCTGGAAACCGTGGATTCCATGTCCACAGCTGAAAGGGATATGGGGTTCCCTCCTTTAGGATGAGGGATGAGTGCAGTTGTGGTTGTACATAGAAATTCAGTGTTTGTAAACTCTTTAATATATATTAATATTTAAAACAGAAATTTGCTGTCTTGCCCTTTGTAGAAATAGTCTGCTGGCCCCTGCTGTATATGCTCAACATTTCTTGTTTAATTGCTCTATCCAATATTTACAGGATTTTTTTTTTTTTTTCTGAGACAGAGTTTTGCTCTTGTTGCCCAGGCTGGAGTGCAATGGTGTGATCTCGGCTTACTGCAACCTCTGCCTCCCAGGTACAAGCAATTCTCCTGTCTCAGCCTCCCAAGTAGCTTAGATTACAGGCATGTGCCACCATGCCTGGCTATTTTTATTGCATTTAGTAGAGACGGGTTTCACCATGTTAGTCAGGCTGGTTGCGAACTCCTGACCTCAGGTGATCCACCCACCATGCCCTCCCAAAGTGCTGAGATTACCGGCGTGCACCACCATGCCTGGCCAGAGGTATTATTAAATACTCACACTCCTGTGAAGTTCTGGTCAGTTTTTGCTTTATACATTCAATACAAAGATTTATAATGAACATATCTTCTTGGTTTCATTAAATGGTTTCACATCAAATTCTATTTCATATAATAATGTAATTTTTACTGTATTTTTGTTTGTATTTGCCCAATATGTTTGCCCATCCTTTAACTTGAAACTTTTTGCTTTAAGCTGCTTCTTATAAGGAAATAAGATTGATCTTGTTTTTTACTCAATCTGAAAACCTGTGACTTATAAGGAGGAATATAATAGATTAAAGCCTATACATTTATTGCTGTAATTGGTTTATTTGGAGCTACTCCCATTACCCTGTTTCTTGCTTTCAGTCAAAGTTAGGAATGAAATGCTGTATCAGCTAGATGGTTTGCAAGTAATAACCTACCCTTTCTTTTTCTTTTTTGAGACTGGGTCTCCCTATGTTACCGAGGCTGGACTCAAACTCTTCAACTCAAGGAATCCTCCCATGTAGCTGAAAGTACAGGCATGCACTAATGGGCTTAGCTCAACCTACCCTTTCTTAAACAACAAGGAAAGCTATTATCTCATCAACATCTGTCATATTCTGAGCCATAAAACAAACTTTAACAAAGTTTTAAAAATTGAAATCACATAAAATGTGTTCTGTGACAATAACAAAAGTCAGTAATAGAAAGATACCTGAAAATCCTAAAATATTAAACAATGCATATAACCCATGGATCAAGAAGGAAGTCTAAGGAGTAATTAGAAAATATCTTGAGCTGAATGAAAATTAAAAAACATACCCAAATTTGTAGAATGCAGCAAAAGCAGGGCTTAGGGGAAATTTATAGTACTAAATCCTTTTATTAGAAAAGAAGAAAGGCCTCACATTAATAATCTAAGCTTCTGCCCTATGAAACTAAAAAAAGAGCAAATTAAACTCAAAACAAGCAGAGGAAAGACATAATAAAGAGCCAAAAGCAACAAAATTGGAAACAAAAACAATGAAAATCAATAAAAACCAAATCTACTTCTTGGATAAGATTTTTAAAACTTGAAAAACCCCTAGCCATACTGACAAAGAAACAAAGAGAGAAGTCATAAATTACCAAAATCACAAAATACAAAAAAAATTAGCAGGGCGTGGTGGCAGGCGCCTGTAGTCCCAGCTACTCCAGAAGCTGAGGCAGAAGAATGGCGTGAACCCGGGAGGCAGAGGTTGCAGTGAGCAGAGATTGCGCCACTGCACTCCAGCCTGGGCGACAGAGCGAGACTCCATCTCAAAAAAAAAAAAAGAAAAAGAAAATTACTTCTGTTTGATTTATTTTTATGTTTTCTTCAGGAATACTAGTTATTCATATGTTGGATTTCCTTTCTCTGTCCTCTGCATCCATGTTTTCTCTCTTTGTTTCTGTTTTTCTTTCTTTCTTTCTCTCTTTCTTGCTTTCTGTTTTTCTTTCTTTTTTTAAGAGACAGCAACTCACTGTGTCACCCAGGCTGGTGTGCAGTGGCGTGATCATAGCTCACTGCAGCCTTGAACTCCTGGGCTCAAGCAATCCTCCTGCCTCAGCTTCCTGAGTAGCTGAGACTATAGGTGCACACCACCATGCCCAGCCTCTGTTTCTTTATTTTCTCTAAATTCTGGGATACTTTCTCAAGTTTGTGTTATCAGCTACTGCTGTAAAAAACCATCTCAAAATGTAATGGCTTAAAACTATTTCTCACAAATCTTTTTTTTTTTTTTTTTTTTTTTGAGATAGGGTCTCTGCCCAGGCTGGAGTGCAGTGGCACAATCATGGCTCACTGCAGCCTTGACCTCCTGGGCTCAGGCAATCCTCCCACCTCAGCCTTCTGAGTAGCTAGGACTACAGGTGTGCCACCATGCACAGCTAATTTTTGTATGTTTTGTAGGTAGACTGGGTTTTGCCATGTTGCCCAGGCTGAATTTCTCACAAATCTATAGGTCAGCTAGGTGGTTCTGTAAACCTGGGCTGGACTCAGCTAATCTCGGCTTGGCTTGCTCTTGTGTCTGTGGTCAGCTGGAGGGCTGACTAGCAGGCTAGTCATAGCTAATGTTGAAATGACTCGGTTCTACTTGAAGTGGTAACTCATTCTCCTGAAGGCAAGCCTGCATATGATCTCATGTCAAAGACAGAGGAGCAGTAAAGCCTCTGTGCAGGTCAAGTATGCAAATGTCTCTTTGACAAGTCACATGGCTGAGACCAAAATCAAAGTGGATGGGACTTCAAAGTTACAGGGCAAAGGGCATGGATAGAGGAAGACTATTAATTAGTGCCATTAATGTGATCAGTCTACCACATTTTTCTTTTGTTTTTTTTTTGAGATGAAGTTTCATACTTGTCTCCAAGGCTGGAGTGCAGTGCTGTAATCTTGGCTCACTGCAACCTCTGTCTCCTGGGTTAGAGCGATTCTGCTGCCTTAGCCTCCTGAGTAGCTGGGATTACAGGTGCCTGCCACCATGCCTGGCTAATTTTTGTATTTTTAGTAGAGATGGGGTTTCACCATGTTGGCCCCACTGGTCTTGAACTCCTGACCTCAGGTGATCTGCCCGCCTCGGCCTCTCAAAGTGCTGGGATTACAGGAGTGAGCCACCGCGCCTGGCCTTCTTTGTTTTATTTATTGATATTCTGCAGAATCAACTCTGTAGACTATATATTTTGTTACTGTGTTTTCAGTTTCCACACTGAAGGAGAAGACAGTCAGAGGACTGACACAACCTGCCTTCAAGACATACTACAATGCTACTGTAAGCCAGACAGTGTGGTATTGGTGTCAGAATAGACAAATAAGTCAATGGAACACAATAGAAAGCTCAGAAATAGACCCACATAAATATAATCAACTGATATTTGATAAAGGCTCAAAGGCACTGGAATGGAGAAATACAGTCTTTTCAACGTTGGTGCTGGAACAACTGGGCATCCACATGGAAAAAAAAGATGAATCATACACAGCCTTTACACACTTCACAAAAATTAACTCAAAATGGATCATAGAACTAAATGTAAAATGCAAAACTATGAAACTCCTAGAAGATAACATAGGAGAAAACCTAGATAACTTTGGGTTTGCAGATGACTTTATATTTATTTATTTATTTTTGAGACAGAGTCTCATTTTGTTGCCCAGGCTGAAGTGCAGTGGCATGATCTCGACTCACTGTAACCTTGACCTCCTGGGTTCAAGCAATTCTCCTGCCTCAGCCTCCCGAGTAGCTGCGACTACAGGTGCGCGCCACCATGCCCAGCTAATTTTTTTCTTTTTTGTATTTTTAGTAGAGACAGGGTTTCACTATATTGGCCAGGCTGGTCTTGAATCCTCACTTCAAGTGATCCCCCTGCCTCAGCCTCCCAACATGCTGGGATTACAGCATGAGCCACCACGCCCGGCCTTGGAGATGACTTTAGATATAACACAGAAGGCATGATCTGTGAAAGAATTGGTAAGCTGGACTTCACTAAAATTAAAATTTTCTCTCTGTAGAAGACACTTTCAAGAGAGTGAAAAGACAAGCAGAGACTGGGAGAAAATATTTGCAAAAGACATATCTGGAATATGTCTTTTGCAAAAGACATAAAGGAATATTACATGAAACATGCAAAAAAAACCCCACAAAACTCTTCAAATACCACAATAAGGAAACAAACAGCCAAATTTAAAAATGGGCCAAGGACTTCAACAGATCTCTCACCAAAGAAGATATACAGAAAGCAAATAAGCAAATGCAAAGATGCTCTACATCATAGGTCATCATGGAAATGCAAATTAAAATAATGAAGTACCACTACACACCTATTAGAATGGCATTAATTCAGACTACTGACAATATCACATGCTGGTGAGAATGTGTAGTAACAGAAACTCATTCATTGCTGGTGGGAATGCAAAAAAAAAAAAAAAAATTCCAAGCCAAGGCAGGGCGCAGTGGCTCACGCCTGTAATCCCAACACTTTGAGAGGCTCAGGGGGCGGATCACCTGAGGTCAGGAGTTCGAAACCAGCCTGGCCAACATGCTGAAACCCCGTCTCTACTAAAAATACAAAAATTAGCCAGGCGTGGTGGCATGCACCTGTAATCCCAGCTACTCGGGAGGCTGAGGTAGAAGAATCACTTGAACCTGGGAGGCAGAGGTTGCAATGAGCCGAGATGACGGCATTGCACTCCAGCCTGGGTGATAGAGCAAGACTCTGTCACAAAAAAAGAAAGAAAGAGAGAGAGAGAGAGAGAGAGAGAGAGAAAGACGGGGGGGGGAAGAAAGAAAGAAAGAAAGAAAAAGAAAGAAAGAAAGAAAGAAAGAAAGAAAGAAAGAAAGAAAGAAAGAAAGAAAGAAAGAAAGAAAGAAAGAAAGAAAAGAAAAAGAGAAAAGAAAGAAAAGATGCCTTTTCTTTGCCTGGGGTTTAAACATCTGGCTACAAGACATTTTGTATAGGCAAGTTGAGGACTCTAGGGGTAGGATTGGTTTTAATATAATTTATAAATCTTTGGGCTGGGGCATGGTGGCTCTTGCCTGTAAGCCAACATTTTAGGAGGATAAGGAGGAAAGATCACTTGAGCCCAGGAATTTAAGACCAGCCTAGCCAACATAGGGAGGGAGACCCCATCTCTACAAAAAGTTTAAAAATTGGCTGGGCATGGTGGTGAGCACTTCTGGTCCTAGCTACTTGGGAGGCTGAGGTGGGAGGATTACTTGAGCCTGGGAGGCTGAAGCTACAGTGAGCCATGATGTCACCACTGCATTCCAACCTGGGTGACAGAGCAAGACCCTATCTCTAAATAAACAAAGAAATGAAGAAAACTGTGATAAATCCCCCTGTGTTCAGACCCACTTTGTACCTGCCTAGGAGTCTGAAGGCTTTCTAGGCTCTGCTCTCTGGGTCGTGCTCAGCCCCAGCCCTGCAGTCGCAACCCTGGCCATCAGTAACTTAGGCTTTCCACCGATCTCATCTCTCACTGCCACTTCTGTGCACTTTGTGTTTACAGAAATTTGTTGAATTCTCTTGTTTGTTGATCATACCCTTTTCTATTCTCTTTATTGTTGGAGTTTTTAAAATATTATTAATTAGCATTGTGATAGAGTTTCTAAATATATGTACTCAGTCTGCCATCTGAAACAGAAAATCTTCCATTTCCTTTAGTAATCAAGAAATAATTTCATTGTGGTTTCTCAGGAAGAAAAGAAAGGATATTTTGAATCACAGGCCGTTTTGATGGCTAGAATGACTAGAATTGAGGAAATTCGTGGAAGCTGAGAATGTCTTTCTTCTCCTCATTTCCAAAACAGCTCCTTAAGGCGTGAGGACAGGCAGAACTACTGGCTATTCCCAAGCCACATTAGATGTATTTGGTTCTTTTCTCCCAGGAGCTGAGATTGCACCATTGCACTCCAGCCTGGGTGACAAGCGTAAAACTCCGTCTCAAAAAAAATAAAAAAATAAGAAATAAAAGTATCTGCAGATAATTATGGCAACAGCTCATACTTGTATAGTACTTTATCATTTGCAAAGTGCAATAACATTGTGAAATAATTCTGGTTTTATAGATGAAAACTGTGGCTAAGAGTGTTTGGATATAATCCAGCTCAATTTTGCAAACTCAGGGCTGAAGCTTGGCTCTTACTTCTCCAAATCCCATTATTACTCCAATTTATCATGCTGCCACCTTGTTTTACAAGATCATTCTTTAATTATTAAATAATTAACAACAGAATTCCTTCACAGAACTTAGTCACTTGAAGTTCTACTCTTTCTATTCATAATTTTATTCAGATATTTCTTTTCTGGAACTCACCTGTTACATTAAGTAGAATGCAGCTATGTTCATTATTTATTATTCATTTATTACTTAAATTTTTTCTTTCTTTTCTTTTTTTTTTTTTTGAGATAAAGTCTCGCTCTGTTGCCAGGCTAGAGTGCAGTGGTGCAATCTCGGCTCACTGCAACCTCCACCTCTCGGGTTCAAGCGATTCTCCTGCCTCAGCCTCCCGAGTAGCTGGGACTACAGGTTCACTCCACCACGCCCAGCTAATTTTTGTATTTTTAGTAGGGATCGGGGTTCACCATGTTGGCCAGGATGGTCTCAATCTCTTGACCTCGTGATCCGCCCACCTTGGCCTCCCAAAGTGCTGGGATTACAGACATGAGCCACCACACCAGGCCTACTTAAATATTTTAAACTATATATAATGGCTGAAAAGTATGAAGCAAATCTTTAAAGGTGCTTAAATTAAAACCAATAAGAAAATTAGGCCTGAGGCTGGGCATGGTGGCTTATGCCTGTAATCCCACCACTTTGGGAGGCTGAGGCGGGCAGATCACCTGAGATCAGGAGTTGGAGACCAGCCTGGCCAACATGATGAAACCCTGTCTCTACTAAAAACACAAAAATTAGCTGAGCATAGTGGCACACACCTGTAATTCCAGCTACTCAGGAGGCTGAAGCATGAGAATCACTTGAACTCCGGAGGTGGAGGTCGCAGTGAGCTGAGATAGCACCACTGCACTCCAGCCTGGACTCTGTCTCTCTTTTTTTTTTTTTTTTTGAGACAGAGTCTCACTCTGTCGCCCAGGCTGGAGTGCAATGGCCCAGTCTCGGCTCATTGCAACCTCTGCCTCTGGGTTCAAGTGATTCTCCTGTCTCAGCCTCCCAAGTAGCTGGGATTACAGTCATGCACTACCATGCCCGGCTAATTTTTTGTATCTTTAGTAGAGATGGGGTTCCACTATGTTGGCCAGGCTGGTCTTGAAATCCTGACCTCGTGATCCACCCCTCTCAAGCCTCCCAAAGTGCTGGGATTACAGGCATGAGCCACCGTGCCTGGCCAAGGACCCTGTCTCTTACCAAAAAAAAAAAAAAAAAAAAAAAAAGTAAAAGAAAAAAAGAAAATTAGGCCTGACACAATCTGGCACATATCATGATCCCTGGCACCACTGATTACCAAATAAAAAGCTAGCCTGGCCGGGCGCAGTGGCTCACGCTTGTAATCCCAGCACTTTGGGAGGTTGAGGTGGGCGGATTGCCTGAGCTCAGGAGTTCGGGACCAGCCTGGGCAACACAGCGAAACCCCATCTCTACTAAAATACAAAAAATTAGCCGGACGTGCGCCTGTAGTCCCAGCTACTCGGGAAGCTGAGCCAGGAGAATTGCGTGAACCTGAGAGGCGTAGGTTGCAGTGAACCGAGATCGCGCCACTGCACTCCAGCCTGGGTGACAGAGCAAGACTCCGTCTCAAAAAAAAAAAAAAAAAAAAGCCTACATACTAAGTATCTAATTTTTTTGCCTGGCATGGTAGCTAACACCTGTAATCACAGCATTTTTGGGAGGCTGAAGAAGGAAGATCACCTGAGGTCAGGAGTTCGAGACCAGCCTGGCCAACATGGTGAAACCCCATCTCATCTCTATTAAAAATACAAAAATGATTCCAGGCGAGGTGGCTCACGCCTGTAATCCCAGCACCTTGGGAGGCCCAGGCGGATGGATCACGAGGTCAGGAGATCAAAACCATCCTGGCGAACATGATGAAACCTCGTCTCTACTAAAAACACAAAAAACTAGCCAGGCATGGTGGCACGCACCTGTAGTCCCAGTTACTCGGAAGGCTGAGGCAGGAGAATCTCTTGAACCCGGGAGGCGGAGATTGCAGTGAGCCGAGATCACGCCACTGCACTCCAGCCTGGGCGACAGAGTGAGGCTCTGTCTCAAAAAAAACCAAAAAAAACAAAAATTAGCCAGGCGTGGTGATGAGCACCTGTAACCCCAACTACGCTGGAGGCTTAGGCAAGAGAATTGCTTGAACCCGGGAGACGGAGGTTGCAGTGAGTTACGATCGTGCCACTGGGCTCCAGCCTGGACGACAAGAGCAAAACTCTGTCTCAAAAGAAAAAAAAAGTATTTCATTTTTTTTTAACATCCTAGCAAGTAACATAACGTGTACGTACTTCTTTGATGTTCGCTCGAATACTTTATTGTCAAATGAGCTGGATTTGATATTTTACTCTGAGGGTTCGTCTGTCTGGACTATGTTTAGGTCTCCATGCAGCCTGCTCATAGATGAGTGAGAACATAGCCATCGAGCCTAGGACACAGGGTACAAAAGGAAAGATGAGAGACTGGGGCTGAGACAAAACAGGGAGCAAGGCAGAGGGAGAAGGTAAAATTAGAAAACTGGAAGCAAATAAGAAAAAGGACTTTGTGCTTTCTCAGTGCTGGCATTGCTCTGAGATGGGGAGATGTACAGGAAAGAGAATGGCATGCTAATTAATATTCAGGTTACAGAAGCCAAAATGAACCATTTTTTAAGAGTAGAGGTAATTAAATCTCTGCACATACAAAGCAGTAGCTAACAAGCATTTATTGACTGTCTACTTCATTGGACTGGTGAGCTTCGTGTCTTTAAAATCACGAGAACTGCGTAGGTGCCATCATTGCAGACAACCTGCCCATAGCTGGGGCCTTGCTTTCCTGCCCTCCTCAGGGAGCCAGCTGCTCTGCCCACCCCATGATTGGGCACCAGTGACATTAGCGGCCAGCTGGATAACCAATTAGTGTCACAGAGAAACTGGGTACAGATTAAGGGTGGAGGTATAACCTCATTGTAGACAACATAGGAACTTTTTCAAAAGACATTTTGAAAAATTACCCATAATCTCATAAACTCAGAGCAGTTACATTCTGTAAAGAGTGATTTATGTATAACTAGGCTTTACATTTTCTTTCCTTTTTTTTTTTTTGAGACAAAGTCTTGCTATGACACAGGATAGAATGCAGTGGTACGATTATGGCTCACTGCAGCCTCAAACTCCGGGGCTCAAGTGATCCTCTGGCCCCAGCCTCCCGAGGAGCTAGGACCACAGGTATGCCACCATGCCCAGCTAATTTTTTAATTTTTTGAAGAGATAGGGTCTCACTATGTTGCCCAGGCTGGAATGCAATGGTGAGATCATAGCTCAATGCAGCCTCAAACTCCTGAGCTCAAGCAGTCCTCCCACTTCAGCTTTCTGAGTAGCTAGGACTGCAGGCACATGCCACCACTCTCAGCTAATTTTTTAAAATTTTTGTAGAGACAGGTTCCCGCTATGTTGCCCAGGCTGGTCTTGAACTCCTGGCCTCAGGCAATCCTCCCACCTCGGCCTTCCAAAGCACTAGTGTTACATGCATGAGCCACTGTGCCTGGCTTAAATTTTCATAACTGTCATATAAAAAATAACTGTCAGAAACCAACAAAGTCTGCTGAGACTTCACCTGTCAGACAGGATCAAAGAATAATGACTCTAGACTTAATCTCTGTGTACTTTTTGTTTGTTTAAGTAACACTCTTAATGTTTAGGCCCCAGGATTCTAAACAATATTTTGTAGAATAAAAAAAAACATAAACAGGCTGCTGCATGGGAAAAAAGAACCGTTTGAATGTTAAACATGATATGCTCAATTACAGATTCACTTCTGATCTTAGTAAACATACTCTGCCAATCTTAACAATAATTGCTAGTCTCTGCACACTATTTTGCATTCTTCTTTAATCATTGTATATAATTTTATATAGACATGTCCCTCAATTCATTTCCTAAGCAGCCAGTCCTGTCTCCAGTCTGTTTTTAACTCCGCATTGTGTCAGTTTTGTTCTGGCTGTGTCGCGGGTCTGCTTAGAATCTTCTCTTGATTCTCCACTGTCTTTAGAATCAAAAAAACAAACTTGGGAGTCAGAAACCCTTCCAAGCTGGTTCCTCACTCTATCCTCATCTTCCTTGAGAAGCCCTTCTAGGACGGATGCATGGGTCAGCTCTCCCAGCCCAGAGCTCAAGCTCTGCCCACACTGGGCACCTGCAGCTTACTGGTTTTGCTGGTCTTGTTGGTGTAAAGGGATCATGGATGAGTGTTATCATCTCCTCAGACACCTGACACTTTTGGTTCTCTCCTCTGGTATGAGCATTACTTGTGTATAACGCTTGCGCGTCTCCCAGTGGAGCAACCATCATTTTCTTACTGATTTGCATTAAATCCCTGTCAGTTTTCATGATTGAGAAGGCCTTTTCTTGGACCTGTCATTTGTGTTCACTTTGTCCATAGTGTCCTTCAATGAAGAGAAATTCTAAAATTGATATAAGTTAACTCATGTTTAGCCTAATGCGTGTGCTTTGTGAGTTTTTAATGCATTCTTCCAGATCTTTCTGCTGTCACACCCTCTATCAAATTAGTCATCAACTCCCCTAGAGTCCTGAATGAATTAATACTTCTTGTATTTTGTCCTCGTTAAAGCGTTTCTTTAGTTTTCCTGTCTTGTTTTCTGAAGTCTGACCTCCTCAAGGCTAGAGACTAGGAATTATTCATCCTTGAGTCCCCAGCACAGCCTGACTCATGATAGTCAGTGCTGGTGGAAGGAAGGAATGACCCATTTTAGTGGCCATGTCATTGTCTAAGTTGAATTCTAGGAATTCATTTCTTCTCACCCCTACAATGCCTTAGCCAAGAACTTTCCACTCCCATGGTCTCTTGTTCACAGTAATTTGGACCATTTGTGGACACTTGGCTCACACTGAGTGAATCAGAATCTCTTTCCTAAGAATGTAGAACTGGGGCTCAGACAGATTGAGTCAGTTCGCATCTGATGCTGGCCCCAAGGGGTCATGTAGCATCAAGCAGCCGTGAAGGGAAAGCTGTGCCGATGATCAGGGATTGAGACTGAGAGGTGGTATGCAGGGAGAAAGCTGTCCTGCAGAGCAAAACAGAGCAAGAGCTGGGAAGGGGAGAGAGACTGGATCTTCCTTGGTTCCCAACAGGTTTCCAGTTCCTGGTTCTGATTCCTTATGAAGCCTTGGAGTTCATATCTCTGTCTTCTTTGACCTTGAGAAAACTTTAGTAGGTCCTTTTTCTTTATAAGCATAGAATCCCTACAGTAGTGATTCATATATTTTGTACATAAAGAATAATTGCTATTTTCACATTGTTCACTGGAGATAGTATTAACTTGTTCAATATATATTTATTATAGGTAAGGCATCTTCTCATCTTCTCAACTCTTACAGCCACAAAAGTGGGCTTAGACATTCAACTTGTCATTAACTGAGCTCTTTTTTTTTTTCTTTTTTTTTTTTTGAGATAGAGTTTCGCTTTTGTTGCCCAGGCTGGAGTGCAGTGGTGCGATCTCATTGCGAGGCTCATTGCAGCCTCTACCTCCCAGGTTCAAGCAATTCTCCTGTCTCAGCCTCCCAAGTAGCTAAGATTACAGGCACCCACCACCAAGCCCAGCTAATTTCTTTTTTTTTTGGGGACAAAGCCTCGCTCTTGTGCCCCAGGCTGCAGTGCAATGGAGCAATCTCGGCTCACTGCAACCTCCGCCTCCCGAGTTCAAGCGATTCTCCTGCCTCAGCCTCCCGAGTAGCTGGGATTACAGGTGCCCGCTACCATGCCCAGCTAATTTTTGTATTTTTAGTAGAGACAGGGTTTCACCATGTTGGCCAGGCTGGTCTTGAACTCCTGACCTCAGGCGATCCACCCACCTCAGCCTCCCAAAGTGCTGGGATTACAGGTGTGAGCCACTGTGCCCAGCCCACTGGGCTCTTTTTAAATTACACTTTCTATTCTTTTTTTTTTTTTTTGGTCTGTCACCCAGGCAGGAGTGCAGTGTTGCAGTCTCCGCTCACCACAACCTCTGCCCCCTGGGTTCAAGTGATTCTCCTGCCTCAGCCTCCTGAGTAGCTGGGATTACAGGTGCACCACACCCAGCTAATTTTTGTATTTTTAGTAGAGATAGGGTTTCACCATGTTGGCCAGACTGTACACATTTTATTCTTGAAGTGGGCATGACTATGCTTACCACTACTGAAATCATGAGGCCTTATACAATTTGATTCATCTTTTGAAATTAACAAAACTGCCAGGGATGGCAGCTCTCATACTCATAATGCCAATGCTTTGGGAGGCCAAGGCGGGAGTATCGCTTAAGGACTGGAGTCCAAGATCAGCCTGGACAACATAGGGAGACAACGTCTCTACAAAACAAAAATTTTAAATTAGCTGAGAGTGGTGGTGCATGCCTGTAGTCCTAGGTACTCAGGAGGCTGAAGTGGGAGAATCACTTGAGCCCAGGAGTTCAAGGCTGCAGTGAGCTACGATTGTGCCACTGCACTCCAGTCTGGGCAACAGAGAAAGACCCCATTTTAAGATAAAAATAAAAATGATAAAAGAAATAAATTGGCTGGGCGTGGTGGCTCACACCTGTAATCCCAGCACTTTGGGAAGCTAAAGCAGGTGGATCACAAGGTCAGGAGTTCAAGACAAACCAGTCCAAGGTGGTAAAACCCCATCTCTACTGAAAATACAAAAATTAGCTGGGCATGGTGGCAGCCACCTGTAATCCCAGTTACTCGGGAGGCTGAGGCAGGAGAATCGCTTGAACCCGGGTGGCAGAGGTTGCAGTGAGCCGAGATCACGCCACTGCACTCCAGCCTGGGCAACAGAATGAGATTCCATCTCAAAAAAAAAAGAAAAAAAGAAAAGAAAAGAAATCAAGGTCTAACACCCCTTACCCCTTAAATCCTGCTATGGTAATTCGGAAGGGTTCTTATCTATTCATTCAAGTAGCTTTGGCGTAACATATGCATGTAGTTCTGTTACTGTATGTTATTGAAAGTATGAAACTTCATTATTTTAAAAATTATATAATACAAATATTTTACTAATAATGATTTTTTCCTGATTTATCCTAGTAATGTATTTATTTATTTACTTACTTATTTCCTTATTTACTTATTTTAGAGACAGGGTCTTGCTCTGTTATCCAGGCTGGAGTGCAGTGGTATGATCATAGCTTACTGCAGCCTCAAACTCCTGGGCTCAAGTGATCCCCCCAACTCAGCCTCCTGAGTAGCTGGAACTACAGGCAAGCGCCACCATATCTGGCTAATTTATTATTATTTTTTTTAAGATGGAGTCTCGCTATATTGCCCAGTCTGGCCTCCAACTCCTAGCATCAAGTGATTCTCCTGCCTTGGCCTCCCAAAGTGCTGGGATTACAGGCATGAGCCACCATGCCCACCTCTCACCTTATTTTTAGCATAACTTATATAGAGTGGCTCAAAGCAAGCACAACACCAATAATAACAACTGTAATGGAATACATATTCTGTCAGACACTGTGCCAAGCAATTAACATTGGACACTTCATTTAATCCTGAAAATAATTCTTTATGGAGGAGATATCATCTCCATTTCATAAATGAGGGCACAGGGCACTGCTGGTAAGAAAAAGAGCTGAGGCCAGGTGTGGTGGCTCACGCCTGTAATCCCAGCACTTTGGGAGGTCGTGGCAGGCAGATCACTTGAAGTCAGGAGTTCAAGACTAACCTGGCCAACATGGTGAAACTCCATCACTACTAAAAATACAAAAAATTAGCCAAGTGTGGTGGCAGGCACCTGTAATCCCAGTTACACCAGAGGCTGAGGCTCAAGAATTGCTTGAAACCGGGAGGCAGAGGTTGCAGTGAGCGGAGATCGTGCCACTGCATTCGAGCCTGGGTGACAGAGTAAGACTCTGTCTCAAAAAAAAAAAAAAAAAAAAAGAAGAAGAAGAAGAACAAAGAAAGAAAAAAAGCTGCGATTTAAACCCAGGTACCCATGTGTCTGGAATTGGTGGGTTCTTGGTCTCACTGACTTCAAGAATGAAGCCACGGACCCTCGCGGTGAGTGTTACAGTTCTTAATGGCGGTGTGTCCAGAGTTTGTTGCTTCTGATGTTCAGACATGTTCGGAGTTTCTTCCTTCTGGTTGATTCATGGTCTCGCTGGCCTCAGGAGTGAAGCTGCAGACCTTCGCGGTGAGTGTTATGGCTCATAAAGGCAGTGTGGACCCAAAGAGTGAGCAGCAGCAAGATTTATTGCAAACAATGAAAGAACAAAACTTCCACAGTGTGGAAGGGGACTGAGCGAGTTGCCACTGCTGGCTCGGGCAGCCTGCTTTTATTCCCTTATCTGGCCCCACCCACATCCTGCTGATTGGTCCATTTTACAGAGAGCTGTTTGGTCTGTTTTACAGAGAGATGACTGGTGCATTTTGACAGGTGCTCATTGGTGTGTTTACAATCCCTGAGCTAGACACAAAAGTTATCCAAGTCCCCACTAGATTAGCTAGACACAGAGCACTGATTGGTGCATTTACAAACCTTGAGCTAGACACAGGGTGCTGATTGGTGTGTTTACAAACCTTGAGCTAGACACAGAGTGCTGATTGGTGTATTTACAATCCTTTAGCTAGACATAAAGGTTCTCCAAGTCCCCACCAGATTAGCTAGATACAGAGTGCTGACTAGTGCATTTACAATCCTTGAGCTAGACACAGGGTGCTGATTGGTGCATTTACAAACCTTGAGCTAGACACAGAGTGCTGATTGGTGTATTTACAATCCCTTAGCTAGACATAAAGGTTCTCCAAGTCCCCACTAGACTCAAGAGCCCAGCTGGCTTCACCTAGTGGATCCTGCACCAGGGCCACAGGGAGAGCTGCCCGCCAGTCCCGTGCTGTGTGCCCACACTCCTCAGCCCTTGGGCGGTCGATAGGACTGGGCGCCATGGAGCAGGGGGCAGCACTTGTCAGGGAGGCTCAGGCAGTGCAGGAGCCCACGGAAGGAGGGAGGCTTGGGCATGGCAGGTTGCAGGTCCTGAGCCCCACCCCACGGGGAGGCAACTGAGGCCCAGCAAGAATTCGACCGCCGGCTGGTGCTGCTGGGTGACCCAGCACACCCTCCGCAGCTGCTGGCCCAGGTGCTAAGCCCCTCACTGCCCGGGGCCCGGCAGTGCCGGCTGGCCACTCCATGTGCGGGGCCCGTGGAGCCCATGCCCACCCGGAACTCATGCTGGCCCGTGAGCGCCGCACGCAGCCCCAGTTCCTGCCCATGCCTCTCCCTCCACACCTCCCTGGAAGCAGAGGGAGCCGGCTCTGGCCTCGGCCAGCCCAGAGAGGGGCTCCCACAGTGCAGCGGCGGGCTGAAGGGCTCCTCAAGCACAGCCAGAGTGGGTGCCAAGGCCAAGGAGGCACCGAGAGTGAGCGAGGGCTGCCAGCACGTGGTCACTTCTCACCCAGGTCTGTCTCTGGTCATAGCTCGCATTGCTAATCCCTCCAATATATGCCTGGGGGATGTAGCTACTGAATTCCGTGCTCTGGCTTTTTTTACTGCATATATCTGAACTGCAGGGGGGTCTTTTTTTTCTTTTCTTTTTTAACTTGGATATTCTTAAGTCACTGAACTGAAACTGTAGCAAAAAGAGCCATTAGAGGAAGGAAATGAACAAACTTCAAGTCTTATCTGTGCTCCTAAGGCTATGAATCTTGACTCTCTTTCTGTGATTTATAAAGTGTCAGGATAACTGCTTTGGGGGAAAAGCTAGACTTCATCCAGTCATCAGTTGGAAGCCTGGGTGGCTGCAGACTCAGTGACTCACAGAAGGAATAAACAAGAGAGGAGAAAAAGGTACCAAAACCTTCATGTCATACTTATAAATTACTGAGGTTACAGTTTTTTTGTTTGTTTTGTTTTGTTTTTGAGATGGAGTTTCGCTCTTGCTGCCCAGGCTGGAGTGCAATGGCGTGATCTTGGCTTGCCACAAACTCCATCTCCTAGGTTCAAGCAATTCTCCTGCCTCAGCCTCCCAAGTAGCTGAGATTATAGGCGTGTGCCACCATGCCTGGCTAATTTTTTGTATTTTTAGTAGAGACGGGGGTTTCTCCATGTTGGTCAGGCTGGTCTCGAACTCCCAACCTCAGGTGATCCACCCTCTCTGGCCTCCCAAAGTGCTGGGATTACAGGCGTGAGCCACTGCGCCTGGCCACTAAGGATAGTTTTTAAAATATCAGAAAGTATTATGGCAGAGTGTCAGTAAAAGAATAACTTTTCCAACAGGAAGTTATTCTGAATTTGGTTTGTGCAGCAATTTATGTAAACCTGCCTATCATTATAAAAGTTTGTCTTCTTTTGTTCTCAAAGTCATAACCTAAATGACAACCAAGCATGTGAAGTGGCTTTTGTGAACTTGCTACAATCTTTGCGTGCCCAGACTTGCCTGGTACAAAGTGTACAAAATAGACCTGTGATTTATAAACTGTGGGGTAATCATGTGAACGCAAAGAAAAAAAAAAGAAACTCTTATATTTGAGTTTTTGAAAATGATACTTTAAAAATATTGTAAGAAAAAATTACTTGCTGCCATTTGCTTGACTTTTCTTTATCACAAATGGACTTGAATAATAAGGTCGCTTTGTTATCTGATAAATGAGGCATGCTACATTATTCCTCAGGAATAATATCTGTATTATTTTTCTCCTGGAAACAATGCTTGGACCTCTAAATCTTTCTGTTTCTATTAGGAGAATCATAGAAACATAGAGTGGAAAGTCTGTCTTTTTTTTTTTTTTCTGACAGAGTCTCACTCTGTCGCCAGGCTGGAGTGCAGTGGCGCAATCTCGGCTCACTGCAACCTCTGCCTCCTGGGTTCAAGCAATTCCCTTGCCTCAGCCTCCCGAGTAGCTGGGACTACAGGTGTGTGCCACCATGCCCGACTAATTTTTTGTATTTTAGTAGAGACAGGGTTTCACCATGTTGACCAGGACGGTCTTGATCTCCTGACCTCATGATCTACCCGCCTCAGTCTCCCAAAGTGCTGGGATTACAGCCATGAGCCACCGCGCCCGGCTGGAAAGTCTCTTAAGAGAACACAATTCTAGTTTTGAATGTTCCCTCTCCTCTAATTTCTCTGTGTCCATATTTCTATCTGAAAAACAGGGATATGAAGGATGATACAGAAAACTGAAAGCTTTAAAAATGTACTCAGAGGGAGGGATACCTAGCTATGTGTTCATAAATGGCAGTTTGTTGAGATGGCTTGCTTCGTGTACTTCAGAAGATTTCATTCGCCAGTACCTTTACCTGGGACGGCAGGGAAAGCTAGAAAATACAAACTCTCATAGCCTGGAGGGATTAGAGACTCCATGCATACCTGATTTTACTCTTTCAGACTCTTGAGTATATACGTTGGTAACCTATTAAAAACTACATTAAATAATAACAAAGGATTTTACATTGTCTTCCAAGGGGCTTAAATTGTGTATCACTTAGAATGAACATTCTAGGGTAAAGGAAGTCTTATTCTTAGCAGATGAACAAAGTGAAGCCTACCAAGGTTAATAATATGCTCAAATTCGGCCGGGCGCGGTGGCTCACGCCTGTAATCCCAACACTTTGGGAGGCCGAGGTGGGCAGATCACAAGGTCAGGAGATCTAGACCATCCTGGATAACACGGTGAAACCCCGTCTCTACTAAAAATACAAAAAATTAGCCGGGCATGGTGGCGGGCACCTATAGTCCCAGCTACTCAGGAGACTGAGGCAGGAGAATGGCCTGAACCCGGGAGGCGGAGCTTGCAGTGAGCTGAGATCGCGCCACGGCACTCCAGCCTGGGCGACAGAGCAAGACTCCATCTCAAAAACAACAACAACAACAATAATAATATCCTCAAATTCAAACAGATACAGCATAGATTGGAATATGCTGGAACTGTTTCTAGTCCTGTGTTCTATTAACTGAGTCGTTACCTAACTCATTTTCTACCTACATTGTTGCTTTCAAACTTGTCCTATAATACACAGAAACATAGAGTTGCCTTTGATTGCACTAAATATAACAATACAAACTGAACAAAAGTCAAATTTTATTTTAATTACTTAGGAGAAAGATAAACTTGATCCTTTCAACTGGCCAATAACGACAAGTAATAATAGAGTTCAGAAGGAAAAAGATTATTTGGACCATGAAGTGACTTCCCTCCATTCAGAATAGTTAGGAGCTAAAATTACTTTCAAACAGCTTGAAAAAGCAAATGTCAAGCTTCAGTCAAAGCTGTTAGTGAGCAGAACTGTGTCTACATTTGTCATATGTTGTTAATGTGTTCATCTCAAATTTCTAAACGGCTATAATTAAGGAGTAGGTTTCTAAAAATTTATAATCCTTTTGAAGCCTACTAGATTTGCCAAGGTCTTTTTTTTTTTTTTTTAACAAAGAAAGCGTATATTTGACAAGTATTAAGTTTGCATAAGTAAGAATTGTTAATTCTGTTTTGCCGTGGCAACGGACCACAGGCCATTAAATAAGGCAGCTTAGAAGGAGCCAAAAACATCCAGAACTTCAAGTAAAGTTAGAATGCAATTAAATAAGCAAATTCTGAGTAATTAACTTTTCAACCACTTTTTAGTCATTTATAATTTGTAGATAAATGAAAATCTGTCCTTGGAACTTGCATGTCTAAAACCCAGTCTCCAGTCCTCTGTGGAAAACATCACAAGTCTGAAAGATGAAAAGAGAGAGCTGACTCTGATGATCAAAAGTTTCCAAGAAGAAAGGGAGCAAATCCTTTCCCAGAAAGATTTGCTGATAAAAGCCCTGACTGCTCAAAAGGGGGTGTAAAGTTTATCTGTGATTAGCCAGGCTGGCACCTTCTTCAGTGATCTGGGCTGTTGACATATTTCCTCAGTAGCAGTCAGTTTCCAATACACAATGTTTGATTATCAATGTTTTATTGATATGTAAGACAGTAATGGGATGTTAGACTTTGCTTAAGAACTATAAGCTGTGGGCAGGGTGTGGTGGTGTACGCCTATCATCCCAACACTCTGGGAGGCTGGAGGATCACTTGAGGCCAGGAGTTTAAGACCAGCCTGAGCAACAGAGCAAGACCCCATCTCAAAAAAAAAAAAAAAAAAAAAATTAGCCAGGCATGATGGCACAAATCTGTAGTTCCAGCTACTCAGGAGGCTGAGGTGGGATGACTGCTTGAGCCCAGGAGGTCGAGGCTGCAGTGAGCTAGGATCATGCCACTGCATTTCAGCCTGGGTGACAGACCCAGACTTTATCTTAAAAAAAAAAAATGGGCCAGGCGTGGTGGTTCACACCTATAATCCCAGCACTTTGGGAGGCTGAGGCGGGTTAATCACAAGGTCAGGAGTTCAAGACCAGCCTGGCCAACATAGTGAAACCCTATCTGTACTAAAAATACAAAAATTAGCCAGACATGGTGGTGGGCACCTGTAATCCCAGCTACTCGGGAGGCTGAGGCAGAGAACAGCTTGAATTTAGGAGGCGAAGTTTTCAGTGAGACGAGATCACACCATTGCACTCTAGCCTAGGCAATAGAGTGAGACTCTGTCTCAAAAATAAATAAATAAATAAATACTATAAACTGTGGAAGATGGTGACTCAAATAAATTCAAAACATGATGTTGTGACACTTGGACTACTGTGGTAATTTGCTAAGTCTGAATATAAAAATGGAAAAAGTTAATGTGTAATAAAATCACCTGCACCATGACTACTCTTATCTTTCTTTTTTTTCCTTTCTTTTTTTAATTTGGAGATGGAGTCTCGCTCTGTCGCCAGGCTGGAGTGCAGTGGCAGGATCTTGGCTCACTGCAACACCTGCCTCCCCGGTTCAAGCGATTCTCCTGCCACACCCAGCTAATTTTTGTATTTTTAGTAGAGATGGGGTTTCACCATGTTGGCCAGGCTGGTCTCAATCTCCTGACCTTGTGATCCACCTGCCTTGGCCTCCCAAAGTGCTGGGATTACAGGCGTGAGCCACTGCACCCGGCCTTGGTTTTTGTCAGTCTTAAAATGGGACATAAGATAGGGTTAAACATGTGATTGGTCCACCCAAGATTGCCCAAATACCAACTGGGAAGTTTGTAGGTCACTTGCAACCCCTTTATAGTTCCTTCCCTTTAGAATGCAAATGGATTTGTGTTTGCTGGAATGATCATTAATTGTAGGAGCTTAGAGATGGCAAACCAATTAAAATGCTGGTATAGCAAACTAATTTGGAAAAGCAAATGTGTAACTTGGATTGTTTGCTTTTGCAGTTTTTCCATGTAACCACTTTCATTGGCATGATAAATGGAAAGTTTGTTACTGAACACTTTCAAAGAATAATTATATATATTTTTTAAAAATTTTAACTCCTCGCTGGGTGCAGTGACTCACACCTGTAATCCCTGCGCTTTGGGAGGCCAAGGCGGGTGGATCACCTGAGGTTGACAGTTCAAGACCAGCTTGGCCAACATGGTGAAAACCCATCTCTACTAAAAATACAAAAAATTAGCTGGGCATGGTGGAAGGCACCTGTGATCCCAGCTACTAGGAAGGCTGAGGCAGGAGAATCGCTTGAACTCAGGAAGTGGAGGTTGTAGTGAGCCGAGATCATGCCACTGCACTTCAGCCTGGGCAACGTGGCAAGACTCTATCTCAAAACAAAAACAAAACCTGAAAATTATCTAGAACACTGTGCTCTGGAGTGTTTTGAGGGGAAAATCCTTTCTTCCTTTTTGAGGGGAAAATCCATTCTGCTTTTTGGAGGGTATTAATAGCATAAGTTGTGGAGCTTTACTAACTTTCACAACATGCACTGGACTGCCAGCAAAGAGCTGCAAGAATGGTAGAATCCCTGTTCCTCTCTTTTGTGCTGAGGGGAAGAAGCTATGAGGATGAAGTTATTCCATAGACCTGCTGCTTTCTGAGACAGCATGGCACTGGATTCAACCTGATTTGATTAAGTAAATATTTGTTAAACACCTACTATTGTGTCCGGAATTTATTCCTTCCAGTGAGTTCTAGGTCTCGCTGACTTCAAGAATGAAGCTGCAGACCTTTGTGGTGTTACAGCTCTTAAAGATGGTGCGGACCCAAAGAGTGAGCAGCAGCAAGACTTATTGTGAGGAGCAAAAGAACAAAGCTTTCACAGTGTGGAAGGGGACCCGAGTCGGTTGCCGCTGATGGCTCGGGTGGCCAGCTTTTCTTTCCTTATCTGGCCCCGCCCACATCCTGCTGATTGGTCCATTTTACAGAGTACTGATTGGTCCATTTTACAGAGTACTGATTGGTCCATTTACAATCCTTTATCTAGACACAGAGCACTGATTGGTGCATTTACAATCCTCTAGCTAGACAGAAAAGTTCTCCAAGTCCCCACTCGACCCAGGAAGTACAGCTGGCTTCACCTTTCACTATCTCAAGGTACTACAGTGGATCAAGGAAAAACTTGACATGAGAGGAAAGGAAATAAAGTTTTATTTGTGTGTGTGTTTTTCTAAAACCAGTTCTAAGTTAAAAACATTCGTATATATAGTATTTTACCATATGTTTGTCAGAAACCATCTTTTTATATACCTGCCTTTGTAACACTCCCATTTGCCCCTGGGCAAACATTTTTTCCCTATCTAATCTTCACATTTCTCAACACTGAAAAAGTTCAGGACTGGAAGGGTCACTCACACGTTCACTTTTATTCATGCCTAAGGTGGTGACCAAAAGATTATTATCTGCTGGCCGGGTGCGGTGGCTCACGACTGTAATCCCAGCACTTTAGGAGGCCAAGGCAGGTGGATCACAAGGTCAGGAGTTCAGGACCAGCCTGAACCCCCATCTCTACTAAAAACACAAAAATTAGCCAGGCATGCTGGCAGGTGATGGTAATCCCAGCTACTCGGGAGGCTGAGGCAGAGAACTGCTTGAACCTGGGAGGCAGAGGTTGCAGTTAGCCGAGATTGCACCACTGCACTCCAGCCTGGGTGAGACAGTGAGACTCCATCAAAAAAAAAAAAAAAAAAAGATTATTATCTGCTGTCCTCTTGAGAGGTGAAGCCAGCTGGGCTTCTGGGTCAGGTGGGGACTTGGAGAACTTTTTTGTCTAGCTAAAGGATTGTAAACCCACCAATCAGCACTGTGTGTCTAGCTAAAGGTTTGTAAATGCACCAATCAGCACTCTGTAAAATAGACCAATCAGCGCCCTGTAAAATGGACCAATCAGCACGATGTGGGTGGGGCCAAATAAGGGAATAAAAACTGGCCACCCGAGCCAGCAGTGGCAACCTGCTTGGGTCCCCTTTCATGCTGTGGAAGCTTTGTTCTTTTGCTCTTCACAATAAATCTTGCTGCTGCTCACTCTTTGGGTCTGCATTACCTTTAAGAGCTGTAACACTCACTGCAAAGGTCTGTGGCTTCACTCCTGAAGTCAGTGAGACCACGAAACTACTGGGAGGAACAAACAACTCTGGATGTGCCACCTTTAAAAGCTGTAACGCTCACTGGGAAGGTCTGCAGCTTCACTCCTGAAGTCAGTGAGACCACAAACGCACTGGAAGGAAGAAACTCGACACATCTGAACAACTGAAGGAAAAAACTCCAGACACACCATCTTTAAGAACTGTGACACTCACCATGAGGGTCCGCAGCTTCATTCTTGAAGTCAGCAAGGCCAGGAACCCACCAGAAGGAATCAATACTGGACACATTTTGGCGATCACGAAGGGACTATTGCCTATCGCTAAGCGGTGAGTACCATCAGACCCCTTTCGCTTGCTATTCTGTCCTATTTTTCCTTAGAATTCGGGGGCTAAATACTGGACACCTGTTGGCCAGTTAAAAGTGGCTAGTGTGGCCGCCAGACTAAAGACACAGGTGTCAGGCTTTCTGGGAAAGGGCTCTCTAACAACCCCTGATTCTTTGGAGTTGGGAGTGTTGGTTTGCCTGGAACCAGCTTCTGCTTTTCCTGTACTTCTGGGCTGAGCCTAGGGTCAACAGAGAGGAAAGCCATTCAGTTCCTAGGGTCCTGACAGCAAGTTGTTTGACCCTGCAGCCATGAGTGGAACTCTCAAAGTCACATCGCCCAAGCGAGACTCACCCATCTATCCTATCTATCCTGACCCTTGCCTCCTGGGTCCTAATGCCTGTCAGACAAACTTCCTCTCGCCTCTCTTCTCCAAGGCTAGTCCCACTTCTAAAAACCACTCCCTGTCTCTGGTGCTTTTCTAGTTTCTCCTATAAGAATTATTTCTAGTATAAACTCCAGGACTCTGTTACCTTCTTTAGGCACCCAGTCTCACCAATCAGAAAGATATAATTTTTGCCCAAAGCCCTGTTGGCGGGGGGGGACTATCTTATCTGGAATTTTAGGATCCCTCCTCAGACTAGCAGGCCTAAAAAAAGCTATTCCTGAAGCTAGGATGTGGGGAGCCTCAGAAATTGTATCCTTCCTATTCATATACGTGAGGACAAAAGGCATCACCCTTCCAACTCTGGAGATCCCTTCCCTCTCTCAGGGTATGGCCCTCCACTTCATTTTTGGGGGATAACATCTTTATGGGACACAGGTAAAGTCCCAATACTAACAGGAGAATGCTTAGGACTCTAACAGGTTTTCAAGAATGCATTGGTAAGGGCCACCAAATCCGATTTTTCTCAGTCCTCTTTGCAGCCTAGGAGGACAGGCAAGGGTGCAGGTTTTTGAGAATGCATCAGTAAGAGCCACTAAATCTGATCTGACATTCCTCCGTCCTCCTTATAGTCTAGGAGGAAAACTAGTGTTTCTGCTGCTGTGTCGGTGAGTCCAACTTTTCTGATCAGGAGGGTCCATGGACCATTGCAGGTTCTTGGGCAAGAGGCTGCTGCTGCTGCATCGGTTAGCACAACTATTCCAATCAGCAGGGTCCAGGGACCATTGTGGGTTCTTGGGCAAGAGGTGTTTCTGCTGCTGCCTCAGTGAGTGCAACTATTCCAATCAGCAGGATCCAGGGACCGTTGTGGGTTCTTGGGCAGGGGGAGAAACAAACAAACCAAAACCATGGGCAGTTTTGTCTTTCAGATGGGAAACACTCAGGCAACAACAGGCTCACCCTTGAAATGCATCCTAAGCCATTGGGACCAATTTGACCTGCAAACCCTGAAAAAGAGATGGCTCATTTTTTTCTGCACTATGGCCTGGCCCCAATATTCTCTCTCTGGTGGGGAAAAATGGCCAACTGAGGGAAGCATAAATTATAATACTATCCTGCAGCTTGACATTTTCTGTAAGAAGGAGGGCAAATGGAGTGAAATACCTTATGTCTGAGCTTTCTTTTCATTGAAGGAGAATCCACAAGTATGCAAAGCTTGCAATTTACATCCCACAGGAGGACCTCTCAGCTTACCCCCATATGCTAGCCTCCCTATAGCTCCCCTTCCTATTAATAAGCCTCCTGTAATCTCCCCTGCCCAGAAGGAAACAAGCAAAGAAATCTCCAAAGGACCACAGAAACCCCTGGGCTATCAGTTATGTCCCCTTCAAGCTGTAGGGGGAGGGAATTTGGACCAACCCGGGTACATGTCCCCTTCTCCTTCTCTGATTTAAAGCAGATCAAGGCACACCTGGGGAAGCTTTCAGATGATCCTGATAGGTATGTAGAAGTCCTACAGGGTCTAGGGCAAAATTTCAGTTACACTTGGAGAGATGTCATGCTATTGTTAGATCAAACCCTGGCCTTTAATGAAAAGAATGCGGCTTTAGCTGCAGCCCAAGAGTTTGGAGATACCTGGTATCTTAGTCAAGTAAGTGATAGAATGACAGCCAAAGAAAGGGACAAATTCCCTACCAGTCAGCAAGCTGTCCCCAGTATGGATCCCCACTTGGACCTCAACTCAGATCATAGGGACTGGAGTCACAAACATCTGTTGACCTGTGTTCTAGAAGGAATAAGGAGAATTAGGAAAATGCCCATGAATTATTCAATGATGTCCACCATAACTCAGGGAAAGGAAGAAAATCCTGCCTTCCTCAAGCGGCTATGGGAGGCCTTAAGAAAATATACTCCCCTGTCACCTGACTCTCTTGAGAGTCAATTGATTCTAAAAGATAAGTTTATTACCCATTCAGCTGCAGATAACAGGAGAAAGCTCCAAAAGCAAGCCCTGGGCCCTGAACAAAATCTGGAGGCATTATTAAACCTGGCAACCTTAGTGTTCTATAATAGGGTCCGAGAGGAACAGGCCCAAAAGGAAAAGTGAGATCAGAGAGAGGCCACAGCCTTAGTCATGGCCCTCAGACAAACAAACCTTGGTGGTTCAGAGAGGACAGAAAATGGATCAGGCCAATCACCTGGTAGGGCTTGTTATCAGTGTGGTTTACAAGGACACTTTAAAAAAGATTGTCCAACAAGAAACAAGCCACCCCCTCATCCATGTCCGCTATGCCGAGGCAATCACTGGAAGGCACACTGCCCCAGAGTGAAATGGTTCTCTGGGCCAGAAGCCCTCAACCAGATGATCCAACAACAGGACTGAGAGTGCCTGGGGCAAGTGCCAGCTCATGTCATCAACCTTACTGAGTCCCGGGTATGTTTAACCATTGAGGGCCAGGAAATTGACTTCCTCCTGGACACTGGCATGGCCTTCTCAGTGTTAATCTCCTGTCCTGGATGACTGTCCTCAAGGTCCATTACCATCCAAGGAATCCTAAGACAGCCTATAACCAGGTATTTCTCCCACCTCCTCAGTTGTAATTGGGAGACTTTGCTCTTTTCACATGCCTTTCTTGTTATACCTGAAAGTCCCACACCCTTATTAGGGAGGGATATATTAGCCAAAGCTGGAGCTATTATCTATATGAATAAGAGGAACAAGTTAACCATTTGTTGTCCTCTACTTGAGGAGGGAATCAACCCTGAAATCTGGGCATTGGAAGGACAATTTGGAAGGGCAAAAAATGCCTGCCCAGTCCAAATCAGGCTAAAAGACCCCACCACTTTTCCTTATCAAAGGCAATATCCCTTAAGGCCTGAAGCTCATAAAGGATTACAGGATATTGCTGAACATTTAAAAGCTCAAGGCTTAGTAAGGAAATGCAGCAGTCCCTGAAACACCCCAATTCTAGGAGTACAAAAACCGAACGGTCAGTGGAGACTAGTGCAAGATCTTAGACTCATCAATGACGCAGTAATTCCTCTATATCCAGTTGTACCCAACCCCTATACCCTGCTCTCTCAAATACCAGAGGAAGCAGAATGGTTCACTATTCTGGACCTCAAGGATGCCTTCTTCTGTATTCCCCACACTCTGACTTGCAGTTTCTCTTTGCCTTTGAGGATCCCACAGACCACATGTCCCAACTTACATGGACCTTCTTGCCCCAAGGGATTAGGGATAGCCCTCATCTGTTTGGTCAGGCACTGACCCAAGATCTAGGCCACTTCTCAAGTCCAGGCACTCTGGTCCTTCAGTATGTGGATGATTTACTTTTGGCTACCAGTTCAGAAGCCTCATGCCAGCAGGCTACTCTAGATCTCTTGAACTTTCTAGCTAATCAAGGGTACAAGGCATCTAGGTTGAAGGCCCAGCTTTGCCTACAGCAGGTCTAATATCTAGGCCTAATCTTAGCCAGAGGGACCAGGACCCTCAGGAAGGAATGAATACAGCCTATACTGGCTTATCCTTGCCCTAAGACATTAAAACAGTTGTAGGGGTTCCTTGGAATCACCAGCTTTTGCCAACTATGAATCCCCAGATACAGCAAGATGGCCAGACCACTCTATACTCTAATCAAGGAGACCCAGGGAGCAAATACTCATCTAGTAGAATGGGAACCAGGGGCAGAAAGAGCCTTCAAAACCTTAAAACAGGCCCTAGTACAAGCTCCAGCTTTAAGCCTTCCCACAGGACAAAACTTCTCTTTATACATCACAGAGAGAGAACAGGGATAGCTCTTGGAGTCCTTACTCAGACTTGTGGGACAACCCCACACCAGTGGCATACCTAAGTAAGGAAATTGATGTAGTAGCAAAAGGCTGGCCTCACTGTTTAAGGGTAGTTTCAGCAGTGGCCATCTTAGTGTCAGAGGCTATCAAAATAATACAAGGAAAGGATCTCACTGTCTGGACTACTCATGATGTAAATGGCATACTAGGTGCCAAAGGAAGCTTATGGCTATCAGACAACTGCCTACTTAGATACCAGGCATTACTCCTTGAGAGACCGGTGCTTCAAATATGTATGTGTGTGGCCCTCAACCCTGCCACTTTTCTCCCAGAGGATGGGGAACCAATCGAGCATGACTGCCAATAAATTATAGTCCAGACTTATGCCACCCGAGATGATCTCTTAGAAGTCCCCTTAGCTAATCCTGACCTTAACCTATATACCAGTAAAAGTTCATTTGTGGAAAATGGGATATGAAGGGCAGGTTATGCCATAGTTAGTGAAGTAACCATACTTGAAAGTAAGCCTCTTCCCCCAGGGACCAGCGCCCAGTCAGCAGAACTAGTGGCACTTACCCAAGCCTTAGAACTGAGAAAGGGAAAAAGAATAAATGTGTGTACAGATAGAAAGTATGCTTATCTAATCCTACATGTCCATGCTGCAATATGGAAAGAAAGGGAGCTCCTAACCTCTGGGGGAACCCCCATTAAATACCACAAGGAAATTATGGAGTTATTGCATGCAGTGCAAAAACTCAAGAAGGTGGCAGTCTTACACTGCCAAAGCCATCAGAAAGGTGAAGGAGAAAAGGCAGAAGGAAACCATCAGGCAGATGCTCAGGCCAAAATTGCTGCCAGGCGGAACCTCCCATTAGAAATACCTACGGAAGGACCCTTGGTATGGAACAACCCCCTCCAAGAGATTAAGCCCAGTATTCCCTGACTGAAACAGAATGGGGACTTTCACCCGGGCATAGTTTTCTCCCCTCAGGGTGGTTAACGACAGAAGAAGGAAAGGTACTTATACCCGAAACCAGCCAGTGGAAAATACTTAAAATCCTCCACCAAACTTTTCATATGGGTATTGAAAACACTCATCAGATGGCCAAATCCCTATTTACAGGGCCAATTCTCTTCTGGACTATCCGACAGATCATCAAAGCCTGTGAGGTGTGCCAAAGGAATAATCCCTTTGTCCATCATAAGGCCCCTTTGGGGGAATAAAGAATAGGTCACTATCCTGGAGAGGACTGGCAGTTAGACTTCACCCATATGCCTAAGTCAAAGGGATTTCAATACTTGTTGGTCTGTGTTGATACCTTTACAAATTGGATAGAAGCTTTCCCCTGCAAAACAGAGAAGGTTCAGGAAGTGATTAAAGTCCTAATTCATGAAATAATTCCTAGATTTGGGCTTCCCCAAAGCTTACAGAGTGACAATGGTCCAAGCTTTTAAAGCCACGATAACTCAGGGAATTTCCAGAGTGCTGGGATACAATATCACCTTCACTGCGCCTGGAGGCCACAATCCTCAGGGAAGGTCGAGAAGGCAAATGAAACACTCAAGAGGCACTTAAGGAAACTAACACAAGAAACTCATCTCCCATGGCCTACTCTTTTGCCCATGGCCTTGTTGAGAATCCGAAATTCTCCCCACAAAATGGGGCTCAGTCCATATGAAATGCTGTATGGACGACCTTTTCTCACAAATGACCTTCTACTTGATCAGGAAACGGCCAATTTGGCCAAAGATATAACTTCTTTGGCAAAATATCAACAAAATCTTAAAAACCTACCTGAAGGATGTCACAGAGAAAAGGGTACAGAGTTGTTTCAACCAGGAGATCTAGTGTTGGTCAAATCTCTCCCCTCTACCTCCCCATCTATGGACTCTTTGTGGGAAGGACCATACTCAGTAATCCTCTCTACCCCCACTGCAGTTAAGGTGGTAGGAGTGGAATCTTGGATTCACCACACCCAAGTCAAATTTTTGACACCCCCTGAGGAACCTGCGGGACCGTCAGCTCAGGAGTCCCAAGATCAGCCAGACCAGCCTCAATACACCTGCGAACCATTGGAGGACTTGCATCTCCTATTTCAGAAGGAAACATCCCAGACTAAAAAGGCTCCTACCACTGATCCTGAAGAAAAACCCCATCCTCCTTAAAAAAGATAAGTGAAAACCTACACAATCTTTATCTTTACCACCTCTCCTTGCCCCTTTAATGGAATCCTTTTACTATTTCATTATATTATTAAGCAGCATACTAACCATACTATATACTATAGCTCCTGCCAGGACAAAAATAAAATAGAACACAGGGAGCCACTCAGTTTGCCCCCAACACCCCTTTCCAGCCACTCACCGGGGCTACCTTGGCAAGTACTCTAGGAGTATGGGAAAATGAAAACAACAAACTCACACACCTTTTTAACATATACAACAAGTTCTGTCTACCCAGCCAAGGTATATTCTTCTTATGTGGAACATCGACCTATATCTGCCTCCCCACTAACTGGACAGGCACCTGCACCTTAGTCTTTCTAGGTCCCAACATTAACATTGCCCCAGGAAATCAGACCCTATCAGTACCCCTCAAAGCTCAAGTCTGTCAGCGCAGAGCCATACAACTAATACCCCTACTTATACAGTTAGTAATGGCTACTGCTACAGGAACCGGAATAGCCAGTTAATCTACTTCATTATCCTACTACCACACACTCTCAAAGGATTTCTCAGACAGTTTGCAAGAAATAACGAAATCTATCCTTACTCTACGATCCCAAATAGACTCTTTGGCAGCAGTAACTCTCCAAAACGGCTGAGGCCTAGACCTCTTCACTGCTGAGAGAGGAGGACTCTGCACCTCTTAGGGGAAGAGTGTTGTTTTTACACTAACCAGTCAGGGATAGTATGAGGTGCTGCCCGGCATTTACAGGAAAAGGCTTCTGAAATCAGACAATGCCGTTCAAACTCATACTAACCTCTGGAGTTAGGCAACGTGGCTTCTCCCCTTTCTAGGTCCCATGGCAGCCATCTTGCTATTACTCACCTTCAGGCCCTGTATTTTTAACCTCCTTGTCAAATTTGTTTCCTCTGGGATCAAGGCCGTCAAGCTACAGATGGTCTTACAAATGGAACCCCAAATGAGCTCAACTAACAACTTCTACCAAGGACCCCTGGACTGACCTGCTGGCCCTTTCACTGGCCTAGAGAGTTCCCCTCTGGAGGACACTACAACTGCAGGGCCCCTTCTTTGCCACTATCCAGCAGGAAGTAGCTAGAGCAGTCATCGGCCAATTCCCAGCAGCAGTTGGGGTGTTCTGTTTAGACGGGGATTGAGAGGTGAAGCCAGCTGGGCTTATGGGTCAGGTGGGGACTGGGAGAACTTTTCTGTCTAGCTAAAGAATTGTAAACATGCCAATCAATGCTCTGTGTCTAGCTAAAGATTTGTAAATGCACCAATCAGCACTCTGTAAAATGGACCAATCAGCAGGATGTGGGCGGGGCCAAATAAGGGAATAAAAGCTGGCCACCAGCAGGAGCAACCTGCTCAGGTCCCCTTCCATACTATGGAAGCTTTGTTCTTTCGCTCTTCACAATAAATCTTGCTGCTGCTCACTCTTTGGGTCAGCACTACCTTTAAGAGCTCTAACACTCACTGTGAAGGTCTGTGGCTTCACTCCTGAAGTCAGCAAGACCACGAACCCACCAGAAGGAAGAAACTCTGGACACATCTGAACATCTGAAGAAACAAACTCTGGACACACCGTCTTTAAGAACTGTAATACCTACCATAAGCGTCCGCGGCTTCATTCTTGAAGTCAGCCAGACCAAGAACCCACCGGAAGGAACCAATTCTGGACACACTCTGTCTTCCTGTCTCAAGGGGATAAGACAATAGAGTTGACAGCCCTGTTTTAAATGGATTCAAAACTGTGAAATCACTTTTTTTTTTTGAGACAGAGTTTTGCTCTTGTTGCCCAGGCTGGAGTGCAATGGGGTGATCTTGGCTCACCGCAACCTCTGCCTCCCAGGTTCAAGTGATCCTCCTAACTCAGCCTCCCGAGTAGCTGGGATTACAGGCCTGCACCACCACGCCCAGTTAATTTTGTATTTTTAGTACAGAGGGGGTTTCTCCATGTTGGTCAGGCTGGTCTCAAACTCTAGAGCTTAGGTGAGATCCACCCACCTCGCCCTACCAAAGTTCTGGGATTACAGGCGTAAGCCACTGTGCCCGGCCAGAATAACTTTTTTTTTTTTTTTTTTAGGAGTTCCAGTGCATTTAATAATTTTGATGGGGAACAGCTGACACTCTGATTGCTAATGTTTAAGATGATAGAGGAGGGTCGGGCGCAGTGGCTCATGCCTGTAATCTCAGCACCTTGGGAGGCTGGGGCAGGTGGATCACCTGAGGTCAATCGAGACCAGCCTGACCAACATGGTGAAACCCCATCTCTACTAAAAATGCGAAAAAAGGTGTAGTGGCAAACATCTGTAATCCCAGCTACACAGGAGACTAAGGCAGGAGAATCGCCTGAACCCAGGAGGCAGAGGTTGCAGTACGCCAAGATTGCGCCACTGCACTCCAGCCTGAGCAACGAGAGTGAAACTCCGTCTCGGGGTAGGAGGGAGAAAAAAACAAAAAAAGATGATAGAGGAGAGCAGAATTGGAAGTGGTGGCCAAACAAGAAGGCAGAGTTTAGTTAATTGCTTACATGATGTGATTTCAGAGGCCATAAACACTTTCTCATCTCTAAGAATTACCACTGCTCTTTAATGTCTAAAAACTTCATTTCCTTCCTATTGAAACCTCTCTCTGTTAAAATGCAGACCAAACGCCCTATAGGTGTAACGCTTTGACTGTTATCAGTCATGCAGACTTTTGTGGAAGTGTGTTTTAGATTCCTTTCTGGAAGTAGATTTTGATAGGGAATAGGAGGATATTGGATACTATGGGACTAAGTAGAGAAGAAAGAAGCTTAAGCTTGTCTAAGACACCTTAGACACCTCACCTGTTTTTCAATTTTACTGATGATTGGTATGAGAGGAAAAACAAAACCTGGTTTAATAAGAAATGGATTCATAAATGCTTTTTCTATAAATTTATAAACTTCAAGCTTATAGAAAAAGTTGTTCCAGTGCAAGAAACTCCTACATGCTTTTGATCCCCACTTGGTAAAAGCCCCACTTGCTCCATCCGTGTCTCTCCTCATCTGTTCATTCATATGCCTGTAGTTTGCTGAGAACTGAGTTTCTATCTGCTGTCACTTCTCTTTAGGCCAAATAGTTTCCTTTAGTATTTCTTGTACAACAGATCTGCTGCTGATAAATCCTTTTAATGATCATTTATCTGAAAGTATTTCATTTCTCTAAACATATTTGTAATAGCTGCTTTAAAGTTCTTATCTGTTGGCCGGGCACGGTAGCACTTGTGCCTGTAATCCTAGCACTTTGGGAGGCTGAGGTGGGCAGATGGCTTGAGTCCAGGAGTTCGAGACCAGCCTGGGCAACAGGGCAAAATCCTGTCTCTACTAAAAATACAAAAAATTAGCTCAGCATGGTGGTGTGTGACTGTAGTCCCAGCTACTCAAGAGGCAGAGTTGGGAGGATCACCAGAGCCCAAGAGGTCAAGGCTGCAGTGAGCTGTGATTTTACCACTGCACCCCAGCCTGGGTGACAGAGTGAGACCCTGACTCAAAAAAATAAAAAATCAATAAAAATTAAATAGAGTTCTTATCTGCTAATCCAATATCTGGATAATTTTGAAGTCAGTTTCTATTGACTGCTTTTTCTCGGCTACAGACTGCATTGTCCCATTTTTTTCTCTTTGACTGTGGCCTCATTTTCCTGTTCTTTCTGTTCTCATTTTCATGTTCTTCTCACATTCCTGTAACTTTTTCTTGCATATTGGACATTGTGAGTGATACAAAGTCTCTAGATTGTTTTCTTTCTCTGAAAAGTGCTGATTTTTGTTCTAGCAAGCAAAATTAATTTGGCAAGGCTCGAATGGCAATTCCTGTGGTGGCAACAGCTGAAAACTGCTCAGTTCTTTCAGCTTTTTTTTTTTTTGAGATGGAGTTTTGCTCTGTTGCCCAGGCTGCTGGAGTGCAGTGGCACAACCTCGGCTCACTGCCACCTCAGCCTCTTTCAGCCTTTTTAGCGATTTGCTTCCTGCTAGGCTCCTGAGAGATTATAGACGCATAGTTCAAGGATCAGCCAAAGACTTGCCCAAATTTACATGCAGTTCTTCTGTGGCTCACTTCTTTCTGGGATGTCCCTGTCACTGTCATCTCTCCAGAGTCCCTGAGCTCTGTCCTCAGAGACTGTGGCCTTCTGCCTGTGTTTCCCCATAGTCCTGAGCTGTGGACTGGGAAATGCCTTCAGGCAAAAAACCATAGAAATGAGAATCTCAACAGGTGCCTTTCTCTCAAGGCTCATCTTCCTTCTGGTTTGTTTGTCTGCATAGGGTTACCCCCAAATAGTTGGGGGTGGGGGGGTTGTTTGTTTCATTTTGTTTTTTTGAGATGGAGTCGTGCTGTAATGCCCAGTCTGGAGTGCAGTGGTGCGATCTCGGCTCACTGCAACCTCTGCCTCCCAGGTTCAAGCAATTCTCCTGCCTCAGCATCCTGAGTAGCTGGGATTACAGGCTTGTGCCACCATGCCTGGCTAATTTTTGTATTATTAGTAGAGATGAGGTTTCACCATATTGGCCAGGCTGGTCTCAAACTCCTGACCTCGTGATCCACCTGCCTTGGCCTCCCAAAGTGCTGGGATTACAAGCGTGAGCCACTGCACACAGCCCAAATAGTTGTTTTTTAAATACTTTGTCCTGAACTTATTGTCACTATCTCCAAGAATTAGCCTGACACAATTACTCTGCCATTACCAGAAGCAGAGACTACACTTTAAAAAAAACATATAAAAATATCACCTCTATAAACCGTTACAAGTAAATTGATTAATTCAACAAGTAGTTACTAAGCATTTACTCTGGGCTAGTTACTATGCCAATACTAGGTGCTAGAAATCCTTTCGGATATAAAGAATTATATAAAACTAAAGTCAACTGGAATGGGCCTGGTTCTTTAGACCTCAAAATAAAGATGTTATTCAGGGACATTACAATCCCTTCTCCCTACCCACTAAAGGAATACCATGTACATTTACTTGTTGTCTCATAGACATTTTACAATTTTGTGGTTCATTTTCTCAATAAATTCTGATTGCTGAGCCCAAAAGCATTTGCAGTTAACACCACCAAATCAGCTGTAGTTAAAAATTCTCAATTTTCTTTGGCTAGTTTGAAATTTGTCAAAATATATATAAATAAAAACCCCAGAGATAGAGTCACTCTTTCCTAACAGTGAGACCTCTGTCACTTCTCCATTTGGAAGAAAAGAAACTCTAGCGCTAGAAACATCACCCTGAAGGAGGTGAAAGCAGTGTTCCTTCAGCATCAAAACTGGGGCCAGGGAGGGGCCTCCCTTTGACTTACCCCACCTTCCTATCTGGATTGTGGAGTGTTACTAACCTCCACAAATGGTCTTAGTTTTTTACTATATCTAAATAAAATAAAGGTAAGCCTGGACGCAGTGGCCATGCCTGTAATCTCATCACTTTGGGAGGCCGAGGTGGGTGGATCACCTGAGGTCAGGAATTTGAGACCAGCCTGGCCAACATGGCGAAACCCCGTCTCTATGAAAACTACAAAAATTAGCCCAGCGTGGTGGCACATACCAGTAATCCCAGCTACTCAGGAGGCTGAGGCAGGAGAATCACTCGAACGCAGGAGGCAGAGGTTGCAGTGAGCTGACGTGGTGCCACTGCACTCCAGCCTGGGTGACAGAGTGAGACTCCGTCTCAAATAAATAAAATAAAATAAAATAAAAGTAGCAGTTTCATTTGTATAAGGTCCAATGCTGAATGCCACTTATTTGGGGTTAGAGGTCAAAGAAAGTTTGCATGTCTGCTATGGTGTGTAGGGTTCACCACCTTAGTTCTGAGTTCCTCATTCCCATTCTTAAATCCTCATTCAAGACCTGTCTCAGTCACAGGCTTATGGGACGATAAAGAGGGATGTAAAAGGGAGAGGTGGGACATTTTTCCTGCTTTATAGCTTTGTCTAAGTTTGGCTCTGGCTTCATTAAGGAGCCAAGTGGGAAATACACTCACGGAGCTCCAGCCCCTGCCCTCTGGTCCTCACTGTTGTGAACATGTTGGAGATTAGCTCAGTGCCCTTCCTATTTCCGTTGGTTTTCTGGCACCTCTTATTCTAGTTCCGCTATTAGAATAGCCTATGAAAGAGGATCACATACAGCAAGCACAGGGGAAACACTCCAGAACCAACCACTGAATGAATTACTTGGCTCTATACCACGTTCTTTTATTCCTTCTCCCTTTATTTTCTAGGTTAAATTTATTCTTGTATCATCTTAACATCTGAAACTATTTTTATTACTATTTTATCTTACTTCTAATGCATACTTAAAATACTTCTGATTGTACAGCAGTTTTACCATAAACCTTGCATGTCATTTTCTGATGAATCATGAATAACTCAACCAGACACAGCGTGAGGTCAACAGCAAACATCTGTGTCCTTGGAGGCGGCCTTCTCCCCTTCACGCAGCTGGCTGGCATCAGCTAAACAGCCAGTTATTTAACACACTCAAGCTGTGCACCAGGGCAGGCTGACCAGTGCTTACTGCTGAATATCTTACACATTAAAACAGGAAGATGAAACCAGAAAAAGAATACAAGGGTTAATTACTAGCTTATTAGTAGTTCCATTTTTCTTCCAAAGAAAACAGTTCTGTTGAGTCTCAGGTGGATGTTGGGTAGAAGCAGGACAGCCAGTCAGCGCCGCTTTGAAGTGTGGCTGCAGGGCTTGCGCTCTCCCCAATTCAGCTGTTGAAGCAGGGAAGAGACTTCAAAGCCGGCTTGCTGTTGTTCCTGCCAGTGGGGTGTGTGCAATTCCCATCAGTTTGCTTTAAGGAAAAAACGGAGAGGAATTCATCTCCTGTCACTTGCCAGGGCTTGATGCTCATCAAATAATCTACTAGTTTGTAGTTAGGACCATCTCTATCTAGTGGACACAAAGGAAATTCATTGTGTGACTTACGTTTATTTATGTACATTAATTTTACACATCTGAGATAGCCAGTTTGTGTAATTTGTCCAGATTGTGCCACATGTCAGTGACGAGTAAACCACTCCTACTGCTGATTAAATTCACTTGTGGAAATATACAGTAGCTCTCCTAGGCAAAGGCAAGTTTAGAAGATTGTCCCCTTGTTGCTCTGTTACTACAACCCATAATTACAACTGTTTACAATCCTTTAGTCAGATTTAAATTCAACATGTAGGAAGTGCGCTCAAACTCCTTTGTGAGTTAAGAATTATTCTGTTTGGTCAATTCACTTTGTACTATATATACATTTTTGAACAACACATTTTTAAAAGTAAATGCAATTTCCCTGAATGATTTTATTTGGTCTAAACCTTAATTTCCATTTAAAATGTATATAGTTTATTTCACAATAAGGGGAAAATGAAATACTTGAAGCCATTATTAACTTTTTTTTTTTTTTCTGAGACGAAGTCTTGCTCTGTCGCCTAGGCTGGAATGCAGTGGTGTGATCTTGGCTCATTGCAACCTCCACCTCTCAGATTCGAGCAATTCTCCTGCCTCAGCCTCCTGAGTAGCTGGGATTACAGGCGCATGCCACCACACCCAGCGAATTTTTGTATTCTTCGTAGAGATTGGGTTTAACCACGTTGGCCAGGCTGGTCTCAAACTCCTGACCTCGTGATCCTCCCACCTTGGCCTCCCAAAGTGCTGGGATTTCAGGCGTGAGCCACCGTGCCCAGCCAGCTCACTCTTATAATTGAAAATAGCTCTAGTTCAAAAACGGATTCTTTTGACTTATGTGGACAATTAAACTTCCCCACTATTACCCAGTCAGCTTTTATTTAAATAAACATGAAAAATTAGGTAAAAACATTTCATTGTACAGTACAGCATGGGAAAAGATATGAGGCTCTTTAGGAAAGCTTAGCATGCCAAAAATGCAGCAGTAACCAGACAGCAACATTCACCAGTGGCAGTAATACTGCCTCGCCAGTGGTAGCACTACTACCGCAGAGTTGCCAACACCAATACACAGGCATCCATTTATTCAACAGCAGGTCCCCAGTATGGCCTAAAGTAGAGCTACCTGGTAGAAATGAAACGGGGATAAAAACAAACTCGCTCCTGGGAGCATAATGAGGAAAAATCTAGTTACAGAAAGCTTCTAAAATTAGCACAGGAGTATGCATCATGCTGTAGAAAAGACGGTCTACCATACAAGTTCTGAAGAAGCAAAGATCATTAATTAAAGAGCTGTTAACAGAATATTCAGGAGGCTGTGGCAGGAGAATCGTTTAAACCCGGGAGGTGGAAGTTGCAGTGAGCAGAGATTGTGCCACTGCACTCCAGTCTGGGCAACAGACTCTGTCTCAAAAAAAAAAAAAAAAAAAGAGCTGTTAACAACAAATTAATCTGTTATTGATCTGACACTTATCACTCACAGAATACAATGAAACAGGAAGTTATTATTGAAATAATAACTTGCATTTTTATTTTTTAATATTGCAAATGGCATAAACTCCAGGATTCCCACTTCCCAAGATGTGTTTTTATTTCTCACTGATTGTATCCTGAAGGAATCACAGGTCTTGGCAAGGTCAAGTCACCATCGCTGGTTACACATATCCTGGATATGTGCAGGTTCCCTGTGTCAAGGCCTTTTGAGCCACTTGGAGATGTAATTTAAAAAGGCAAAACAATGCACAGAACAATTGGGGAAAAGTTACAAGTAAAATAATTTTATGCAGACAGAAATGTTTTTAAAGCTGTTCATGATTTAGTAGAAAGAATCAGGAGCTTGAAACAATTACTTCTGTTGCTCTTTTTCTGAGGTTTCATTCCAATGAGAGTTGCACACTGTCAGCTTGGTTTTGTGGCTGCTGATAGTCGTACTTTCTTGCTATTCACAACAAGAAAAAGAAGAGATAAAATTAATAAAACTGCAAAATGATTACTACTTAACAATATTACATTACAGTCAAGTCATGATTCTCAATGAAGAATTAGTTTTTGTCTGTTTGTTTCAGAGATAGAGTCTCCCTCTGATACCCAGGCTGCAGTGCAGTGGCACAATCACAGCTCACTGCAGCTTCAACCTCTTGTGCTCAAGCAATCCTCCCACCTCAGCTTCCCAGGTAGCTGAGACCACAGACAGACACCACCACACCCGGCTAATTTTTTATTTTTTGCAGAGATAGGGTCTCGCCATGTTGCCCAGGCTGGTCTTGAACTCCTGGCCTCAAGTGATCCTCTTGCTTTGGCCTCTTAAAGTGCTGGGATTACAGATGTGAGCCACTGTACCCCGCTAAGTAATTAGTCTAGAATTAAAACAATTTTGTTTCTTTGGAAAAGATGTATTACACTTCATGATCCTCTAATTTCTCAACACTGCTGATGCCCATTTTTATATGTTTATTATTATTATTCATGTATCAGGATTATTCATAGCTTTAAAATATAAACATTAAGCTATTAAAATTTCAAAACTGTATTTATTTTTGAGACAGTGTCTCACTCTGTCACCCAAGTTGGAGTGCAGTGGCACAATCATGGCTCACTGCTGCTTTGACCTCCCAGGCTCAAACAATCCTGCCACGTCAGCCTCCCAAGTAGCTGGGACTACTGGTGGACATCACCACACCCAGCTAATTTTTTTTATTTTTAGTATAGACAGGGTTTCACCATGTTGCCCAGGCTGGTCTTTGAACTCTTGGGCTCAAACGATCATCCTGCCTTGGCCTCCCAAAGTGCTGGGATTACAGGTGTGAGCCATCATGCCTGACCTAAGCTATTAAAATTAATGTTTAGTAATTTCTTCCTTTATTACCTGTCATTTCCATCTTAAAGTTAATAATAATGCTTTTGTCCACACATAAGGAATTTGACTATATTTTAACTTAAAAACCTAACAGGCTTATTGTTGATTAAACATATAATAAATGTCTTCAATATAAACTAGAAGAAAAAATAGATATGCAATTCTGTCTTCTTTTTGTACTTCTAAGAAACGTTAATTGAAGAAAAACTGTCTTAACTTGAAACTAGAGAAAATACAGGGCTAAAAATCTTTGTGTCATCCACTGCTTAGCTTTAAAACTTTCAATCTCTTCTAAGTTTTTTTTTTTTTTTTTTGAGTCTCGCTCTGTCGCCCAGGCTAGAGTGCAGTGGCGTGATCTCAGCTCCCTGCAAGTTCTGCCTCCTGGGTTCATGCCATTCTCCTGCCTCAGCCTCCTGAGTAGCTGGGACTACAGGTGCCCGCCATCATGCCCTGCTAATTTTTTATATTTTTAGTAGAGACAGGTTTTCACTGTGTTAGCCAGGATGGTCTCGATCTCCTGACCTGGTGATCCACCCGCCTCGGCCTCCCAAAGCGCTGGGATTACAGGTGTGAGCCACCACGCCTGGCCAATCTCTTCTAAGTTTTTTACTAGCCAAGAAAGAGATACTATTTGTTTATGCTACTCAGGGTAGATCCAGATTTTTGTAGCCCAAAGCTTACAACTTCGGGAGTCTTCTATTTAAAAAAGAATTCTGTTGCCTGTGTCTTTGGAACCACCAGACTCTGTCAGGACAAAATACATCACGAACACTAAGGACCCATTATGCTGGGATTCATTAAATGTGCAAATCCACACATGTGCTCACTGCTTATAAGCATAATGGCCCCCAAAGATGTCCACATCTTAACCCATAATCTGTGCCTATGTTACCTCACAAGACAAAAGGGACTCTGAAGATGTGATTAAGGTAGGGACCTTGACATGGGGAGATGACTCTGGATTATCTGCCCAACATAATCAGATGGGCCGTTAAAATTACAGAGCTTTTTTCCTGCCTAAGTTCTGAGAGAAGGAGATGTGGACATGAAATAGTCAGAAAGATGCAATGCTCCTGGCTTTGCAGATGGAGGAAGGGACTGTGACCCAAGGAGTGTGGATGGCCCTGAGAAGCTGGAGGAGGCAAAGACAGGGATTTTCCTTGGAGGCTCTAGAAAAACAGAACCATGCAGGCACCCTGAAGTTAGCACGGTGCAGCTGCTGTGGAGCTTCTAACCCACCGAACCGTGAGACAACATGTTCGTGTGGTTTAAGCCACTACATTTGTGGTAATTTGTTACAGTAGCAATAGAAAACTGATACACCTTGCAAACAGAAATTTGGATCAATTTTATTTTATATCATTTCCATCAAAAAAGAAATAAACTGTGGGTTTGTAATGTATCTGCTATGTTACTGAGCATATTACTGACAGCAAATAACTTTTGTGTACGTGTCAATAAAAACTTAGTTCTTTACTTAGAATTTTTCATACAGAGCTCCTGGCTCTGTACTTTTTTTTATTTTTTTTAAGACGAAGTTTCACTCTTGTCCCCCAGGCTGGAGTGTAATGGTGTGATCTCTGCTCACTGCAACCTCTGCCTCCTGGGTTCAAGCAATTCTCTTGCCTCAACCTCCTGAGTAGCTGGGATTACAGGCACCCACCACCACACCCAGCTAATTTTTGTACTTTTAGTAAAGATGGGGTTTCACCATGTTGGCAGGCTGGTCTCGAACTCCTGACCTCAAGTGATCCACCTGTCTCAGACTCCCAAAGTGCTAGGATTACAGGCGTGAGCCATCACACCTGGCCCCAAGGCTCTGTACTTTTTTTTTTAAACAATACTTATGTTTCTTTAAAAGGATTTTTTTTAATGTGGTAAAACATACATAACATAAACTTTACCATTTTAACCATTTTTAAGTGTACAGTTCAGTGGCATTACATATATTTGCATTGCTGGGACTATCACCACCATCCATCCACAGAGCTCTTCTCATCATCCCCAACTGAACTCTGGACCCATTAAACTCCCTATTCCCCTCTTCCATAGCCCCAGGCAACCACCATTCTACTTTGTGTCTCTGTGATTTGCCTCACGTAAGTGAAATAATCCAATATTTGTCCTGTTGTGACTGGCTTATTTCACTTAGTGTACTGTCTTCAAGGTTCATCCATGTGTAGCATGTCAGAATGTACTTCTTTTTTTTTTTTTGAGACGGAGTCTTGCTCTGTCGCCCAGGCTACAGTCCAGTGGTGTGATCTTAGGCCACTGAAACCTCTGCCTCCCAGGTTCGAGCGATTCTCCTGCCTCTGCCTCCCGAGTAGCTGGGATGACAGGCACCCGCAAGTGTGCCCAGCTTATTTTTGTATTTTTGGTAGAGACAGGGTTTCACCATCTTGGCCAGCCTGGTCTTGAACTCCTGACCTTGTGATCCACCCACCTCAGCCTCCCAAAGTGCTGGGATTGTAGGTGTGAGCCACCACTCCCGGCCAGAATGTCCTTCCTTTTAAGGGCTGAATAACATTCTATTGTATGCACCACACTTTGTTTATTCATTCATGGGCTGAGGACTTATGGGTGATTTCCACCTTTTGGCTATTGTGAATAATGCTGCTATGTTGAATTAAGTTATATGTCTTATTTTGAGCCAGTAACACATGCAAATGGTATAAAATACAAAAGGAACAAAGGATAAGTATCTGAAAAACATATTAAACATCTGAAAGAAGTACTAAGTTTTCATTACTTACGATTTCTAATAACATTTTGCTAAATGAACTCAATTCCAGAAAATCTATTTTAAATGTGCATATGTGTATCTTTCAGCACAGAATATACTTACAAATGGAATACATTTCCAGTTGTTGTCTTAAACGAATCTTGCTTATCGTGTCATAAAAGTTGGGCTCTGACAAAGTTTCCTCTGTAGGTGGCACACTGAATATCCTCATAATTCTCCTTTTGTTCCTAAACACAAAATCCATGCAGAAGAGATGTTTGTATTAATGTCTATAGAGTTGTAATATGCTCATGATCCTGGTCATCAGAAGCTGTGGTAAAAGGACTTAAATGACAAGACCATTTTACTTTCTATTTTGTCTTTGAGAGCTGCTTCCTTGGCTCAAAGTATTCTTTCTTTCACTAAAAAGTATGAGGCTGTGAGAAAAGTAGCTGAACACATCCATTTAACACAACAAAGTGAAGTTCCTCCATTGTGATTCTCCTCAATCCTCCAAAAGCCAAATATCCTATGAGAAAATCACAAACAAGAAAACAGCTGATTTTTCCTCCCTTTCATGACATCCAGATAAAGCTAAATGACTGGGCTGGAGAATAAACTGAATGTGAGCAGATCCTAATTTTGGAAAGTAATGAATAAACATATTTCTTAAATACAATAGGATGGGCTTAGTGGAGACATCTTTTTAAAATTAAGAACAGCGTGCCTCTGCTTTTAAAAGAAACATGGGGAGGCGGCGGTGGCTGTTTTTAGAGGAAAGCGGTCACCTGCCAGGTGATCAGTGATGGTCAGGGTGCCTCCTCTCACCACCCCTAGAGTTCAGCAGCCAACAGGCCAGCTGCTCCAGGAGGGTTCAGCTGAGATCTGGGCGCAAGTGCGGGCTCTGAATGATTCCTCAGGCCAAACGTAAATTATTTCTGGATTACTAATTACCTTGAACTCTCGAATGCCTTTTTACCTTGGGACAGGATACCTGTAAAGCATGTGTCTGCAGAAGCATCCCAATCTAACACTGCTCTTCCTCTTTTTAAAGCATCCCTGCACCTCCCCCTTTTTACTGTACTTCTGGGAAAGGAGCCAGGGAATGTGGAAAAGCAGTTAAATTAAGCTACAACATCTGGAATTAAAGCAGGAAATACTTATTGAAGATTTACACTATATGGCACACCAAGGACCCAAAAGTAAAAGACAAAAAAGACATGTTGTGGAATGGACAGACAAGTAATCAGATAAAACTAACATTGTTTAATAAGTGCTATGATATAGTCATGCACAAAAAACAAGGAAAAGCTTATACTGGCTAAAGGGAGATCTGCTGAATACACAGGAGTCAGTGTTTCTGCATTCAGGGACTTAAGCCAAAAAAAATGTGCTCAATGAAGGGTGACAATGAACCCAGGCTGGATGATAAAATTGGGCTATATTAGAAATTGCAGAATTGAGAGTTTAGTGCAGCTGGCCTGGGGGCTGAGAGTGGTACTTAACTCTTCATTTCTTAAAGCGATGGGGTTTTCTTTTTTTTTTTTGAGATGGAGTCTCACTTTGTCGCCCAGGCTGGAGTGCAATGGCACGATCTTGTCTCACTGCATCCTCCTCCCATGTTCAAGTGATTCTCCTGCCTCGGCCTCCCAAGTAGCTGGGATTACAGGCTCACGCCATCACGCCCAGCTAATTTTTTTATTTTTAGTAGAGACGGGGTTCACCATGTTGGCCAGACTGGTCTTGAACTCCTGACCTCAGGAGGTCCACCAGCCTCAGCCTCCCAAAATGCTGGGATTACAGGTGTGAGCCACCGTGTCTGGCCAGCAATGGGGTTTTCAGAGCCAAACCTTGGCCACCAATGCTTGAGACCAGAGTAGACAGTGTCTTTCAGCACTAGAACAAAAATTATAATGAAATTTCTTTCTTTTTTTTTCTGAGGCGGAGTCTTGCTCTGTCGCCAGGCTGGAGTACACCACTGCAACCTCCAACTCCCTGGTTCAAGTGATTCTCCTGTCTCAGCCGCCCAAGTAACAGGGATTACAGGCACGCACCACCATGCCCAGCTAATTTTTGTATTTTTAGTAGAGACAGGGTTTCACCATGTTGGCCAGGATGGTCTCAATTTCCTGACCTCGTGATCTGCCCACCTCGGCCTCCCAAAGTGCTGGGATTACAGGTGTGAGCCACTGCGTCCAGCCTGATGAAATTACTTTTATGCATTCATTTCATATTTCTTAAACTAGCAAAACTTGTAAATGCACAGTTTTTATCTACCCTGAGAAACAAAAATTTACCTTTTGGCATACATGAAGAGACCGAAGCTAACAAGGATAACTATCAAGTAAACATTGGTGGCTTCATTCCAGGCTTCGTGAACAGTATAATCAATAGAACCATCGTCACCCATCACTCCATAACCCCCAGCCATGGGGCTGTAAGAGAGAAAAGAAAGCAGGGTTTCTTTTAATTAATGATGGTAGCACTGTCTGGAGAAGGGTTGGCAAACATATGGCCTGCTGGCCAAATCCAGTCCACCACCTGTTTGTGTGCGGCCCATGAGCCAAGAATGGGATTTACATTTCTAAGTGGCACATTTTAAATGGTGCAGTTGGCCCTCTCTATCTGACGGTTCTGCATCCACATAATCAACCAACTGTGAATGGAAAATATTTGGGAAAAAATACAAATTTTAAAAAATACATTATACCAACTATTTACATAGCATTTACATTGTATTAGGTATTGTAAGTGCTTAGAGATGATTTAAAGTACATAGAGGATGTGCTTAGGTTATATGCAATACTATGCCATTTTATATCGGGACTTGGGCATCTACGGATTTTGATATCTGAGGGGGTCCTGGCACCAATCTCCCAAATACCAAGGACTGCACCTACACAATATTGATTTTGTTTCAAAGCCCACAAAACCTAAAATATTTACAATCTGGCCCTTTAAGAAACTTGGGATAAAAAATAATATTACTAAAAGGACTGAGCTTGAAATGTTATTGCAGTTTCCAAATTGTAACACCCAGAGGAAAGTAACAGAATACTTTAAAACAGAGACTCTGCTGGGCGTGGTGGCTCAGGCCTGTAATCCCAGCACTCTGGGAGGCCGAGGTGGGTGATCACCTGAGGTCAGGAGTTCAAGACCAGCCTGGCTAACATGGTGAAACCCTGTTTCTCTAAAAATACAAAAAATTAGCTGGGCATGATGGCGGGTGACTGTAATCCCAGCTACTTGGGAGGATGAGGCAGAAGAATTGCTTGAACCTGGGAGACGGAGGTTACAGTGAGCGGAGGTCAGGCAGTTGCAATGCAGCCTGGGTGACAGAGCGGGACTCCATCTCAAAAAACAAAAACCACAGAGACTCAACACCTGGCTGTGCTGCTACAAAAGTGTTGCACAGCAGCCTAGCAAGGATGTGACAGCCAGAACATGGCTCTCTCACCCCGCATGCCTCCCACACTGGGAAACGTTTAGAGCTTTATCTAGTTTTGGCCTGCTGGACAAATTTGGTTGAAAGAAGCTATGGGATGAAAAGATACATTTTGCTATTGACACAGCTGTGACATCTACCCTAGGAAATGCATTCTTTGGACATTCCCACAGAAAGTTAGAGTGGTCACAGCAAGTGCATCAAACAGCAAGTAAAAGTAATGACTTCTTCTTTGTGTTTGAGAAGTTAACTGAATTTTTCTTTAAAGAGAGTTCCTCCCTTGTGTTGGGACATAAAAGGTAAGTCTAAGTAAAATGACCTAATATGTAAAGAAAATCCAGAAGTGTTGTTTTAGACACTCTATATACAGGAGAAAAATGGACAAATATAAGTGATAGTTGCACTGTAGTTTCTGAGAATCAGTCATTTTCTAATACCAAGAAAAACAGTCTAAAAAGTTGTTTGGTGATTTTTTTCTACGCTGCCTACAACAATGAAGGCATTACAAAAATTCTTTCACTAAAATGTCTTGCAGGAGTCCATGCTGTAAACCTCCAAAGTGTTCATTAGTGTAGATTTGGCCAGCTAGTTAATATACATGTTTTGAGGGCAGAGTTCTTTCTTTTAGCTTGCCTCTATATGAGAAAAATGAAATTTCAGGAGAGGTCTGTTCCTAAGCCACATGGCATGTTTCTGCCTTTCTGACAACGTGACTTTGTCAGATGTTTGGGGACATACTGTACTCCTTTAGAATAAAGTGAGTATCATGAACAGCCATTTAACTTCAACTCTTCACACTGAGGGCAGGAGTGATTTGACTAAACTAACTATGGGTGTCTGCTGAATATAAAGATTTGTCTCGTGAAAATTAGCCAGAGAACAATAAAAACAGAAATTAAGTTGTAAAAATTTGCAGATGCACTATCTAAATATTGTTTAAACACTAGACTATACCCAATTCCTAGATACTAAAGACTGGCTGTGGATTTTTTTGAGTGAGAGGTACAGAGGTATTTGGCATTTGGCATTTTTTTTTTTTTTTTTCCCTGAGACAGAGTCTCGCTCTGTCACCCAGGCTGGAATGCAGTGGCACGATCTCGGCTCACTGCAAGCTCCGCCTCCCGGGTTCACACCATTCCCCTGCCTCAGCCTCCTGACTAGCTGGGACTATAGGAGCCCACCACCGCGCCCGGCTACTTTTTTGTATTTTTAGTAGAGACGGGGTTTCACCGTGTAAGCCAGGATGGTCTCGATCTCCTGACCTCATGATCCGCCCACCTCGGCCTCCCAAAGTGCTGGGATTACAAGCGTGAGCCACCGCGCCCGGCCGGTATTTGACATATTGAGAGTTTCAATTCTTATTCCTCAAAACTAAATTCCAGAGTTCCTCTGAATGTAACTTTATGGTTTATAGTAAGTAATCAGCCTACTTTAGACATGGAAACTTTTGGAAGCCCAGACACTATAACTGTCTTTATAATTTATGGAATCTCAAACTTCGTTGGTGCCAAAGTGTAAAATAGCAACCACCACCACCGTGTTTGGCAAAAAAAAGATGACTTTATGTGTCTGATTTGAGATGCTGCAGAAGGCCCAGGACAATTATGCAGCAAGGGAGGCAGCTTTCAGGATTGAGAGTTATTAACAAATTAGGCAAGAAACGGGGAACCATACAGCACTGGCCACTAGAACATTTCACGGGTGTCATTTATCTGACAAATTAAAAAATGTTTCCTATTTTCTAATGACAAAATGGATCAGAACCAGGTTAATTTCTTACTTTAATTTTTCACAAGATTCTGTTCATGTGCCACTCAGTAAATGGTATATTCCTACTCAAAAGCGCTACTTCCTCCTGCCCCAAATATGCAGGTCTTTAATTACACTTAGGAAAAAATTTCTAATTACTGCTGACATAGAACGGTAAAATTTTAACGTGAATTATACAACCTATATTATACAACATGATTGGTATGTCATGAAGTCACTCTTCTGCGCTTCCAGGCACATGCACTTGAGTTATTTTTAGGAGTGTAGTTGTGAAAGATTTGCAGAGGGGAGGCCTTTCCCGCCCAGTCCTCAATCATGATCAATGGCATGACTTTATAAGGCTGCCAGGAGTAAGGAGTGCTCTGGTCCTGAGTCACAGTACAGACCCACAGCCCACAGGCAGCCTGAACTATGACCCCGTCCCCTCCTCCCCGGCATGCCACAGTGTAACCAAGTGTACACACATACACCTGCTGCGTGCTTACTGCATACCACCACAGCCTTCCTCTGGAATCTAAAGCAAGACACCATTTTTCACATTTTCCTGTAATGTAATGCTTGAACTATTTCAGTAAGGAGAGGCTAGGATGGGCTGAATTAAGTCTCAAGTAAACAAGAGTATATAAACTTGCCAATATATTACAACTAGGGGTTGGTTTTAGATTGACAAACTTTTAGGATGAGAACTACTTTTTTTTTTTTTTTTACAAAAACAGGGTCTCACTCTGTCACCCAGGCTGGAGGGCAGTGGTGCGATCTCGGCTCACTGCAGCCTCGACGTCCCAGAATCGAGGGATTCTCCTGCCTCAGCCTCCCAAGTAGTTGGGAATACAGGCAAGTGCCACCATGCCTGGGTAATTCTTATTTTTTTTTTTTTAAAGACGGGGGTGGGGTGGGGGTCGTCTCACTATACTGCCCAGGCTGGTCTCAAAACTCCTGAGCTCAGGCAATCCGCCCGCCTCAGCCTCCCAAAGTGCTGGGATTACAGGCGTGAGCCACCGTGCCCAGCCGAGAACTACTTTTTCTAGGGACTAGGTCACTGTATCATAAGCTTTAAAATCTGTGTCGTGATTTTGGGTTCCTGATGTCACGTCTAGGTGATTCTAAAATTGACCACCGCTTGTCATCGTGCCTTGAATGTTATCATTTTTGTCTCTCACTTAGAACTTTGTTACTTTGATACAAATTCACATTGGAACCACTTAGTTCCTAGAGTCCCTTACAACAAAATCCTCTGCATCAAAAAATGGGATTTCTTTCTCTCATCCCTCTGAAACACTAAAGGCTTGGTATTCTGAAGCCAAAGGGTACATACAAGCTCACAGGCCTTCACCCAACATCCAGGAAAGCAATTCACAGGTGCTGGGCAGTCCACAGAGTCACTGAATTATCCCAACAACCCTGCTGGGCGGCACTAAAGCTCCATTTTACAGGAGAAGAAACTGGGGTGGCGGCGGTGGTTATATAACTTGTCCAAAGCCACACAGGCCTGGGCGTGGAGGCGCGGGGCTGTTATACACACGACTCCCAAACCTGAACTCTTCCAGTCTTGGCCCCGATCCTGCGAGACCTGCTCCTTCCGGAAGAAAGTCAAGTGGAGCAGGGAGAAAATGTAATCCTCTCCCAGGAAGCAGCCCGGGTCCCAGGGCGGCGAGGCTCTAGGGACGTTTCCGCCGCCCGCAGGCTGCGCGTGATTCAGCCTCAACCCTCCCGCCGAGCCCCCGCCGCCCCGGCAGATGGGCCGCCGCAACTGGCCCGTGTGCGCTTCCGGAAGCGGGCGACTCGCAGCTCCACGCGACGCCGAGGGGCTCCGCGCCGGGACCGGGCGGGTGCTCGGAGTTTCGGGGACCGCACGGGACCGAGGGCAGGCGGGCGGCCACCCCCCTTACCCCCGCGTCCGGGGCGGGGCGGGCGGCGCGGGGCGGGGCCGGGTGACGCGGCCCCGCCGGGGACCGGGAGAAGCGGGGACGCGGGGCCACTCACGCTGCCGGCTCCGGAGGCGGCACGCGGCCAGCGCTGCTCCGCTCCGGGGCTCTTTACCCCGGAGTCGGGGCCGGGCGCGCGGGAAACGGTTACCGAGCGGACCTGGACGCCCTCTGCCTTCGTCATTTCCTGCCGGCCGGTCGGTTTCCGGATGAAACGAGGAGCCAGGTCTTTTTTTTTTTTTTTTCCTTTCCCCTTTTCAGTTTTTTGAGCCGGAGAGACGCAGCGGCGGCCCCAGTGCCGCCCCCGGGCGCGTGAGTGGAGCCGGGCTCCTTTCCCCTACCGCGCCGCGACCCCCGCCCGGGCTGCGCGCGCCGCCTCCCGCGAGCCCCCGGCCCGACTCCCGGGCTCCCGCGGGTGGGGGCCAGGGCTGGTCGGCGCCGGCGGGGCTCGCGGCGGCGGCGGGTTGCGTCCCCCGCGCCTGCTGGCCCACGTGGACCTGGCCGTCGCTTGCCGTGCGGCGCCTTTGCGAAAACTCGACGGAAGTGGCAGGGACCGGGCATTACCTGCGAGTGCCGGGCGCCTCCTGCTCCGCTGTGCGCGCTTGGGGTGGGACTCGGCGGGGGAGGGGTCGTGTACATTGTCCCACCAGGCGCAATGTAGCCGGGCGGCGCAGAGGATTTCTTTTTTGGTCTTGAGAGCATAGAGTCCCTTTTCATATTCACGTGTACTCTTAAGAAAGCGTCTGTTCTCCAAACTGGCTTTCCATTCTCCCCGTCCTAAATGGTGCGTGGCTGACACCGTAGTGTTTTCAAAACTGGATATGGCCAGGATGCTATAGCATTGTCAGTGTAAGTCCCTTTTGGGTATTTTTATTTAATTGTGTAGTGACTTGACAGAAGTGTTTCCCAGCTTGACCTAAGTAATGAATTTGCATAGGATTTCAGCATCAGTATGGAAGTGATCAGATGTCAGTGGCTGGTGCCACCTTGCAGATAAATGGCCACTGGTCCACGTAGTTCGTCTTTACTATACATTTTGATTAAGTTCTCTAGGACCAGCTGACTGGTAATTATAAGTCACATGAAACCCTGCAGAGATGAGAGCTTACATTGAACACTTCTTAACAAGTTTTCTATTCTTTGTTTCATCTGTTACAATTAAACTCACCTTCGTCTAGGGTAAGACCATTACTTTACGCAATAACATACTAGCTTAATTTACGGTATTTATATGTATTTATATATATTGTATATACATAATCATACATATAATTCTATAACATTTAGTTTGACTCTAAAGTTGGAAAATCAGGAAAATAACAGGTGATGTTGAGTACTGATTGTTTGCCGGGCCTGTGCCAAATGGTGTGCATGCTTTATGTAACTTAATCTAAAAAAATTTGAATACGTGAGTTTGATTTCAGTGTGTCCAAATGTGAAACGTGTACATTATTGTTATTGTTTTGTTTTTTTTGAGACGGGGTTTTGCTCTCGTTCAGGCTGGAGTGCAATGGCACTGTCTTGGCTCACTGCAACCTCCGCCTCCCGGGTTCAAGCGATTCTCCTTCCTTAGCCTCCCAGGTAGCTGGGATTACAGGCGCCCGCCACCACGCCCAGCTAAGTTTTGTATTTTTAGTAGAGACGGAGTTTCACCATGTTGGCTAGGCTGGTCTCGAACTCCAGACCTCAGGTGTTCCGCCCGCCTCGGCCTCCCAAAGTGCTGGGATTACAGGCGTGAGCCACCGCGCCGGGCAAACGTGTGCATTAAATGCTTGTTTATGCCTTTGTAAAATAAGAGTGTTGGCAATATAAAATGTTACCCATAGAGTAAATTAATGTGTTTTTCAAGTTGGAAGATGGCTTTAAAAATTCATAGAAGTACAATTAGTCCCTTTATTTAGGTGCTGAATAGTTTCCAAAGCCCCGTGTCTCTTATTTATCAGAGTTTCTATTATATAACATTGTCACCCAGTGAACAGGCTATGCTAGGACATTGGAAAAAGGTAAATATTGAGAAAGCCCTAATGGTCCTTTCTTAAATGGCCCCCTCTTTCCATATTTAATTTCTAAGTGACATTCCTAATTAAGGGTAAACAAACATAATGAAACAAGGCTAATTTTCCAATACCAAACTAAAAAAATAAAAAACAGTGGACTGGCTATTACTTTGTTGATGAGTCTAGCACAGTTTTACTGGGCATTTAAATGTTAAGGATGTTATTTACATTGTAGCTAGTTGTGAAAGATTTGTGTGTCTAAGTTTTTAGTTTGCCTTTAAATGTCTTGAACATATGCTTAGTATTGAGTCCAGTACTTTGTGCATTAATAGTAAGTTTTTTGATTGGATTTAATTGAACAGTTTTGGCTTCCTTAATTTTATTTTGAAGATAGAATTTAATGATTTGTGTAGGCATAACAGTTACAATTAACAGTGATTCCGAGATGAGCGTAGGGTTTAACTTAACAGTTCACATTTTCTTGCGAGTTGAAAGGACTGGAGAGTTGGATGTGTGTCTTCTTTGTGATTAAAAAAGCATGCTGGAACTTAGCTATCAGAAGATTCTGGTGGTCCATCTTTGGGAAGAGGAAAAGATTAAGAATGCTTTGCTAGTCAGTATTTACAAGAGGGTTTCTTTACTTAAAGGCATTTTCTCTTTGGGGAGGGGAGGAGTTGAGAGTTGTCATTAATGGAAGGATCTTAGAATAAAAAAGATGTATACATGTTTTCCTTTGGAGTGAATTTGTGACTGGAGATGGGGTTTCACTGTGTTAGCCAGGATGGTCTCGATCTCCTGACCTCGTTATCTGCCCTCCTCAGCCTCCCAAAGTGCTGGGATTACAGGTGTGAGCCACCGTGTCTGGCCTATGTGCTTTTTAAAGATGGAACTGATTTAGAATGCAGTATATTACAGTACATGAAAAAATTTTGGAATTTCTGTATGTTTTTCACTGTTGGAAAGCCATAGTGAGTGTAATAACAGCATTGGCTCCTGTTCATAAGGCATTTAAATGATGTGTTTCCTATGACAGGAAGACAAGCGTTTCTCATTCCTTCAAAATTTGGCTCTCAGATGGAGTGCCCTTTAAGCTCCCTGAATGCAGGGACTTCTTCTGTTTCACTCATTGTCTTTTTTCTGGGGCCTAGAACAGAACCTGGCAAACTGAGAGTGCTATGTAAACCTTTGTAGAATGAGCACTTTCCCTGGGGAATCCTCTCTCCACTTTCCACTAGTGAAGATCCCACCTGCTTTTAGGTGCAGGGCCACTCCAGCCTGACTTTCTCTGCAATCTGCAGCCCACAATGATTCTTTGAACATTAACTGTGTATACCACACTCTGTGACAGTGAATCTTTTATAGCTTTATATTGATACATGAGTGTTTCATGTATTTTGTTTCCTCACCCAAAATATAAGCTCTTCAAGGCTACAGGATATCCTATTTTTGAGAATTGCCTTGGTATCCAGTATAATATATAATATTATATAATACCTATAATATATAATGTAATATATGTAATATATAATATATATAATATACATGTATATATACAGAGTAGGTTTATATTTACCTATTAAATGAATGTTACATACCGTGGGGAAACATCAAAGATACTCAAAATGGTAGGTTATATTTTAGTTAGGCAAACCTAGTGTACACATGTGAAACAGTACTAGAATTTGGAGCTAAATAAGAGTTAATACTTATGTCGTGCTTAAAATGTGAACCTCACAACAATCCTTTGAAGTAGGTACAATTATTTCCTCATTTTTCAGAGGAAGAAATGGAGACACAGCAAAGTAATTAAGTTTGTTGCTCAAGATCGTACCGGAAATCATAAGTAGGCAGTCTGGCTCCAGAGGCGGTGTGGTTTCTCTGGGGAGCTTTACTTTATACTTCGAAGGGACATCTAAGCACTACTTTTGCAGCTGTAAGAGATGCTCTTTTAAAAATTTCAAAGTAGCGTAAGAGATTGCAGTGTCTCTAAACTGCAGAAGGAATGCTGGATTTTCTATATAGAGGACATTGATAATGGAATGGTTAAGGGGACATTATATATTGAAATGACTAAAGATGGTGGAGAGAAACTGAAGTTTGAATCTCAAAGCTGAGGATTATGATTTTTTATAGATACTGAATTCTAGAACAGTGATTCACCAGGACATAGGACAATGATTGCTTGTTACTAATTTAGTATCAAAAAACTTATGCCAAATAAAATAATATTGAATGACACTGGATATCTTACTGCATTTCTTTTTTTAAACACTTACCAGATTTGAAGCCCTAGTGGTAGTAATTTACCTTAATGTGGGTATTACTAAAGGTTTCCTATACACTTCTGTCCATTTGCTTTATCTTTTTGTGGAATCTTTTTTTTTTTTTTTTTTTTTGAGACAGGGTCTCACTCTGTCGCCCGGGTTAGAGTACAGTAGTGTGATCTCACTGCAGCCTCTGCCTCAAGCAATCCTCCCACCTCAGCCTCCAGAGTAGCTGGGACTACAGGCACGCACCACTGTGCTCAGCTAATTTTTAAATTTTGTGTAAAGATGAGGTCTCACTATACTGCCCAGGCTGGTCTTGAACTCCTGGGCTCAAACAACCCTCCTCCTGCCTCAGCCTCCCAAAGTGCTGGGTACGTCAGTGAGCCATTGTGCCTGGCCTTTTTGTAGAATCTTTTTTTTTTTTTTAAACAGACTCCGGCTCTGTTGCCCAGGCCGGAGTGCAGCAGCGCGATCTTGCCTCACTGCAGCCCCTGCCTCCCGGATTCAAGCAATTCTTCTGCCTCAGCCTCCCGAATAGTTGTGATTACAGGTGCTTGCCACTACGCCCAGCTAATTTTTCTATTTTTAGTAGAAGACGGGGTTTCACCATGTTGGCCAGGCTGGTCTCGAACTCCTGACCTCAGGTGATCCACCCACCTTGGCCTCCTAAAGTGCTGTGATTACAGGTGTGAACCACTGTGCCCAACCTTTTTGTAGAATCTTGATTCACTTTTTCAGGTTGTATTGAGCAATAGAGAATGCTGTTGGGGTCAGGAGGTCTCTTCAAACCAAGTAATACTCCTTTGGTGGAAAAAAATGTAAAATTGTGTGATTGATTTGGTGACACACCTGGAATAAAGTCAGTTTGAAGCTGTTTAGAATTAGATGAGGGCCTATAAATTTCAGCAAGATGAAGAACAGTGGTATTTCTCTGAAAGTCCCAGTATGTCTCCCTTTTGTTGGGAGCTGACAGTATGATTTTGGGGGCATCGGGCATCAACAGTCACTGAATCTAAATGGCTCCACAGATAGGGGAGTGTATACATCACCACACCAGCTGTCCAGGAATTAGGAGGAAGTGCCCTTGAATGAAGCCTGGGCTGCAAGCCTGGTTAGCAGCCAGGGAGGACACACACACGTTGCAGGTACAGTATTCTGTATTACACAGATTGTTTCTACTGGGAAGGATATCATATCATTTATCTTGGGGGTAGCTTCAGAATTTGAGTCAGTGATGAAATGACTTGCTGCTTTCGTTATGCTCCCTTAAGAAGAACATCATATATTTCGGGATGGCCTGCATAAAAGAAACTTGTAATAATGAATATTGACCTATACCTTGTGTTCTGTTTAAGTATCTGAGGAAGTAATTTGGAAAACTTGAGTTAAAATAGTCTATATTGTAGTTTTTATCCAATTTGCACGTTAGCCCTAATCTTCATTTCAGACTCTTCCCTGAATGGGAAACTTTTAGGGAAAGAGAGAATGATACACTGATTAATTTATTTTCAGCCTACGAAGCTAGGATAATTTAATGAAATCTCTACCAGTCCCATGTTATGAATTTTAGGGTTGGAGAGCTGGATTCTGGACGTGATCTATTCTTTAACTAGGAATGTACAGCAGAATGACCCAGGGTTTATCCTGAAAGTAGCAGATGTCTTCACTTAACTCCTGAGACGCAAATTTGGTAGAGCTGCTGCCACAGGCCCCGGACATCAGTATTAAACCATCCTTAAGTGATTCTGGTGCCTTTTCTCCAGTAAGAAGAACCAGCCCTGTATTTTATATTTAAGAAAACCTGGGCAAACAAATGACTTGCCTAGATTTGGTTCAGTGGTACCAAGATTTAGTCACCAGATAATACAGTTTCAGAATCCTATGGCTGGAAGAAGTTTACCAAGTCATCAATTCAGTAGTTCATCTTACAGCGGAGTGTAAACCATGCTTTTCAATTATTTGCGGTTCTTTTACTGTATACCCTGTGATGCCCTTTTAAGTTTTTTTGAAAATATTGTATACTTAAAACTGAAGTGAAACATTAAAATTTCTTATTAGAATTATTTTTCAGTCTTAGCTGAAATACAATATTGTATGAAAATTTGCACTGCATTATTAGTTTTTTTTTTTAATCTAGTTGATTTTCAACTTTTCTTTTTTAAAGGCATCTCCTTGGAAACAATGCCATCTTTGAATGTGAGAGATAAACCTAGTTTCAGCATGTCTGCAGCAGAGACCAGTACATCAGGCTTATTCCCACAGGAAGCCTCCTAAAGCCTGTGGCGCGGCAACCATTTCCAGGACTAAATAATAATGTGTCAGATGCCTGTGAGTGGACTGCCTGGCCAAATGACTCATGAAGATATTCACGGAAGAATAGTCAAAAACCAAAGAAAAGGCATATTCTAGAAGCACCTTCAATTCCATCGAGGATTTTTGAGCAGCTGAAGAAGAAAGTTCTGAAAATATGAGTGACAGGACTCCAGCACATTTTTTTTAGTTGTTTCTTACATTATCTTTGTTAACCCATCCGCTTTTGTGTATAATATTAAGTTATTTTCCACTACTGCAATGGCTAGTAATTTACTTAGGCTCAGAGTTTTACTCTGTATGGACAGAGAAATAGGAGGTAACAACAGTGGGAGAACAAATAGGAACAGTTCACTGGGATGTTGGTCCCCAGAAATTGGCTTTCATTGAATAATTCCTAAAGGGTGTCGTGTGCTGAATTGCTTTTTCATAGTGATGTGCTGCTTCTTGTTCATACTCTTATGACTTTAATTTCACCTTTATCTACTCCCAGCCTCTGTATATGCCTACGTTTTTAAAAATAATTTTTGGCACTGAAGATCTGATTACCATATTTTTTCAGTTTAAAAATTAAATCCTCGCAAATAGATCTTTGGTATAGTTGCATTCTACCCTAGGTTATTTTCTAGGATCAAGAATAGAACAATTTCTGTTCTTTCCAGCATTACTCTTTACTATTCATATGTTCTTGTTCAGTGTTTTGTTGTTCTCATATTCTAGGTGGAAATGAAGGGTAATCTCTATGTTCTATTTTCAGTTTTCTAGGAAACCAGAAAAACATGGGTAGTAGAAATGTATAGAAAATGTATGAGGTCTCTTAACCATTGTGTTAAACTTGCATTAAGCTTCTTTTTTAGCAATATCGATGTCAGTGTTACCTCTTCTTTCCTTTTTATTTATTTTTTTTGAGACAGAGTCTCATTCTGTCGCCCAGACTGGTTGGAGTGCGATGATGCGATCGCGGCTAACTGCAACCGCTGCCTCCCAGGTACAAGTAATTCTCGTGCCTTGGGCTCCCGAGTAGCTGGGATTTTTAGTAGAGAACAGGTTTCACCATATTGGCCAGGCTGGTCTTGAACTCGCAACCTCAGGTGATCCACCCACCTCAGCCTCCCCAAAGTGTTGGGATTACAGGCATGAGCCACCATACCTGGCCCCTTTTGTTGTTTTGAGGGGCAGGCAGTAAGAAGCAGGGATTTCTTCAAATGCTAGTAAGCACAAAGAGAGGGAGAAGTTTTTGTAAGTAACGAACAGGGCCGGGCATGGTGGCGTGAGAGGCCGAGGTGGGCAGATCACGAGGTCAGGAGTTCGAGACCAGCCTGACCAACATAGTGAAACCCCCGTCTCCACTAGAAATACAAAAATTAGCCGGGCATGGTGGTGCACGCCTGTAATCCAGCTAGTCAGGAGGCTGAGGCAGGAGAATCGCTTGAACCTGGGAGGTGGAGGTTGCAGGGAGCTGAGATCACGCCACTGCACTCCAGCCTGGGCGACAGAGTAAGACTCCCGTCTCAAAAAAAAAAAAAAAAAAAAAAGAACAGTTGATCATTAAGGCCATTAATGTGCATGGACAGTTTGTTGCCCAGGTTGGAGTGTGATGACGACGCAATCTCGGTAAATATAAACCTACTCTGTAACCTCCACCTCCTGGGCTCAAGCAGTTCTCGTGCTTCAGCCTCCCGAGTAGCTGGGATCACAGGCATGCGCCACTAAGCCCAGCTAATTTTTGTATTTTTAGTAGAGACGGGGTTTCACCATGTTGGCCAGGCTGGTCTTGAACTCCTGGCCTCAAGTGATGCGCCTGCCTGGGCCTCCCAAAGTGCTGGGATTACAGGTGTGAGCCACTGCACCTGGCCCAATAGGCACATTTTTTTAATAAGTAGTTTGTTGATTAGAACGAAGAGCACTTGCCGTAAGTGCATGTCATTGTTTTCAGCTGTTATGGCTAAGTCAGTTAACCTCATCAACAATTTTTTCTTCTGTAAATTGAGGACAATTTTTGCTTTTATGAATGAAGTCTTAACCAGCAGGAAGAAATATAAACAAAGGAACATATTTTTAATTTAATGAAGCAAAATTCCATACATCATTTTGAAAATAGTGTTTCTTTCCCTGATAGGCCTGTTCTGCATCATTCTTTTAGCTTCCTTCTGCCCTGTTTATCACTTGGTCCCACTTTTATATTTTTCCTCTTCGGTCCAGAATTTCTTATTTAGTTTCTTGTATTTTGCCTACTCCCTCCCTTCTCCATGATTCAGCCTAGTCTTTCCGTCCTCTGTGGACTTGGGTGTGCCTTCCTCTGGGCCACCTCGTCTTTTGCTGCTGTTAGCCCTCCCGCCTGCGCACCTGCCACTTCACCCTCGCCTGTGGTCCACTTACGTTCCACTCAGCCCGGTCAGTCCTGCTTTGTTCTTCTCCACCGCCTTGGTCTCCCGTGTGTCTTATCTAGCTCTGGTTCCTTCTCGTCTCCACATTTATTTTGTTTTCTTCCTGTGCTTGTTAGTCCTTGTGCACTTGGTCCTTGAGCTCTTTTTCTATTAATAGGTATTACTAGATGGATTTGTTGTCTGCCTTTACATAGAACACACATCCTTACTGTGCATTTCCTGGGTAGCCAGGATGAATCAATTATTATTAACTTCCCTTCGAACATTGAGCTTCCTCTGTTTTCTGTTTCTAAGAATTAGATTAGTATTCTAGAAGACTAATACTACTTTAAAGACAGTCAAAACAGTCATACGCTGCCATTTCAGCCCTTTATTTAAGAGTTTGTGACATTTATCACTCCCTTGAAAGATTAAAGAACACCCAAAGCAAGTTTGGGGTGGAGGTGGGGAAGGCAGGAAGAGAAAGGTAAGTGCTATAAAAGGACTCATTGTTAATTTCTAGAAATTGGACTGAGATCTGAAAGCATAAGCCTTAACATTTTTTAGATAAACGGTCCCTGAAAAGAATAAAAAGTATCAGTACTTCCGTTAACTAGCTTTAGTATTGGGTCATTTGTAGTTTACATTCTCCTTTAAGTTTTAAGACCTTCAGTAGTTAACAAAGCAGACAGAGACTGGCCAGGCACAGTGGCTCACACCTGTAATACCAGCACTTTGGGAGGCTGAGTTGGGTGGATCACAAGGTCAGGAGATTGAAACCATCCTGGCCAACATGGTGAAACCCCGTCTCTACTAAAAATACAAAAAAAAAAAAAAATTAGCCAGGCGTGGTGGCAGGCACCTGTAGTCCCAGCTACTCGGGAGGCTGGGGCAGGAGAATTTCTTGAACCCGGGAGGCCGAGGTTGCAGTGAGCTGAGATCGCGCCACTGCACTCCAGCCTGGGTGACAGCGAGACTCTGTCTCAAAAAGAAAAAAAAAAAAAAAAGCAGAGACTTAATCTTGTAAATACTCATTTTATTTTTGAGAGGCTTAATGTCTCCTTAAATATTAACCTGTGTCATTTTGTAATTATACTGTAATAGTGTCAGAATGCCATTAACAACCAACCCTTTTCGTTTCTTGTGTGGGAAAGCTCATAAATTGTGTGGTCTTACCCCTCTGGACCCTGTAGTTGTAGCATTGTGAAAATGGAGCTTTTGGCAAAACTTTGTATTATGCTGTTGACTCACATTGTCTCATATTTTTCCTTTATTCTTCTATATTCTATGAATATGGTGCTGTCCTGTCATTTAATTATTATAATATATGTGAACTGCTGGAGGTAGACTGATGTGAGTGCAGTTTTTCAACTTAAAAACCCTTATATATCACATTCATGGTGTTTAAGATATAAGAACAGCCCTACAAAGAGGGGTTGATTGTATTGAAGATTCTTTCTGCTGAGCCTGCCTTAATTGTGAGGGTGGTTGTTTGGGTATCTTAGAGCTAAAAGAATGGCTAAGAGTCCATTAATGGTCCTGTAATATTCACCATCCCTGAGCAGTTAGTAAAGAATGGCCGCAAAGCCACAATTAGGCTACTAACAAGGAACTTATGTAGATGTGCTAGGTCCAGCCTGTGTTCTGGAACTATAGAGATGAATAAGGTATGGTCCTTTCTCTCTGGAGGCTCACAGTTGAATAGGGAATATTAATACGTGAATGATAGCAGTACAGTGTGGCAGATGCTAAAATATATGTGTGTAGCAGCTATTACAGGAGAACTGATTAATAGGGAGAGTCTGGCTGGGCTCAGTGACTCACCCCTGTAATCCCAGCACTTTGGGAGGCCGAGGCGGGCAGATCACTTGAGGTCAGGAGTTCGAGACCAGCCTGGCCAACATGGTAAAACCTCATCTCTACTAAAAAATACAAAGAAAATTAGCAAGGCGTGGTGGCGGGCATCTGTAATCCCAGCTACTGGGGAGGCTGAAGCAGGAGAATCCCTTGAACCCGGGAGGTGGAGGTTGCAGTGAGCTGAGATCATGCCACTGCACTCCAGCCTGGGTGACAGAGTAAGACTGTCTCAAAAACAAAACCCAAAATACTAACCATATTTATAGTTAGTCACCTCACCCTTTTTTTAGTTAAAAGAAGTTTATTTAGCCTGATCAGTTTACCAGATGTCTTTTTTAGTGACTTTTGTGTCTTCCATAAATCCATTCTCAAAATTTGCAACAGTTGAGCATATTTGACCAAAATGTGCCACAGGTTTCTGAAGCCTGTTCAAGAAGAAGCATGTCAACATTATTGGAGTAGGTCTTCGCAATGACTACTTTTGGGAAGATTTGAGTAAAATTTATGGATACAGAAGTTTTGGAGTATGTTAGAATATTACTAAGTCTTTTTATAGTTGTAATCCCAACACTGGGTTATATATATTTAATACCAACCTGAGTATATTTCCTGAATAATATCTGTTTTGGAGACTTGGACAAAGTTAACTTTTTTGCTTTTTTAAAAGTTGCTGTTTAAATTAACTTCCTGCATTTCTAATGTAGAAAAAATATGGCACAGTGATTTGAATTTTGTTTATGGTTTATTATCTTCCTAAATTATCAGCTCTTTAAAATATGGGTCTCTGGCCTGTATACCATCTGATAAATTAGGTTGGGTAAATTTTTCACCTGAAAAAATTCATTCTTTTGACCCAGGTTGTTTGGCTTGGAAAAAAAAAATCACATACTCATTGCATGATTAAACTTGTCCATCAGATTGTGATTTTGTGCGTTATGAGGATTGTAGCTGGGGTAATTTTAAAATGTTGGTATTTGGATAGAACTGCCAGCCCAGGATTTTGATAAAGATCAAAATATATACTGTATCTAAAGTTTCTTTTTTAAAAGTTATTTCACTTATAATCAAAAGGTTTAAATAAGTTTAGTGTATATTTTATGATTAGTATTATTTTGTATCGATTCAGAGAGAGGAAAACTGCATTCCCATAGACAGGGAGACTTGGTGCATTAATATCCAAAGCTTAGTTTAAGCTGGTGATGATTAGAAAAGTGGCTTTCATTTGTGTTCTCTGGAAGATTCTCAGTAGTCCTGTGGGCATGTGAACAAGAGCATGTGTAATCTTCATAATGTATGTCTTGTTAGCAGAAATGTCTGAGGCATTGCTGAGATGTAGGATGAGCTGAGGTACTGGTTTTGTCTTTCATGGTTCCCTATTATGTTTTTTGAGAAACTGAGCTTTTCCTGACAGTGTTTAGTTTTTCTTGGCTATTTACTATGCTATTAATAGTAACAGTTTCCATTATGGAGCCTCAGTAGGTTCTTGACATACATTAACCCATTGCTATTATGTAATTTTCTAATAAAATGATGTGATAAAACATATTTTCTGTAATATACTCATAGAATATGTGATTATAAGTAAATAAATAGATGTTGGGGTAGTCCTCCAGATTGGTTGTATTACATTTTATTTTTTTCAAAATTCTTTTAATTTTAAAATTTCTTATTTATTACATTTAAAAAAATGAGGAAATGGGCCAGGTGAGGTAGCTCACACATGTAATTACAGTGCTTTGAGAGGCCAAGGCAGGAGGATCACTTGAGCCTTGGAGTTCAAGAGCAGCCTAGTTAACATAGCAAGACTCCATCTCTTTGAAAAAAATTAGCTGGGTGTGGTGGCATGTGCCTGTAGTCCCATCTACTTGGGAAAGTGAAGTGGAAGGATTGCTTGAGCCAAAGAGTTTGAGGTTATGGTGAGGTACGATCACGCCACTGCACTCCAGCCTGTGTGACAGGGTAAGACCCTGTCTCAAAAAATAATAATAATAATAATAATAGGCCGGGCTCGGTGGCTCATGCCTGTAATCCCAGCACTTTGGGAGGCTGAGGCGGGGGGATCACCCGAGATCAGGAGTTCGAGACCAGCCTGACCAACATGGAGAAACCCCGTTTCTACTAAAAATACAAAAATTAGTCGGGCATGGTGGCGCATGCCTATAATCCTGGCTACTCGGGAGGCTGAGGCAGGAGAATCGCTTGAACCCAGGAGGCAGAGGTTATGGTAAGCCAAGATCGCACCACTGCACTCCAGCCTGGGCAATGAGCGAAACTCCATCTCAAAAAAAATTAAAAAAATAAAATAGGACATTGAGGCAGGATATGATGGAATTACCCAAGATCGTGCAGAAAGTAAATGATTAAGCCAGGATTTTAATCTAAGTCTGATTAAATCCTGTGCTTTCAACCACTTTTCTGTACTGCCTTTTCAAATATTTCCCCTTGAAAAAGTAAAATTTGGCTGTTTTATAAATGCATATTCTTTTTTCTTTTCTTTTTTTTTTTGAGATGGAGTCTCGCTTTGTCGCCCAGGCTGGAGTGCAGTGGCATTATCTCTGCTCAATGCAAGTTCTCCTTCCCGGGTTCACGCCATTGTCCTGCCTCAGCCTCCTGCGTAGCTGGGACTAAAGGTGCCCACCACTACGCCCGGCTAACTTTTTTGTACTTTTAGTAGAGACGGGGTTTCACCGTGTTAGCCAGGATGGTCTCGATCTCCTGACCTCGTGATCTGCCTGCCTCGGCCTCCCAAAGTTCTGGGATTACAGGTGTGAGCCACCGCGCCCTGTCATATAAATGCACATTCTTTTGAGCTAAGGAGTACTCTATCAATATCCTGTGGTATACACCTTTTCCAAAATAACATATCTTTGTTCCTGGTTGTAGAAGTAATGAGGTTCAGTGTTAAGAGCAATCAGTGCTTAGTGGTAATAGAAAATCAGGTAATACAGAAAGGTATAAAGAAGAGAGCAGTGAAAATGACTAGTAGTTCTACCACCCAGAGGTTAACATTTTGATGTATAGTTTCGCTGACTTTTTGGTGTATAGACACATACACATGTTTTTAAAATACAAATAGATTTATAATAGGCATGTTGTTTTTAATTCTAATTTCATTTATTATATTTTGGCCATTATTCTATGTCATTATACATTTATATCTTCATTCAAAATTTTTTCCTTTATTTATTTATTTTTTTTGAGACGGAGTTTCGCTCTTGTTGCCCAAGCTGGAGTGCAGTGGCGCGATCTCGGCTCACCGCAGCCTCCACCTCCTGGGTTTAAGCGATTCTCCTGTTTCAGCCTCCCGAGTAGCTGGGACTACAGGCATGCGCCACCACGCCTGGCTAATTTTGTATTTTTAGTAGATATGGGGTTTCTCCATGTTGGTCTTGAACTCCCAACCTCAGGTGATCCGCCCTCCTCAGCCCCCCAAAGTGCTAGGGTTACAGGTGTGAGCCACTGCATCCGGCCTTTTCCCCATTTTTAAAAATGAACTGTTTTTAAGAAAAGTTTTAGATTTATAGAAAAGTTGCAAAGATTAATAGAGCTCCTGTATACTCCACATCTAGTTTCTTTTTTTTTTTTCCTTAATTTTGAAATGGAGGCTTGCTCTGTCGCCCAGGCTGGAGTGCAATGGTGCGATCTTGGCTCACCGCAAGCTCAGCCTCCCCAGTAGCTGAGATTACAGGCATACCCCACCACACCCGGCTAATTTTTGTATTTTTAGTAGAGACGGGGTTTCACCATGTTGGTAAGCCTGGTCTCGCACTCCTGACCTGGTGATCTGCCCGCCTCCGCCTCCCAAAGTGCTGGGGTTACAGGCGCGAGCCACCACACCCGGCCCACTTTTTTTTTTTTTTTTTGAGACAGGCTCTTACTCTGTTACTCAGGCTGGAGTGCAGTGGTACGAACTCAGCTCACTGCAGCCTCGATTCTCAGGCTCAAGCAGTCCTTCCACCTCAGCCTCCCAAGTAGCTGGTACTATAGGCGCACGCCACCATGCATGGCAAATTTTTCTATTTTTTTGTAAAGGCGGGGTCCTGCTATGTTGCTCAGGCAGTTCTCAAACTCCTGGACTTAAGTGATCCACCCACCGTGACCCCTCAAAGTGCTGAGACTACAGGTGGAAGCCAGTGCACCTGTTGCCAGTTTCTCCTATTAACATTTTACATTCATGTCATACATTTGCTAAAATTAATGAACCAATATCAATACATTATTATTATTATTACCAAAATTTCATACTTTATTCAGATTTCAGTCATTGGCTGTGACAGTTTCTTTTTTTTTTTTTGAGACAGAGTCTCTCTCTGTCGCCCAGGCTGGGGTGCAGTGGCGCGATCTCGGCTCACTGCAACCTCTGCCTCCTGGGTTCACGCCATTCTCCTGGCTCAGCCTCCCGAGTAGCTGAGACTACAGGTGCCCACCACCACACCCAGCTAATTTTTTGTATTTTTAGTAGAGACGGGGTTTCACTGTGTTAGCCAGGAGGGTCTCGATCTCCTGACCTAGTGATCCGCCCACCTTGGCCTCCCAAAGTCCTGGGATTACAGGCGTGAGCCACCACACCCAGCCGGCTGTGATGTTTCTAAGACTTCTTTTTTTTTTTTTAAATGACCTTGACAGTTTTCAGTTCACCAGTCAGATATTTTGTAGAATGTTGCTCAGTTGAGATTCGTCTGTTGTTTTTCTCATGGTTATGCTGGGGTTAGGAGTTTCAGGGAGGGAGATCACAGAGGCAGCAGGCCATTTTCATCACATCATTTCAGAGGTATATACAGTCAACATGACTCATCAGTGTTGATGTTGACCTTAGTCACTCTGCTGGGGTCGTGTTTGCCCAGCTTCACCACTGCAGAGTTCCTCCTTCTTACCTGTTTCTGTGCTTCCCTCTTGGGAAGGCAGCCCACGCTTCAGGAGTGGGAAGTTATGCCTACCTCCTTGAGGGCAGAATATCTATGTAGATGATTTGGAGTTCTGTACAGGAGCTGTATCTATCTCCTCCATTTCTTTATTCAACATTTATATCTGTATATACTCATGAATATACCCTGGGTTATAATCCAATGCTACTTTATTTATTGCTCAGATTGTTCTAGCTTTTGTCGTTGGGAGCTATTTCAGTTGGTTCCTGTGCCCCCTTGCCATATCCCTATCATCGTGGGTTTATATCTTAATTTTTTAAATATCTGCATGGTATTCCATTGTAAGAATGTACTCTACTATAATTTAACCAATCCCTTATTGATGGCAATTGAGGTATCAAATCAGTTGTAAACAATACTGTGATAAGCAGTCTTCAGAAGACATTTATGAAAATTGTCGATCATGTATTCAGAAAGGTCTGCCCATTTTACTTTCTTTTTTTTTTTTTTTTTTTTTTTTGAGACAGAGTCTTGCTCTGTTGCCCAGGCTGGAGTGCAGTGGTGCGATCTCAGCTCATCGCAACCTCCACCTCCCAGGTGTGAGCAATTCTCCTGCCTCAGCCTCTTGAGTAGCTGGGATTACAGGTGCTCTCCACCATGCCCAGCTAATTTTTGTATTTGTGGTACAGACGGGGTTTCACCATGTTGGTCAGGCTGGTCTCAAACTCCCAACCTCAAGTGATCCACCCACCTCGGTCTCCCAAAGTGCTGGGATTACAGGGGTGAGCCACCGTGCCCAGCCATTTTACATTTCATGTGATATGTGACTCTTAATAATACGTAAGCAGATTTCAGAGGCGTGAGCATTCTCACGAAAAATAGAGGTGTATCTGTCACCAGAGTTGCCTCCCTTCCTTTTTCTGTATTTCCTTTAGTGAGGGATGATGGTGGGTGTGGCACCAGCAGTCCTAAAGAGCTGCTTTGAGATCACACTTGTCTGAGACACCTGTGCCTTTTCAATATAGAGTCAGCTACTGTAGACAGCTAACAAAAGATGAACTAAAACTCAATTCAGAAAAAAACAAAACAGCATTCTCAGAGTAAAAATATTAGACCTGGAAGCAACCTTAGAAATCATCATGCTTTAGCAGTGGATTTTAGAAATAGGAAACTTTTTATTAGGTGAGATGATTTGCCTGGGATTATGCAGTAGCAAAAGCATTTAAGAATCTGGATTTCTGCCTCAGTCTCAGAATTTCTTGTTACATGGGTATATTTTATTTTTATTTTTATTTATTTATTTATTTATTTATTTGAGATGGAGTTTTGCTCTTGTTGCTTAAGCTGGAGTGCAATGGCACAGTCTTGGCTCACTGTAACCTCTGCCTCCCGGGTTCAAGCGATTCTCCTGCCTCAGCCTCCCAAGTAGCTGGGATTACAGGCGCTCGCCACCACAACTGGCTCATTTTTGTGTTTTTAGTAGAGACAGGGTTTCACCATGTTGGCAAGGCTGGTCTCGAACTCCTGACCTTGTGATCTGCCCGACTCGGCCTCCTAAAATGCTGGGATTACAGGGGTGAGCCACAGCGCCCAGCCTGCATGGGTATATTTTATATCTCATGCAAGGATATGCACAATTTTTTATGTTGGAAATTTTTAAGCTTAAAGAAGACAAAATAGTGTAATTAATCATGTCCCCACCACCCAGCTTTATAAATTTGTGGCCAATCGTGTTAAAACTTCTACCCACTCCCCCCACCACCATGTTATTTTGAAGTAAATCCCACATATTAAATCACTATAAATATTTCAGTATATTCAAAAGGAAAAAACTTTTTTCAAAGCATAACCATAATACCATTTTCATATCTTAAAAGCCTTTCTATTTAAGAATATTTAGTTGTAAAAATTTCCAGAAGTTGTGTTTATCATGAATTAAAATGTGGCTTTAGTGAAAATACAGTTCCTTGGTATACTCTCCCAGCAATTAGGGAGAGATTCTGTCCACCAGCAGAATGGCCTGGGTTACAGCTTTTATCAAAATCTGCTGTCTGAGGGTCTTAGTTGGAAGAAATAATCTCCTATTTGAGTTCTTCGAGGCCGAAAGATTGATAATGACTGTATGGCCGATCTCTAACTATATATTGTTGCTTTTTTACCTTAATTAACTCTTAAGCTTTGTACGTGAGGAAGAAATTCCAAGGACATATCACAAGAAGAATTATTTTTCAGATTTCGCCACTAGCCGAAGCCACGGATGGGAATGTGGTGGTGGAGCTGTTCCACTCAGATCTTCTGTGAGGGATTTCTGAAGGTCAAGTAACATTCTTACGTGTAATTTCCTGCATTGGGACTTTACAAAGCTTCTAAGAAAACCAACATGTTGATTTTGCATTTGTTTTTAAGAAGATGACTTCAGAGGAAAGAATACCCCTGATATCAGAGATGAACCTAAAGGCAGAATGGACAGTGCTTATTCTATTTTCTTCAAGCAGCACATTAAGTGGATTACTTGACTGTTGATGACTTAAAAGGATGATTAATACTCTTGATGTTTTAAATATTGTCTTTTCTTGGGGTTTCACTTGATCTTTAAAATTAAGTGAGATACTAGCCCTGTCTCAAAAACTTTATAACCAGAACAGCAAATTTCCTTTTAAATACCCATTTACTTGCATTGAATTTATGCTATAATAGCCTCTGTTTGTTCACATACTGTTAAAATATGCAATTTATTTATTTATTTATTTTATTTATTTATTTAGTTTTTTGAGACAGAGTTTCGCTGTTGTTGCCCAGGCTGGAGTGCAATGGCACAATCTCGGCTCACCGCATCCTCCACCTCCCAGGTTCAAGCGATTCTCCTGCCTCAACCTCCGTAGTAGCTGGGACTACAGGCATGTGCCACCATGCCCAGCTAATTTTGTATTTTTAGTAGAGACGGGGTTTCACCATATTGGCCAGGCTGGTCTCGAACTCCTGACCTCGTGATCTGCCCGCCTCGGCCTCTCAAAGTGCTGGGATTGCAGGCATGAGCCACCACACCTGGCCTCTAAGCTACTTTTAAAACCCCTTTTTGCTGGGAGCAGTGGTGCATACCCGCAATCCCAGCACTTTGGGAGGCCAAAGTGGGAGAATTGCTTGAGGCCAGGAGTTCAAGACTAACCTGGGCAACACAGAGAGACCCCCCCCACCCCGCCATCTCTACAGATTTTTTTTTTTTATTATTATTAGCCAGGTGTGGTGATGCATACCTATAGTCTTAGCTACTCAGGAGGTTGAGGCAGGAGGCTCGCCTGGGCCCAGGAATTCAAGGGTGTAGTGAGCCATGCTCGCACCACCACACTCCAACCTGGGTGACAGAACAAGTCTCTAAAGAAGAGAAAAGAAACCTTTTTGCTACAATAATACCTTTTTTTTTGAGATGGAGTCCTGCTCTGTCGCCCAGGCTGGAGTGCAGTGGCACGATCTCAGCTCACTGCAACCTCCGCCTCCCGGGTTCAAGTGATTCTCCTGCCTCAGCCTCCCAAGTAGCTGGGATTACAGGCACCTGCTGCCACACTCAGCTGGTTTTTGTATTTTTAGTGGAGACAGGGTTTCACCATGTTGGCCAGGCTGGTCTTGAACTCCTGACCTAAGGTGATCCACCCGCCTCGGCCCCCCAAAGTGGTAGGATTACAGGCGTGAGCCACCATGCCTGGCCAGTAGTGCTTTTTCTTAACCCTTTTTGCTTTGAAATTGTATTACTTTTCTTAACTTTGACACCTTGGCTATTTACCAGCTGAAGTTGAATGAATTTCTTGTCTTCTCCATCCTTCGGTGTCCTCATCTGAAAAGTAAGGATATTTATCAGCAGCCACCTCATTGGATTGTCTGTTGAGTTAAATGAGATAGGCTCTAGTACCTGGGACGTGATAACTGCTTGCTCACTATTATTCTGGCAGTCTTCTCCTCTCTAGCCATCCATTTGCATCTTTCCCCTTTACGTGCTTGTACCTTCACTTAGGTTAGGAAAAATGGTTTATGTCTCCTAAATGGGCAACCCTCTTCACAAACTTTTAAAAAACTTTTTGTTTTTAAATGATTACAGACTCACAGGAAGTTAAAAAAGTAGTACGGAGAGGTCCTGTTTACCCTCTACTCAGTTTTCCCCAAAAACCCAGAAAATTGCCATAAATCTGAGTCACCCACAGAGCTTATTCCCAGATTTCCCTGTTTTACATGCACTCATTGGTGAAGCGTGTCCATAGTTCTGTACAATTTGATCACGTGTAGATTTGTGTTACCACTACCACAATCAAGATACAGAATTGGCTGGGCATAGTGGTTCACACCTGTAATCCCAGCCTTTTGGGAGGCTGAGGCAGGAGGATCGCTTGAGCCCAGGAGTTTGAGACCAGTCTGGGCAACATGGCAAAACCCCATCTCTACAAAAAGTACAAAAATCAGCCAGGTGTGATGGCATGCATCTGTAGTCCCAGCTACTCAGGAGGCTGAGGTGGGAGCATCACTTGAGCCCAGGAGGTTGAGGCTGCAGTGAGCGATGATGGTGCCATTGTACTGTAGCCTGGGCAGCAGAGGGAGACCCTGTCTCAAGAAGAAAAAAAATACAGGATCGATTCATCACCCCAAGGCTTTCCCTTTGCTACCCCTTTATAGCAAGCCCCTAACTGCTGGTAGCCACTAATCTGATCTCATTTTGAGAATACTATATAAATGGAATCATGCAATCTGTAACCTTTTGAGATTGGCTTTTTTCACTCAGCATAATGCCCTTGAGATCCATTGAGTATTGAGTATGCATTGAGTCCTGAGTATCAGCAGTTTGTTACTTTTTACTGCTGAGTAGTATTCCATGATGCAGGTATACCACAGCCTAGCCATTTGTCCATTGAAGGACATTTGGGTTATTTTGTTTTTACAAATAGTGTTGCTATGAACATTTGTGTACGGGTTTTTCTGTGGACCTAAGTTTTCATTTCTGTGGGAAAAATGCTGAAGAGTGTGATTGCTAGATCAAATTTTTTTTAAATGGAACATTAGGCTTTTTTGAATATACATGCTAATGCAGTCAGCACTTATAAACAGTCATTTCTTAATGGCAACCATTATAAATAATATACATTGCACCTTGTTTTAAAATATCTTTCTGTATAATTTGCAGCTGAGTCCAACATATAGAACCCTGTCTTATGTATACTGTAAGACAACACGTACTCAAATATTATTTTCTTTTCTTAATGAATCCCTTTTAATGTTTTATTGAGCTTTTTCTTGTGGGGAATAATTACCGTTCTCAGACAGTACATTTGGATGGGGAAAATATTTCAAGTAATGGGGTTTTTTTTTTTGGTTTGTTTTTTGTTTTTTTGTTTTGAGGTGGAGTCTTGCTCTGTCACCCAGGCTGGAGTGCAGTGGCATGATCTCAGCTCACTGCAAGCTCCGCCTCCCGGGTTCACGCCCTTCTCCTGCCTCAGCCTCCCGAGTAGCTGGGACTACAGGCACCCGCCACCACGCCCGGCTAATTTTTTACATTTTCAGTGGAGATGGGGTTTCACTGTGTTAGCCAGGATGGTCTCAATCTCCTGACCCCATGATCCGCCCACCTCGGCCTCCCAAAGTGCTGGGATTACAGGCGTAAGCCACCGCCCCCAGCCTCAAGTAACGGGCTTTTAAAATATCAATTCTTTGTAATGTGGTAGAGGTTAATTTTTACTTATTTATTTTTTTGGTGTTCCTGGGTGGACATGAAGAATTTTTAAAATACTTATAAAGATGGGCATAAAGAGGCTGGGCGCGGTGGCTCATGCCTGTAATCCCAGCACTTTGGGAGGCTGAGGCGGGCGGATCACTTGAGGTCAGGAGTTTGAGACCAGCCTGGCCAACATGGTGAAACCCCGTTTCTACTAAAAATACAAAAATTAACTAGGTGTGATGGTGGGTGCCTGTAATCCCAGCTGCTTGGGAGGCTGAGGCAGGAGAATTGCTTGAACCCGGGAGATGGAGGTTGTAGTGAGCCGAGATCATGTCACTACACTCCAGCCTAGGCAACAGAGTGAGGCTCTGTCTTAAAAAAAAAAAAAAAAAAAAAAAGATTAGCATAAAGAGTTGGGAAATTGGGAAACTCATTAATTGACTAATGTCCGGCAACATTTCAACTGATTGGTAGAGCACCACTGGCACTTTTGTTTTCCAAAATGTTTGGGGTCCTAATATGTTTTATAAAATCATTGTCTTCCAGGCTAATTATACATGATAAATTATCAGAGTGAGGCTACAAATATTCTTTTGACATGTGAGGGGCTTCTAACTATGACAGCCATAAATTTAAGTCACTTTAAGTTGGGCATCAAAAGCCAACATAAAGACATTCCAGGTTATGGATGGGAGACAGGCAGGGGCTGGTCCATAGGTTTTGGCCTTCCCAGATGTATCTGGCTAGCCTTTACATACCTGATAAAGGAAGTGCTCTTTGTAAGAAGTTAGAAAAAGAGAAGGAAAAGAGTGAAATATAAAAAGCAGTAGTTCTTGACCCCAACTGCATATTCAAAATATCTAGGTAGCTTTAAAAACAAAGCAAGTGTCTATGCTGGGCCAATTCAATTAAAATCTCCGAAAGTGGCGCCCAGGTGTTGGTTGTAATTTTTTTTTTTTTTTTAAGATGGAGTCTCGCTCTGTCGCCCAGGCTGGAGTGCAGTGGTGCGATCTTGGCTCACTGCAACCTCTGCCTCCCGGGTTCAAGCGATTCTCCTGCCTCAGCTTCCCGAGTAGCTGGGACTACAGGCACATGCCACCATGCCCAGCTAATTTTTGTATTTTTAGTAGAGACGGGGTTTCACCATGTTGGCCAGGATGGTCTCAATCCCTTGACCTCGTGATCTGTCTGCCTCGGCCTCCCAAAGTGCTGGGATTACAGGCGTGAGCCACCGTGCCTGGTCAGTATTTTTTAAAAATGCTGCCAAGGTGATACTTCTGTTAAGCCAAGACTGAGAACCACTGAACTAACAGGAACAGCGTCTGTGCTCAAATTTCAGCACCTTACAGTTTGAGTACAGTGCCTGCATCTGTCCTCTGTGCATTAGACTACTGTGCGTTCCACATAGCTTTTATTTATGGCTCTGCTGAGATTAGTATTTTCCTGAGGGTGGGGAAAATCACCCTTGTGAATGGTGGACACATTTAAACTTCAGGTCACAGCTTTAATATGTACAGCAGAATAGTGCTTATGCAGTGGAATCAAATACCCAAAACAGTGAGAAATTCAGAATCACTGAGTAGTCAAAAAGGAAAGTGGGCTTCATCTACTTTGAAGTGGGATGGGTGGGAAACTTTTTGGGAAATTGAGCATCTAGAAAACCTGTGTGGAGTGTGGGGCTGAGCCATCTTGAGTACTGACAGGGCCTATTGTGGGCCACATTCTTCTCTTTTTCTAGCTTAATTCTTTACTTTGTAAAACTATTTACTTGTAACAAGTGAAAGTATACACGGATGAATAAAAAACAAGAGTTAATGTCCCACCCATGTTCATAGCCTGATGTGAATTCCTCCCCACCTGTTTCTGTACTCCAAAGCATGTATAATGACATAGGGTTTGTTAGATTTTTGTTTTTTAAATAGGCTCAAACTCTGAACATGATTCTGAAGCCGGATTTTCCTCCTCAATATATCATAGATATGCCTCCAGGTCAATAGATATAGATTTAACTCTTGTTTCAAAAATGTGAATAAAATTTGATAGCCATTATGAATAAAATATGAATAGCCATTTGGTATGGCTTTATGTAAAATAATATAGTCAACCATTTCCCTGTGAATGGACATTGAAGGGACATTCAGGATGTTTCCTTTCTTTAAAAAAAGTTGTCTGGGCGTGGTGGCTCATGCCTGTAATCCCAGCACTTTGGGAGGCTGAGGTGTGCGGATCATGAGGTCAGGAGATCGAGACCATCCTGGCTAACAAGGCGAAACCCCATCTCTACTAAAAATACCAAAAATTAGCTGGGCGTGGTGGCACGCACCTGTAGTCCCAGCTACTGTGGAGGCTGAGGCAGGAGAATCGCTTGAACCTGGGAGGCGGAGGTTGCAGTGAGCTGAGATTGCACCACTGCGCTCCAGCCTGGGTGACAGAACAAGACTCGGTCTCAAAAATAAATAAATAAATAATTCTTTAAAAAAGTTTGCCACTACAAACAATGTTTTTGTACATACAACCTTAGGGACTTGTGCTTTTTTCCTAAAGTATTCTTATAATCCATGATTTGGTTTTGGTCAGATTTCTTAGTTTCTGGATGTCTTCTCTGTTAGAATAAATGAGTTAGTGTCAGTTGACTTCCAGTTAATTGACTCCTTCTGGATATTAAGTTGGGCATTAATAGGATAATCAACTATTTTAGGAATATTTGGATACTAATGAATCCTGGCAACCAGAATGTTTTCCAGAGGCCCTAGAATCCCTAGGATGGGGCTCCTCAACAGAAGGACCATGGTGGGCTTCATGGAGGTCCATGAACCACATGGTATTGATGGCAAAATTGTGTACACTTGTACATTTTATGGCTTTCATCAGATTTTCAAAGGGGCTCTTGCTGCAGATATGGCTAAAAATTGATAATATATTGTCAATTAGAGAATATTACTAAGCCTAAAAAACCTGTAAGGTACTCTAAGTTCCCATCAATAGCACATTTTTATTTATTACTTATTTATTTATTTTATTATTGTTTTTTTTTTTTTGAGACAGGATCTCACTACAGTTGCCCAGGCTGGAGTGCAGTGGCACGAACACGGCCCACTGCGGCCTCAACTTCCCAGGTTCAGGTGATCCTCCCACCTCACCCTCCCAAAGTGCTGGGATTACAGGCATGAGCCACCTCGCCCAGCCTGAATAGCACATTTTAAATCACAGTATCCTCTTTCTGTAAAGACCTGGATCAAAGTAAGTTTATCTAATTTCCAGGTCACATAAAATTAGGAGAGATGACTAATACTATAGATAGCAGATTCTAGTTTCAGAATGATCTGAATAGGTTGTAATAATGTTCTAAAATCAGCAACATGAGATACTAAGGATAAATGATCTGCAGGAGTTGAGAAATGCTTGGGGGGTGGTGGACGGTCTCAAGTGCACGAGATGAAAAGTAGCTCAGAGTTTATTGAGGCACAGGCTTATGTGAGGCATCTCTGTGATGTGGCTGCTAAAAACAGCAAGCTCAGGTTGCACTGATGGGTGCCTAGATTACATCGAGTCTGTTGTCCTGTTTTGTGGGTTAGTTAGAGCACCGTTGATGAATTGTGTTTAAGTCTCTGAACCACAGTTTAGGTGAGACATTGGCAAACGAGGGAGGCAGGACTAGTGGTGGATGGAGAAAGGAAGTCATATCAGGAACTGCTGCTAAAGGAGTTTGGTTGTTGGATCTGAAGGATGGTATAAAAGGAAAGTGGTAGCAGCCCTTATAGATCAGGGAATAGGAAGACCAGAGGATGGTATGTAGCTCTTCTGTGCTCAGTAACTGAATGAATGAGTAGAGATTATAAGGCAAAGGATTTTTACTTGGTCTAAGACAGAATCTTGTGGTGGTGAGAGCTCTCCAGCAATAGGATGCGCTGCCCTAGAGAGCAATGACCTCCCAGGTTGGGGAACCCTTCAAGCCAAGCCATGGACAAGTCTGAGCTCCAGAGGTTATAAAACAGGACTTCAGAAGTTCTTAACTGGAGTTTTATATTTCTTCTCTTAGGTACCTTAATTCTAAAACAGGAAAAAATTCTAGGATAATATTGTATTCCCTTTAAAAGTACTTTTATGGAAGGAGTGCTTTTGACTCAAAGGCTACGTGATTGTCAGTACAGGTATTTCAAAGGTGCTGAGAATTGAAAAATAACCGATTTTTATCTGAAACTGCAGTGCGTAAGTTACTCTGCTGTTCCACCTGAAGTAACTAGTCTGGACTTGTAGGATAGTGTTTAAGATTTCATTTTGGTTACTTTAGAGAGGAGAAGAATCACAGTTTTCCAAATTACAAAAATGATTAAAAAAGGAAATTTCATCACTTCCTGCCCTCGCTATGGCTTCAGGAAGCACAGTCTCCACTAGACTAGTTGTCCTGGCTTCTGACTTGCATAGCAGCTCTGTGTGGCACTGGTGTCATGCTGTGTCATGCCCATGGTTTGCACCCAAGCTTGCATACCGACCTGTGGAAGTGCACTGCCAATATTTGTTGGTTGAGACTAAGCTATCCCTTATGACTCTTTGATAATTGAAACAATATAAAAATCCTTGAAGCTGTGGAAATACATAAATATTGTCAAACATTTTTATATAAAACTTTGTTTAAAAAACCCTGTATCTTAGACCCCTGTTCTAAGACACACTAGCAGTCTTAGAACTGTTGGGGTGGGGGTTACAGTCACTTATGACCCCGGGATTTCTACTTTTTAGAGTGCGGGGAAGGGGTGGGTTAGAGGTTAGGAAGGTAGCCTCGTGGATTCAAATCTGGCTTCAGCACTTAGTGGCTGTGTGACCCTGGTTTCCTAGGTCTGTTCTCTCACTTGCAGAAGAAAGATAGTGATAGACTTTTGCCATTGTGAGTAAGCACTCAGCACAGCGCCGGCACCTGGAGAGAACTCAGAAATACTATATTCTGTTACCATACCACCTTCTCTCACCTCTTGATCTCTTTCCTATTTTTTCTGATTTAACAGATACTGTCATCTGTATGTCTTGTATTATCTTGAACACAGCATGTCTAAAACTAATTTTTTATATCCCCACCCCACCTTGCTCATGCTAAACCTACTCCTGCCATACTCTCCTGTCACCCCTGTTTAATGCACAAGTACCATTCATCAGAGATAGCATGGGGAGAGGTTAATACCACAAGCTCCGGAGTCAAAACTGTCTGGGATTCAATTCCTGCCCCGCTACTTATCTCCATGTGACCTTGGACAAGCTAATTTAACGTCTGTAAATCTCAGGTTCTTCAGCTGTGAAACAGATGTGATATCAATCTGTCTTATAGAATTGGGAAAAATCAATGAGATCAATACATGTTAAGTGCTTAGTACGGTTCCTGACACTTAGGTGCACAGTACATGTTTATTGTTTATACTTCTCACACTAGAAGTGATAGTGTCATCCTTAATTCCTCTTTTTTTCCCCACTGAAGTCATCAGTGCTATGATTCTACCTCCAAAGTCTCTCTTTTTCCATCACTGCCTTTACACCAGGCTTCCCTAAGCTGAATCCATCACTCACAGAGCTTCATCAGCCCCAGAAATTACATGTACGTTTTTTGACATACGTGCATGTTTCTTAGGAAAAGGGCTTTTTTTTTTTCTTTTTTTTTTTCAAACAGAGTATTACTCCATTGCCCAGGCTGGAGTGCAGTGGTGTGATCTCAGCTCACTGCAACCTCTACCTCCTGAGTTCAAGCAATTTTCCTGCCTCAGCCTCCCAAGTAGCTGGGATTACAGGCGCGTACCACCATGTCCGGGTAGTTTTTGTATTTTTAGTAGAGATGGGGTTTCACCATGTTGGCCAGGCTGGTCTCTAACTCCTGACCTCAAATGATCCACCTGCCTCGGCCTCCCAAAGTGCCGGGATTACAGGCATGAGCCACCGCGCCCAGCCAGGGGAGGGCTTTTTAGCTTTTATCGTTGGCATTCATGCAAGTCCGTAACCCAAAAAAGGCTAATAATTACTCTTATCTCTTGCCTGTTTCCAGTAGCCTATAAACTGACAGTTCTCCCCTAGTCTCTGTTTCTAATCTTCTCTTCACACTGTTACCCAGTTAACTATTGTTTTAATGTTTTTCTATTGCTATCCTAAGCTGATGCAGTGGTGTTGACTCCCTGTTGCCCACAGGAGTGGTTCTTGCCCACAGGTTAGAATTGCTACATGGGAAGTTTTTAAAAACTGCTGATGCCTGGACCCAATTATTATTGCTAACAAATAACAGGCCGTCAGCATTTTGTTTTAAAGCTTCTCAGGAGATTTTAATGTGTATCCAGAGTTGAGAGCCTCAGAGCTACAGGATAGTGGACCCACTCCTTAGCATGGTGCTTGTAGGCCCCAGCAATCTAGCACCAATGTATTTTTGCAACCTAATCTTCTACCTCTTCTCCCATTCATATCCCATCACTTGTATTCAGAACACATACTTCTGCTATTCCCAGAACATGCTACATGGTTTCCTACCCCTGAGCCTTTGCCTGTACTGATTGCTCTTCCTAGAATGCCTTTCACTGTTTTTCTGCCTGGGTATTTCCATCGCAAAATCTCCCCCAAGCCCCAGAGAGAATTTCATCCCTTACTTCCGTTACAGGATTTACCTGTATTATAATTATTTATATACCTGTCTTCCAGGGCACACTGAACTCTTGCAAGATAAGATCCTATTCATTTCTTTTCTCAAGCACTTGTCACCAGGTTAGGAAGCTCCCTGAGAGCCTGATGGATAAATGAACACATGAGAATGTACAACCAGCCGCCTGCTCAGGGGAGTCAGGAAATCTATGGGGTTGGGGAATGCAAGTCAATGTGGTATAGGAGTGGTTAAAAGTGCTCAGCAAAGTTTTATCCTCTTGTATTGCTTTTTCATACCTGTATAAAAAGGCAAGATCAAAATATATGAAGTTTATCATCTAGGACGAGGAAAGTTAAGACCAGCTTTTAAAATACCCCCAAACATTGACTGTCTGAATATAACAGCATAAAGTCATGTCATATGTGTCTCCCAAGACTCCAGCGGTTTCTGAATGAGAGGTGGAGAGGCAGCCACTGTGATGGTGGCAGCTGTTAATTCTGCCCAGTGGATTGTTCCAACTGAGTTACTGATATGAGGATGCCCTTATATGGACAGTTCTCCAGACGTTATATGTTTCTAATTTTGATCTCACCCCTGGCCTTTGTGTTTTAGCTGCTGTCTAATCCTTCTCTTGGCTATTTTTAATACTTTTTTTCCTCCATGCATCTCAGAATTGTCCAGCATTCTAAAGAATGGCAAGTTAAATGTGATTTATTCTTCCTGTTTTTTCAGTGCCTAGGATTAGTTTAAGCATAAAAGTGGTTTTGAGAGAGATTACTTTAGTAAATGATCTCAGAGATACTCTGTTGGATACTGTTTGAGGGGTGTTTTGTGTTATTCGTTCCTTATCTTAATGATTTTTCCTGAGCACTGACCACCACAACACTCTTATGAGAAGAAATGGTGTATTTAAAGTTGATACAAAGAACAGTGACTACTAATCTGATGTTGTGATTTGGGAATGCATAGTTCTGATCTGCTGTGTATGAACAACTTGAATGCTCTTTGTCTAACTAGCTGCTTATTACTTTAATAATTTTAAATAAGAAGGGCAAGAATTTTCTTTTTCAAAGTCACAGTGTTGGTTGGACCTTATAAATATGTTGCCCTTTTACATTTTTATCCATCTTATTGAAAAAGAGTTTTTTGGGCTGGACGTGGTGGCTCAGGCCTGTATTCCCAGCACTTTGGGAGGCCAAGGTGGCCAGATCACTTGAGGTCAGGAGTTCGAGACCAGCCTAGCCAATATGGTGAAACCCCATCTGTACTAAAAATACAAATATTAGCTGGGTGTGATAGCGCACGCCTGTAGTCCCAGCTACTCGAGAGGCTGAGGCAGGAGAATCGCTTGAACCCAGGAAGCAGAGGTTACAGTGAGCTGAGATCACGCCACTGCACTCCAGCCTGGGCATCACAGTGAGACTCCATCTCCAAAAAAAAAAAAGAGTTTTTCAAGTTTTTTTTTTTAAGCCGTAAAGAAATCTGGATCTATCCAGAGCTGTTCTTTATGGTTTACATAAAAGGTTCTTAGTTTGGGAAACTAAAAAGGATAATTTTCAGTTGTTTTCAAAGAGCATTTTTAAAAAACAGATCTGAGTCAAAGAAGTGGGAAATGAATCCTGTCCTGGCAATTGGAGAGGCAAGAATATAATGTCAAAAAGAAGAAACCAACTCTTAAAATGAAAGCATTAATGTCTAAAATGGATAATTGGCTTTTATTTCGCAGTCTACAATCAACCATGACTATCCCAGTACTGTTTGTCCACTCCTCTTTTGCGAACCATCCCCCTGTATTATGAAGGAACTGGTCTCTGGTATTTCTCAGAATGGTCTCTTGGATTATTATAATTATTGGGCTATTATAGTTCTGAGAGCTGAGTTGTTGATCCTTCTGGGTTTGGTTTTATGGTTTTTTTGGTGGGGTTTTTTGTTTGTTTTTTGCTTATCACAGCTACTTTGAAAACGAACACTCATTTTTTTAGTACTTTTTAAATGAAATACTTAGTACCTAAGGATACAATCATGTACGTTTATCAAGAGACCTGTGGAAGTAGTCACCTGCTGGGTTCTTATAGCCAAGTGCAACTAGATCCTCTTATAAATATTTTATCTCTTAATTTGAGCTTGACTTTGAACTGCTTACCCTAACAGTGACCACTTCTTTTTTTTTTTTGAGATGGAGTCTTGCTCTGTCACCTAGGCTGGAGTGCAGTGGCGCGATCTTGGCTCACTGCAGCCTTTGCCTCCCAGGTTCAAGCGATTCTCCTTCCTCAGCCTCCCGAGTAGCTGGGATTACAGGCACCCGCTACCACGCCCAGCTAATTTTTGTATTTTTAATAGAGATGGGGTTTCACTGTGTTGGCCAGGCTGGTGTTGAACTTCTGACCTCGTGATCCGCCTGCCTTGGCCTCCCAAAGTGCTGGGATCATAGGTGTGAGCCACTGCGCCTGGCCAAAAGTGACCACTTCTTAGTTTATCTGTTTGGAAACAGATCATACCCATTTACAGCAAAACTATTACAAATTAGAAAACATATTCTTGATTTCCACGTCTCTTGGAAAATTGGTATCAAGTATTGTCTTCCACCACACACGTGGGCATCTGCCCTTCAAGTGCCTCTTATAGATGCTCAGAGACCTGATAGTGAAAAGGCAGGAGTCTTGAGAATGGACTTGAAATTATTCACAGTGAAGCTGGCGGCTCTCCACTGTCATTTTGAGGGTCCTTTCAGGCATACCCTGCAAGTTCCCTGTCTACCTGAAATAGGTAGCAAGGGGACCTAAAGCCCCAGAGCCCCAGAACAGATTTTCTATCTACCATGGCCAGGTGGTTTAACTAGGAATTCTCCTTCATCATTACTTTATATAGCTTACATATAAAATATATATATTATATGTATATTTTCTTTTTTTTAAAAAATCCATGTATAAAATTTTTTTTTCAAAAATCCATGCCAAGCTCTGTTGTAAGTGCTTTATGTGCATTGAGTCATTTTTGCAACATTCCTAGAAGGTAGATGGATCCTTATCCTCATTTTACAGATGGGCAGAGAGAACTCTGTTAAATAACTTGCCTACTGTCTCAAAGCTAGCAATTGGTTCAGTTTGACTGAACCCAGGAATATGGCTCTGTTAAAAGACTCCTACAGCCCTCTTTTCCTCAGAAAGCCTTAAATTTCAAGTTAAAAGTAGGGTAATCCTTACCTAAAGACCCTTAAGTGCTTTTGAAACAGACTTGAATGATTGTGAAACAATATAGATTGAAATCACAAAAATTAGTATTTTATACTGTGTATCAAAAGATTTGGGCAATTAGCAGCTCGTTGCTTGATACTTAATAGTTTTCCTATTATCTGAGGGAGTAAACTGAGAAGTGGATGTTTATGATTAGCAGTTTAGCACAACTCATTATTTCACATTCTATCCAATACAGAATTGACAATAAGCCTTTGTTTGTGATGGGTGGAGTTTACCTTGGTGATACCTATGAAAAAGTGGTTTCTAAACAAATAAATACTGTAAGATTGCAGGAAAATGTTACTTATTTCAACATAGTCGAATATTTTCAAGCACTTTTAATGGGTTTTTTTGTTTTTGTTTTTAGTATAATCCAGTAACTATCCTTAGTACTTTCCTTTTAAAAACAGAGGAAACTCAGTTTAATATTTGTTGATTCAAGTAATAAAACTGCATTTAAAAGTATTTTCAGTTTAGATATATATCTAGTTCAAGCCAAATTAGTCTGGGATTAGTAAGGTTTTTGTTAACCTAACTTTCGAATTACTGTGGCTTTAAATCTAATCTTTGACTTTTTCCCCAAAATCTTATTGCATTCAGAGTTTCTCATTTTAGATTAGCTTGCATAGTAATAAATTATAGAAGTGAAGGTTGCACTTAATAAGCCTGTGCTTATTTTTCCATTTGAGGTGCATATATCACATAAGGTGGTATTAGTGCTCTTTTGTTTTGAAGCTAGTGGCCATGTTGTATCTGTCTCTAGTGGTTTCAAGCCTAGCATCTTTTTGTTTTGTTTTGTTTTGTTTTGTTGAGACAAGTTCTCGCTCTGTTGCCCGGGCTGGAATGCATTGGCACAATCATAACTCACTGCAGCCTCAAACTCCTGGACCCAAGATATCCTACCACCTCAGCTTCCCAAGTACCTTGGACTACAGGCGGGTACCACTGCACCCGCTAATTTTTTTATTTTTAATTTTTAATTTTTTTTTTATTTTTAGAGACGAAATCTCACTATGTTGCCCAGACTGGTTTCAAATTCCTGGGTTCAAGCAATGCTATGTCCTTGGCCTCCCAAAGTGCTGGGATTATAGGCATGACACTGTGCCTGGCTAAGCCTAGCATCTTGTATCAGCAAGTGCAGAATTATTGCCCCCAAGAGAAAGGAGAAAGCTTCCAGTGTGAAAGTAGAGGAAGGACAGCCTGTGTTCTTTTAACTGAGTGGAGGCTGATGTTGGGGTGCATGGAACGTGTCTGACCTTGTGCTCTAGATCTCTGTGGACTCCAGACAATGGAGGAGGAAGGGAAACATTTAAGTGTGTTTAGCATTTTCTACATACCAGGTACTGTTCTTGGTGATAAAGCTGTATCTCTGTATCTACATTCATACATGCCTATCTATATCTATATAACTGTTTGCTGTGTATGCATAAACATATGTTTATTTAACAAAACATTTATACCAGGCACTATTCTACATACTTTACAAATGAAAAACTCATTTAGTCTTCATAATAACCCCGTGAGGCATGTATAATTATTATTCCCATTTTAAAAGTGATGAAGGCACAGTGAGAAAGTAATTGCCCAAGACAACTACAAAGTGATGAAGCTGGCATTTGAACCAGGTAGCCTTGCTGCAGATGCCACTTTCATTGGATACTTTATAGCCTAGATTTGGAAAAATTAAGTAATTTAGTCATCAAAGCAGCTATTACTTGATGGAGCTTGAATCTCAATCAAGCTGTCCCCTAGACAAACATTATAGCTTTCCTTTTTCTCCATCTTTGCTTGTGTGTTGCTTCTGTATAGTGTTCTTTCTACTCCTGCTACTGTTGAGAGCTTAGGAGAAGGCTCCATTCAAATGCCACTCCCAGGCCGGGTGTGGTGGCTCACGCCTGTAATCCCAGCACTTTGGGAGGCCGAGGCGGACGGATCACCTGAGGTCAGGAGTTCAAGACCAGCCTGGCTAACATGGTGAAACCCCATCTCTACTAAAAATACAAAAATTAGCCAGGCGTGGTGGCAGGTGCCTGTAATCCCAGCTACTCGGGAGGCTGAGGCAGGACAATCACTTGAACCTGGGAAGTGGAGGCTGCAGTGAGCTGAGATCATGCCACTGCACTCCAGCCTGGGGTTACAGAGCGAGACTCCGTCTCAAAACAAACAGAGCGAGACTCCGAGACTCCGTCTCAAAACAAACAAACAAACAAAAACAAATACCACTCCCTCCAAGATCCCTTTTTTGAAAATGGAGATAGGGTCTCAATATGGTGCTGAGGCTGGTCTGGGACTCCTGGCCTCAGGCGATCTTCCCACCTCAGCCTCCCAAAGTGCTGGGATTATATTACAGGTGTGAGCCACTGCACCTGGCTGAAGATGCCTTTCTTTCTTTCTTTTTTTGAGACAGAGTCTTGCTCTGTTGCCCAGGGTGGAGTGCAGTGGCACGATCTTGGCTCACTGCAGCCTCTACCTCCTGGGTTCAAGCAGATTCTCCTGCCTCAGTCTCCTGAGTAGCTGGGACTACAGGCATGTACCACCACGCCTAGCTAATTTTTTTTGTATTTTTAGTCGAGATGGGGTTTCACCATATTGGCCAGGCTGGTCTCGAACTCCTGACCTCAGGTGATCCGCCCGCCTCAGCCTCCCAAAGTGCTGGGATTACAGGCATGAGCCACCGCGCCGGGCCAGCCTTTCTTGATTAACACAACTGGAAGCCTCTTCTTTGCTTATGTTCCTATTGGAATGAACTTTTAACTTTTGGAATGCTTACTAATTACTCCCTTATATGATAAGTTTATGGACCGTGGGACAGTGTCATGACTCATCACATTATGAGCCTCTTAAAGGCAGAACTGTCATTGACACCACTTTCTGCTGTGGTCATGGGCATCCTGCCACTTATACAAATCTTGCAAATGCTTGGGAGTTTCCTGATGGTGCTTTAACAGATGTTTGTTAAATAGGTGGCTGTTCTGAATGTAGAGCAGTATGAAAGCCCCAAGAGAATTCCAATATAATTTAAAAAATCAACTATGTTAAAATGAGTATTCAAACAACAGCAGTCATAATGCTGCCTTTACTTTCACAATCCTGATAAAAACTGTCATAAAATTATGCTGAATTAGCTATTTATCAAGGTTTTTTAAAGAACTGTCTTGAAGAGTTTGCGTCTTTTTTTTTTTTTTAGCTGAAGAGGATACCAGTTTCTTCTGTGTAGAGTTAGAGCTCTCTGTTTGTATGTATGTGAACTGAGTCCGTTTCTGAAGTGTGAAGACTGCATCGCTGTGGATCACACTGGTGTAGCCCTCCTGAGCATGCAGCCTTTTTGGAGGAATGTGTGTTAGTCAGCTTTTGCTGCATAACAAACCACCTGATACTAGTGGCTCAAAAAAACAAACATTTCTTTCTGTACCTCACAGTTCTGTAGGGCACCGGAGTGGTTCTGACTTGAGCAAGCCTGGCTGGACTTTGCAGTCAGCTGGCAGCTGGCTGGCTGTGTGGTTTACGATGGCCTGACCCACCCATCAGGTGCTCAGCGGGCTGACCAGTGGCAGGGACTCAGCAGTGATGGTGCATCCCCACTCCATGTGGCCTTCTCATTTGTAGTAGGCAAGCCAGGGCGGGCATTTCGAAGTTGCAAGAGAGGGTGAGCCCCCATGCACCAGCACTTTCCAGGGCCCAGCATTATGTTTGCTGTTGTCCTACTGGCCAAGCCCAGAGTCAGTGCAGGAAGGGACTCCCTAGGGTAAGGAAGGAATAGGGGGACTTTACAGCAGCCATCTGCCCAGACACATGATTCGCCTGTGTTCTTCAGTCAGTGACCCTGAATCCTGTGCTAACCTCTGGCTGGGGACATGAGACCATATCACGGAGAAAATTAAACAGGCTGGCGCAGCTACAGAGTTTTCCAAAGGAGTTTACAAACCCTGGTTTTCCTGAAATACTTAACGACCATTTGAAATTCCTTTCAACATTTTATTTTTTGAAGAAGCTTCATGCTATAAAAACAGGGAGCCTTTAATCCGCACTCAGTAAATATCCCAAATTGCCCTTCAGCAAGTACCATACTGCTGCTAGACCTGCTGTGAGCATAATGGCCCCGGCCGTTTATGAGACTCTTTGTGTGCCTGTGCTAGATACATCTCACTTCCTTCCAACACCAACCCTTGATGTCAGCAACATTATCCCCATTTTACAGGCGAGGAAGCCAAGTCACAGAGGTGAGCTCAATTGCTCGAGGTCAGACAGCTAGTAGGTCGTGGGGTACACTTTGAACCCAGGTCTTTCTGAGTCCACAGCTACAATCCAAAGAATTCCTAACGTGGGCCAGGCACAGTGGTTCACACCTATTATCCCAGTACTTCGGGAGGCCAAGGTGGATGGATGCCTGAGGTCAGGAGTTTGAGACCAGCCTGGCCAACATGGCGAAACCCCGTCTCTACTAAAAATACAAAAATCAGCTGGTCGTGGTGGCACACACCTATAATCCCAGCTGCTCAGGAGGCTGAGGCAGGAGAATCCTTGAACACAGGAGGCGGACGTTGCAGTGAGCCGAGATTGCACTACTGTGACAGAGACTTTGTCTCAAAATAAATAAATAAAATACAGAGAATTCTTAACGAGTTGAAGAGTTTTTTCTTCAATGTTCATTTTTTGATGGCTTTTTTTTTTCTTTGAGATAGAGTCTCACTCTGTCATCCAGGCTGGAGTGGTGGCGTGATCTCAGCTCACTGCAACCCCCGCCTCCCAGGTTCAACTGATTCTCATGCCTCAGCCTCCCAAGTAGCTGGGACTACAGGTATGTGTGACCGTGCCCGGCTAAGTTTTTTGTAGAGACGGGGTTTCGCTACATTAGCCAGGCTGGTCTCAAACTCCTGACCTCAAGTGATCCTCCTGCCTCAACCTTAAATAGTTGGATCAAATAACCAGGTTCAATTTGATGATAAATAGCTCAGAATAGAAACTTCACTGCTATTTCCAGATGTCATTTTAAAATATTTTAGAATACCTGATTTCTCCATGACCTATCCATGCTTTTCTAAGGTTCCAAACTAAAATGCAGAATCTTGAGTTATTCCAGAACATAGATTTAAAATTTGATCAGAAAATAACCTTCATTTAAGAAATGAGGGGTCAGGCATGGTGGCTCACGCCTGTAATCCCAGCACTTTGGGAGGCCGAGTTGGGTGGATTGCTTGAGCCCAGCCTATTTATTTACTATCCTATTATGAGCTTGAGACCAGCCAGGGCAACATAGCAAAACTCCATCTCTACAAAAAATATAAAAATTAGCCAGGTGTGGTGGTGCACACCTATAGTCCCAGCTACTTGGGAGGCTAAGGTGGGAGGATCGCTTGAGCCTGGGAGGTGGAGGTTGCAGTGAACCAAGATTGTGTCACTGCACTCCAGGCTGGGCGACAGAGTGAGACATCTTCTCAATTAAAAAAAAAAAAAGGTTGGGGGGGTATTGCGTCCCTCTTGTGTGGCACCCTCCTTCCTCTCCCCGCTGTAGCCATAGCACATTGCACATAAACTGCGTCTTCATACTTACCCAAGTATTGTATCTGCCTGGGTGAGTCTGTTCCTGTCACTAAAATGTGAACTCCCTGGACATAGAGACCTTGTCTTTCATCTCTGTATCTGTCCCCAGTACCTGGCATAGTAACTGGAACATGCCTTTTTTTTTTTTTTTTTTTTTTTTTTTTTTTTTTGAGACGGAGTCTTGCTTTGTTGCCCAGGCTGGTGTGATCTTGGCAGTGGCATGATCTTGGCTCACTGCAGCCTCTGCCTCCCAAGTTCAAGTGGATTCTCCTGCCTCAGTCTCCTGAGTAGCTGGGACTACAGGCGTGCGCCACCATGCCTGGCTAATTTTTTTTGTATTTTTAGTAGAGACAGGGTTTCAGCATGTTGGTCAGGCTGGTCTTGAACTCCTGACCTCGTGATCCACCCACCTCGGCCTCCCACAGTGCTGGGATTACAGGCGTGAGCCACCACGCCTGGCCACCAATTTTTATTATATGATTTTATAACTAAAATTTCATGTCTAGCAATGAAATTCTTCTTCTCTCTTTTTTGTTTATTTATCTTCCTTTTAGTCTTTCTTTCTCCTCGGATCTTTCCCCTTCTATCTGTCTCAGTTCCTTCATTTTCCTTAGCTCTCCATTTCTCCCAGCATCTGCTACTAGTCTAGTCTCCTGGCTCTTAACCTTTTTGAGACACAGACTCCTTTAATAAAGTGATGAAGAAAGTTATCTCCCCAGAAGAATACACACAGAGAACACAGAATATTTTGCATATTATTTCAAAGGTAAAGAATGCCAAGAAGCCAGGGGCAGTAGTTCATGCCTGTGATCCCAGTGCTTTGGGAGGCTGAGGTGGAAGAATCACTTGAGCCCAGGAGTTCGAGGCTGGCCTGGGCAACATGGTGAGACCTCCTCTCTACAAAAAAATTTTAAAATTAGCCAGGTGTGCTGGCACGTGCCTGTAGTCCCAGCTACTCAGGAGGCTGAGGTGGGTGGATTGCTTGAGCTCAGGAGGTGAAGGCTGCAGTGAGCCATGATTGTGCCACTGCACTTCAGCCTGGGTGACAGAATGAGACCCTAGCTCTAAAAAACAAAGGATGCCAAGTATCTAAACTTTGAGCTCCTTGAGGACAAAAACTAGGCGTTTTTCATCCTATATGCCCAGTATTTAGTTGATGTTTCTTGAGTGTATATAAGTGTGCACATGCCCAGAAACATGTAAATATTAGTACATGTTGTAGAAAAGCTGTTGTCAGGAAGATATTTGTACACTCTGGCTTTCCACTATGATAGTCACCAGGCACATGTGGGTACTGAGCACTGGAAATGTGGATTGTCCAGATTGGAATGTACTAATTGTAAAATACGCACTGGATTGCACAGGCTTGGGGCAGTACAAACAAAAGAATGAAGATATCTCATTAATAGTTTTTATGATTATTACACATTAAAATGATCATATCTTGGATATATTGAGTTAAAATATATTATTAAATTAATTTTACCTCTTTATTGTTACTTTTCTAAAAGCAGCTACTAGAAAATTTTAAATTATACATGTAACTGCTCATAGAAGGTTGGTATCTGGGTTCATTCATTAGTGGACATTCATAAACATAGTAATTTTCTTTAATTTCATGGATTCGTTGAACTAAAGATCCCATAGGTCACCGCCTTCCCTGTCCCTCCTCTACCACCAAAAATTAATGAGAACAAATGGGAAGAATTTACTCTGCTTTTCAAGGTACTCTGATACAGATTTTTATCTACTGTCATAAGTATACCTAGAACAAAAGCACTGTTGACTCAAGTAGTTTCACTAATGAAAAGGAAGCAGCAGAATGACTAATGTAAATTGGAGGAGACTCTTTTATTTGGAATGCTTTGGTTCTTCCACTGTGGAACAGGTGTGGCTGCTGTTGAAACAGCAGAGTCATACTAGGCATATCTGACATGTGAGGAACCGGAGCATTGCTCAGGGGCCCCTGCCTTCCAATGAATGGATGTAGGATCCATCATACATCAGATTGCTCCTTTCCAATACAAACTCTGATGCAGAAATGCACTTGGTGTATTTGCTTTTTCTTACTTTCTGGTTTAGGGCAGAAATAATATTTTGGCTTAGAGACTTTTGTCCTGAACTATGACATAATAGGATGAGAATATCGTGTCAAAAATAGCCTTACAAGGTCCTTTTTGGCATTAAGACTTCTGGAGTGAGTTTGCAGTGGATTATTGAGAATAATTCTGTTCATTAGCAGCTAGCCATCTTTGATGAGTGCTGACTTCTCTCCTTTCAGCACAGAGCAGGAAATGCCTGCCTCCCATGACTCTGGGTTGGAGTGAAGGGGAATGCATACCAGCCACCCTCTTGCAGAGGTGGGGCAGGTGCTGGCACAGAGCCTCAGGTTAGGCCGAGGGGATGCAATCTCAGATCAGCAGCCAGCAGTGTTTGTAAACAACAGGAGGGAGATTGTGCTGGTGATGTCCAACTCACACCAATGAAGATCAACCGGTTTGTGCTTTGGGCAGCAGGCTGCAGATGGACAGTGCCTCCTGAGGGCATCGCCATGTTTTAGGGATCCATGTTGCAGGATACCTGTCTGCAAGAGAGAGTCAAGGAGGGCTTTTTAAGCCCCTGGGGTTCAGGCCTGGCATCTGGGTGTTAAGTAGAGTGAATCTCCTGAAGTCCAAACTAACATATGACATTTTAAAATGAGGAAAACAAATGGCTCTGAAAAGGTCTATAGGATTATAGGTAAGTGGTTAATACGGAAGATGTTATAAAGGTCTCAGGAGGAGATGGGGTGATCCAGGGTTGGTTGAAGTCGTTGAAATGGAATTACCCTGTCTTTTACCTGTCTGTGGGAAAAAAAAAAAAAGAGGAAAATGACATCTCCCAAAGATGCTTGGAGATTTGATTGATGTTTGTAAAGTGCTTTGATATCTTTCATAGAGTGTTCAATAAGAGCAAAATATGTCATCAGAACTTAGTCTAAAGCAAACTAGTCCCAAACCGTCTTGAGTAGATACTAAGCGGTTTTGTGTCTTTGTTATAAGTTGTACTTATATTTTCGAGAGAAAGTTTTTCATGTTCTGATTTTCTTTTAAGTGTCAGCTGTATGTTTGGGGTCTTTACCTGTTAACTTGAGTTCCAACATGCTTTGTAGATGGTCAGTCACCTACAGAGGACAATTTTTCTAGCCAAGGAGTTAAATCCACCTTAAAATGCTTCTTGCCAAGGACAATGCCTTTGCAAATATTTGAGATGTTTATTCTCAGTTGTGATTTATTACTGAATCTGTGTCTTCATAGCGACTCCTTGGGAGGTGCAGGAGGAGGCAGAGCCAGAAAGCAAGTCCCTGCAATCAGTTCATTATAGAGAAAGAAAAAGCTTTTATTTCAGGATTCTGGTGGATAGACTTACTGATATGTATATTCTGTGTCTATTTAATTTCACGTAGTGCTGCATCTAATCACGCTGTTTAAATAATCGGACAGAATGTCCTTTTGCTTTGCTTTTGCTTGTGAAGAGCACACAGCACTGCCACCTTGTTGCCAAAGTTTGGTCTGATTTGAATGTGCTTAAAAATCAAGTGAATGCCTGTTGGGAAAAAGCTTACTCCTTCTCTTTGTCAGTACTTGCAAAAACAACTTAAAAGAAGTTAGTATTATTGGACTGAATTCAGTAATTAGCATAATCATGATGCTATGTATTGTTCACCAGGGCACGCCCCTTGGCCGCATTTCCCATTAAGAGGACACCGATGTTGTCCTAGTGAATAAATCCCGGCACACATGATGCAAATCAGCGTGTTCCTGCCTGCTGCTTGGCTGCAGTTAATTTTAGCCGGGGTTAGTTCTATGAGTTGTAAAAGTAGAAGTTAGCAAGCTGAAATGTGACTTCTCGGCCTAATGTGGTAGGATATCTATTTTAGACTTCAGATTGTGTTTGTGATCAGGAGAGCAGTCTTCTGAAGAATTGTGGCTCAGTTTTCTTGGAAACTACTTGTAAGTACTGGGTGGAATTTTAAGACTTCTCTTTGTTCTTTTCTCCTTAAATCTTCCTAATGTTACCGTCATAGTAATGTTTATCTCTTGGGAAAACTGGAAGCTTTCAGGTTGGTACGTTAGAGAAAGCTAAGAGAGGTGGCAAAAGGTTTTTCTTTAAATGTCTCCTACTGCAATAAATCTGCCTTATTCAATTTGCCCAAGAAAAAGTTTTCGATTCTTACTTATTTTTGCAAAAGCAATCTGTAGATTATTATTTTATGTTAAAATATTTGATTAATGGATATGGTTTCTGTAAATACAGAAACATTGTATTGTGTCATTGAGCTTTGTTTTCTACTATGGTAACCTAATTCTTGAGAAAAAAATGTTGAAAGTTAATTCCTGTTATACTCTGTGCTACAAGTTTATTTTGTAGAAATAATGGAGTGTCAAATGTAATTTTCTTGAATGTATAGATGGACAGTTTTTTATCCTTTTAAGGGGGATTTTGTGCTTAAAAAATAAACCCATATATGCCTAAAGAGAAGCACTTTAAAAAATTAATTTAGGAAGAAGGTTTTAGAGAATAATTTAAAGCATCCTCTTTTAGACTGAGTTAGTTATCAAAAGTAACCAAAGGCCATGGGATTCTGTAACCTTAACTGCAGTTCATCTAACACATTATTACCAACTTAAATTTGTACTGAAGAAAACAAAAGATTTTGATATTGAATATTTTAAATTAAATTTGAATCATCTTGCTTATTTAGAAGTGTGTTTTCAATGTGGACTGACCTCAAGCCAAACAGTTTGCTTACAGCAGAGAACCAGGCAGGAATTTCTTTATCAATTAGCAAGTAAATGTATCAGCTTTAGGAATATTGTTATTAATAAAACAGTTCTCCTAGGCGATAGGATAGGTGCTCACCAGCTATCTATGCCTGTCATCTCTAGAGCAAGGAAGGAGGCAGGTCCACAGTTAGTATTGTGAAAGCCATTTTCCCATTTTGAAAAGATTTAGTTAAAGACTTCTTTGTTATTATGTATTGTCTGATTTTAAATGCAAATGACATAAAGTGTCAACAATGAAAGGAAATACTTCAGTGTTCCATTTAGTAGGAAAAGAGTGTAAGAAAGGAAAGTAGTACTGAGTTCTTGGGCTATTTTTAGAAAGAAACTTACTTCATACTTAGTTTTTATTGAGCTGAAGAGAAATTTGCTGCCCAGATGAATTATAATGATAACAGAAGCCTCTAATGTCATCTTCAGCAGTAAAAGGGGTTTTGCTCCGGTAATCCTTCATAATATATATTTTTATCCAAAAAATTCTGACTTATTGCTATTACTTCTTACTTCTAATTGTTAATAAGGCACCATCAGAATCTCAGTGGAGCATTTTTAAAGGTACACTGTAGTTGGGTATTAGTTTTCACACCAGTATTCACTTGACCTATTGTAGTTCTTAGTCCTGCAAAAGAGAAAAGCTGATTCGAATTTATCCATTGTTTAATTTCACAGACGTTTCTGTAGGTTTTTCTACTACTAGGAAGCATGTGCTTTATGATGAGTTGCTAAAATGCGCATAAACACTTGAGGAGTGTTCGTTTTAATGATTTACGTGCTGTGAGAGAGTGGCAGCGGTGAGTGAGAGCGGAGAAGGTTTTCATTATATAAGTGTTAGTGCCGGAATTCCTCGTGTTTGCCGGTGCTGCGATTCTCTTCGCTGCTTCTACCCCGTGTGCCTGGTGAAATGATGCTGGCTGTGACTGGTTATGACCTTGGGCGACAAATCATGATGAGCTCTATGCAGAGTCACACACTGGGGGTCCAGGTGCGGAGAAACAGGGCAGCTTTGTGGCCGCAGGAGGAGTCCAGGAGCCGAGCCCGCCTGCCCTTGCCCTGCTGTTCCCACGCCGCAGGTGACCGCACGTCTCCCCTGCAGTCCTGTTGGAGCCACTCTGTCCAGCTGCCCGTGCTCTCATCCTACTCCTCCACGTCTTAAAATAGTTACAGACCCAGAGGCTCTGACAGAATCGCTGCCGGTTGCAGATTTATTTCACTGTTACTTTCTGCCTAGAGGGATAGCCTTCTGCTCAGAAGCTTTGAGGGGTTTCTCAGGGACGCAGAGAGGAACCTTTTCTCTGGGACCTCTTCCCTCACATGAGGTTTTAATGGGTCTCTTGCCTGCATGGCTAAATGGGAACTGCGCTATGTAACAGGTTGCCTTTCGGCTTGGAGCCCGGATGCTCAGTGATCACATCCCTAGAATGTTCTCTCTCTAAAGGAAATCTTGTCGGAAGAGGCTGTGTTATGTGAGTTCCAGCTGTTCATCTAAAGTGGAAGGAGCAGTGAGCAGGAGGGATGCCTTCAGCTTCCGTCCGTCTTAAAAACAAGTGTAACATAATGGGATATGGCCCTCAGGAGGAAGGCTGATTTCTCGGGCATACGGGGTACTGCTGTCATTATTTAGCATGTATTAAGCACCCCACAGCACATGCGGTGCACAAGGAAAGCATAGTTCCAACCCACATGCTACAACAAGGCAGGACACAGAAACTGGGCCCCCTGACATTCAGTAACTACACTGGCAGAAAAAAAAATGTGAAAATGAAGAAAAGGGAAACAAGATGAGTGGGGTGGGTTGAGGATACTTCAGCATTCAGCTCCTCTGAGCTTTTGCCAAAGACGATTAGGACAGACAGCTGTGCCACCTGGGCTGTGCCTTCCCTTTCTCCTCCATAGCTGGGAAGTGATGGGGACAAGTGACAAGACTGACCCCAGAAGCCTTGCCCCCCACTCTCAGTCCTCTGTTGCAATCCTCCTACAAAGAGGAGAAGCTTCACAGTTTCACTTGCACCTAAAACTATTATTATTATGTGGAGGGGGTAAACTTGTTATAAAGTGCAATAAATATCAAAGCATCTTTCTCCATAAAATGATATTTAGATAGAAATCTGGAGTTCCAGATTCTCCCTTCCTGAACTGGTTTGCAATTCAACAAGTTACTTAACCCTGCACTGGTTTAGGATATTGAGTCAACTGTAATATTAGTTAGGGAAATGCCTTCAGCTTCTCAGAGGAAAGGCATTATGAAGGTCTACTGAGCATTATTGCAGCTTGTAAAGGAGTTAGAAGCACATGAATCAGAAGAAGGGCTGATAGGAAGGCTTGGGTACTGGGGAGTAATAACATGAGCGGCCTGCGTGGTTCTGTGAGTCTGTGAGTCCCTCCCCCCGTGCCCAACCTCAGCCAGTCTCTAAGGTTCTGGGTCTAGTTCATGGCTCCACAACAAAGAGACTTGGCTCCACAAAGAACCTCAAAAAAAAAAAAAAAACCAATTGAGGGTTGGAAAATGATACCTATGATAAGAGGGTAGGGAACTTCTATTATTTAGCCTGGAAGAGGAAACAAATGACCGGGAGACTCTTGAATTGTTCTTCAAGTATATGTGTGTCTCAGTGGCAAAGAATGGTGACCCACTGGTATCTATTTCCATCTAGAATAAAAGGGTCAGGTCCAGCAAGGGTTGGGCTGGAACAGAGGTGCCGACAGTGGGGACCCTGTTTCTTCAGCGTCAGCACCGCCTGGAAACATGTGAGAAATGCAGATTCTCAGGCCCCACCCAGGCCCTGCTGAATCAGAAAACATGGGGTAGGGCCAGCAGCCTGTGTTTAAAAAATCTCCCAAGTGATTCTGGTGCACGTTGACATTTGAGGTCTGCTGGATGAGATGCAAAGATGGAGGGTATTATAAAATGGGCAATCTGGATGCCAAAAAATGTAACCCTTTTTCCTGAAGTCATCTAAACATGGGATTATATTTGTTTGCAGTGTTTTCAATGTACTCTCTAAAGTCAGGAGATAAATGACCTCTCAAAGTCCCTTCCAGCCCTGACTTTGCTCTGGATTTCCTTTTGTCACTTAGAGAAGATTAATAATTAACCAGGAAAATTTTGCAATTACTTTTCTGAGCTAAGACAGTGTTCCTCTCAAATGAGGCTCACCTGAGATAATGTGAGAATAATATTGTGTTAGCATATGGATCTACTGTATTTTATCAGTGTTACCAGACTCTCCTCCCCATGTGACCTCACAGCCACCTGCAGGGGATCTGGGCAGAGGTAGCGTGTAGCCCATATGGGGGGTGGGGAGCTTATTGTTGGCTCATGAGCACTTTACATCACAGACTGTGGCCAGGTTGGTCCGTCCCTGTCTTCACACAGCCCATTTCAGAAGAGAGGGGGCTGCAAGGAAAGTTGGACCCTACCCACTACACCCTAGGAGCAGGAAGCAACATAGAAGGCCCTAACGAATCCAAGCACAGTGGAATGTATTATCTGTGTGTCAGCTCTCACTAGAGATAGAGGAGAGGGACACATTTTATCACAACATTTTTGTATCTACAACAAATAGCCCAGGGGCACACATAGGATGGACTTAATACAAATAAATTCTAATTCCATTGGAATGGCTAAGGCCACAAGTAAGTGCTCTGCCTTCTCCTCTGTAATGAGTTCTCTAGAGTCAGGAAGGTGGCCATTCTCACCTTTCCCAATCAAAACAGTTACTCCTAGGAGTCCCCTATTCATCTCTCTGCTCTCTCTTCCACCCACCTTTATTTGCACGTAATAGAAATGCATCTGAATTTAGTTATGCCTGTGCCCTTTTGTATATTTTCCTTTGTGCTTTCGCTTGACAGAAGTGTCTCCGGTTGAAAACACAGGCTGCTGAGAGTGTCTATTTGTTATACTTTGTATAGCATTTAGGACAATAAAACCTTTTTGTGCTCATAATGAAGAAAGGGCTCTCTGAGGACATGTTTTGCCAGTGCTGTTAAAAAAGTGTCATACTTCCTGCAGGAGCTAGGTTTTTAAAAATAATAATAAAGATAAAAATAAAAACTGTCACACAAGTAACGCACTGCCATGTCTGAAAAAGACCCGCCCTACCTTAGCCAGGAAATTGTGGCCCTAATATTTCAGCACTTGAAAATGGGATCTGGCCGGGTGTGGTGGCTCACGCCTGTATTCCCAGCACTTTGGGAGGCCAAGGTGGGTGGATCACTTGGGGTCAGGAGTTCGAGACCAGCCTGACCAACATGGTGAAACCCCCTCTCTACCAAAAATACAAAAATTAGCCGGGCGTGGTGGCGCACGCCTGTAATCCCAGCTACTTGGGAGGCTGAGGCAGGAGAATTGCTTGAACCTGGGAGGTGGAGGTTGCAGTGAGCCAAGATCACACCACTGCACTCCAGCCTAGGCAACAGAACAAGACTCTGTCTGGAAAAAAAAAAAAAAGGGGGAGGGATCTGTAGAATCCTTGGCTTTTATAGCATAGTTAATTACATGTTTGCAGAGTACTAAAAATTGCTTGAGGTGAGAAAAGACTGGTGAGGACATTTGAGCCAAACTGTAGTTTGCCTGGTCATAAGATATTGATGTTACTATTCAGTCTTTCAATCTTTCAACCTCATTATGTTTCAAAAAACTGACCTCTCAGACATGAAGCTGCATGCACTGTTATTTTCTACATCTGTGTCTGTTTTCAGAACATATGAGGCCCAATGAACATGGTGTCTGTACAGAGATAAGATCGACGTGTCTCCCCACTCCAGAGGGCACAGGGAGCTGATCTTAACCCTGAATGAGCCTTTCAATATAAGTAGAGTCTGTGAAACCCATGAACTTCCAATAAATATACAGCCAGTAGGGAACATTCCAAGTGTCTGTTTAATTTGGTTCTTAATAATGGCAGCCAAAAAGCTATTTTCATTTCTGTACAAAGAGGAATTACTAAATAGTCATTCTTTTCTTGGTATTTCTTCCTTGGAAAAATCACGTTTCTAAAATCAATCTGTAGCTAGTTCACAAATGTGTCATTAAAAATAAGAGACGTGGCCGGGCGCAGTGGCTCATGGCTTTAATCCCAGCACTTTGGGAGGCCAGGGTGGGTGGATCACGAGGTCAGGAGATCGAGACCATTCTGGCTAACACAGTGAAACCCCGTCTCTACTAAAAAAAAAAAAATACAAAAAAATTAGCCAAGTGTGGTGGCACATGCCTGTATTCCCAGCTACTCGGGAGGCTGAGGCAGGAGAATTGCTTGAACCCGGGAGGCAGAGGTTGCAGGGAGCCGAGATCGCACCGTTGCACTCCAGCCTGGGTGACAGAGCAAGACCCCATCTCAAAAAAACAAAAAAGAGTGGTTAAGTGGTTTGGAATAAACTTTGTCTCATTATAGCTGTCCAGTCAAAAAAAATTAAACTTGAAGAAAAAGGTAAAAAATTTTACTTATTATTAGACTATACAAGATTTATGGACCTAATAGTTGAATAAAATATCCCCAGAAACAACCTAATAAGTTACTGATTAAATAATTTATTGTATTTCCACAGCATAGAACACTACGCAGCCATTTGAAATGATGGCGTTAGATGTATATCAAGTAAAAACTAGCAGGTTACAAAACATTATGTATTTATGACCCCATTTTTATAAAAGCAAGGCACACCTATGTATGTACCTGAGAAAAGAATGCTGCATTTATTATGAGCAATAACTATCTCTAGGAGGTGAGCTTATATGTGATTTTCACCCCTTCTTTTTGGTTACCTGTATGTTAATTTTTTTCTTCAATAAGCATAGATTACTTATGTAATAATAGAAAACTTTCTCTTTAAAAAGTAACTATTTTAATTAATTTTTATTTTGACTTTATATTTTATTTAATTTGGCAGTGGCCTCTCAGTTGGCTTATATAAGTAGTGCCTAGTCCAACTGATAAAGCTAGTACACCAATATGTTAATTATGGTTATTTTGCAGTACTGGGCCAGTAGCATTTTTCCTTGTTTTACTTTCTCATTTTCTATATTTATCAAATTTGTTATGAGCACATATTATTATTAGTTTTGAGACAGGGTCTCACTGTCATCCAGGCTGGAGTGAGAGGTGCCATCAGGGCTCACAGCAACCTTGACTCCCCCAGCTTGAGCGATCCTCCCAACTCAGCCTGCCAAGTAGCTGGGACTACTGGCACACACCACGACACCTGGCTAATTTTTTAAATGTTTTATAGAGACAGGGTCTCGCTATGTTACCCAGGCTGGTCTTGAACTCCTGAACTAAAGCAGTCCTGCCTTGCTCTCCCAAAGTGCTGGGATTACAGAGATAAGCCACCATGCCCAGCCAATATTATTTTTACACTGGAAAAATCTGATTCATTTTTAAGGCAGAGACTTGGGATCATGGCTTTTGGAGAGACACCCACGTAAACTGATGTGTACTGGTCATTGAAAAAGGTTAATTCTGTTAATTCTGGAGTATTAGAGGTATCCAGGAAGTGTCTGCTTTCACTACCACACTGGATCTTAACAAACTCTATAATCTGATCTGATTTTTGGCCAGGATCTCAGACTCAGTATTATTTGGAGAGCAATGGCAGCAAGCTGGGGACTTTAGCAGATTTTTAAGTCAATTAAAATAACACTTCTGGTGTTATGATTATCCATTAAAATTTCAGAAGGGCCCGGAGTTCAGAATGTTAAATTCAAAGCAGTGAACAGTGGAACCATGTGCAGTAGGTCTCAGGTAATATTTTGAGTGACAGTGATGAGGGATGATGGAAAGAATGAATCCCCTAGCCAGTGTTTCCAGGGCACTTATCTGTGTAGTATCACGGTGTATCTCACCAGCGTTCACTACATGTGAGAGCACTTTAAGAAAGTACTGGCTCCCTCAGTCATTTCTGCCAGACGCTGCCAGGATGTCCTCATGGCCTGAATCAGAAGGTTATTGTGGGTAACTGTTTTGGTGCCTGTGGCACTTGATTTAAGAAAATCTTGAACAAAGTGGGACTTCCCACTAAAGCAGGCCCCCCTTTCCACCTGCTTTATACAGTGCCACATGAGAATAAGTACTTTTGATGGTCATTGAGAGAGTCTCTCCTAAGCCTGGGCCTGGAGCAAAATGGCATTTGTCACTAGGTTTCCTTTGGGCATTGAGGCTGAAATTCAGACTGAATTGAATCTGCTTTCAACAGGACTAAGACCTTAAACTTAATCGAAAACCAAGGCTGGGCGTGGTGGCTCACGCCTGTAATCCCAGCACTTTGGGAGGCTGAGGTGGGTGGATCACGAGGTCAGGAGATCCAGACCATCCTGGCTAACACAGCGAAACCCCGTCTCTCTACTAAAAATACAAAAAGTTAGCCGGGCACGTGGTGACAGGCGCCTGTAGTCCCAGCTACTTGGGAGGCTGAGGCAGGAGAATGGGAGGCGGAGCTTGCAGTGAGCCGAGATGGCGCCACTGCACTCCAGCCTGGGTGACAGAGCGAAACTCCGTCTCAAAAAAAAAAAAAGAAAACCAAGTGCCTTGATAAACTGAAAGGAATCTGGAATCATGTGCTACCATGTTTTGGCCTAGCCTTTGGTTTAGAACCTTTGTTACTCATAGAAGAATGTTTCCTGGAATGCTCGGAACTGAGAAAGCTGGTTTTTCAAGTTTCCTCTTTACATTTGTCATCCATATAAGGAATGCTCTTCTTTTTATGCTCGCCTTCCTTTCTTCATCATCTCGTGTCTTTCTACTGCAATTATATGAGAGGAGTAGTCATGACATTCCTCTCTGCAGTATTACTTCCTTAGGAAGTGAAGACACACCTTGCATGGGCAGATCTTCGTTTTCTTTCTTTTTTTTGAGACAGAGTCTTGTTCTGTTGCCCAGGCTGGAGTGCAATGGCACGATCTCAGCTCACTGCAACCTCTGCCTCCTGGGTTCAAGCAATTCTCTTGCCTCAGCCTCCTGCGTAGCTGGGATTACAGGCGCCCACTACCACACCCAGCTAATTTTTTGTATCTTTAGAAGAGACAGGGTTTCACCATGTTGGCCAGGCTGGTCTCGAACTCCTGACCTCGTGATCCACCCACCTCGGCCTCCCAAAGTGCTGGGATTACAGACGTGAGCCACCGCACCCAGCCCAGTGCATCTTCATTTCCTTTGGGGAGAAGAAAGAGGTGTGGGTAAACACCTTCACTCAATAGTCACATATTCAATGAATAGAGTACTGTTCCCAGTGAGATTGTTGGGGGACAATTCCCAAGACATCAGCATGTCCTGGCTGCCAAGTAGTTCTAACTGAGTTAAGTCCCAAAGCTCTCCTGCACACCAAGTGAGTATAGATGTGCATAATGCCACATCAAGATGGAATAGTAGGTGTTAAAATTTGGTTACTTGGCAAGTTGAATGCCTTAAAAGAAGAAAGAAAATGTCTTTTTACTTCCTTAGAAGGGATAGAGCAGATAAAAAGGGTTTCTGAGACTGTGTTGGACAAGGCAGGAAAACTGATGGTCATCAAGAGAAATAGAGTGACTTTTTTTTTTTTGAGATGGAGTCTCACTCTGTCACCCAGGCTGGAGTGCAGTGGTGCGATCTCGGCTCACTGCAACCTCTGCCTTCCACGTTCAAGCGATTCTCTTGCCTCAGCCTCCCAAATAGGTGGGATTACAGGTGCCCGCCACCATGCCCAGCTAATTTTTTTTTTTTTTTTGGAGACGAAGTCTCACTCTGTTGCCCAAGCTGCAGTGCAGTGGCGTGATCTTGGCTCACTGCAATCTACACCTCCCTGGTTTAAGCGATTCTCCTGCCTTAGCCTCTTGAGTAGCTGGGATTACAGGCATGTGCCACCATGCCTGGCAAATTTTTTTTAGTAGAGACGGGGTTTCACTGTTGGCCAGGCTGGTCTTGAACTCCTGACCTGGTGATCGCCCGCCTCAGCCTCCCAAATTTCTGGGATTGCAGGCATGAGTCACCATACCCGGCCAATTTTTGTATTGCCATGTTGGCCAGGCTGGTCTCTAACTCCTGACCTCAGGTGATCTGCCTGCCTCGGCCTCCCAAAGTGCTGGGATTACAGGCGTGAGCCACCACACCGGCCTGAAAGAGGGTGACTTTTATAAGAGGAAGAAGAGAGTGGATCTCAGCTTAAAAACTTGAATTGCATTTGTTTTCCTCTTTTTTGTCTTTTTTTTGTTTACTTGTTTTTTTGTTTGCTTGTTTGTTTTTATCTTTACTCTGAAGACTAAAAGCAAAAGTAAGAGAGATGAATGTAGTTAACGTAGGTGTTAGGAGTTATAAAAGAGCTCATCTGTTATAAAGGTTTTTAAAAGAGTGATTGCCTTAGACCTGACTTGAAATTAAAGTGGCAGCTGTCACAGGAAGAGGGAATCACTGACTTTCTGCCTCAGCTGCTGTGCGGTTAAGTGTCCCTAGGGACTTGGAAGGCAGCGTGCCCGGCAACTCACCTCTTTCTCTCGGGCCTGATTTTTGCCATCTCTGCTTTTGTTTACATTTGTTTGGTTTCCACCTCATCTTTAAGTCATAGTGTCTTCAGGCCTGTGAGGCATGTCAGCAACAATTAAATAAATCCAGAGTTTGGGGTTTTTTTGTTTTTGTTTTTGAAACGGAGTCTTACTCTGTCTCTCAGGGTGGAGTGCAGTGGCAGGATCTTGGCTCACTGCAACCTCCGCCTCCTGGGTTCAAACAATTCTCCCGCCTCAGCCTCCTGAGAAGCTGGGATTACAGGTGCATGCCACCATGTCCGGCTAATTTTTGTATTTTCGGTAGAGACAGGGTTTACCATTTTGGCCAGGCTGGTCTTGAACTCCTGGCCTCAAGTGATCCACCCGCCTCGGCCTCTCAAAGTGTTGGGATTACAGGCGTGAGCCACCACACCCAGCCAAAATCCAGAGTTTTTACTTGAAAAGACTCAAAAGCCTCATCCAGAAGAAATGTCTCCTGGTCAGATATAAAAGCCTGACAGTATCATACTATTAACTATTATAATGATAATTTTTTTAAGTTTATATTTTTATTGTATTCTGAGAAGAAATTATCCTCAGTGACCAATGGTGTAAGAAAGCTTTTATTTTCTATCTCCCCACTAACTAGCAAGCAGTGAACTTCTAAGAACTCAAGCAGTCAAATTGAATCCAGCTTTGTAAGACCAATACAGATATAAAAGTATATTTTTCTAACAACAAATCCTGGTTATTTTTTTATTTGCACATGGTAAAATTTGCTTTTTCTGGTGTACAGTTTTGTGAGTTTGTACACATGCACAGATTTTTGTGACCACCAACACAAACAGGATACAGAATAACTCCAGCTCCCCGAAGGCCACTCTTGAGCTGCCCCTTTATTCAGACCCTGCCTTCAACCCTTACTCCCTGAACTGTGGAAGGAGTCTTCGAGCCACACACAGCCATGGTCAAGGGTGAAACTCCGCAGGCTACGGGGGCTTCAGCACAACCTCTGGCCACTAAGTGGCTTGTGCTGTCCCACAAGTGATCCCTAGCGAGTTAGACTAAAATATAAAAACAAGGGGAAAATCTGAGTGGGGCTGGCAGCTGCGCACTGTAGGGGAATAGACTTCAGAGAATCATTAATAGTTCAACCAAGTACCCACACAATTAAGTGACAGCTGCAGGCCTCTGGGAAGTGGGAGTATCAGTGAGCAGAATTGTTACAGTTTATTATTTAAAAGATCCAGTTTTCAATGAAAAATTATAAGACATGTAAAGAAACTAGCTCGTGTGAAACACACATGGGGCGGGGTGGGGGGGGCAGACAGTGGAGACTGCTTTTGAGGGGGCCCAGATACTGAACTTAGCAGACAGTCTTCAGAGCAGCCATTACACGTACGTTCAAAGACTAAAGAAAACCGTGTTTAGGTAATGGAAAGAAGGTACACTGGCAGACTCATCAAACAGAGAATATTCATGAAGAGATAGAAATTATAAAATAAAAAAAGAACCTGGCCAAGCGCGGTGGCTCATGCCTGTAATCCCAGCACTTTGGGAGGCCGAAGCGGGTGGATCACCCGAAGTCAGGAGTTCGAGACCAGCCTGGCCAACATGGCAAAACCCTGTCTCTACTAAAAATACAAAATTAGCTGGGCGTGGTAGCAGGCATCTGTAATCCCAGCTGCTCGGGAGGCTGAGGCAGGAGAATCGCTTGAACCTAGGAGGCGGAGGTTGCAGTGAGCCAAGACTGCACCATTGCATTCCAGCCTGGGAGACAGAGCAAGACTCCATTTCAAAAAAAAAAAAAAAAAAAAAACAAAACTCCTATAACTCAAAAACAAAAAGCAAACGACCTGATTTTTTAAATGGGCACAGGACTTTAATAGACATTTCCCCAAAGAAGACAATACACATGGCCAACAAGCATGTGAAAAGATGCCCAATATCACAAATTATTCAGGAAATGAAAAATCATACCACAATGAGCTACCACCTCCACCCATTAGGATGGCTATCATATAAAAATATAAAACCAACAGAAGATAACAGGTGTTGATGAGGGTAATGAGAAATTGGAACCCTTGTGCACTATTGGTGAGAATACTAAATGGTGAGGCTGCTGTCAAAAACAGTATGACAGTTCCTCAGAAACTTAAAATTAGAATGACCACATCCAGCAATTCCACTTCTGGGTATATATCCAAAAGGACTGAAAGTGTGGTCTTGGAAAGATATTTGTATACCCATTTTAATAGCAGTGTTATGGCCAGGTGCAGTGGCTCACGCCTGTAATCTCAGCACTTTGGGAGGCTGAGGCGGGCGGATCACAAGGTCAGGAGTTTGAGACCAGCCTGACCAACATGCTGAAACCCCGTCTCTACTAAAAATACAAAAAAAAATTAGCCAGGTGTGGTGGTGCACACCTGTAATCCCTGCTACTCAGGAGACTGAGGCAGGAGAATCGGTCGAACCCGGGAGGCAGAGGTTGCAGTGAGCAGAGATCGAGCCGCTGCACTCCAGCCTGGGCCACAAAGGGAGACTCTGTCTCAAAAAAAAAAAAAAAAAAAAAAAGCAGTATTATTCACAGTCGCTAAAAGTCACAGCACAAATGTCCACTGATGGATGAATGGATAAGCACAGTGTGGTCTACACCTACAAGGAAATATTACTTGGTCTCAAAAAGGAAGGAAATCCTCATACATGCTGCAACGTGGATGAACCCTAAGTGAAATAAGCCAGTCACAAAAGGACAAATGCTGTGTCATTCCACTCCCCTGAGCTCCTTAGGCTGTGAGATTCATAGAGACTAAGGGTAGAATGTTGGTGGCCAGGGGTTGGAGAAAGGCGAGAATGGCAAGTTATTGTCTAATGGGTACAGAGTTTCAGTTTTGAAAATGAAAGGAGTTCTGTGGCTGGATGGTGGCAGTGGTTGCACAGCACTGTGAATATACCTAACGCCACTGAACCGTACACTTTCAAATGGTTAAGATGGTAAATTTTATGCGATGTGTATTTTACCATAATTTAAAAACATTTTGTAAAAGAAACTCTGCAGTTGAAAAGTATAATAACCAAGATGACAAGTTCGCTAGAGAGGCTTCGCAGTAAATTAGAGTTGCCAGAAGAAAGATCCCCAAACAATAGAGATGTTGCTGTAAGGAATGAAGAAAAATGAACAGAGCCAGAGAAATGTGGGCCACGATTCAGTGCATCAGTGGGAGAACCGACAGAGAAGGGGCAGAAAGCAGAAAACAGTATTTCAACACTTAAAAATAGGCCGGGCACGGTGGCTCACGCCTGTAATCCCAGCACTTTGGGAGGCCGAGGCAGGTGGATCATGAGGTCAGGAGATCGAGACCATCCTGGCTAACACGGTGAAACCCCGTCTCTACTAAAAACACAAAAAATTAGCCAGGTGTGGTCGCGGGCGCCAGTAGTCCCAGCTACTTGGGAGGCTGAGGCAGGAGAATGGCGTGAACCCGGGAGGCAGAGCTTGCAGTGAGCCAAGATCGCGCCACTGCACTCCAGCCTGGGCGACAGAATGAAACTCTGTCTCAAAAAAAAAAAAAAAAAAAGAAAGAAACCATGGCCAAGCACGGTGGCTCACACCTGTAATCCCAGCACTTTGGGAGGCCAAGGTGGGTGGATCACTTGAGGTCAGGAGTTCCAGACCAGCCTGGCCAACATAGTGAAACCGTGCTTCTAAAAAATACAAAAATTAGCCGGGCGTTGTGGCACATGTCTGTAATCCCAGCTACCCGGGAGGCTGAGGCAGGAGAATCACTTGAACCCAGGAGGTGGAGGTTGTGGTGGGCTGAGATCACACCATTGCATTCCAGCCTGGGCAACAGAGCGAGACTCTGTCTCAAAAAAAATAAAAATAAAAATAATCTGTAGTAATTTATTTTAACTTCCCAAATTTGATGAAGAACACTAATGTACACATCCAGACAACTTAGCCAAATTCAGTTAGGATAAACACAGACATACTGCAGTCAAGAAGTTTAAGAGACAGAGAGAAACTCTTGGAACCCACAAGAGAGAAGTGACTGTCAAGTCCAGTGGAACTCAAGTAAGATGGACAGCTGACTTCCATCAGGCAGTGAGGCCCAGAGGCAGCAGATGGCATATTAAAGTGCCGAAAGAATCCTTCATCCAGCAAAGCTGTCTTTCAAAAGTGAAGACAAAATAAAAACACTGCCACATAAATAACAGAGATTCCATCCATTGCTAGCAGAACTACCTCACTAGAGGAAGGCAGACGTGGCAGCTCACACCTGGAATCCCAGTACTGTGGGAGGCCAAGGCCGGAGGATCGCTTGAGCCCAGGAGTTCTAGGCCAGCCTGGGCAACATAGTAAAACTCCATCTCTACCAAAAAAACTTGCCAGGCACAGTGTCGCACACCTGTAGTTCCAGCTAGTTGGGAGGCTGAGGCAGGAGGATCAAGGCTGCAGTGAGCCATTATCGTGCCACTGCACTCCAACCTGTGTGTCAAAAAAAAAATTTAAATAAAAAAATACTAAAGGAGGTTCTTTAGGCTGAAAGGAAGTGACACTAGACAGTAATTTGAGTCCACACATACACACACACACACACACACACACACACAGTGAGAGAGCTCTGCTAAAGATAATTAAGTAGTTAATGATAAAAGACAATATAATTACATATTCGTTTTTCTTTCTTAACTAATTTAAAATATGAAAGAGCAGCTTCTATCTGGTTGCCCTCCAGTTTATAAGAAAGCTCTATGCTGACCTTGAAACAATCTCTCTAGCCCCAAGTTTTCTTTTTTTTTTTTTTTTGAGACGGAGTCTCGCTCTGTCGCCAGGGTGGAGTGCAGCAGCGCAATCTCGGCTCACTGCAACCTCCGCCTCCCGGGTTCAAGCGATTCTCCTGCCTCAGCCTCTCGAGTAGCTGGGATTACAGGCATGCGCCACCATGCCCAGCCAATTTTTGTATTTTCAGTAGAGATGGGGTTTTACCATGTTGGGCAGGATGGTCTTGATCTCTTGACCTTGTGATCCGCCCGCCTCAGCCTCCCAAAGTGCTGGGATTACAGGTGTGAGCCACCGCATCTGGCCTTTTTTTTTTTTTTTTTTTTTTTGAGACGGAGTTTTGTTCTTGTCACCCAGGCTGGAATGCAATAACACGGTCTCGGCTCACTGCAACCTCTGCCTCCTGGGTTCAAGCGATTCTCCTGCCTCAGCCTTCTGAGTAGCTGGGATTACAGGCGCCCGCCACTACACCCGGCCAATTTTTGTATTTTTAGTAGAGATGAGGTTTCACCATGTTGGCCAGGCTGGTCTCGAACTCCTGACCTCAGGCGATTCACCCGCCTCGACCTCCCAAAGTGCTTGAATTACAGGCGTGAGCCACCGCGTTCGGCCTAGCCCCAAGTTTTCTAAAGGAAAAATGCAGGCACAGGGAGCTTGACAAGCTCCCCTTTTTTGGAGGGGGGTGCTTTCTGGGTCTTTTATTTGTACGCATTGTGTCCATTACCCCGTGAGTGTACCCAGGGAAATCAGCTGACCTCCCTGAACATTCCATGCAGTGAGAGAAGCAGTGAGGAAATAAATGAGTGACTCTGATGCCTGGTCATCTCAGCCCCCCTTTACAGGCACAGTGGGTGGGAGAAGGGAAGGGCTGTGATTGTCCTGACCTCTGCGAAGGAGGAAAGGTGGGCTGGAGGCTGGGCTGTTAGCACCTCCCTCCCGCAGTTTCGAGGGCTCACTCTGGGCTTAGGTTTGCCAGGGTGCCCTTTGGTCCAAATGCAGGCCTTGTGCTTAGTCGTGTGCCCTGTTCACCTCTTGGCCTGGAGGCCTTTTTGTGCTGCTGCTGTCTCAGGGCCAGCTGCATGGCCGAGATGCTCAGTGGCTGCGTGTAGACCAGCAAGCAGAACACCCAGCTGGCTGGATGCCCTCGGGGTCTGGAAGGCCAGGCCCAGGTGCTCCCGCATGATATGGGAGCAGCCTTTAGCTGCCTGGCTGCCCTCCCAAGTCAGGCTCTCTTGGATCATGGTGGCTGCCAGCCATAGACCACACCCACCCACACTTCATCAGACTGCACATTGGATCTGTCAGGGGACACCATGGGGCTGCACCCCATTCTGCACCCATGGCCTCTCCTGCAAAGCTGGAAGATAGCTTTGAAAGCACAGAGTGCAAGAAAGATGATCTTTATCGTGCATGGGGAATTAAGAGCCATGAGCATTCTCAGAGTGAGGAAATAGTTTTCAAAGAAATCTTATAAAATGTCTTTTCTCTTTTGTGTTTTTTACTGCCATCCCATGGTTTTGTGAAGGTATTAATAATATCAAGCCAGTGCTCATGGTTTCTTAATTTAGTAAAAAGATTTCACTCTCAGTCTCCATAGAAGATGAGAGGAACTGCTAAATTTCTACCTGACTTACCAATCAAATGAACGCTCTTGGGACTATATTGCCTTGTTTAGTGTGTTTATACTGCCAATTTAGCAAGTTATTAGTGAAGTAGAATCAGGTTTTCAGATTTCTGATGAAGCACTTCAGAGAATTGAACAGATTCTCCCACATGGCAAAGAGGAAGAGGCTGCCTAGATCAACTTAATAATCATTTGTCCTCTGTTGTTTTTTCTGCTGGCTAAGAACAATTGCTTAAGAATCTCTGGAATGATAACAAGAAATATGGGGCTGTAAGTTGAGCATGGAAAGGAGTTAAGATAATTTCATTTGTCAGCTCCTCTGTTTATATTAATGTTGCATTAATGGAAAGAATATGCGGTTGTACCAGGAACAAAAAGTTTTATAAGTACCATCCATATTTTTATTGAACCTCCAATAGAATCAAAACAAAGTTAGCAAATAAACATGTAAGAGCCATATCTATTTTCATACATGGTTCCATTTTAAACTGTCTCTGAAGGGAAAGTATTTTCCTAATATAGCTCTTGGAACTTAGCCAAACAGTCCAACATTTCAGGGCACAGAATTGGAACAAGTGATCCTAGGTTTGTCATTTGATAGAAGTTTCATATGTTAAGCGATTTGCTCACGAATATCTACCTATTTTTGGTTATGAGTGAAGAAAATACCTAGAATATCTGGGAGGGCGGGGAATCCATTTATAGTGCATACGGAAAGGAAGAAAGGAGAAAATGTTGAAGAGTCTTTTCTGTGTTAGAGAGTGGGAATAAATTCATAAAGCTTGGCTATTCTCGTCCCTCGCTTCCAGACAGTAGTGTGCCTCAGACTCTCCAGCAAGGCGGTGATCTACTTTAAAAGTCTCTACTGCTGGGGAGTCCACATTTCCAGTGGGAGCTCACTTCGGTGGGCTGCAACCTATTCCATTATAAATGTGTTTCTCCTATCCAAATACAGTTAATTAGTTTGTTTGTTTTTAAGACGGAGTTTTGCTCTTGTCACTCAGGCTGGAGTGCAATGGCACGATCTCGCCTTACTGCAACCTCTGCCTCCTGGGTTCAACCAATGCCTCCGCCTCAGCCTCCCTGGTAGGTGGGATTATAGGCACCTGCCACCATGCCCACCTAATTTTTGTATTTTTAGTAGAGACGGATTTTAGTAGAGACGGAAACAACAGAGTCTCACCATGTTGGCCAGGGTGGTCTCGAACTCCTGACCTCAAGTGATCCACCCAGCTTGGCCTCCCAAAGTGCTGGGATTACAGGCGTGAGCCACTGTGCCCAGCCCAGTTGTTTTTCTTTAAGAGACTGAGTTTTGCTCTTGTTGCCCAGGCTGGAGTGCAATGGCACAATCTCAGCTCACTGCAACCTCTGCCTCCTGGGTTCAAGCGACTCTCCTGCCTCAGCCCCCTGAGTAGCTGGGATTACAGGGACCTGCCCCTACACCTGGCTAATTTTTTGTATTTTTAGTAGAGACGGATTTTTACCATGTAGAGAGATTTTCACCATGTTGGCCAGGCTGGTCTGAAACCCCTGACCTCAGGTGATCCACCTGCCTTGGGCTCCCAAAGTGCTGGGATTACAGGCATAAGCCATCGTGCCCAGCCAAATACAGTTTTGTTTTTTTTAAAGACAGGGTCCTACTCTGTTGTCCAGGCTGGAGTGCAGTGGCAACACTCCAGTCTCACTGTAGCCTTGACCTCCCAGGCTCAGGTGATCTTCCTACCTCAGCCTCCTGGGTAGCTGGGTAATTTCTGTATTTTTAGTAGGGATGGGGTTTCGCCATGATGCCTAGGCTGATCTCAAACTCCTGGGCTCAAGTGATCCGCCCACCTTGACGGGATTGCAGGGATGAACCACCTCGCCCAGCCTAAATAGTCTTTTTTCTTACATGAAAGACTGTTTCCTTGTGCTGTGTCCAAACTGCTGGGATTGGAGGCATGAACCACCTCGCCCAGCCTAAATAACAGTCTTTTTTCTTACATGAAAGACTGTTTCCTTGTGCTGTGTCCTCAAATTAGATAAAGAGAGGCTGATATATTTCCTAATAATAACTTTTTCATGGACTCATTGAATTGTAAATGTAAAAGGAAAATAACAAATAAAATCTTACAATTACCTGTCATACGTTCATTCAGATTCCATTTGAATGTCACTAAGGATGGCACTTACATATCCTGAGGCAGCCTTTCTACTAAAAAAAAATATTTTCCATGTAAGTCATGTCGTACCTTCGAAATCTTTTCTTCGGGCCAAATCATCCTAACTCCTCTAACTTTTTCTCATTTTAATTATTTTTTGCTGTTTCCTTTTCCTTTAAAAATATATGCACTTAGATTTATTTATTGTAGATTTATGCAATGCCTTCCCAGAGAGTAAGAGGCTGTGTGGAAAACATCTAAATATCACAGAAGCTTTACGGCTGGGAAGAAACTTCCCTGTGGAAATGAGAAGAATGCGGAGGGAGTGTGGACAGAGCAGGAATGAGACCTGGAAGGAAAAAGGGCAGGGAAGGCTGAACCCTCAGGGTCCGAAGCAGGAATCTTAGCTAGAGAACCAAACGCCAAAGTAAGTCTGTTCATGTCCCATAAGTCCACGAAGGCCGTTGACTGCACTGCTCAAGACAGGGTCAGAATTTTCCACCCCTCCCTACAGGACAATCCTGTGGCTCACAGCTCCAGGCTAAACGGCCTCTTCCTGGCCCTGTGGTCTCTGGTTGATGTAGAATAATAGAGTTGGACAGGACCAGAAGATGTCATCTGATCTTGACAATTTTGAAGGGTGAGAGCCCGGCAGCATTCTTGTGAGTCCATTCTCTTTATTAGCCTCCCTCCTTCCCATGTCTCTCCCTGCCCACCCCCAGCTTAGGCCAGGAACCCAGAGAACCTCAGCGCCCAGAGTTGGACCTCCTATCATCAGGGCCTGGCAAGTGTCAGCCAGGAGCATCACTTCCTAGTTTCTCGGCATTGCTTTCATTTCAGTGCCTCCTACCCTGGTGTGGTGTGGTGTGGACTCATGGGAAGGAGAGAGTGCATTTAGGGACTCATTGTTTAAATCTACTTTCAGTGACGCAGCCACGTCTTTAAAATGACCAAAATTGGACTCGATTACTGCTAAAGTCCCTTCAGACCCTAATGTTCTATGATCTTCTAACTCTGTAAACCAAAACAGGAATAAAAGCTTAATTATAGGTTGCTTCTTGTAAGCATTAGCTTCAAACAGTTTCAGGAGAAAAGAGGCCAGCAGAGTCCTTGGCACCATCAAGATACTTTCTATTCAGTTCAGTCTTGAGGGCCAAACCTCAAGAGAAGGATAAGGAAGATGAGGGAAGAACTGAGAAAGACTCTTTGTGACTGAGCATGGGCCCTTTGGAATATAAATTGAATATAGGGCTGGGCACAGTGGCTCACGTCTGTAATCCCAGCACTTTGGGAGGCTGAGGCGGGAGAATCAGTTGAGTCCAGGAGTTTGAGACCAGCCTGGGCAACATAGTGAGACTTGTCTCTACCAAAAAGAAAACAAAATTAGCCAAGCATGATGGCATGTGCCTGTAGTCTGAGCTACTGGAGAGGCTGAGGTAGGAGGATTGCTTGAGCCCAGGAGCTTAAGGCTGCAGTGAGCCATGATCATGCCACCGCACTCCAGCCTAGACAACAGACCGACTCTGTCTCAAAACTAAAAATAAAGGAATAAATAAATAACTGGAATATAGTAGAAGACTCCACACCATGCAGAGACCTTTTTACCAAGTGCTCCAATACTAGACAAAAGGATATTCTTGACAGTGAAAAAGATAAATAAAGGAATACAGAATGTGTTTTATGTTTTACATCGTAGGTAGTAAGCCTGGAGAAAAATTGAGGCCCTGGCTGAAAACATAAATAGATTCATGGTAAATTCATTTTGTTTATTTAAGAAAACTAAGCCTGTTTTTGTGATATGTTCCTAACTTTTTTTAAAAAAATGTACCTTGTAGTGTTTTGAAGCGTCTTCCAGTGATAAAAGTGGTCATTGCACATTGTAGAAAATTTTGGATAACGTCAAAAAAATAAAAAGAGACCTAGAGAGAAGTGCAATTAACCTTTGGGCTTATTTCCTGAAAGTCTTAGGCGGTGCTTTCTTAAACATAGCGGAGGTCATATGGCTAATGTCATTGTGTGTTCCCATGTTTCACCTAGGATCACTGTGTTCCAGTGTCATGAAAATCTCTCAAGTTACATCATTGTAGTGGCTACCTAATATTTCATCTTTTAGAAGAAGTTGCCTTAGCCACACCCCTGACTGGGAACATTTGGATGTTTCTTCTTTTCTATGATCATAATAAATGACACTACAGTCCACATCTGTGCATTATTTGCCCACATTTCAAAGTCTTTGCCTATTTGCTTGAGCAGTTGAGGCTGATGTCATAAAGAGCACCCATACCCCCTGAGTGCTCCTCATTCACAATCTAGAGCCCTGGAGTTGTCGTGCATCTGACCTGGCCTGGTGAGTTGACAAGAACCATTTTCTTTTCTTTTTTTTTCCAGACAAGGTCTCACTCCGTCACCCAGGCTAGAGTGCAGTGGCTCAATCTCAGGTCACTGCAACCTCTGCCTCCCAGGTTCAAGTGATGCTCCTGCCTCAGCCTCCCGAGTGGCTGGGATTACAGATGCACACTGCCATGCCAGCTAATTTTTGTATTTTTAGTAGAGACAGGGTTTTGCTATGTTGGCCAGTCTGGTCTTGAACTCCTGACCTCAAGTGATGGTCCCACCTCAGGCCTCCCAAAGTGCTGGGATTACAGGCATGAGCCACTGCGCCCAGCTAAGAACCATTTCAATAAGAAGATAACTACTTTTTTTTTTTTTAAGAACTGTGTAAACCATTTCTAACTGTACTTAGGTAGATACCATTACAGAAACTTTCATCACAGATAACATAACAGTTACCCTTGCAGAACTGATTTCAGAGTTGACTTTGGGGTCACAGATCAGAGTGACCCTGTGATTGTAGCTTGCCCACACTCATACTTTCTCTGAGTGACGTCCTTGCAGCTCTTGGTCTATGAAGTGCCCAGAACTTCACATTTAAAGGATGTTCAGTCTGTGGTTCCCCATGGGAATGATTTTCACCTGAAATGTTTATATTTGCGTAAACTTAATACTAACGAATGGGTTTCTACCGTGAGATCCTCTAGAAGCCATCTGGAGGGCTTGTCTGCAGAAAGCCAGCTTTTCTTTTCCTTGTGAATTTGAAGAGAGGTCCGTAGGCTGGCCCTGGAGCAGGCCTTTCCTCTGTTCCCTGGCCCCAGAAGAGTCATGTCCCGAGCCCCTCCTCGATCCGTCTTCTCGCTGCCATTGTTTTAAATGTGCTGTGACATCACCCGTCCCTGAATCCTTGCTCGACTGAGTGAACTGGCTGGGTTTTCTGTGTCTCAGCGGAAGATTCCCTTTCTCACTGAAAAGAGAACTGTGTTTTTTTTTTTTCTTTTTTTCACTGTATAATCTATATACCATCCTAGGGGACTTGGTGGAGGTGGGGGGCAATGCTTGCAATATAGATAAGGGAAAATATCAAAAGTGAACATTACCTTTTATGACCAGCATTTTTTCTGATCACTTTTATTGAGGTAGACTGTATATAACTCAATAAATAAAGCTCAGCAGTTGTGAGTGAACAGTTTCGTGAGTTTTGACAACACGTGCAGTAATACAGCCACCACCATACTCAAGGTGCACAGCAGAGCTCTCCCTGTATAGACATGGGTAGTTGTTTCTCATGGGTAAATACACCCTAGATTGAGGCTGCTGGGTCGTGTGGCAAGTGTACACTTCACTTTTAAGAAATTGCCAATAGTTGGCTGGGCACGGTGGCTCATGCCTATAATCCCAGCACTTTGGGAGCCATGGCAGGTGGATCACTTGAGGTCAGGAGTTCAAGACCAGCCTGGCCAACATGGTGAAACCCTGTCTCTACTAAAAATACAAAAATTAGCCGGAGGAGGAAGTGCATGCCTGTAATCCTGGCTACTGGGGAGGCTGAGACAGGAGAATTGCTTGAACCTGGGAGGCAGAGGTTGTAGTGAGCAGAGATCAAACCATTGCACTCCAGCCTGGGCAACAGAGTGAGACTACATCTCAAAAAAAAAAAAAAAAAGAAAAGGAAAAGAAAAGAAATTGCCAATTGGCCAGGGATGGTGGCTCACACCTGTGATCCCAGCACTTTGAGAGGCCGAGGCGGGTTGATCACGAGGTCAAGAGATCGAGACCATCCTGGCCAACATAGTGAAACCGTGTCTCTACTAAAAATACAAAAATTAGCTGGGTGTGGTGGTGTGCACCTGTAGTCCCAGCTACTCGGGAGGCTGAGGCAGGAGAATGGCTTGAACCCAGGAGGCGGAGGTTGCAGTGAGCCGAGATCACGCCACTGCACTTCAGTCTGGTAACAGAGTGAGGCTCCGTCTCAAAAAAAAAAAGAAATTGCCAATAGTTTTCCAAAGTGTCTTTACCACGTTGAGTGGTTTTTTTCTTAGCGCCCTTTTAGTGTTTCTCTTCTCTACCTCTTTGCTTCCCTTCTTCCCTTAAAAAGTCCCTGTCCAGGCCAGGTGCAGTGGCTCATGCCTGTAATTGCAGCACTTTGGGAGGCCAAGGCGGGCAGTTCACAAGGTCAGGAGTTCAAGACCAGCCTGGCCAACATGGTGATAAGCCCTGTCTCTACTAAAAATACAAAAATTAGCTGGACATGGTGGTGCGTGCCTTTAATCCCAGCTACTCGGGAGGCTGAGGCAGGAGAATTGTTTGAACCTGGGAGGCAGAGGTTGCAGTGAGCCAAGATCGCGCCACTGCACTCCAGCCTGGGCTACAGAGCAAGACTCGGTCTCAAAAAAAAAAAAAAAAAAAAAAAAGTCCCTGTCCCTCACAACATGTGTCAGTCTTTAATCAAAAACAAGGTCAGTGTCTGCGTGTTGAGGAAGAAGAGCAGGTCTAAGGGAGGAGGCTGGGGAAACCCACAGGACTGGGAAGAGAGTGGGGCACAGGGCTGCCTGAGAAAGATCCTTCCAGAAGGATTCTGGAACCTCTCATTTGTTATTCTTCCTGTGACTACAGCGATGCCAGTAATTACAAGTTGCTTGAGGCGAAACACTTCTACCCAATTAAGTTTGTTCCTCACAATAATTCTGTAAAGTGCATGCGCCATCACTATCCCATTTTATACATGCCGCAATTCAAAAAGCGTGTTGAGGTACCCAGGGTCAGCCACTAGAGAGGAACAGAACTGCGACGGGGCCTTATGCTTTCCGACCTTTGCCCCAGGGCTTTATCTGCTAAGAATGGTAACAGTCACCACATATTGATTGCTGGCATTGAGCTTTGGCCTTTGCGTTTACATGTAACCAGTGGCGAGGCATCTGCCACAGTCCCCACGGTTCAGGTGAGTCATTGAGGTGACTTGCCCAGGGTTGCATAGCCAGGAGCTGGCCGGACGGGAATGGACCTAGAGTCCCCGACTGCAGGTCTTGTGCTCGTTGCCCTTCTCCACGCAGGAGAAATGAATGTTCCTTTTGTAACCACAGAGAGGAAAGAAGGTGGCAAGCCTTTTTCCTCAGGCAGGTGCTTGCTGGACTTAGGCTGGTGGGCTGAGGGTGTGAGTGTGAAGAAGAAAAGCCGCGCTAAAGAGCATAGGCACAATTGTGGAAATGAGTTGTCTAAGGCTGTTTAAGTAGGAGAGGGGATCTCCGGGCTGACACAGTGCCAAGGGGAACATCAAGATGATTAACAACGTCCCCAAGCAAAACCAGGCCATGGCGAAGCTGCTCGGGGCTTGTGCCAGCCGCTCTTCCCACCCAGGGCGCTCCTGTGGTTCACCTGTGTGAATTTCATGAGTTTTGACAGCATGTACAGTAGTACAGCCACTGCCATATTCAAGGTGCACAGCAAGGGAGTCCTCCATTGAGACACAGTAAACCGGCCGGGCACGGTGGCTCAAGCCTGTAATCCCAGCACTTTGGGAGGCTGAGGCGGGCGGATCACGAGGTCAGCAGATTGAGACCATCCTGGCTAACACGGTGAAACCCCGTCTCTACTAAAAATAAAATTTAAAAAAATAGCCGGGCGTGGTGGCGGGCGCCTATTTAGTCCCAGCTACTTCGGAGGCTGAGGCAGGAGAATGGCGTGAACCCAGGAGGCGGAGCTTGCAGTGAGCCGAGATCGCGCCACTGCACTCCAGCCTGGGCGACAGAGCGAGATTTCGTGTCAAAAAAAAAAAAAAAAAAAAAAAAAAAAAAGACACAGTAAACCCGGCTACTTCACCCAATCAAAAGCGCACCTGTGGTCAGACCCCATCCTAGCCCCAAAAAGCAAAACTAAAAACAATGCAAAAGAGAAGAAAAACCCACTCGGTTATTTTTCACTTCGGTTCCATAAACCATGTATCCTCTCTCCACCCCCATGTTTAATCCACCATCTGGTCCTGTTGGATTTTGCCGCTGCAGTTCTCTTAAATCATCGTATTCCCTCCCACCCACCACCGTCCACAGCCTGGTCCCGGATGCCTCATCTCATGCCTAAGCCATGCAGCGGGCTCCTGACTCATCCTCCATGTTTCTGCTTGCCTTGTATCCAATGTGGTCGCCACACTGCAGCCAGAAGGATCTTCTGGGCCCTGGTGTGGTGGCTCACGCCTGTAATCCCAGCACTTTGGGAGGCCAAGTGGGGTGGATCACCTGAGGTCAGGAGTTCAAGACCAGCCTGGCCAACGTGGTGAAACCCCATCTCTACAAAAATACAAAAAAATTAGCCGGGCATGATGGCGGGTGCCTGTAATCCCAGCTACTCGGGAGGCCGAGGCAGGAGAATCTCTTGAACCCAGGAGGCAGAGGTTGCAGTGAGCCAAGATCGCGCCACTGCACTCCAGCCTGGGTGACAGAGTGAGACTTTGTCTCAAAGACAACAGAAAAATTCCTAAGTCTGGGCCGGGCATGGTATCTCACACCAGTGATCCCAGCACTTTGGGAGGCCGAGGTAGGAGAATCACTTGAGGATAGGAGTTTGAGACCAGCCTGGGCAGCATAGGGCGACCCCGTCTCTACAAAAAATTTAAAAATTAGTAGGGTATAATGGTGCATGCCTGTAGTCCCAACTACTGAGGAGGCTGAGGCAGGAGGATCGCTTGAGCCTGGGCGGTTAAGGCTGCAGTGAGCCATGCTTGTGCCACTGCATTCTAGCCTGGGTGACAGAGCAAAAAAAAGGAAAAGCCAAGTCTGGTCACGCCAATACCCCTCTCTGATTAAAACCCTTCGGTGGCACCCCACTGTCCACATGGTGGCCAGTCTTTAACCAGACCCACCCGACCTTCATCCTGGTTCCCCTCACCCGGGCCTGCCTCCTGGCCCCTCCTTCCCACCATGAGAACCATCTGGAATGAGTGTCCCCCCCACCCCCCACACCAGGCCCAGCGTGACTCTGGCCGTCTGAGGTCTCAGGTGAGCCTTTGCTGCCTGCTACACCATGTCCCGCCGGCTGTGCTCTCACGACACTGTGTGGCACCGTCTCCTGCCTGCATAGTTCTTGTCACCAGTTTATAGACATTTATGTGTTGCTATGATTAGTGTCTGTTTCCTTCACTGGACTTCCCAGATGTGCCAGGACCACATCCATTTTTGTTCATCGCCGTATTTCTCAATCAATAATTGAATATTATTCATGTTTGTCCTATTGGCAAGGTAGCCCGGGAAACAAGATTTTATCAATAATTTGTTTATATCTTGAGATAGATCATACTGGCCCCCAATTTTTAAAGTTTTGATTTTCATGCATTGATTTAGTGTGCCTGTCATATTAATAAAATACTCTTTCAGTGGAATGTTGTCTTTTGCCCTTAGAGTGGTCTTTTCATTTGTCTCACTTGGGATCTGAATCTCCAAAATTGCAAAGGCTGAAAAATCTTAGAAATGATAACAACTATCAATGTATATTTTCTGTTTCATTGTGTGCCTATAGCATTGCACATCGATGATGCTCAATATGTTTGTAGATTTGTTTATTATATATTATTTTCATTTAAAAAGCATGTAACCACAGTATACAGTTTGGGGAGGAAAGGAAAAAATTGTCTCTAACCTTCCTATTCAACCTCTATTATAATTTTAGTATATACCCCTGGGTATTTTTATGCATTATTATTTTTATTTTTTATTTTTGAGATGGAGTCTCGCTGTGTCGCCCAGGCTGGAGTGCAGTGGCATGATCTTGGCTCACTGCAACCTCTGCCTCCCAGGTTCAAGCGATTCTCCTGCCTCAGCCTCCCAAGTGGCTGGGATTACAAGCATCTGCCACCAGGCCCAGCAAATTTTTGTAGTTTTAGTAGAGATGGGGTTTCACCATGTTGGCCAGGCTAGTCTCGAACTCCTGACCTCAAGTGATTCACCCACCTCGGCCTCCCAGAGTTCTGAGATTATAGGCGTGAGCCACTACACCCGGCCTTTTATATGCATTTTCAACATTGCCATAATCACAGTGTACATAAAATTGTGTGTCCTGATTTTTCCCTTTAAATAACCTTATTGATGGGTCAAATTATTATATTGTATATGGTGTGGTATTTATTCAGTTCAACTCAATAAGCATTTATATGCTTGATACCATTCAAAGAAAATATACAGTGCCTTGGCTCTCCAATAATAGAATACCATAATTACGAAGCTTGCAGTGACATTTTTATTTCATGGATGTATCTCATGGCATCTCCTCTCCCTCCCAGAAGCAGGAACAGTGGCATGGGGGAGGGGCTGCTCCTTCTGGGGTCAGGGAAGTCCTCTCTTAACGGTGATATTTGAGCAGGGACCTGAATGCAGGGAGGAGGGAGCTGTGCAGCTGTGGGGGAAGATTCTTCCTGCAGAGGGATCCTCAGGTACAAAAGCCCTGAGGTGAGAGTGTGCCTGGTCTTTCTAAGGGATTGCAAGGGGACAGTGACACCAGGGCATTGTGAGGGAGGGGAGAGGAGCTAAGGCCAGTGAGCTGCGAGGAGGCCTGAAGGGTCTTCCTGACCCTGGCGGGGCCTCTAGCTTTTCCTCCTAGTGAGATGGGATAGTGGCGTAGTGATAGGATTGCCTCATTCTCCAGGCTTCTCTTTTCCTCTCTGGGGCCTGTCAGTTCCTGCCTTGGTCACCCTCCAGATGAGTGACCTCTCGCCAGGCCTGTAAACTCTCCCAGACACATGCATGATAATATACTGTGCTCATTGCTTATGCGTAAATGTGGAGGTGGGTCGTTGGCCACACCCAGTGGTATCACAGACTCAGATTTGGTTATTGCTGTTCCAGGAAACTGGACACATTCCACATATTTGAAAAGCCATGCAACTAAATTTCTCATTTCTTAATCTTTTGCTCATTTGAGGCACTTGTTCCTCTCTGAAAATAATGACCAAATATGTTTTTCCGATTGCATGAAAAATGTAACCTAGTAAGGATTACTATTAGTCTGTAATTATTAAGCATGCTTCAACTCCTGACAATTCTAGAAAGCAGGTTTTTTTGTGTTTTTGGTTGGGGGTGGTTATCCTAATTATAATCTTCCTTGAATTGCTTTATGGTTAGGTCCGTCACATGCCAAAGTTAGATCCCATTAGCAGGCTTAAAACATTTATTTCTGAAAGAACAAACTGTTACAGGTTGCTGAGTATAATTGATTTCTTTTGTTTCCTTTCTGCTACAGGAGGAGACATCACAGCTTTCCCAGATCGGGAGGAAAAATATGGAATGTGTTTTACCGCTGACTGAACACAACCAAATGAACTGTCCTGACAGTAGTTTGCAAACCAGCAGCTAGCAGTTTGTCCAGCCTCTAACATTGTCCAGCACTTTCCAGAGCAAACTCACTGTTTACAAGAACTCTTGGCCTTACGAAGTTTATAACCTCAAGCTTTGTTTATTTAAAATATTCCTGCAAAAGAAAAGTACCCGGCACCCACTTTCCAAAATGGCCATGGATGAGTATTTGTGGATGGTCATTTTGGGTTTCATCATAGCTTTCATCTTGGCCTTTTCTGTTGGTGCAAACGATGTTGCCAACTCCTTTGGTACAGCCGTGGGCTCTGGTGTGGTGACCTTGAGGCAGGCATGCATTTTAGCTTCAATATTTGAAACCACCGGCTCCGTGTTACTAGGCGCCAAAGTAGGAGAAACCATTCGCAAAGGTATCATTGACGTGAACCTGTACAACGAGACGGTGGAGACTCTCATGGCTGGGGAAGTTAGTGCCATGGTTGGTGAGTAGCCTCTTCTCTATACCGATGGGACATCCGCCCACTGACCCGCTTCCCTGCAGTACTTTGCCCATATCCATAAATGTGATTTTTGCTTTGGCTTTTCAAAAACTGGTTGGATGTTTCACATTTACTCTCTTATTTTTGCTTTCTGCATATTAATTTATGATTTTTAAAGTGTTTAAATATCAGGCAACCATTTATTTTCTGAACTTTTGAGCAAACTTGGTTGCTAAAATAGATTTCAGCTAAGTGAATACTTTTCAGAAAGTACAGAAAAAGACCTTTGTAGAACAGCGCTTTATTATTTTAGAGTTGTTTGAAGGTTGTCTAAGTGAATGTGTTTTCAAGGTTGATGTATGAAATTTCCAGGAAGGTTGATTTAGATTTTTTTCTTAAGGTTTTTCATCAATTAGGAGGCAATGTTTTGAAAACTTGGATGTCAAAAATAATATTTATTAGTCTAACTTTTATATTCACAGTTTAAGTTCTAAAGAAGTTACCAAATAAATCTTAAGTGCGTGTGTTTCAAGAAATTCTGGTCTCTTACATTATTTGTCATCCTTTTGTTGGCTTTTGTTTTGATTTTCTGATTCTACCTCTGGGAGCTCCATTTGGTATGTTTGTTTTGTTTTCCGGCCAAAAAATAATGTGCGTGTTGCCTGGTGATAGCATGACCTTTTATTGCAGTTTCAAGTTGTCTACATGAAGTGTGGAGGTGTGTGAACTGTGTGAATAAGCAGAGTGGCTGGTTGGACAGAGTGATGTCCCCATGGCCTAAGCGGACACAGATCTCGGCCCCGTGGGTCTTCCCATCACTGCCCTCGCTACGACAGAAAAGAACCTTCCCGGCAGGCGTGTGTTAAGTGCAGCTGACAGGATTCTTTTTCTGCTTGCCTCTAGGTAGAGATGACGACACAACAGACAGCTGATGTATACGGGTAATTTGGTTAGGGAGAAGAGGGTTAGAGAGGAATTCTACCACCTTCTGCTTTCAACAGGACATATCCTCTTGTAGGAAGAGTCCTGCAGCAGGAGGTAAGATGCTGGTGTACTAAGAATACAGCCACATTCCCCCGAGTTCTTTATTTTGTCACTTACATTTTTTCTTTTCTTTTTTTTTTTTTTTTTGAGACAGAGTCTTGCTCTGTGGCCCAGGCTGGAGTGCAATAGTGTGATCTCCGCTCACTGCCACCTCCACCTCCTGGGTTCAAGCTATTCTCTCACCTCACCCTCCGGAGTAGCTGAGACTAAAGGCGTGTGCCACCGCACCTGGCTAATTTTTGTATTTTTAGTAGAGACAGGGTTTCACCATGTTGGCCAGGCTAGTCTTGAACTCCTGACCTCAAGCAATCCACCCACCATCACCTCTCAAAGTGCTGGGATTACAGGCGTGAGCCACCACACCTGGCCTGTCACATTTCTTAAACACCTGGAATTTAGAGATTATTGACCAAGTTCACAATGGCCCAATCTCATGTTGTTCGAGGCGTCTGATAAGAAGCAGCCTGTTGTACTAAGGAATTGCATATTCACCAAGCACTGTAGGCCAGTAACACACACCAGGGAGCTCCTACTTCTCAGCTTGACGCTTTGTGTTGTAAAGATGTCAGGTTCAACTTTGGGAGGCCCCCGAGATGGGCAGACCACTTGATCCCAGGAGTTTGAGACCAGTCTGGGCAACATAGGGAGACCCTGTCTGTACAAAAAAACTAAAAAATTAGCTGGGCATGGTGGCACATGCCTGTAGTCCTAGCTGCTTGGGAGGCTGAAGTGGGAGGATTGCTTGAGCCCAGGAGGTTGAGGCTGCAGTGAGTTGTGATTGTGCCACTGCACTCCAGCATGGGCGACATAGCCAGACCCTGTCTCAAAAAAAAAAAAAAAAAAATCAGGTTCAAGATCACTTTCATTCCAACAACTATAGTCATTATTGAATTTTACTTACCTTCATGGAACATATGTATATCTCAGCATAGTCAGATATAATGGAAATTTCTCTTAGAAAAATAACCGTTCTTTGTAAAATTCACCTTTTTAGTTGTGATAGATATCTAAGATTTAATTCCATCAAGTGGAAATTAAGATTTTTCTAGTCAGGAAAATCTGACTAGATGTGTTGAAAGTATGGGACAAATCAAGAAAAACACTGACAAAATTAAATCTTTTTTTTTTTTTTTGAGACGGAATCTCGCTTTGTTGCCCAGGCTGGAGTGCAGTGGTGTGATCTCGGCTCACTGCAACCTCTGCCTCCTGGGTTCAAGCGATTCTCCTGCCTCAGCCTCCTAAGTAGCTGGGATTACAGGCACCCGACACCACACCCAGCTAATTTTTGTATTTTTGGTAGAGATGGGGTTTCACCATGTTAGTCAGGCTGGTCTCAAACTCCTGACCTCGTGATCCTCCCACCTTGGCCTCCCAAAGTGCTGGGATTACAGGCGTGAGCCACCACACCCGGCCACAAAGTTAAGTCTTAACTGAAGTTTTTCCTTTTGATGGATAAACTTTAGAGGCATGGTTCTGCTTATTAAAGAAATTTGTTAGGGAAGCCACGCTGAAGACCTCCGTGTGACAGAAGGGTTCATGAACAAGGCTTCATCTGCTCACTCTTTCTGCAGACGGGATCATTTCTCCGTTCCCCACCCCTGGCGTTTGGCTCTTTACTGAAAGAATGAAGGATACTTACCTCAACTAGAATTTGGGTTTACCAAAGCAATTTGGGGTTTTGCTTGAATAACTTGATTTTGTTTGCTTTGGTTTTTAAACTTTTTTTTTTTTGGTATGTGGTTAAATGAATCTCAAAGCCTATTTTGTTGGGAATTTGTATGAGTTACCTAGATTCATAAAATCGGGTTCTTTGCCCTGGGAGCTATAAATTTAAGATGGTGGTGTAATTACCATTGGCCAAAACCACAGCTGATTCTGTCCAGATGCCTGAATTCTCCAGTCTTCCTCTTCTAAATCCAACAGTCCTTTTTTCTTCTCCCTCTTTCCCTCTGTCCTTAATTCTATTCTGTTTGCTTCTTTTGTTTTCTCTGTTAGTCACTTCTCCCCAAGCCCCTGGGCGTCTGTGCTTCCTGACAGAGTTGTGTTAGAGTTAAGGTGATTGGGTAGAAATTATTGCTGCCAGTGAAACGTCCTGAACAAGTCATCTTGTGGGACTAGCTCAGCCCTAAAGCAGTAGTCTGTCCATTTTGTAGGAAACCACCAATGGTTCCAAAAATCTGAGAATTCAAAACTCTGCATCTTTTTTTGTGGAAAGACCCACACTAGCACAAACGAGCCAGCTCCTCGAAACCCTTAAGAAGCACACAGCCCCCTTCCAGCTCCCTCTGCCCAGCCACACTCTGCCACCCCACCCCCGCCCGGCAGCCTCCCTGGAGCCTGAGCCTTTGCTCTGCCGTTTCTTTCATCTGCACGGGAATGGCGGCCTCTGAGATGCCCATCTCCCCACTTTCCCTAGGTCGTGGCTTGCACTCTTATCCCATGCTTCATCTCTTTCCTCTGTCAGATGCCATTATCTTACATTAAAGTATGTCTTTTTCCCTCTGTTCTTCCTGACACTAACATGATCCCATTTGTCTTCAGACACCCCTGAGGCTAAGGTGCTATCACCTACTCCCAGGCCCTCTTGCAGGTATTTCCTGGCCCCACCAGGCCCTCCCTCAGCTGTCCCCTGTCTCCTCCCCTCCCTGCTATCCTCTCTCCTCCTTCTTCCCTCTCTCAGGTGGTCCCATTACTCCCTACCTTTCTTTACAAACTCTCCTCCTCCAGGATGTATTTTGTAAAGTCAGCCACAGAAAATATAGCAGCTTTCAGGAAGGACAAATCTTATGGTCTGAATTCAATTGGGTGGGTTGATATCACTGTCTCACATCATGAGATTATTTTAATTGTAAGAATATAGGCTGGTAGCGGTGGCTCACACCTGTAATCCGAGCACTTTGGGAGGCCGAGGCAGGCGGATCATGAGGTCAGGAGATTGAGACCATCTTGGCTGACGCGGTGAAACCCCGTCTCTACTAAAAATACAAAAAATTAGCCGGGCGTGGTAGCGGGCACCTGTAGTCCCAGCTACTCGGGAGGCTGAGGCAGGAGAATGGCGTGAACCCAGGAGGCAGAGCTTGCAGTGAGCCGAGATTGCGCCTGGGCAACAGAGCAAGACCCCGTCTAAAAAAAAAAAAAAGAATATAAACCATATCATGTATTTTCTAAGCTATGAATCCGTGCTATGAAACGTGCTCCAAACCCTGGCTTTCTTTTTAAAACCACTAGTCCCCGAGGAGCCCAGGGCTCAGATGTGGAGGCTTAAGGAGGTGTCCGCGGGTAGGCCTGGCGCTGCCATGGAGCCTGATATGGGTTTGGCAGCACAAGGCTGGCCCCTTCTCCTCCCAACGCACGCCTTAAGGATTGACACAGGGTCACAGCCAGCCTCAGCTCAAAGGTCAGCACGCCTAGCACTCATGGCAGCAACTGTGTGTGTTGCTTCATGGACTGGGTCCTGCACAGCCATAAATGATCCTCCTGCAACTCAGATGCCTTTGAAGGAAATGCCAGGGGTCCCCTGAAAAGTGCTGCTGCTGCCAGGCAACCAGGTTTCCAGAATTAACGTTTGGGATTAATAACGTGCCCAGCTTATCAGCCAGGCCCTTTGTTCCCCTACAGTTCCATGGGAGCTTTTCAACAACTGCTTCTGAAAGTGATCTCTCCCGGTTGATGCTTTTAATACTCACTACAAAATCTGATCTGCTTATGAAAATATTTGAAGTGAACTGTAGCCTAGAAAAACATGAAACCTAGAAAAGAGTTGGTGAAATTGAGGTAAAAGGACACAAAGCCAACACTAATGAGAACCTCTTAACAACAAGGAATCAGACACACAAATAAAAAGTCCAACATTCTGGGTAGGATCTGAGAGCAGATGCCCAAATTTGGGTTAAATATCATAGTTATTTCTCATAGGAGAGGCACCATCAACAAGCAGTATGGGCTGGGTGCAGTGGCTCACTGCATCCAGTGAGCCTGTCATCCCAGCACTTTGGGAGGCCATGGTGGGAAAATGGCTTGAGCCCAGGAGTTCAAGACCAGCCAGGGCAACATAGCAAGACCCCCGTCTCTGCAAAAAAATTTTAATAATTAGCTGAGTGTGGCAGCTCATGCCTGTAATCCCAGGGCTTTGGGAGGCTGAAGCAGGAGGATTGCTTAAGGCCAGGAGTTCCAAACCAGCCTGGGTAACATAGCAAAATCCTGTCTCTGCAAAAAAATTTAAAAATTAACCAGGTGTGGTGGTGCACACTTGTAATCTCAGCTGCTTGGGAGGCTGAGACAGGAGGATCATTTGAGTCCAGGAGTTTAAGGCTGCAGTGAGCCATGATTTTGCAGCTGTACTCCAGCCTGGGCAAGAGTGAGACGCTGTCTCTACAAAAGAAAAAAAGAAAAGAAAAGAAAAAAGCAACATGGTATTATACTCTCTTATATAGATAATATGACCTAGCCAATATCTGGTCCTTTTCATTATGTGACTGTAAGGCAGAACTACAACAAAATCTTTTCCCAATATATTGCCTTTCTAGTCTTTCTGTGTTCATTCGAGACTTTAATCTCTTGCTTGGTTTTGGCCAAAATTCACCCCAGAACAAGTTCATACACAGCACCCTCACTGAAAACTGACAAGGGCAGTCAGTGTGTAGCACCAGGAGACTTGCCTTTAAATGCATAATCTGGCCGGACACAATGCCTCACGCATGTAATCCCAGCACTTTGGGAGGCCAAGGCGGGTAGATCACTTGAGGTTAGGGGTTCGAGACCAGCCTGGCTAACATAGTGAGACCCCATCTTTACTAAAAATACAAAAATTAGCCAGAGGGCTTGCTTGAACCCAGGAGGCAGAGGTTGCAGTGAGCCAAGATCAGGCCACTGCACTCCAGCCTGGGCAACAGAGCAGGACTAGCTTCAAAAAATAAATAAATAACCATCATCCCTGTCCCCTCTGTGTTGAGGAAGGCAGAAGCTTTCCTTTAACTGAAGTTAATTGAGTGATTTTTGTCCAGGCTGTAGCGCTTTGTAAAGAAACAATTCACAGAAAATTAAACTCTGGGAGATGTTGTTATGGAAAACATTTGGATTTCTTCCCTTGGTGTCTGCACCTCTGTACTCTGTATCTGATGGTTTTTTGTCCTTCAATCTGTAGGTTCCGCTGTGTGGCAGCTGATTGCTTCCTTCCTGAGGCTTCCAATCTCAGGAACGCACTGCATTGTGGGTTCTACTATAGGATTCTCACTGGTCGCAATCGGTACCAAAGGTGTGCAGTGGATGGAGCTTGTCAAGATTGGTAATTGGCATTTTCTTTTACCCATAAGAAGGAAAGTTTACATTTTCTAGAGTAAGTTTTATTACAAGTTACTTTTTTTTTTTTTTTGACCCGGAGTGTCACTCTGTTGCCAGGCTGGAGTGCAGTGGTGCAATCTCGGCTCACTGCAACCTCCACCTCCCGGGTTCAAGCCATTCTCCTGCCTCAACCTCCTGAGTACCTGGTACTACAGGCTCCTCCTACCACGCCTGCTAATTTTTGTATTTTTAGTAGAGATGAGGTTTCACCATGTTGGCCAGGATGGTCTTAATCTCTTGACCTCATGATCGGCCTGCCTTAGCCTCCCAAAGAGCCAGGATTATAGGCGTGAGCCACCGTGCCCAGCCACAGGTTAATTTTATATCTTTTTCTTCAAATGTTAAGGTTTAAAAGACCTAGATGGGCCAGACATGGTGGCTCACGCCTATAATCCCAGCACTTTGGGAGGCCAAGGCAGGCAGATCACCTGAGGTCAGGAGTTCAAGACCAGCCTGGCCAACATGGTTCAACCCCATCTCTACAAAAATACAAAAATTAACTGGGCATGATGGCAGGTACCTGTAATCCCAGCTACTAGGGAGGCTGAGGCAGGAGAATCACTTCAACCTGGAAGGCAGAGTTTGCAGTGAGCCGGGATCGAGTCACTGCACTCCAGCCTGGGCAACAAAGCAAGACTCTGTCTCAAAAAAAAGACGTAGATGGTATGAGTAATATATTTTCCCTTAAAATTCCTGTTTTTTGTTTTGTTTTGTTATGTTTTGTTGTTTTGTTTTGTAGAGATGGAGTCTCGCTCTGGCACCCAGGCTGGAGTGCTAGAGTGCAGTGGCGCAATCTCGGCTCACTGCAACCTCCGCCTCCCGAGTTCAAGCAGTTCTCCTGCCTCAGCCTCCCGAGTAGCTAGGATTACAGGCACATGCCACCACGCCCAGCTCATTTCTTTTGTATTTTAGTACAGACAGGGTTTCACCATGTTGCCCAGGCTGGTCTTGAACTCTTGAGCTCAGTCAATCCACCTGCCTCGGGCTGCAAAAGTGCCAGGATTACAGGTGTGAGCCACCGCACCTGGCCAAAGTTCCTGTTAATAGAGATAGTGAACTATTATGTGCTGGACAGTTGTTTAACTCTATTCTTTTGAAATGTTACCTTGTCATCCAGCTTTGGAAATCACCCTCTGTTCTTCCCAGGCAGGTAAGAAATGTGTTAGACTGAAGTCAGTCTATAGGTCAGAGAAAGATTGAGCACAAGTGAGGAAGATGCCTGGAATCCAGGAGTTCATAGTCTTGGGGAAGCCTCAAAGTGAGCCCCGTGTTATGTCCCTGCCTTCAACAGATCATCCAGGTCAGGCGCAGTGGCTCAGGCCTGTAATTCCATCACTTTGGGAGGCCAAGGCAGGAGGATTGCTTTAGCCCAGGAGTTCAAGACCAGCCTGAGCAACATAGCAAGAGCCCATCTTTACAACAAAAAAAAAAAAAAAAGAAAGAAAATTAGCCTGGTGTGATGGTGCGCACTTGTAGTCCCAGCTACTCAGGAGGCTGAGGTGGGAGGATCACTTGTACCTCAGAGGTTGAGGCTGCAGTGAGCCATGATTATGCCACTGCACTCCAGCCCCTGGGTGACAGAGCAAGACCCTGTCTCAAAAAAAAAAAAAAAAAAAAAAAAAAAAAAAGATCATCCAGCCTGCCCTTTGGGAAGAAACACTCTGTCAACTGTCCTCTCTACCTTGTAAGCCTGCCTGGCAGGGACCAAGACGTAAGCCTGCACCCATTATCAGGTGTCTAACAAGTTAGTGCCTGGCTCTGCTTTTAGGAAGAGGTAAATCCATTCACCTCCACAAATACCATCCCACCCATCGTGAACGATACTCTTTCACTCCATTTCCATATTCTGGGTTACTCAATTTTTTACAAGAATCATGATGACCTTAGGAGTCCTGGGTCAAATGGGATCCCTGAGCTGCCAGGCAGGGGCACAAACCACAAGGAAACCCACCTTCCATCCCAGGCTTCTAGAACAGTGGTTCTCAACTCTGGCTGTACTTTAGAATGACCCGGGGAAGCGATTGAAAAATACCAATGCCCAAACCCCATTCCCAACCTTTTAAATCAGAATTCTGGGGGTCCAGCCAGGGCCAAACGAGTTTTTGAAAATGCCCCAGATGGTTCCACTGTGCACCCAGAGGCGGGAACTACTTGGCTAGAGGCTAAAAGTTTCAGAGTTCCAGCAGCTAGATGGCAGGAATGAAAGTACCCGGCTGGCCTTGGCAAAGGAAATGGAAGTTGGCCCAGCTTTTAAATAACCCTTACTGTTGGAACAGCAACAGAGTCTCCATATGTGTTGATAAGAAGGGCAGGCAGAAAGACTCCGTGGGAGGCAGGACTCAGGATGCTGTCTTCTGAGGCCCGAGCTTGGGGCAGGGGTTTCTTGACCCTGCATTGGCAGTGTGGTCAGTGGTGTGTGACTGTGTGTTGATGTCTGAGTGTGGCCATAAATGTGTGAAGGTCAGCTCTGCCAAGTCACAGGGCTTGTTAGGTTCTGAATTAAAGGTAAATAATTCTGGAAATACTTATGAATGTATGTAATACATTTTGTTTATCATTGTGTTCTATGAATAGGACCATAATTATGAATGAATTTTAACATTCATTAGATTTTTTTTTTAATTATTCAGTTGCTTCTTGGTTTATATCTCCACTGTTGTCTGGTTTCATGTCTGGCCTGCTGTTTGTACTCATCAGAATTTTCATCTTAAAAAAGGTAAGTGGGGCTGCTACTTTTAATTAAATCTTAAGAACTATTTTTGGCTCTACTCAGTAGAAATTAATAATGAGAGGGGTTAGAGGAATAATTGTATTCATACATTGTCAAGGCACAGCACCCTGCAGTTAGCGTCAGATGTTATTATAAATAGCCAGAAAGAGCCAAGGTAAATTACCCAGAGAGTCCCCCAGAAACAAGCACTGCAAATAGTGTTTCTTGGCTCTGTACTTTAGTTCATTAATCAACACTCCCAGGAGTTGTGCTGAGACCTCAAAAAGGAAAGGTAATTATTTCCTGAATGTTAAGCAGAATAGAATGAGATAGTGTTAAGATTTTGAAACTGTCATTAAAAAACAGCTGGAGAATTTCCTCACCCAAATGTGAAGGTGTGTTCCCTTTTTTTTTTTTAATGGAGAGAGCAAGGTTGAAACACTGACGCAATTTGAGGAAAGGATAAAAAGAAGGAAATACACCTATTGGGTACATCTTGTCTAAAAAAAAATTAGTGCTTACTGAGATCAGTGTTCTAGACACAAAACGTGGCTATCTTCTTTTGTTTGGCAGTCACAGGGTTGCTGCAGTGTTTGATAACTATTGAGTGCATGCTTCCTCTGCAGGCAGGGACGTACCCTCCAGGTTGTACCTTGCTTGGAAGCTGGCGCAGCCCTTTTCTTGCAGCCTTGCTTGGCCATCTGTTGAAGGGTCCATTCTCTCGGAGAGCACCAACTTGCCCTCACCGTTTCTCACCCTTCCTTCTCCTGGGACCAGGAACACTCATATTCACATATTGGAAGGCACACCCCTCTCTAGCCTGCCAGCCTTCACCCCTCCCCTCCTGTCTCTGGAATCCATGCTCACCTGGCAAGCCCTACTCCGCCCTTAGGTGTCACTTCCTAGGAAGCTGCTCCTCTCCTCCCCTCCCCCAGATTCGCCTGGTCCCCTCTCTTTTGAGCTCCGGCCACAGTCCACCTTGCCATCACGGCACTTAGCATGTCATATGGTGCTGCATTTCTTGCTTAGTTGCCTGTTCACTATTTGACTGTAAGATCTGTGAGAGCAGAAACCATGACTGCCCTGGCCACTTCTGTATTCTAGGGCCCAGCACTGTGCTTAGCACTTACAAGACACTTGGTAAATATTTAGGCAGAGGGAATGACAGATGCTTGGATGAGTGGCAGATAGAGGGATGGATAGATGGAAAGGAGGGAGGGAGAGAGAGAAAGAAAGTGGAGGGAAGAAAGGAGACAGGTCAAACAAGAAGTCTGTCAATGAGTTTCAAGACTAAGTTATTTTAGGCCAGGCGCGGTGGATCACTTGAGGTCAGGAGTTCAAGACCAGCCTGGCAAACATAGCGAAACCCCATCTCTACTAAAAATACAAAAAGTTAGCCCGGCATGGTGGTGCATGCCTGTAGTCACAGCTACTTGGGAGGCGGAAGCATGAGAATCGCTTGAACTTGGAGGCAGAGGTTGCAGTGAGCCAAGATTGCACCACTGCACTCCAGCCTGGGCAACAGAGTGGGACTCTGTCTAAAAAAAAAAAAAAAAGATATTTGAAAAAACATACGGTAATTTAATTGAAAACACAGACTCGGGGCTGTCCACCTGCAGAAGTTATTGGTTGGGAATCTCTCTTTAGCAATGTCCCTAAGAAAACAATGCCATGGAAACGGCATAGGTCATAGTCATTGAGCCTCCCAGCATTTTGTTTTCAGTTCATCCTGGGTTCTTTTCACGTGATACATCACAGATGATCATAGCTGGCTGTGTCACTCATGCCAGGCTCCAGCCCATTAATCTTGGTGTTTGCCACATGGCTGCCTCCCCTGCCTGGTCTGGTGTGACACTCCCACACTTGAGTCTCATTCTGCCCTGCTCTTGCTGCATCACGCCTCACTGCATTCAACTCGAGCCTCTTGACAAGTGCTCTTGGCTCCTTGAGACATTCCAGAACAGCTCCTTGATGGGCTGTACTGTTCTGCAAACATACTTGACTTCCAGGCGTGTTTGCATTTGGCAGTAGCAGTCTTTGAGATGCTTATCCATACTTCTGCTGCTGTCATCGATTTTTAGACCTAATTTTCCTTTTATCATGGCAGGTAGCATGTTCATGTAAATGTGGCCTTCGTGGTTATTAGAAGTTAGCCCCTTTTTGAATTATTTGAGCCACATCTGTGTGCCAGTGTTACATTGATGGGAGTTTCTGGCCCGTATTTTTACTTCAAAATTCTCTGTAGATCTGCTAAAAACTCTAAATGCCTCATATTCTCTTAGATGTTATTTAACTGAAAACATGCGCAGTACCATTCGTGTTGAACTTACTAGATTTAGGGAGTGTTGTAGCAGAAGCCTAAAGTAGTTAATAAATGTCGAATGGCAAATAAATTATTCAACAAGGAACTGCAGTTCTTTTTAACTTCTAATAGTCGAAGGTTAAATACTATACCTTGGGAAAAGATTCGGAAATTCATAGCACATGGTAACATAGCTAAGATGCATTGTGTAATAGAGTGTTGTAAAATCTCATGGTAATGCAGTGATGCTGAAGTCATCTGACTCTCTTAGAGGATGCTTGGAGGTTGGAATCTCAAATTATTTGTTGAATGTAGCCAGTTAGGGCCAAACCTGGACTTGGCTGTAGTGAGCACTATGGGTTTTGAGGAAGGAGATGCTGAGCTCTGGGCTTTGGTCCTCCGGAACCGGCTTGACCCAACAGATCTTTTCTGTTTCCAAGTCTGACATCAGCTCATGTGATTCCAGGGCTTTAATGTGTCTGCTGGCCACAACAGTGGGCTCTTTGACATTGCATTTGTGTGGGAGAGATGGCCCCAGCCAATGCCATTTCTGCAGAAGTGGAGCAGATCACAGGCAGTGACAACGCCCATCCTTTTGGCCACACTGGGGTTTGGGAAGAGTTTCTTGTAACAGTATTTTGTATCATTTTGTCTGTGTTGGCTCCAAATGCTGCTGGGATCCTGACCTTCCACTCTGTCTCCTTGTCTTCCTACAGGAAGACCCTGTTCCCAATGGCCTCCGGGCACTCCCAGTATTCTATGCTGCTACCATAGCAATCAATGTCTTTTCCATCATGTACACAGGAGCACCAGGTAAGGATCCCTTGGAAGCATACTCCAGGGGCAAAGTGCATTGTATTCTAACAGTATCAGTTTATTTGGTGCTGGTATTGTTGGCTGACAGTAAAAAGCATTACTCATGGTCATTATGGAATAGGTGCTGGAGTTGTTGGCTGATAGTAAAATGCGTTACTCATGGTCATTATAGAATAGTAAAAAGAGTGGTAAATGCATTTACTTGTCTTAATTAAATACCCAAGAGATATGTAGAGTACAAAGGCAACAGACTTTCAAGTTAGAAAAAAAAATTAAATCCCCACTCTGCCATTTACGCAGCTGTGTTGCCACTATAGCTTAGCCTCTCTGAGCCTCAGAACCTGATCTAATCCCACAGGCCTACAGGGTTGTGCAGGGGTCAGGAGAGGGTGTGGAGCACCTGGGGCCATGCCTGGCACCCAGTGAGCGGGACAGTCCACACATCAGCAATGCCCAGCGGAGCTCTAAAGCCGTTCACAGCACAGAGTACAGACCCCTGGAAATATCAGACCAGTTTATCCAGAGACTAGAAGCCATGCTTTGTTTTTTTAGATACCGAAGCCAATGATGATTTTCTTTGCTGAATTACTCCTTTCCTTGTCATTCTCATGGATTTTGTTGTTATTTTTTATGTTTTTTTTTTTTTTTTTTTTTTTTGAGATAGAGTCTCACTCTCTCACCCAGGATGGAGTGCAATCGCGCTATCTTGGAAAACTGCAACCTCCGCCTCCCAGGTTCAAGCGATTCTCCTGCCTCAGCCTCCTTAGTAGCTGGGATTACAGGAGCACACCACAGGTTTTCACTATGTTGGCCAGGCTGGTCTCGAACTCCTGACCTTGTGATCCGCCTGCCTCGACCTCCCAAAGTGCTGGGATTACAGGCGTGAGCCACTGCGCCTGGCCGCTTTTGTTCTTTTGTATAAAGGTTCAGAGGTTTTTTGTGGGGGGGGGGGTTAAAAATTATTTTTTATTTTATTTTATTTTTGAGACAGAGGCTCGCTCTGTTGCCCAGGCTGGAGTGCAGTGGCGCTATCTTGGCTCACTGCAAGCTCCGCCTCCTGGGTTCATGCCATTCTCCTGCCTCAGCCTCCCGAGTAGCTGGGACTACAGGCGCCCTCCTCCTCGCCCAGCTAATTTTTTGTATTTTTAGTAGAGACAGGGGTTTCACCATATTAGCCAGGATGGTCTCAGTCTCCTGACCTCATGATCCGCCCCACCTTGGCCTCCCAAAGTGCTGGGATTACAGGCATGAGCCACCATGCCCGGCCTTTTTTTTTTTTTTTTTCTTTATTGCCCAGGCTGGAATGCAGTGGTGCAATCATAGCCCACTGCAGCCTTGACCTCATGGGCCCAAGCAATCCTCCCACCTCAGCCCCCTGAGTAGCCGGAACCACAGGTGTGTGCCACCACACCCAGCTAATTTTTTATTTTTTGTAGAGATGGGGTCTCTATATTGCCCAGGCTGGTATCAAACTCCTGGCCTCAAGTAATCCTCCTGCCTCAGCTTCCCAAAGTGCTGGGATTACAGGTGTGAGCCCTACTGCACCTGGCCTAATTCTTTTCTTTTAGACCTTGAATAGGAAAATGAATAAGCTTATGTATGGTATTCTTGTTTGCACCCATTTCAGCACTGATGAGCTAGTAGCATTCTGTTAAACATTTCTGTACATGTTTGCTAGAGAATATTCCTCTTCTGTTTGTGAGATGCGCCTCCTACAGCCAGACTGTGGGATCTGTGACATCAACAGATGTGTTAGTTTGTGCTGGTTTTCATCTTCTTAATGTCTGTTATGGATGAAGATTTGGTTATTGGCCATGTTGACAGAAAAGGCTCCCTCTCTGTGTTTTAAAGATGAAATTTCTGCTAAATGACATGTCCTATCATAATCGAAAAGCGCCCTCTTCCAAAATAGTGGAAATCCTTATTACTTTCTCAAACTAGGAGTTCTCAATGTAATGTTCCTCAGATTTTATTAAGAATATCTAATTATATTTTATATGTTTCAGTACTGGGAATAAAGTATTCCTAAATGATTCTAACATTATATAACCTTTTACTGTGGTATCTGTGTAGTGTTCAGAACATTGATCTTAAAGGCTTAAATACTCAGCCGGGCGCAGTGGCTCATGCCTGTAATCCCAACACTTTGGGAGGCCGAGGTGGGTGGATCACAAGGTCAAGAGATCAAGACCATCCTGGCCAACCTGGTGAAACCCCGTCTCTACTAAAAATACAAAAATTAGCTGGGCGTGATGGTGCGCGCCTGTAGTCCCAGCTACTCAGGAGGCTGAGGCAGGATAATTGCTTGAACCTGAACCCAGGAGGTGGAGGTTGCAGTGAGCCAAGCTTGCGCCACTGCCCTCCAGCCTGGGTGACACAGCGAGACTTTGTCTCAAAAAAAAAAAAAAAGTTTAAATACTCACTGTGGGGCTTCCAGACTTTGGGTGATTTGCGGATGAAGGAAAGGGGAGTGCCAGAGCTGCTTTAGGTTCTAGGAAAGCAGGAAGCAAAGTTAGATTGATGAGGAGAGTGGGAGGAAGGTGAAATCCCAGTCACAGGTAACAGCAGCCTGCTGCCCCTTTAGGTTATATAATTCATGGACCAGGAAGTGTGTTTGTCACAGCTTTTTGAAGTATGTGCCCCAGGATAAATTTTTTTTAAGTGAGGCTGGGCGCGGTGGCTCACACCTATAATCCCCGCTGTTTGGGAGGCTGAGGAAGGCAGATCACTTGAACCAGGTCAAGAGTTCTAAACCAGTGTGGCCAACATGGTGAAACCCCATCTCTACTAAAAATACAAAAATCAGCTGGTCATGGTGGCGGGCACCTGTAATCCCAGCTACCCGGGAGGCTGAGGCAGGAGAATCACTTGAACCTGGGAGGTGGAGATTGCAGTGAGCCGAGATCCCGCCACTGCACTCCAGCCTCGTCGACAGAGCAAGACTCCATCTCAAAAATAAAACAAAACAAAAAAATTTGTTTTAAGTGAGTGACAGAGAAAAATCAGTTCCAAACCATGGAGTTAAGCGCACCACCTAGCATGTGAATCCCTCAAACATCTCATAATGCCAGGTAATTGGAAGGCCTGGAGCACTGGGTTGGAAGTGAACTCTGTAACGGGAGATATCTTAGTCCTTGTTTTTTTTTTTTTTTTTTTTTTTTGAGACAGAGTCTCGTACTGTCTCCCGGGCTGGAGTGCAATGGCATGATCTCAGCTCACTGCAACCTCTGCCTCCCAGGTTCAAGCAATTCTCTTGCCTCAGCTTCCCAAGTAGCTGGGATTACTGGCGCCTGCCACCACGCCTGGCTAATTTTTTGTATTTTTAGTAGAGACGGGGTTTTGCTATGTTGGCCAGTCTGGTCTCAAACTCCTGACCTCGTGATCCGCCTGCCTTGGCCTCTCAAAGTGGGATTACAGGCATGAGCCACTGCACCTTGCCCTTTGTTCTTATTTTATATGGGCTTTTAGAGTTCAAGTTAGCTGAACAGAAAGCAAAGCCTCCTGCAATCACCAGACGCCTCCCAGGTTGCTGACTTAAGAGACTGAGCCAGTGAAAGCTGAGGACGCCTTCTGTGGTGCCAAGTCCTGAACATGGGAATTGGCATCAATATGGATGGGGTTTTTTCGTTTCTGCATTTTATTTTTTCTACCCTCTATTCTTCTTGCTTCCTGGTTCTTCTTCCAACTGTCAGAAGACAATTACGATTTTTAATAAAAGTCTGACTTTTTCTATACATGGCCTTTTTTTTCCATCTCTTCTTTCCCCCATCTTTTGGCTGCAGTTGGCACATTCGCTAAAAATATCATCTTACTGGGAGAGTAAATTATCCTAGGGAAAATTAAACTGTGTGATGAATGAGACTCTAAGAATAATATAAATACTAATATAAATACTTCATAGGGTTGTTGTGAGAAATAAATAATGTAACTGTATTGAACTGAGCTTTATGTGGATTAATCCTTCTAGTCCTCCCAACTACTCTTGGTAATTGGCAATACAAATAACCTCATTTTACAGGTGGGAAACTGAGGCAGGGCAATGCTGAATACCCAAGGTCCTGTAACTAATAGGATGCAGAACCAGAATTTGAACCATGCCTCCAGTCCTGAGCCCTGGGGTCTTAGTTGTGACATTATACAGATGTGGGAGGTAGTTTAAAACACTACATATAATACCTGGTATGTAATATAGCAGTTAATGATAATAAAAATTGCATCAACCTTAACAAATTTTTTTTTTTTTGAGACGGAGTGTCATTCTGTCACCTAGGCTCCAGCAATCTCGGCTCACTGCAAGCTCCACCTCCTGGGTTCATGCCATTCTCCTGCCTCAGCCTCCTGAGTAGTTGGGACTACAGGGGCCCACCACCACACCCGGCTAATTTTTTGTATTTTTAGTAGAGATGGGGTTTCACCGTGTTAGCCAGGATGGTCTCTATCTCCTGACCTCATGATCTGCCCGCCTCAGCCTCCCAAAGTGCTGGGATTACAGGCGTGAGCCACCGCGCCCAGCCTCAACCTTAACAAATTATTTCTCTTCTCTTAACTCTCTTTAAAATGTCTTCTGGTATATTTGGGAACCTGGAGTGCATGCGCACGCTCTCTCTCTCTCTCTCTCTCTCTCTCTCTCTCTCTATATATATATATATATTTTTTTTTTTTTTTTTTTAGACGGAGTCTTGCTCTGTCTCCTAGGCTAGAGTGCAGTAGTGTGATCTCAGCTCACTGCAAGCTCCATCTCCTGGGTTTAGGGATTCTCCTGCCTCAGCCTCCCAAGCGGCTGGGACTACAAGACGCACGCCACCACACCTGGCTAATTTTTAATTTTTAGTAGAGACAGGGTTTCACCATGTTAGCCAAGCTAGTCTCAAACCCCTGACCTGAGGTGATCCGCCCACCTCGGCCTCCCAAAGTGCTGGGATTATAGGTGTGAGCCACCGCGCCCAGCTATTTTTGTACATATTTAATATACTAGTTAGTGTGAAGAAGCAGCCACCTCCTAATTAGGAATATAAAAAATCTGGGCTGGTCATGGTGGTTAACACCTGTCATCCCAGCACTTAAGAAGGCTGAGGAGGAGCATCACTTGAAGCCAGGTGTTCAAGACCAGCCTTGGCAACATAGCAAGACCCCATCTCTACCAAAATAACAATAATAATAATAATAATTGTAAAATCTGTATAAGGGAGTAAAGGCTGTCGTGAACTATGATCGTGGCCCTGCACTCAACCAGATGACAAAGCGAGGCCCTGTCTCAAAAAAAAAAAAAAATCTGTGTAAGGATCTTGAAGTTCATTATTCCCTCGAAGCACAACCAGTATTTATTCCCAGTCCTGAAGTTAGCGTTAGGTTCTGTAGTTGGGTGGCTGTTCTGTCAGGAATGTGACATCACCTCCCCTCCCAAAGTCTTATTCCTGATTATAAAGTAAGGCCAGGAGTAGCATCTCCGTTCGAGGGACACTATAGTCCCTGAGATAATGAAGGTGGGGTACCTGGCACAGTGCCCGGCACATAATCAATGCTTCATACAGTCATTGGTCCCTCCCTCTCCTCGGAGATTGGCTGTAGGACCTCCGTAGATACCAAAATTCGGCCGGGCGCGGTGGCTCACGCCTGTAATCTCAGCACTTCGGGAGGCCGAGACGGGCGGATCATGAGGTCAGGAGATCGAGACCATCCTTGCTAACATGGTGAAACCCTGTTTCTACTGAAAATAAAAAAATTTGCCCAGCGTGGTGGCAGGCACCTGTAGTCCCAGCTACTCGGGAGGCTGAGGCAGGAGAATGGCATGAACCTAGTAGGGGGAGCTTACAGTGACCTGAGATTGCACCACTGCACTCCAGCCTGGGAGACAGAGCGAGACTCTGTCTCAAAAACAAACAAAAAAAATGATACCAAAATCCATGGATATTCAAGTCCCTTAAGTTGGCCGCCAGTATCTGCTGAACCATGGACGGAGAAGGCCAACCGTGCCTGTTAGAGGCTGTTTTGTTACCATCAGTCATAATTAACCTAACCCAGTCTTTTGGCCTTAACTTGCCAGAAACTCCTGAGTCATCCTGTCCTTCTGTTTTTCCACACATCTTTGTATGGAAAAATTCTTACTTGAAGTTTCTCAAGGGGCTTGCCTAGAGGAGAAGGTCATGGCTCTGAAGGTCCCACCATTTTGTTCCTCCGATGAGTCAAAAAAGGACTTTGCTAATATTTTGATTCCAGGGGAATGTTTCTAGAATGTCCAGTGAGTGAGTCAAAATCTTATTTTTATGTAAGCCTTGAAGGTATTTTGTCCTTCAATGTAGACTTTCATTACATACTGTTTCCTCATATGGGGTATCTCTGCGAGTCCAGCTGTGTCATTAATAGCCGTGGTGTCCTAGTTCGTGTTTTTGGTGTTTTGTTTTGATTTCCTCTGCTTCTCTACTCTTAATTATTGTGAAGTTGATTATTTCTTAGGCTTAGTTTGATTTGTGTTACTTTACATTTGACATGACTTTTCTCAAAAGTCATTCTTACACTTCAAAGACTAAGTTCGCACTTTTAAAAAATTGTCTTTGCATTTTTGTTCTTAAAAAAATGACTTGCAAGGACTAAAAAATAACTTTAGGAAATAAAATGCTTACTTGGGTTGGATACAAGCCTAAGCTTCATTTTTAATGAAAAAGTCTTCAGTTGTGTGGGGCCTGGTTTTTGTTCAGTGTTTAAACAGTGAATGCTAAAGTTCATGGCATGCCCCTTTGAACAGTCGAAGCAGGTCACCCAGTTAAGCCTCTGGTAGGCACCTTCTAAGGCAATGTGTGGTCCCTGGCCAGCAATAGCATGCAGGAACTTGTCAAGATGCAGATTCCGAGGCCCAGCCCTGGACCCACAGAATGCAGCCCAGTGACCTGTGGTTTAATAGGGGAGCCTCAGTGATTTGGAAGCATGTTACAGTTTGAGAACCACTGCTCTAGGCACGTCTCTTACCAGAAACGTGGCTTCCTCATTACCGTTCTAATGTAATGGGTACTCCCAAAAGTTCTAACCCTAACCCAACCTTTGCTCACTCGTTTCCACCAGCAAAGGAATTCCCAACTTAACCAGGCCTGGTTCCTGACTTTCCCAGAGCATGTCTGTACCTGAGACATGCCTGCCCCTGCCTCTGCGGCCTCCTGCGGCCTCCTCCCCCTCCTCCTCCTCTTCATCTCTTCCTCCCCTCCTCCATCTTTTCCTCCTTCTGCTCTTCCATCTCTGTCTCCTCCTCTTTATCTCTTCCTCCTCGTCCTCCCCCTCTTCATCTCTTCCTCCTCATCCTCCTCTTCTTCATCTCTTCCTCTTCCCGCTCCTCCATCTCTTCCTGCTCCTCCTCTTTATCTCTTCTTCCTCCTCCTCTTTATCTCTTCCTCCTCCTCTTCATCTCTTCCTACTCCTCCTCTTCATCCCTTCCTCCTTCTCCATCTCTTCCTCCTCCTCCTCTTCATCTCTTCCTCCTCTTCTTCTTCATCTCTTCCTCCTCCTCCTCCATCTCTTCCTCCTTCTCCTCTTTATCTCTTCCTCCTCTTCCTCCATTTCTTCCTCCTCCTATCTCTTTCTTCTCCTCCATCTCTTCCTCCACCTCCTCCATCTCTTCCTGTTCCATCTCTTCCTCCTCTATCTCTTCCTCCTCCACTTCATTTCTTCCTCCTCCTCTTCCATCTCTTCCTCCTCCTCCTCCATCTCTTCCTCCTCCTCCTATCTCTTCCTCCTCCTCCTCCATCTCTTCCTCCTCCTCTTCATCTCTTCCTCTTCCTCCTCCATCTTTTCCTCCTCCTCTTTCATCTCTTCCTCCTCCTCTTCATCTCTTCCTCCCCCTCCTCTTCATCTCTTCCTCCCCCTCTCTTCCTCCTCTTCCTCTTCATCTCTTCCTCCTCCTCCTCTTCATCTCTTCCTCCTCCTCCTCTTCATCTCTTCCTCCTCCTCCTCTTCATCTCTTCCTCCTCCTCCTCTTCATCTCTTCCTCCTCCTCCTCCATCTCTTCCTCTTCCTCTTCATCTCTTCCTCTTCCTCCTCCATCTTTTCCTCCTCTTTCATCTCTTCCTTCTCCTCCTCATCTCTTCCTTCTCCTCCTCCATCTCTTCCTCCTCCTCTTCATCTCTTCCTCTTCCTCCTCCATCTTTTCCTCCTCCTCCTCCATCTTTTCCTCCTCCTCTTTCATCTCTTCCTCCTCCTCCTCTTCATCTCTTCCTCCCCCTCCTCTTCATCTCTTCCTCCCCCTCTATCTCTTCCTCCTCTTCCTCTTCATCTCTTCCTCCTCCTCCTCTTCATCTCTTCCTCCTCCTCCTCCATCTCTTCCTCTTCCTCTTCATCTCTTCCTCTTCCTCCTCCATCTTTTCCTCCTCTTTCATCTCTTCCTTCTCCTCCTCCTCATCTCTTCCTTCTCCTACTCCATCTCTTCCTCCTCCTCTTTATCTCTTCCTCTTCCTCCTCCATCTTTTCCTCCTCCTCTTACATCTCTTCCTACTCCTTCTCCTCTATCTCTTCCTCCTCCTCCTCTTCATCTCTTCCTCTTCCATCTCTTCCTCCTCCTCCATCTCTTCCTCCTTCTCCATCTCTTCCTCCTCCTCCTTATCTCTTCCTCCTCCTCCATCTCTTCTCTTCCCTGTCCTCCTCCTCTTCTTCCTGTTTCTCCTCCTCCTTTGCCCCCTTTCTCCTCCTCATCCCCCTCCTCTGGTTTCTCCTCTTCCTTCTCATCTTCCTCCTCCTTCTCTTCTTCCACCTCTTCCTCCTCCCCCTGTTCCTCCTCCAGTTGCAGCTGCTTCTGATCCAGTTTCTAGGAAACCAGGACATCAGAAACCTCTCAGGCTGCCAGTTGGCTTTGTGAGAAGGAGCCCTGCACTCAGAAGGCCTCTTTCTTCCATGCTGTGATTGTGAAGTGCAGGCTGTGGAGAAGCCAGAAATTGCCGTTACAGTGATTCCTAGTCTTGGATTGGGGAAGCCCTGGGGTGAGAAGAGTCTCCAGTTATCACCAAGAGCTGGATTCAAAACAGGGTCATTTAAATTCACCTCATTTTCAAAATTATTACAAATGTACCCTGGTTTGAAAAAGTTGGTACCAGCCAGGCTCATGGCTCACACCTGTAATCCCAGCACTTATGGGAGGCAGAGGCAGGCAGATCACCTGAGGTCAGGAGTTAGAGACCAGCCTAGCCAACATGGAGAAACTCTGTCTCTACTAAAAATACAAAAATTAGCTGGGTGTGGTGGTGAGTTCCTGTAATCCCAGCTACTTAGGAGGCTGAGGCAGGAGAATTGCTTGGACCTGGGAGGCGGAGGCTGCAGTGAGTGGAGATTGAGCCACTGCATTCCAGCCTGGGCGACAGAGCGAGACTCCATCTCAAACAAAAAAAGAGGCCGGGCGCAGTGGCTCATGCCTGTAATCCCAGCAGTTTTGGGAGGCTGAGGCAGGTGGATCACCTGAGGTCAGGAGTTCGAGACCAGGTTGGCCAATATGGTGAAACCCCATCTCTACTAAAAATACAAAAATTAGCTGGGCATAGTGGCATGTGCCTATAATCCCAGCTACTTGGGAGGTTGAGGCAGGAGAATCGCTTGAACCTGGGAGGTAGAGGTTGCAATGAGCCAAGATGGCACCACTTTACTCCAGCCTGGGCAATACAGTAAGACTCAGTCTCAAAAAAAAAAAGAACGAACGAAAAAAAAATACTTGGTACCATGTGCAAAAAATATATATATATATTTTTTACTTATAGAGCAAATTAGGAAATCACATTTTTTATTTTATTTTCTCAACTAAGTTGTTTCAGAATTCCTATTACATAGGTAGCTCCTCTAATGCTTTGAATATATTGATCTAGAGCAAAAGACAAAGCTCAATTTATAAGGCAAGATATTAGAGCAGTTCTACAAAGGAGGTAATCTCTGTGTGTGTGCATGTGTGTGCACACATAAGTGTGAATGTTTACTATGAGAAGATATCCGCAGCATATTGTTATGTGACAAACAAAAGCATAGAATAGTATATAGTGGGATTCTGCTTCTGTTTAATAAAAGGAAAAAAGAAAAATAAATGTTCGACATGGTGTCTGTGCCTACCTAGAAAATGCCTGGAAACATACACACCAAATAGTTCTTACTGTCTCCCTGGGAAGTAAGTTGAAGAGGGGAGGATGATGAGGAAGGTTCATATTTGTACATCATACAATTTTGTAGGTACTGCTGATATTTTTACGATAAGCATGGATTATTTATATAATGAAGACAAAGAATCTGCATTGAGTCAATAAGAAGGAAGATTGTAGGGAGATGATGGGTCATGATATAAGGAAACTGATATAGACTAAAGCCTTATTGGTCCCATATAAGTTTTATTTGTTTATAGATCCTTAGTCATGAGTGTTAGATGTGAAAAACAAGAAGTACAACAAGGCAATAACAATGGAGACTGAGCTCGTATAAAAAGTTCTATGTATTTCTCCCTAAATGGCTTGAATATTCGTCTAATCTTTTGGGAATTTGGAATAGAATTGTAAAGATGCTTGAGGTTAGAGCTAAATCACTATTCATCGTATCTTAGCTGCTCCGCAAATGAAAGGCGCTTGACATTTGCGCCTTTTAGTGGCTAAAACCGAGAACGGAGACCCAGAGCTCCTTGCGCGGGTTCCTGGCAGCTACTTTTGGCTGAGTGAACACGAGCCACTGAGGCTGTGCCCCAGTATGTCCATCCGCAGGGGGAAATGACGGCCATGTCTTACTGCCTGACGTAGCCATAATTGTTTGGAAACAATTCGAGATCCGTACCAGAAAGACAATTTAATAGAAAGTATTTTTGTCAAAAATGTTGTTGTGTAGAAGCCAGTCTTGAGTTTTTAGGAGAAAAACCGTTTGCCTTGGGTGTGCATTGATTCAGGCGCTGTCCTGTGCTGAATCTTTGTATTGAATTGTTTTTTATCCACGAAACTGGATTTTATATACTTAGTACAATTTGGAGCTGTGTAACACAGGTAACTGTCAGTTTACTTTTTTCACATGCAGGCCTTAAAAGTAAATCCTTGTGCTCATCTGATTCTCTGCTAAATCACCAAACTGCTGGAATACTTCAGTAAGATCCTGTCCCCATTCTGCTCCCCCTCTCACCTACTGTGAACAGCTTCCCCTGTTTTCCCAGATTCCTTCTCTCTTCTTCCTCCTCCGTGACGTGTTACCCTGTCTCCCCACCACTTCCCCTGGGTGATGCGTTTCTCTCCTGCTTCCCCTGCCAGTTTCTCATGACTGGGAGGTGATTTCAGAGTTTTCTGGCTGTATCCCAGGCCACATCAGTGGTAGAGGCAGGTGTGACGGCAAAGGTGCAAAGGGCAGGTGATATTATCTTAAGTCGAAGCACAGGGTGAGAAGTCTTGCCCCCGACCTCAGGTTCACCCTTTTGGTGGTGGTCCTGACACCATCTGGGACCCCATGTGACCCTGCTGGGAGCCTGGCGTGGTCCTAGAAGGAGCCCATCAAGTAGCCCTTCTTGACTTCTCTTTCGGGCCCTGCTCAGCATGAATGGTAAAAATAGGGCCTGATAGCAAAAGCGTTCACTCATTTTTAAAATATGTATCCCAGATTGTTTCTCTCTCCCTGTGGTCTCTAGGGTTTGCCTCTCTTAGATCAGTTTGGCGCAGTAGCGCTAAGCCGAAAGTAGCACAATTAGTAATTGTATCATCAGCAAAACCACAGAAGAAGCAGGGAAACCTCTTCAGGAACCATGCTTTGAAGCCATGCGTGGGATCGGTGTTGGCGTCAGTTGTTAGTTTGACGTTGGTAAAGAGCGGGTACCATTCGAGTTGGCAAGAACCAGCTTTGGTGCAATCCTTTGCTGCGTGTATGAACCCCTACATGAAGGTGGACAGCAGACGCTGGGAAGCCTTGGCCCCAGACACAGCCCAGTGCAACCAACCAAGGGGTCGCACAAGCGGCTCTCAGCTTTGGGTGCAGGGGCAGAGCCTGAGTTGGATGGGGCCTGCTGGTGTCAGTACAGCCGCGTGGCAGAGCTGAGTCAGCCTTCTGATGTAGTCAGGGGGATGGGAGCTGAGCAGTTAAGTGCCTGTCCTCCCCCAGTGACCTTAGCTATCACTGTGCTAGGTGATTCTGGATTTTTGTTTTTAATACTTATATACATTAATTCTGACTATATATAGTATTAACTACCTATTCTATTCATACTATCTCTTACAATTATAAAAAAGAAATTTTTTTTCTTCTGAGATAGAATCTCGCTCTGTCGCCCAGGCTGGAGTGCAGTGGCGTGATCTTGGCTCACTGCAGCTCCACCTTCCGGGTTCATGCCATTCTCCTGCCTCAGCCTCCGGAGTAGCTGGGACTACAGGTGCCCACCACCACGCCTGGCTAATTTTTTTGTATTTTTAGTAGAGACGGGGTTTCACCGTGTTAGCCAGGATGGTCTCCATCTCCTGACCTTGTGATCTGCCCGCCTTGGCCTCCCAAAGTGCTGGGATTACAGGCATGAGCCACCGCACCCAGCCCAAATGTATGTTAATTTTTTTTATAGTATGTTAATTTTTTTTTTTTTTTTGAGGCAGGATCTCACTCTGTTGCCCAGGCTGGAGTTCAATGGCGCTATCATAGCTCACTGCAGCCTCAAATTCCTGGGCTCAAGAAATCTTCCCACCTCAGCCTCCCAAGTAGTTGGGACTACAGGCGTGCACCACTACTCCCAGCTAATCTTTTTGTTTTTATTTTGTAGAGACAGGGTCTCACTATGTTGCTCAGGATGGTCTTGAACTCCTGGCTTCAAGTGATCCTCTCACCTCAGCTTCCCAAAGTGCTGGGATTACAGGCATGAGGCACCCTGCCAAGCCTAATAGTACCTCAGCTGAGTAACTTTGTGCTGCTTTCTATGTATAAAATGGTTAACAATAAAACAAAGACTGCAAATTTATTTAAGAGCAAAGTGTTAAATAGTTAACCCCTTTGAATTAAATTTTTTAACAATTTACAAAAGTGACATTCTTATAGTATATATATTTTTATTTCTTTTTCTTTTTTATATTTTGTTTTTTACTTTTTTTAGTAAATTCTCCCAGATCCTTATCTTATTGTATATATTTTTTAAGTTACCACTATAAAGGTATGTGTAATAAAAAGTGAAATTCCCACTCCAGTCTCCCATCTCTCCATAAAGAAATTGGAAACCACTGTATCTTCCCAGAACTTTTTCTGTAAATTCACAGATATGACGGGAATGTGGAAAGGTGGATGTTTTATTTTTCAAACATAAATTGCATCATGCCATGTGTATATCATACAACTAGCCTGCATTACTCATTGGATCTTGGGCCTCTTTCCTTATCAGTACATATAGACCTGCATAATTCATAAGACTGTCTACAGTAATTACTTCACATTTTCATAATGATGCATATATTAGTTGTTCTACAAATTATTACTATTACAAATAATGCTGTGGTGAGTATTCTTGCATAACTACCTGTGAGTTTATGTATGAGCATAAGTGTTCAAGTTGTGCACATATGAATGTGTGTGAATGTGCCTGTTGTCACCATTGACAGCAGATGGACAAAATTCAGGGTGATGAGGGCTGGAGACATGACAGTGCTATGAAAAGATGACGTTCTCAAACCATGTGCACTTCCACCCTTGGATTGGCTAATGTTATTATTGCTTAGTGTGCATTATGGGATTTGAGTGAAAAGTTTTTCTGCACTGTAATTCCGTAAGTTGATGCTTCAAAGAAGAGTTAGAATTGAAGGTCAGTGTCCTTTTAAAAAACTCTTATTCCTTGGGCCAGGTGGCTCATGCCTGTAATCCCAGCTCTTTGGGAGGCCAAAGCAGGAACATCCCATGAGGCTAGGAGTTTGACACCAGCCTGGGCAACATCGCAAGACCTTGTCTCTTAAAAAAATAAAAGTAAAAATAAAAATAAATAAACAACAACAAAAATCCTTTTATTTCTCAATTGATTTCAAAGAAGTTCTGTGTATGTGGTTAGGGCACATGTCCGTTTAAAGTAGGGCTACTGGCTGCTGAGGAACTAGGAGAGGCCTCAGTTGCGGAGCCAGGCAGTGTCCAGATGGCAGCTTCCTGCCGCAGGTGGGCTGGGCTGAGGTGGGCATCAGGATGGAAGACAGCTGACTCCTTTCTTTTTTTTTCTTTATTTCTTTTTCTTTTTTGAGATGGAGTTTTACTCTTGTTGCCCAGACTAGAGTGCAATGGCGCGATCTCAGCTCACTGCAACCTCCGCCTCCCAGGCTCAAGTGATTCTCCTGCCTCAGCCTCCTGAGTAGCTGTGATTACAGGCGCCTGTCACCGCGCCTGGCTAAGTTTTTGTATTTTTAGTAGAGATAGGGTTTCAACATGTTGGCCAGGCTGGTCTCAAACTCCTGACCTCAGGTGATCCTCCCACCTCGGCCTCCCAAAGTGCTGGGATTATAGGCGGGAGCCATCATGCCCGACCTCAGCTGACTCCCTTCTCAGCCACATTTGTTGTGCAGCCATTTAGATATTGAAATAATATGTAAATGGATTTCATCCCAACTTAAATATGCTGTTTGTGCCCAGTTGTTAAAATTTTATTTATTTATTTTTATTTTATTTATTGTTTTTTTTGAGATGGAGTCTCGCTCTGTTGCCCAGGCTAGAGTGCAGTGGTGCAATCTCGGCTCACTGCAACATCCCCCTCCCAGGTTCGAACGAATCTCCCGCCTCAGCCTCCCGAGTAGCTGGGATTACAGGCATGCGCCACCACGCCCAGCTAATTTTTGAATTTTTGGTAGAGATGGGGTTTTACTATATTGGCCAGGCTGATCTCGAACTCCTGACCTCAGGTGATCCTCCCACCTTGGCCTCCCAAAGTGCTGGGATTACAGGTGTGAGCCGCCATGCCTGGCCCCCAGTTGGTAAAACTTTAATAATTAGCTTACTAACTAGTTTAAGCACATATTCGCCAGATATAAGATGTCTTGAACATACAGCTTTCTACTCCAAAAAGTATAGCATGTTTTTTTAGTTGAGAGTTTTATTCACTACAAAATCCAGGTGATTCGTTCTCGATTTGGGGAGTGGGAAGTCCACCGCCCTGAGGCCTGACCTTGCAGAAGTTTCCAGTAATGACACTGCTTCTCATTTTCCTTCCCAGTGCTCGGCCTTGTTCTCCCCATGTGGGCCATAGCCCTCATTTCCTTTGGTGTCGCCCTCCTGTTCGCTTTTTTTGTGTGGCTCTTCGTGTGTCCGTGGATGCGGAGGAAAATAACAGGTATGGGCCTTTTAATTCTTCTGATTTACAGAAATGCTCCCGATTCCCAAAACCTCACATGTAACATGCCATGATCCTTACTAATGGAGGAAATGGAAGTGTGGGTGACTCCAGAACATACCCCATCCTCTGTCTCTCCGTTCCTGAGTGCTTTCTGGCTCATACGTTTTCTTGATAAGTTGTAACCCAGGTGGGCAGCAAGGTCCCAGTTGCCATGAGTAACTGGAAGTTAACCGTGCAGTGCAGTTCTGCCAGCCTGTGGAAAAACATTAGCCTTCATAGAAATGCAAATTAACTCCACAAGGAGATTTTGTTTCCCACTCACAAGAATGGCTAAGAGTACAAAGTTCCTGCAATTCCATATGTGGGTGAAGAAGTGAAATAATTGGAACTCTCCCAGGTTTATGCTGAAATTTAAAATGGTGCAACCACTTTGGAAGTTAGGTTTGCAGTTTCTTTATAAAGTTCACCTTACACTTACCATGTGAGCCAGTAATTTCACTCCTAGCTATTTATCCAAAGAAATGAAAACGTGTTCATAAAAAGACTTGTATACAAATCTTTTTGTCATAATAGCCCAAAGTGGAAACAACCCATGTGTTGGTCAGCAGGCAAATGGGTAACCAAATTGAGTAAATTCATGCGATGGACGACCACGCAGCAATAGAGAGAATGAACTGCTGGGGACCTGACGGCTGAAGGCATCCTACAGCCGTGATACTGAGCAGAAGCCCATGATCCGGAAGAGCACCTATTCTGCATGCTGGCATTTTTCATAACATTTTCTTAAATTTTTATTTAAAAGTTTTATGGATCTTTCCATTAAATTTAAGAATATGGAAAATTCATCTATAGCAACAGAAAGCACTGATCGCCTGGGATGGGTGGGGGTTGGAGAAGGCAGCTCAGGAACTTATCAGGGACATGAAATGTCTTTGTTTTCATCAGGGAAGGGGTTTAGAGTGTGCCCACTTGCGGCAGGTCATAACCTGGATGCTTAAAATGTATGCATTTTTGGCTGGGCATGGTGGCTTACACCTGTAATCCCAGCACTTTGGGAGGCCGAGGCATGTGGATCACCTGAGGTCAGGAGTTCGTTGGTCAGGAGACCAGCCTAACCAACAAGGTAAATAAAACCCTGTCTCTACTAAAAATACAAAAATTAGCTGGGCCCTGGTGGCAGGTGCCTGTAGTCCCAGCTACTCGGGAGGCTGAGACAGGAGAATTGCTTGAACCCGGGGGGGCAGAGGTTGCAGTGAGCCAAGATCGTGCCACTGCACTCCAGCCTGGGTGACGGAGCGAGACTCCGTCTCAAAAAAAAAAGTATACATTTTATTATATATATATATATATATATATATATATATATATATATATATATCCTATAATAATAATTGTATTATTATAGTACTGTAATAATTATACTGTGGTATAATACAATTATACTATACAATAACTGTATAGTATAATATACAATATAGTACTCTACTGTATAGTACTATAATAATTGTATTATTATAGTTATAGTAATTATAACATATATAATAAAACGAAGCAATAAAAATAAAACACATGTTATTAAAAGGAAAACAGTTTTTAAAAAGAAGAAGAATATGGCTTAGGAAGTCAGCCAAGGCTGTTTTCCTATTCCCAATTCCCCATATTTGAATTTCAAGCCTTGAAGCCACATGCTTTTTACAGAACTCTCAAAAAACAGATATTTACATTTGGTCTCAGCATGTACCATAGGGTCACATTTTGGTATGGATATATCTGCATTTGGAAATTCACTTTTTGAAAAAGACCAAAATACATGAGACAAAGCATGCTCCTGAATTGGAAGACAGTATAGTAGAGATGCCAGTTCTTAGATTCATCTCTAGACTTTAGACAATTTAAATAGAAATCCCAGCAGGATATTTTGTAGATTTAGACAAGCCACTTTTAAAGTTCATGTAGAAAGTCAAAGAAACTAGATGAGCTGGAACAATTTTGGAAAAGAAAAAAGTTGGAGGATTCATATTAACCTGACTTCACGACTTGTTATGAAGCCACAAGGCAGTGTGGAAGAGAGAGACACATAGATTAATGGAACAAGAATAGAGTCTAGAAATAGACCCACACTAATGTGGCAAATGGATTTTAAACAAAGGTACAGAAACAGTTCAATGGAGAAAGGACAGTCTTTCAACAAATGGTTTTGGAACACTTGACATCCATATGCCAAAATAAGAACATTAACCTAAACCTTATTTTAAAAATTAACTTAAAATGCATCATAGATCTAAATATAAAATTTAAAAAACAATAAGACTTTTAGAAAAAAAATATAAGGGAAAACTTTTGTGACCTTGGGTTGAGAAAGGGTTTTTAGATATGACACCAAAAACATGTTCTATAAAAGAACAAGTTGGGCCAGGCATGGTGGCTCACGCCTGTAATCCCAGAACTTTAGGAGGCTGAGGCAGGCAGATCACCTGAGGTCGGGAGTTCGAGATCAGCCTGGCCAACATGGAGAAACCCTGTTTCTATTAAAAATACAAAATTAGCCAAGTGTGGTGGCTCATGCCTGTAATCCCAGCTACTTGGGAGGCTGAGGCAGGAGAATTGCTTGAACCTGGGAGGCAGAGGTTGCATTGAGCCGAGATTGTGCCATTGCACTCCCCTTGGGCAACAAGAGCAAAACTCCATCTCAAAAAAAAAAAGGACAACTTGATAAATTGTACTTCATCAAAATTTCAAACTATTGCTCTGTGAGAAGCACCGGGAACAGAATGGGAAAAAATGTTTGCACATCCCATAACTACAAAGGACTTGTATTCAAAAAATAAAAACACATTTTAGAAAACAAATAACTCAATTAAAAAATGAGCAAAATAGGCCAGGCGCAGTGGCACACGACTATAATCCCAGCAGTTTGGGAGGCTGAGGTGGGTGGATCACAAGGTCAGGAGATTGAGACCATCTTGGCCAACATGGTGAAACCCCATCTCTACTAAAAATACAAAAATTAGCTGGGCGTGGTGGCACATGCTTGTAATCCCAGCTACTCAGGAGGCTGAGGCAGGAGAATCGCTTGAACCATGGAGTCAGAGGTTGCAGTGATCCGAGATCGCGCCACAGCACTCCAGTCTGGTAACAGAGTAAGACTCTGTCTCAAAACAAACAAACAAACAAACAAAAAGAACAAAATAGCCCAGGCACGGTGACTCATGCCTGTAATCCCAGCACTTTGGGAGGCCGAGGTGGGCGGATCATGAGGTCAGGATTTCGAGACAAGCTTGGCCAACATGGTGAAACCCCATCTCTACTAAATATACAAAATTAGTCAGGTATGGTGGTGGGTGCCTCTAATCCCAGCTACTCAGGAGGCTGAGGCAGGGGAATCACTTGAACCCGGGAGGCGGAAGTTACAGTGAGCGGAGATCACGCTAGTGCACTCCAGCGCACTCTAGCCTGGGCAAAAAGAGTGAAACTCTATCTCAAAAAAAAAAAAAAAAAAAGAGCAAAATATTTGAATAGACACTTCACCAAAGAAGATAGATGGGGCCAGACACGGTGGCTCACGCCTGTAATCCCAACACTTTGGGAGGCTGAGGCGAGCAGTTCACGAGGTCAAGAAATCGAGACCATCCTGGCCAACATGGTGAAACCCCGTCTCAGCTAAAAATACAAAAATTAGCTGGGCGTGGTGGCACGCACCTGTAGTCCCAGCTACTCGGGAGGCTGAGGCAGGAGAATCGCTTGAACGCGTGAGGCGGAGGTTACAGTGAGCTGAGATAGAGCCACTGCACTCCAGCCTGAGTGACAGAGTGAGATTCCATCTCAAAAATAAATAAATAAATAAATAATGAAAAATACTGACAGTACTAAATTTTGTCAGTATTTAGAAGAATGAAGAGGAACTGGAACCTCGTACGTTGCTGATGGGAATGTCAAATGGTACAGGGAAACTGTTTGGCAGCTTCTTATATGGCTAGCACTTGCCATAAATATACTCTTAACCACTCCTAGATATTTCCCTGGAAAAATGAAAACTTAAATTCACACAGAAATCTGCACATGAATGTTTATAGCACCTTTATATGCAATCTCCAAAAACCCACATTATCCACAGAATAAATAAACTGTGGTGCCTTTGTACATTTGAATACTACTCAGCAATTAAAAGGAACAAATTATTGATCCATGTAACAACGTGGATGGATTTCAAAGGCATTATGCTGAGTAGAAAAAGCCAGTCTCAAAAATCGCATATTTTATTATTTTATTTATGTGACTTTCTGAAAAAGGCAATTTTTCAGAAATTGAAATTTCTGATTCTGAGGTTAGTTTAAGAAAACAGAAGGCCAGTCTGGGTGGCTATAGATTTACAGAACATTAGTGCTGGAGGGAACTGTGGTATTCGGATCTGACCCTTTTTTGGTTGTTGTTTTTGGATATGATAACTCGGGCCCTAAATTTCCATCTTTTCCTCAATTGCTGAATTTTCTGGCTAGAGTTTTCCAGGTAATTAATTGAACTTTTGACTTTCTTTTCTTTTCTTTCTTTTTTTTTTTTTGAGACAGAGTCTCACTCTGTCACCCAGGCTGGAGCGCAGTGGCGCAGTCTTGGCTCACTGCTAATTCTGCCTCCTGGGTTTAAGAGATTCTCCTGCCTCAGCCTCCCAAGTAGTTGGAATTACAGGCGCCTGCCACCACACCCGGCTAATTTTTATATTTTTAGTAGAGACGGGGTTTCACCATATTATCCAGGCTGGTCTCAAACTCCTGACCTGGTGATCCACCTGCTTCGGCCTCCCAAAGTGCTGGGATTACAGGTGTGAGCCACCACACCTGGCCTCAACTTCATTTTCTCTATCTAGCTATAACTTTTTTTTTTGTTTCCAAAATCAGTGCTAAAGCATAAAGATATAGATTCACTTTTTAATATTCATGTTTCAATAATAAGAACTCTCTTCCAGAATGTTCAGTATGACTTTGTTTTCTTTAGGCAAATTACAAAAAGAAGGTGCTTTATCACGAGTATCTGACGAAAGCCTCAGTAAGGTTCAGGAAGCAGAGTCCCCAGTATTTAAAGAGCTACCAGGTGCCAAGGCTAATGATGACAGCACCATCCCGCTCACGGGAGCAGCAGGGGAGACACTGGGGACCTCGGAAGGCACTTCTGCGGGCAGCCACCCTCGGGCTGCATACGGTAAGATGTGCCTGGAGAGCTTGGGTTCTGTGGCAGCACAGAGAAGTTCCCTGGGGAGGACCAGCTGGGCCTGGGTGTGGGCAATCTGGTTTTAATGCACAAAAGGATCCCCCAGTTTTATAATTTGAGAAAACCCAGAAGCTAGGGAGGCCTCAGGAAACCATTTCGTAGTCAGCAGAGCAGGCTCACTCTTGTCCTGTGATTTCTTCCAAGAGCTGTTTATAGTCTAACCGGAGGCACTGGGGCCACGCACTGTATGTCTGTGCTGCACCCACTCAGCTACATATGCAGATCTCCATGCCCCAGGAGTTATCGAATTGCTGAACGTTGGTTAACCCAGCTTACTATGGAAGATGCAAAGAGAAAGCTAAATTTGTAACCAAGGAGGTGGTCCCACCATTGAATCACAGAAACCTTAGAAAATGTCCAGACTGACCAGGTGCAGTGGCTCATGCCTATAATCCCAGCACTTTGGGAGGCCGAGGTGGATGGATCACCTGAGGTCAGGAATTCAAGACCAGCCTGACCAACATGGTGAAACCCCATCTCTACTAAAAATACAAAAATTAGCTGGGTATGGTGGTGGGTGCCTGTAATCCCTGCTACTCGGGAGGCTGAGGCAGGAGAATCACTTGAACCTGGGAGGCAGAGATTGCAGTGAGCCGAGATTGCGCCATTGCACTCCAGCCTGGGCAACAGAGTGAGATTCCATCTCAAAAAAGAAAAGAAAAGAAAAGAAAAAATCCAGACCATTCTGTGTCCTTTAGACTCTCAATGTTTGTGGGCAGTGCCAGGGGAGCACAGCTTCACCAAAGCCTGCCCTGGTGACTGCCACCTCTGCAAGGTGGGTTCTGGCACCTGCCTACCACAGGTGCAGTCTCAGATGTGGCCCAGAGAAAGCAAATTCATTTTGCCTGACTCATCTCAGATACTGCCTTTGACATTCATGACTGACCTTTTAAGATGCACCTAAAAAATTAGCCTGGATGATGGTGCACACCTGTAGTCCCAGATGCTTGGGAGGCTCAGGCGGGAGAATGACTTGAGCCCAGGAGTTGGAGTGAGCTATGATTGCACCACTGCACTCCAGCCTGGGTGACAGAGCTGAGACCCTGTCTCTAAAAACAAAATCAAAACAGAGGCACCTGGAATATCTACCTCACACGAAGTGGGTTTTGTCTCATGTATGAAGTTTCTCTAAGATGAGTTTCTTAAAAAGATTCTCCTTGTGTTGGTTTCTAGAAACAGAAAAAATGTGCCAAGTGCCATAGTAATTTCTGGAAGACACTTTTTAGGAGAACTTAAGATGTTTTGAAAATACCACATTATTAGTTTTACCCTTTTGTTGTATGTTTCCATGTTTTTTTTTTTTTTTTTTTTTTTTTTGGTTTTTTTTTTTAGTGGTAACCATATTACATGTCCTTTATGGCCAACTTAGAAAAGAAAGTATATGTTAATAAGTCATCCCCAGCCTTCTGGAGATAAGTGCCATGAAATAGTAGGGAGTGTTTCCTTCGCTTATATTCGAAAGGCTGGGGCTGGGCACGTTGGCTCACGCTTGTAATCCGAGCACTTTAGGAGGCCAAGGTGGGCGGATCATGAGGTTAGGAGCTTGAGACCATCCTGGCCAACATGGTGAAACCCCATCTCTACTAAAAATACAAAAAAGTTAGCTGGGCATGGTGTCGCGCTTGTAGTCCCAGCTACTCAGGAGGCTGAGGGAGAATCGCTTGAACCCGGGAGGCGAAGGTTGCAGTGAGCCGAGATTGCGCCATTGTACTCCACCCTGAGGACAGAGCAAGGCTCCGTCTCAAAAAGAAAAGAAAAAAAAAAAAAAGACTGGAAAATGAGACCTTCTCTAACCCTTTTCAGGAAGAGCACTGTCCATGACCCATGGCTCTGTGAAATCGCCCATCTCCAACGGCACCTTCGGCTTCGACGGCCACACCAGGAGCGACGGTCATGTGTACCACACCGTGCACAAAGACTCGGGGCTCTACAAAGATCTGCTGCACAAAATCCACATCGACAGGGGCCCCGAGGAGAAGCCAGCCCAGGAAAGCAACTACCGGCTGCTGCGCCGAAACAACAGTTACACCTGCTACACCGCAGCCATTTGTGGGCTGCCAGTGCACGCCACCTTTCGAGCTGCGGACTCATCGGCCCCAGAGGACAGTGAGAAGCTGGTGGGCGACACCGTGTCCTACTCCAAGAAGAGGCTGCGCTACGACAGCTACTCGAGCTACTGTAACGCGGTGGCAGAGGCGGAGATCGAGGCGGAGGAGGGCGGCGTGGAGATGAAGCTGGCGTCGGAGCTGGCCGACCCTGACCAGCCGCGAGAGGACCCTGCAGAGGAGGAGAAGGAGGAGAAGGACGCACCCGAGGTTCACCTCCTGTTCCATTTCCTGCAGGTCCTCACCGCCTGTTTCGGGTCCTTTGCTCACGGCGGCAATGACGTGAGGTGGGTGCTTTCATTCATTCATTCAACAAGGGTCCTTGAGGCTCCGCCAGGGGCCAGCGCTGTGCGGGTGCCGGGATCCAGCAGTGAACGGCACCGATGGAAGTCCCTGCCAGGGATAGGGGTGCGCAGGCGGTGGACAGACCCATAAGTCAGCATTGCGTGCGGGACAGCGAGCAGTGTTAACAGGAAAGTAAGGTAGATAGACACAGGGCAGGAGCCGCCAGGATGGCAGTGCGACCTGGGCTTCCAGGGAAGGGCTGGCCGGTGACGGAGGTGCAGGGGCGGCCACGTGGCGTCAGCAGGACGGCAGGTGCAGTCTTGAGGCGGGCACACACCTGTGTTCTCCAGGACAAGCTAGGAGGTCGCCGGTCTGCAGGTCGTGGATGCAGAGCACGTGGCCGATGGACACAGGAAGGAAGGCCTCGCCTCGAGAGGGGAGCCGTGGAGCTGTGAGCAGGGGCCACACAGGGCACATTTGACAGGGGCCACACAGGGCACGTTTGACAGGGGCACTGGCTTTGGACGACGGCCTGGATGCGGATGTGAGAGAAGAAGGAAAGAGGCAGCTGCCAAGATCGGAGCCGTGGCCTTGGCAAAGGCAAGAGTGGAGCTGCTGTCTGTTAGGGATGACGGAGGCCCTGGATGCAGCCAGGGCGCGATGCTGCTATTCAGGTTGAGCAGGCAGCGGCCGTGTACGCCCGAGTTCAGGACAGGCCGGGCTGGGTGCAGAGCAGGTAACGTGGGTGGAGGAGCACTGGGGCAGTGAGGCAGGCAGGCAGGAGGCAGAGTGCACAGACCGAGGAAACAGCCAGAAGGTATGCTGAACCAGGACGCTAGGAGAACTTCCTAGGAGGTGATTTAATTTTTTTTTTTAAGACGGAGTCTCGCTCTGTTCCCCAGGCTGGAGTGCAGTGGCGCAATCTCAGCTCACTGCAACCTCCTTCTCCCAAGTTCAAGTGATTCTCTTGTCTCAGCCTTCCCAAGCCGCTGGGATTACAGGCTCCCCAACCTGGCCCGGCTAATTTTTCTATTTCTAGTAGAGACGGGGTTTCCCATGTTGGCCAGGCTGGTCTCAAACTCCTGACCTCAGGTGATCCGCCCACCTCAGCCTCCCAAAGTGCTGGAATTACAGGTGTGAGCCACCACACCCGGCCATCCTTCAGTGACATCTTCAACCCCAGTGAGAAGGCTCCGTCCCACTCGTGGGCCCTAGTTCTCCCCACTGCACGATGCAGCCGCTGGAGCTGCCGCCCGAGCCTGCAGGTCACTCCACATGGTAATGTCGCAGGCATCCTGCAAATGAGTGTGTAGGGATGGGCAGATATGACCCTCCAACCTTGACCCCACCCACCCCACCTGCCCCACCCCACGCCCAGGCCTGGTGTGTAGGAAGCAGGGCGGCCTCCTGGGGCCTGAGAGCCCCAAGTTTGGGTCTCTGCTGTCGTCTTACAGCTGTGTAACCCCTAGACAAGGCATGTGCTTTTCCGAAGTCTCCGTTTCCCAATCTGTAAAATGGGGGAAAACGAGTCCTAACCTCCCAGGCTTCCCCTGTGTAATATGCTCAGGATGGTGCTCCCCACTCGCTCGGTTTCTGTCCGTTTCTGCTCTTGCCATCACGGTCATGGTGAGTCCACTGACCTTTCAGGGGACTGTGCCGTTGTCGTCTTCTGTCGCAGTCAGTGACTCCCCATGGGCTACGCACACTGCCTCCCCACGTGCAGCTGCAACTCTGCTGTTCGTAAAAGAAGTCTCGCTGCAGATGAACCTGGGCATCTTATGTTCTGCTCAGCATCATATGGGCATTTCTGTGGTATTTTATTTGGTATTTTCTTGGAGACAGCATGCTCTGTCCTATGTTAGTAACTTTTTGTCTGCCCCCACACCGTCCCACTTCCTCCTCCTCATCAAGCATTCTTTCCAGAAGGCCTGGTACTGGCAGAGCGCTAGGAACTGGGTCCTCGTCCATTAGAAGTTTAAACGCCAGTTAGGGAGATGAGAAAAACATATCCGTGGAAAAGTAACAACACATTCTCTAACATTCACACACTCAGATGCACACACACACGCACACACACTCACATGCGCACTCACACGCACACTCACACATGGACTCACGCACATTCACACACACACCATGTTTCATTTCAAAGGAAGCATCTAGGCAGTGGCTGCTCGGGGTGACTGTAGAATTGCGAAGAGTTGCTTGCAGCGTGGGGACTATTCTGGGGCTTTGGAGCAGGGAGAGCGTCTGGTGAAAGCACCATTCTAGAAGTCATCTGAGTGAGAAGAGGCGTCCATGCATTCAGCACGAGGTTGAGCCCCGAGGCCTCAGCACTGAGCTGCCATGGCCTATCCCACCCTGTCTCTAACATCCCTCTGAGCCAGGGGCGGGTGTCTCTCAGAGATGGGATCTGATGCTCAGGGCCACACAGCAAAACCAAAGCCAAATTGGAATCCAGTTTCAGTGACTCAGTGATACCCAGTCTACACAGCTGGCTGGGGGAGGAGACAAGAGCTTGCAGTGAGCTGGGACCATGCCACTGCACTCCAGCCTGGGCGACAGAGTGAGACTGTCTCAAAAAAAAAAATAATCCATTTAATAGGCCGGGTGTGGTGGCTCACGCCTATAATCTCAACACTTCGGGAGGCCGAGGCAGGTGGATCACCTGAGGTCGGGCGTTCAAGACCAGCCTGGACAACATGGTGAAACCCCACCTCTACTAAAAATACAAAAATTAGCTGGGCCTGTTTCTGGGCACTTGTGGTCCCAGCTACTCAGGAAGCTGAGGCACAAGAATCACTTGAACCCAGAAGGCGGAGGTTGCAGTGAGCCGAAATTACACCACTGCACTCCAGCCTGGTGAGATTGTGCCACTGCACTCCAGCCTGGGCAACAGAGGGAGACTCTCTCAAAAATAATAATAATAAATTACACACCTATTAGGATGGCTACCACTTAAAAAAAAAAGTAACAAGTGTTGTCAAGGATGTAGAGAAATTGTAACCCTGTGCACCATTAGTGGGGGTGTAAAATGGTGTAACCACTATGGAAAACAGGATGGAGGCTCCTCAAAAAATTAAACAGACCTCCCCTATGACCCAGCATTCCTGCTTCCGGGTATACATACAGAAGAATTGAAAGCAGAGTCTCAAAGAGATATTTGTACCACATGTTCAAAGCACTGCCGTTTGCAATAGGCAAGAGGGGAGAACAACCCAGATGTCCACTGCCAGGTGAATGGAAACAAATTATGTCCATGCATACACTGGAATATTATTTAGCCTTTAAAAAGAAGGAAGTCCTGTCACTTGCTGTAACATGGATGAACCTGGAGGACATTAGGCTAAGTGAAATAAACCATCACAGAAAGATAAATACTACTCATGCCTGTAATCCCAGCACTTTGGGAGGCTGAGGCGGGCGGATCATGAGGTCAGGAGATCAAGACCATCCTGACTAACACAGTGAAACCCCATCTGTACTAAAAATACAAAAAATTAGCCAGGCGTGGTGGCACGTGCCTGTAATCCCAGCTACTCAGGAGGCTGAGGCAGGAGAATTGCTTGAACCCAGGTGGAGGATATTGCAGTGAGCCGAGATCATGTCACTGCACTCCAGCCTGGGCAACCAAGCAAGACTCCATCTCAAAAAAAAAGATAAATACTCTATGATTCCACTTCTATGAGCTGTCTACAGCAGTCAAATTCCTAGAACTAGAAAGTAGGATGGTGGTTGCCATTAGCTGCGGGGAGGGGCAGTGGGAATTTGTTTAAAGAGTGCAGAGTTTCACATTTGCAAGATGAACAAGTTCTGGAGATCTGTTTCACAACAATGTAAATATACTTAACACTGCTGAACTATAAATAAGAATGATTACGATGGTAAATTTTATGTTATGCTTTTTACCAAAATTAAAAAAAAATCATTTGGACCATGAATAGATTATATAGGTGAACCTCAAATACACCAAGTTGAGCTATGCTCAAGACAAAAGTCACCATGTACAGGAACACCTGGGAGACACTGTGGGTTCCATTCCAGACCACTACAATAAAACAAGTTTCACAATACCCATGAAGTTTTTGGTGTCCCAGTACATAGAAAAGTTATGTTTCTGTAATAGTATACCATAGTCTATTAAATGCGTCTTAAAAACAATGTACATACCTTAATTTGAAAATACTTTATTGCTAAAAAATAATGCTAGCAATCCTGTGAACATTCAGCAATTCATTATTTTGCTGATGGAGGGTCTGGGCCTTGATGTTGATGTCTGCTGACTCATCAGGGTGGTGGTGATTAAAGGTTGGGGTGGCTGTGGCCATTTCTTAAATTAAGACAACAATGAAATTTGCCGCATCAATTAACTTCCTTTCACAAAAGATTTCTTTGCAGCATGTAATGCAGTTTGATAACATTTTACCCACCGTAGAATTTCTTTCAAAATTGGAGTCAATCCCCTCACACCCAGCCTCTGCTCTGATAACTGAGTTTGTGGAATATTCTAAATCCTTTGTTGTCATCTCAACAATGTTCACAACATCTTCACCAGGAGTAGATTTCATCTCAAGAAACTTTCTTTGCTCATCCATAAGAAGCACCTCCTCATCTTTTCAAGTTCTTTCATGAGATTGCAGTAGTTCAGTCACATCGCCAGACTCCACTTCTAGTTCTCTTGCTGTTTCCACCACATCTGCAGTGGCTTCCTTCATTTAAGTTTTGAATCCCTCAAAGTCATCTGTGAGAGTTGGAATCAGCTTCTTCCAAACTCCTGTTAATGTTGGTATTTGCACTTCCTCCCATGAATCACGAATGTTCTAATGGCATCTGGAATGGGGGATCCTTTCCAGAAGGTTTCAATGGACTCCCTAGACCCATCAGAGGAATCACTATCTATGGCAGCTCTAGCCCTACAAAGTGTATTTCTTAAGTAATAAGACTTGAAAGTCAAACTGCTCTTTGATCCATGGGCTGCAGAACAGATGCTGTGTTTGCAGACAGGAAAACAACATTCATCTCCTTGCATATCTCCGTCAGAGCTCTCTGGTGACCAAGTGCATTGTCAATGAGCAGTAATATTTTGAAATATTAATATTTTTTTCTGAGCAGTAGGTCTCAACAGTAGGCTTAAAATATTCAGTAAACCATGCTGTAAACAGATGTGCTTTGTTGTTCCATTTCTAGAGCACAGGCAGAGTAGATTTAGCATCATTCCTAAGAGCAATAGGAGTTTTGGAATGGTAAGTGAACATTGGCTTCAACTAAAGTTACCAGCTGCATTAGCCTCTGAGAAGAGAGTCAGCCTGTCCTTTGAAGCTTTGAAGCCAGGCATTGCCTTCTCTCTGGCTATGGAAGTCCTAGCTGGCATCTTCTACCAATAGAAGACTGTTCTTCTACATTGAAAATCTATTGTTAGTGTAGCCACCTTCATCAGTGATCTTAGATGGATCTTCTGGAGAACTCGCTGCAGCTTCTCCATCAGCACTTGCTACTTCACCTTGCACTTTTATGCTATGAGGATGGCTTCTTTCCTTAAACCTCCAGAACCAACCTCTGCTAGCTTCCAGCTTTTCTTTAGCTTCCTGACTTCTCTCAGCCTTCACAGAATTGAAGAGAACTAGGGCCTTGCTCTGGATTAGGCTTTGACTTAAGGGAATGTTGTGGCTGGTTTGATCTTCTATCCAGACCACTCAAACTGTCTCCATATCAGCACTAAGGCTGTTTTGCTTTCTTATTATTCATGTGTTCATTGAAGTAGCACTTTAAATTTCCTTCAAGAAGCTTTCCCTTTGCATTCAGAGCTTGGCTAACTGTTTGGCCCAAGAGGCCTAGTTTTTGGCCTGTCTCCGATTTTGACATGCCTTCCTCACTAAGCTTAATCATTTCCAGTTTTTTATTTAAACTGAGAGACATGCAACTCTTCCTTTCAGTTGAACACTTAGAGGGCACTGTACGGTAATTTATTGGCTTAATTTCAATATAGCAATATCTCAGGAAATAGGCTGGAGGAGAGGGAGAGAGACAAGGCAGTGGCCGGTCAGTGGAGCAGGGAGAACACACACAGCATTTATCAGTGAAGCTCACCGTCTCATATGGGAACAGTTCATGGCACCCCAAAACAATTATAATAGTAACATAAAAGATCACTGATCACAGATCACCATAACAGATATGATAATAATGAAAAATTCGGGAATACTGTGAGAATTACCAAAATGTGACACAGAGACATGACGTGAGCACATACTGCTGGAAAGTCGCTCCAGCGGACTTGCTTGGTGTGGGGGTGCCACAAACCTCAAATTCATAAAAAACATCCTATCTGAAGGCCAGGTACAGTGGCTCATGCCTGTAATCCCAACACTTTGGGAAGCCAAGGTGGGCAGATCACAAGGTCAGGGGTTCGAGACCAGCCTGGCCAACATGGTGAAACCCCATCTCTACTAAAAATACAAAAATTAGCTGGGTGTGGTGGCCCGCGGCTGTAGTCTCAATTACTCAGGAGGCTGAGGCAGGAGAATCGCTTGAACCGGAGAGGTGGAGGTTGCAGTGAGCCGAGATCACACCACTGCACTCAAGCCTGGGCAACAGAGCAAGACTCTGTCTCAAAAAAAAAGAAAGAAAAACATCATATCTGTGGAGTGTGATAAAGTGAAGCACAATAAAACAAAGTCACCTGTATCATGTACATTGCCGCTTGCATATATAGTTAATCTTTTCTCTTTTTATTTTTCCCAGTAATGCCATCGGTCCCCTGGTAGCCTTGTGGCTGATTTACAAACAAGGCGGGGTAACGCAAGAAGCAGCTACACCCGTCTGGCTGCTGTTTTATGGAGGAGTTGGAATCTGCACAGGCCTCTGGGTCTGGGGGAGAAGAGTGATCCAGACCATGGGGAAGGACCTCACTCCCATCACGCCGTCCAGGTAAGCCTGGGCTGGTGGACGAGCAGGGCAGGTCTTGTCATCCGAGGCCTGGGTAGAGCTTCCCGGCTGTGTCTGAACGGCCTGCTCAGCACTGGCAGTTGGCAGCGGGTCACAGGGAGGAGGAGACAGTGGGCAAGAATGGCCCCACCTAGCATGCCACCTATCCTTGCCCTCCCTTACTGTGCCCGGCCCCCAGCCACAGCGTCCCTGAGATGAGGAGTGGGAAGGGCAGACAAGCAGGGGTAGTGGAGCAGAGCAGGCAGGGAAGAGAGGAGAAGCTCACCCTCAGCCAGCACGGGGGCCAAAGGCAGGTGGGCAGGGAGGGCACAGACTTAAACAGGCCCCTGGGCTGGCCTTTCCTGAAAGTTCTCTGGCCACCCCAGCTCTCAGCAACCACCCTGCTGGGGTTACTTTCCTCTTGCTCTGCCAGACAGGGAGGCGCCCCCTGCCATTGTGGGTGAGCTCTGGAGGCTTTAAATGTGGTCTCTCAACCGCATAGCCTTCAGCTGCATCAGGGGTTAAAGGAACTTCCAGAACTTTCAGAATATGACCAAAATTTGGAGCCACCTGTGGTAGGAAATCTCTGTCTTTTTAAAACATGTGGGAAGTTTCCTTTTCCTACAGGCTCTGGGAGTTTCAGGAAGTGATCCAAAGGCAGCTGGGGTGGGGAGGACCGGAACCCAGGTTTCATCACGCAGCTCTGCCCCGCATCTGCAGAGAAAGCTAAAATAGCTCCAGTGAGCCTCCTATATACACACAGACTTAAAATTTCTAGTTTTAAGTTCTCACTTGAAATTCATTTCAATAAAAGATAGTTTAGAAGATTGATTTGAAGAAAAATTCGTAATCCGAGAAAAATACACTCTTTTGTAATTAGTGCACATTTTTAAAATGAGAGCATAGTTTTTCCTTTGCGTTTTAGAAATGACTGATTTACTATCTTATTGCACAGCAGGAATGTCTGGCCCAGTTACTGCAGTGTGTGGTCTTTGAAAACGTATCAGAAGGCCAGGCTGCTGAGGGCCCATGCACAGGAAAATGCAGCCTTGGTGGGAATTGCTGTTGTTGAGCAGCGGCCTCTTGTTCTGTTAAAATTGATCTTGCCCAGTCAGCAGTCGGCAGTCACCCCAGAGAATGTTCTGGTGAGCCTCTAGCACCCACGGGGTGTCAGGGAGGCTGATACAGAGGGCACCTGTGACGTGTCTCATGCTCCCCCCACAGCGGCTTCACGATCGAGCTGGCCTCAGCCTTCACAGTGGTGATCGCCTCCAACATCGGGCTTCCAGTCAGCACCACGCACTGTAAGGTAGGCCCCTGCTAGCCGGGAGCCCTTCCCCAGGCCGCTGGGACAGGTCCAGGGCCACCGGAGCGCATGCAAGGGAAGCTGTAGGGCTCTGTAGATGGTTGTGCAAAATGCAGCTCCAGGTTCTCCAGGTCTCCGGGACCTTGTATTCCTCCATCTGTTCCCTCCACCGTCCTCCTCTCGGCAGGACGACACTATCTCTCGTTCAGACCTGGCTTTTCCAAGGCAGAATGCCAGGGCTGGCCTGCCTGGGACTGGCCTGCTATCCTCCCACTGTTTCCACAGTGGAGTTTGATTGGCATCCTGTGTGCGCTGGGCATACCTGTGGGCTCACTTGGGAGCCTGCCACTTGGTCCAGCCAATGAGGGGACTGGGGGTTGACAGTGTTAGAAATTAACACAAATCATCTCTGGAATTGTAGGACACAGTTGTTTCTGGTTTTGTTCCTTATATGATGTTCAAAGTGACTATATTGCCATAAATTCCCCACGAGGGGTAATTGCTGATACTGACCACTGCGGAGTGCTCTGAAACCTGCAGCTGGACAAGAGAGGGCTCCTGGTCATGGTGTGGAAAGTTGGAGCTGCAGGGAGGAGCCCTGAAGACCAGTGAAGAGGAAATGGGTTCCGGGAGTTTCAGGGAGTGATCCACAGGTGGCCAGGGTGGGGAGGACCAGAACCCAGGTGGGGAGGACCAGAGCCCCGGTCTCATCACCCAACTCTGCCCAGTATCTGCAGATACTTCTAAAATAGCTCAGGTGAGCCTCTGTATACAGACAAACTCACCAGTCTCAACAAAGCGAAAGTCACTTTGAGATTTTTCCTAGGTTCATTCATTTGTATTATTCAAGAAAAACTAATTGGTGTTTGCTGCTTGGGAGCAGAGCTCTCAGCACCAGGAGGAATATATGAGCCCTCAAAACAGACACAGCCACCCACGTTTCTATTTACTCACAATTTTAAGATTCCAGCCAGTATGTTTAAAAGACAACGCCAAGCAAAGGCAAGTGGCTTCATGCTTCAAACACCCAGGTCAGGTGGCCCTCACAAGAGTATCTGGAGTGGCCCAGCAGCGTGTTTCAAAGCTGGGGCTCCACGCATGAAGAATCAGCCTCAGTGGAAAGAGTTTGTTTTTTCCTTTTTTGCTACCATATACAGAAATACTTCAATTTCCACAAAGTTTCTGTATACAAATCCCCCCACTTACTGATCATCAGGAGAGTGCTGGGTACCGTGCTCAACACCACACGCATGGCACACCGTTCCCTCTCCACAGCAAGCCTGTGGGGGCGGAACTGTCACTCCCAGTCCACAGGTGAGGAGACTGGGTTCCCTCAGAGTTGAGCCGCTTCCCACATGCACACAGCCACATGTGATAGATCCAGGATTCAGATCTTCACCTCAGGCCACACACCTTCTCGTTCAGGTCCCCATCAGCACCATTGTGGTGCCCGACCATGGCCAAGGTGCCTGGGGCAAGCACTCCACTGGTGGTCTCCCCAAGAAGCTTCCCCAGCTTCATAGATGAGGAAACTGAGGCAGAGGAAAGTTAAGTAACGTGCCCGAGATTACACAGCCAGGGAGCAGCCCAGCTGAGGCTCCCACATGGACGGCATGGCCAGCGTCCTCCTCCCCGGCTCCGCCTGGCAAGCATGGGGAAGGAAGGCAGGAAGAGGTGCAGGTGTGCCCGCCACCCATTCATTGTGAGTTTCCTAATGTGGGTTATTTAAAACTTACCAGAGAAGCACATATTCACTGAAATATTTCAAACAATACAAGACTATAAGGAATGAAAAGTGACATCTTCTCTGGACTCCACATCACTTCCATTCACTGTGGTGTGTGGAGCGTGGAGGAGACGCGTGTCACTAAATACATTCTTTTCCAAGGACACGGGCTTATGACTTTTCTATAGGCATCAGTTGTCTTTTGGAATGCTTTTAAACAGATGTAATGCCATCTTTTTAATGATTAACCTACACTAAAGCAAGACTGCTGAAGGCAGACTCTTCTACACCAGTTGAAATAGCTTTTTTTTGTTTTGTTTTGTTTTGTTTTGTTTTGTTTTTGAGATGGAGTCTCACTCTCATCCAGGCTGGAGTGCGGTGGCATGGTCCCAGCTCACCGCAGCCTCTGCCTCCTGAGTTCAAGCAGTTCTCCTGCCTCAGCCTCCGGGTAGCTGAGATTACAGGCATGCACCACCACACCCAGCTAATTTTTGTATTTTTAGTAGAGACATGGCTTCACCATGTTGGCAAGGCTGGTCTCGAACTCCTGACCTCAGGTGATCTGCCTGCCTCAGCCTCCCAAAGTGCTGGGATTACAGGCGTGAGCCACCGTGCCTGGCCTGAAAGAGCTTTTGAAAAAACAGCACAGGTTTGGTTCTTCCAGGTTGGTGCTACTTAGCTAACTGTATGAGCAGTCTAATCCGTTTGTATGTATACTGTATACAGTGTTGGAATGGACAGTACTGATTTTGCTAATAACACTAAACTCTAGAATACAGTTTATAGGAATAGATGAAAAGTATAAAATGCTTATTTAAAAAGCCAAACTCTTGAATTATCTATATGCATGATTTCCCCAATACTGTATTGATATATATACTATAATGATGTGTGACTAAGAGATTTACATCCAGTTTGTACAGGACCTTAGTGAATAGATGTATATGTTATCATTATCCTAAAATACCTGTACAAAGTACATGATAAGGTTTTTTTTTTGAGATGGAGTCTCGCTCTGTCACCCAGGCTGGAGTGCAGTGGCGCCATCTCCACTCACTGCAAGCTCCGCCTCCTGGGTTCATGCCATTCTCCTGCCTCAGCTTCCTGAGTAGCTGGGACTACAGGTGCCCACCACCAGCTACTTTTTTATATTTTTAGTAGAGACGGGGTTTCACCGTGTTAGCCAGGATGGTCTCGATCTCCTGACCTCGTGATCCGCCCGCCTCAGCCTCCCAAAGTGCTGGGATTACAGACATGAGCCACCGTGCCCAGCCAGTTTTGTTTCCTTTGAGCTGGTGATGAGTAGTATTAGGATAGCTTCTTGGCACTTAAAGCAGGTCTCCCTGAATGGGACTGCAGCAGGGTGCCATCTATAAAATTGACAAGACAGGTCACAACTTGGATTTGAGTAAGTTTGTCCGATATCATTGATCGTGGACTTCTGGACAAAGCCTAGAGCTATTCCCTGTGAGCACTAAGGACAGAGTCTCAGCTCTCAGGAACTTGCCGTGTAGTTGGAGAGCAGATGGCTCTCATCAGAGTCCAAATAATAGAAGTGCTGAGAAGAGCTCACAGTTGTCATTACCCCATAACACTTATTCTCTCATATCACATATTTCCCCTGCACACAACAGTCCCCAAATGGCAAACGTGGGATGAACTATGAGAGCTGTGGGATGGCGTGAAGAATGGGGCCCTCTGTAAGTGAGACTGTGAATCTGGAAACATTGAAAGGGTATTGATGTCCACATAGAGTCATAGTTGAATTGCATCAGTTTTCAGGATAATTATCCTGTGTTTGATTTTTAAGTTTCATGCTTAGAGCCATCTAATAGAAAGTAGGGAGAAGTTGGGGACTTGGCAGGAAATAAGATGGAAACTATTGTTTAAAATGAGGTTTTTAATGTATCTAGGTAGATGTTATTGATTTATGCTTCCTTCTAAGTGTACATGGCTAAGTGCATAGATTTGTTTTGTTTTGTTTTGTTTGAGACAGAGTCTTGCTTTGTGGCCCAGGCTGGAGTGCAGTGGCTTGATCTTGGCTCACTGCGACCTCCGCCTCCTGGGTTCAAGCAGTTTTCCTGCCTCAGCCTCCTGAGTAGCTGAGATTACAGGCATGCACCACCATGGTTGGCTAATTTTTGTATTTTTAGTAGAAATGGGGTTTCTCCATGTTAGCCAGGCTGGTCTTGAACTCCTGACCTCAAGTGGTCTGCCTGCCTCGGCCTCCCAAAGTGCTGGAATTACAGGCATGAGCCAGTGCGCCCGGCCTAAGTGCATAGTTTCAATTTTGTCGTAGCCTATTTCAAAACATTTATGAAACCATACTATATTATGTGATATATGAACTGAAGGTATAACTTGGGAAAAAACAATTAGGAAAGTCCTGTTATCACATTTTATTCCAGAAGGCATATATAAGGCAGTCTGTTTGATGAGTTACACCCTCTGTATGTATTCTGGTTTTATATATTTTGTATTTCATATCAGAGGACTCAGTTTATCAGATATTTTCCTGGAATAATACCTTTGAGTAGGGTCAAAAGCCTTAATTGGCCAGGTACGGTGGCTCATGCCTATAATCCTAGCTACTCGGGAGGCTGAGGCCGGAGAATCGCTTGAACCCGGGAGGCGGAGGTTGTGGTGAGTGGAGATTGCACCATTGCACTTCAGCCTGGGCAACAAGAGCAAAACTATCCCCCCCCGCACCCCCCAAAAAAAGCCTTAATTGAAGACACAGAAACCGGTTTTGAAAATAAAAGAATCCTCAGATGTTATGTTTCAGCAATTCGTTCATCATTCTTCCCTTCTGTGACCCTTAATCACGTTTGGTCTTTAGCCCTAGCAGATAACACACAGTGCCACTACTGAGCACAGTTGCTCATGTGTGTGCTCTTTAATAGGAATTTGGAAGTCATATTCTGCAGAATGTTTTAATTCCATACTGGGTGGATTGAGATTATTCCTGTTTGTGGATCACCCACATTGTCAGTCCTCACTGATGACATAGATGATGATTCAACCACCATTTCAATTTGGAACAGCATACAGGGAACACTACTGATTTCAAATGTAGGATTATAATTTCTAATTTAATTTCTAATTCTTGTTCTCTGGTCCCCCTTCTTCTCAACAATTTTTTGCTATAAGTACCTGATGATGGCCTTAAACTGGAAACACACTCGATTTATTAAAAGGGAAGTTAGAACACAGCAAAAAAATAACATTTTACATTCACGGAAGACATGATCAGTAGCAAAGACATAGTACTCTGGATCTTTTATGAATCAAATAACATGTAACTAAATACATAAAATTGTTAAGAACTCAGAAATTACTGTCTTAGCGTATGATAAATGAAGTATAGAAAAAGTATGTGGGAATATGAAGAATTTGAACGTTTATTTAGAACAGCATAATTAATAAATATGTACAAGTTTTTACGCTACTGATCATATGCCTTCCTGTCAAGCATCGTGAAACATTTATAAAAATCCTAAAATCAGAAGACCATGATAAAAATCTCTATAAAATTTTAAAAACAGACCTGACATGGTGGCTCACACCTGTAATCCCAGCACTTTGGGAGGCAGAGGTAGGAGGATCGCTTGAGCCCAGAAGTTTGAAACCAGCCTGGGGCAACATAGTGAGACCCTGTCTCTATTTTATAAAAGTTAAAATTTAAATTAAAAAAAAAAAAAGTTTAAAGATAAGTTGTGCTAACCATGATCTCTAATTACAATAAAATTAAACTAGAAATTAATTATATATTGAAATAAGAATGTATCCCAATGGAGACTTTTTAATGCTTTTTTAAGGTAACAATTGAATTAAGGAGTTTAGAAAAATACAAGGATAGCTTTCTTGGAAAATAATAAAAACCAAATGTGTGTGTCTGTGGGTGGATACAAACAGCAAAACCTGTGGCAACCAAGTTATGCTAAGATGAAAATTCATATCTTTAAATGGTTTAATTGATCAAAGGGAAAATAAAATAACCAAGTATTAAAATTAGGATTTTGTAAAAAGTCCAGGACAGTAAGAATTGAGGAAACAGGTTGTAAGAAATATAGAAGCAAAATTAATTTAAAACAAAATAAGAAGGGGAGAGGAAAGTGGCTACTAACAAAATGTCAGATCACATCAAGGAAAAGAGGGAGGGGAAGGAGGAAGACATTGTAACAACAGAGAAGAGAACTGTTTCCATTATTAAATAAGCCACACAGCTATATGCTAAGAATTTGAAAACCCATGTGAATTATTTTCTGCAACAATATACGTGACAAAGAAATATTGGCCTAAGAAGTAGAAAAAAGTGGAAAATCTGACCCAGAACAATAGGATGAAATTAAGGGAGTTCTCCAAAAATAATTGTTCCCACCTAAAAAAGCAAAAAGGGGCTAGGGGTGGGGCGGGTGAGGATACTGCTGACTAGAGGAATTCATTAGAATCTTTTCCATTTAAACAAAAAAAAACCCAGCTCTCACACGATCTCAACTTTCCCACAATGTAGGAAGAAAAACAAAACTAAAAAACCTCTCCCATTTGTGCTATGGCGTACACTGAATAACCCTAATACCAAACCTAATTTAAAATATCACAAACAATGAAATCTGTTTACCGATGAATATTGATTGTAAAAACTTTAAGCAAGATGCTGAAAAATGACATCAACAATATTTGGCTGGGCATGGTGGCTCGTGCCTGTAATCCCAGCACTTTGGGAGGCTGAGGTGGGCAGATCATCTGAGGTCAGGAGTTCGAGACCAGCCTGGCCAACATGGCAAAACCCCGTCTCTACTAAAAATATAAAAATTAGGCAAGTGTGGTGGTGGGTGCCTGTAATCCCAGCTACTAGGGAGGCTGAGGCAGGAGAATCGCTTGAACCCAGGAGGTGGAGGTTGCAGTGAGCTGAGATTGTGCCACTGCACTCCAGCCTGGGCGACAGAGCAAGACTCTATCTCAAAACAAAACAATACTATACAAGAACCTTTCAGCAGGACCAAATTGATCAAGATTACCAGAAAGTGGGCTCCCTTCGTGACAGGGCAGGACTGCATCACCCACCACCAGCAGGCTGTGCAGGGCAAGGTCCTCGCAGGGGCTCAAGTTGGGTATATAGGCAGCTTCAGTATAATATGCCTTAGCAATCCACTTAAAAAAAAAAAGATCTCTGTTGAGATATAAGCCAAAAAGACATTTGATGATATTCAGTATTTCTTTTTTTTTGAGACGGAGTTTCACTCGTTACCCAGGCTGGAGTGCCATAATGGCATGATCTCAGCTCACCACAACCTCCACCTCCCGGGTTCAAGCAATTCTCCTGCCTCAGCCTCCCGAGTAGCTGGGATTACAGGTGTGCAGCACCACACCCAGCTAATTTTGTATTTTTAGTAGAGACGGGGTTTCTCCATGTTGGTCAGGCTGGTCTCGAACTCCTGACCTCAGGTGATCTGCCCGCCTCGGCCTCCCAAAGTGCTGGGATTACAGGCATGAGCCACCGCACCCGGCCGATATTCAGTATTTCTAAAACACTACTAGAGTTCGTAAGAGTGACCAAGTCCAAGGTAAAAATAGAAAAATCCAGCACTTGTTCATCAGCAATAGCCAATTAGAAAATGTAACGGGAGGGAAAAAAACTGCCACCATAATTGCAGCAAAAATAAAAGTTATCTCAGAATAATCCTAATAAGCACTGTGAGTGTCATCAGGCACATGGTGTGTTCTTATAGTCCCAGCTACTCAGGAGGCTGAAGGTACGAGGACAGCCTGAACCCAGGAGTTCAAGACCAGTCTAGGCAACATAGTAAGACCCCATCTCTAAACAACTAAATAAATAATTTTTTAAAAAAGAAATGTGAGTGATATATATGGAAGAGGCACAAAACTGCTCAGAGGTATAAAAAGATAATCTGAATATGAGACGTAATGTGCTATTGGATGGGAAAACCAGATGTTGTAATGAAGTCACTTCTCCCTAAATACAACCTGAACAGGATTTTACTTGGAATTTTACAAAACGAGACTAAAGAATACATTTTGGTGAAATAAATTATCAGCAATATAAAATGATCTAACAAGAAAACTGAAAGGAGGAACTAGCCTTACCTGACGTATAATGTCATATAAGGAAACAAAAGTCAAGAGTAGGTCCTGGGAGGAGGGGCTAGAACTGGGTGTTAGTGTTTTATGGGGCAGTTTCCCCGTGGGATGATGAAAAAGTTCTGGAGACAGATTGTGGTGATGGTTTGCAAAACAATGTGATTGTACTTAATGCCTCTAAATGGTATGCTGAAAAATTACTAAAACTGTAAGTTTTATGTTATGTATATCTTACCACAATAATTTTTAAAAGTAGATACCTGGATAAGAACAGAGTAGATAGCAATGGATGGAACCTGTTCTATATGAGCATGTATTTTGAAAAAGGGAAAATTTAACCAGTAAGTGTTTGAAAGGTTGAATAGCTGACTGTCAGTCTAGAAAAACAAAATTAGACCACTCTCAAAATACATGAACATAAATCTGATGGCTTAAATAATATTTTAAAAATATTCTTAAATTTAGAGTAAAATGGAATTTTATTTTAGAAAAATAAAATGGAATTAAATATTTATCAAATATTCAAGCCAAGGATAAATCACAGAAGAAAATTATAGCATATTTTATTGCATGAAGTTAGAAACTTGAAAGTGAAACAAAGCAAAATACTACCTTAAGAAAATGTGTATTCGATATCACAGAGTTAATATTATTCAGTGAAGACTACACATAAATAAATAAGGAACACATTAGATTTTAGTATGTAAATGGACAAAATACATGAAGAGACAATTTTTTTTTTTTTTTGAGACGGAGTTTTACTCTGTCACCCAGGCTGGAGTGCAGTGGTGCCATCTCGGCTCACTGCAACCTCCACCTCCCCAGTTCAAGCGATTCTCCTGCCTCAGCCACCCAAGTAGCTGGGACTACAGGTGTGCACCACCACGCCTAGCTAATTTTTTGTATTTTTAGTAGAGATGGGGTTTCACCCTGTTAGCCAGCATGGTCTTGATCTCCTGACCTTGTATCCGCCCGCCTTGGCCTCCCAAAGTGCTGGGATTACAAGCATGAGCCACTGCACCTGGCCGACAATTTGTATATGTGAAAGCTAGAGAGAGTGAAATTCAGTAAATATATTTTTTAAAGTTCAGCCTTAATTGTAATTAAAGATACGCAAATTAAAACAGCAACAGTGCATCTTTTTGTCGGTTAATTAGCCAAAAAAAGAGCAACTTACATGATATCATGTGCTGATATTCACAGATTATGGATGACACTACATTAACAGCTATTTATAAAACTATTTGTCATTATGTATTAAGGTCCTAAAACACGTTGGGAGAGGAAAGAGCTCTTCCTTGAAGTAGAACTCCATGTGAGAAATTGCAATGGACTTTGGTAAATCACCATTTTATTTTATTTATTTTTTATTTTATTTTTTTTTGAGACTGAGTCTCATTCTGTTGTCCAGGCTGGAGTGCAGTATCGCGATCTTGGCTCACTGCAACCTCCACCTCCCAGGTTCAAGTGAGTAGCTGGGATTCCAGGTATGCACCACCACACCTGGCTAATTTTTTTTATTTTTAGTAGAGACAGGGTTTCACCATGTTGGTCAGGCTGGTCTCGAACTCCTGACCTCAGGTGATCCACCCGCCTCGGCCTCCTGAAGTGCTGAGATTACAGGCGTGAGCCACCATGCCCGGCCTGGTAAATCACCATTTTATAGCCATCGTCATAAACATTGGATTGTGAAATCTTTAGCAGAAGGGGAAAGTGAGGTTTGATAAGATGCAGGATATTTTAATCATATTAAAAAGTCTCTTCACAGATTGTGGCAAATGTCAAAAAATAGTGAATTGGGTAAAGAGAAAACAGGAGTTCTTGCAGCTTTTCTCTAAGTTTTGAATTATTTCAAGATACATTTTAAATGTTCCCTGTTAACTACAGTCGATTTCAGGGAATTTTTTTTTTTTTTTTTTTTTTTGAGACAGAGTCTCTCTCTGTCGCCCAGGTTGGAGTGCAGTGGCATGATCTCCGCTCACTGCAAGCTCAATGCAAGCTCCGCCTCCCAGGTTCACGCCATTCTCCCGCCTCAGCCTCCCAAGTAGCTGGGACTACAGGCGCCTGCCACCACGCCTGGCTAATTTTTGGTATTCTTAGTAGAGACGGGGTTTCACCGTGTTAGCCAGGATGGTCTCCATCTCCTGACCTCGTGATCCGCCCACCTCAGCCTCCCAAAGTGCTGGGATTACAGGCGGAAGCCACCGCGCACGGCCGGGAATATTATTTTTAAAGCCAAAATCCAACCTGGGCACAGTGGCTCACGCCTGTAATCCCAGCACTTTGGGAGGCTGAGGCGGGCCGATCACTTGAGGCCAGGAGTTTGAGACCAGCCTGACCAACATGGCGAAACCCCATCTCTACTAAAAAATATGAAAATTAGCTGGATGTGGTGGTGCTTGCCTGTAATCCCACCTACTCAGGAGGCTGAGACAGGAGAATCGCTTGAACCTGGGAGACATAGCTTGCAGTGAGCTGAGATTGCACCACTGTACTCCAGCACTTTGGGAGGCCAAGGAGGGAGGGTCACTTGAGGTGAGGAGTTCCACATCAGCGTGGCCAACATGGTGAAACCCCGTCTCTACTAAAAATATGAAAATTAGCCAAGGGTGATGGCATGCGCCTGTAATCTCAGCTGCTCAGGAGGCTGAGGCAGGAGAATTGCTTGAACCTGGGAGATGGAGGTTGCAGTAAGCTGAGATCACACCACTGCACTCCAGCCTGGGTGAAGAGTGAGACTGTCTCAAAACAACTATATAAAACAACTATATAAAGAGCTATATGCTGAAGAGAAGAATCCCCAAACAATTCTACCTAAAATCTAAGCTATTTTAAAAGCTTTAACAAATGTAGGGGACTGGGTAATGTTGTACTAGAGCTTGTTTCTGAGATTAGCCCATGTACATTGGTAGAGTGTAGCCTTTGTGGCTCACCTGTTTTTACTTTGCAATGTCTGCTCCCACAGGTGGGCTCGGTGGTGGCCGTGGGCTGGATCCGCTCCCGCAAGGCTGTGGACTGGCGCCTCTTTCGGAACATCTTCGTGGCCTGGTTCGTGACCGTCCCTGTGGCTGGGCTGTTCAGCGCTGCTGTCATGGCTCTTCTCATGTATGGGATCCTTCCATATGTGTGATTTGTCTTCTTCCAGCTGCAAACAGCTAAAGGGATGGTCTGGTGTTGGCGTGTGGGAGACATGTGTGCTCGTGCCGCACATACACATCCTGGCCGTGCACGGCTCTCTCATGACCAGCTCTCTGCCTCCCTTCCAGGAGGCTCCATCCCACACTGTTCACCCAGGCTGCGGAGACTCACCTTCCCGAGCTAACTTAACTACTGTACATAATAATATGTATTAAACTGGTATCGTGGTGATATAATGTGGTGCAGTTACTTATATATTAAATATCTATTGTATCCATAGAATAGGCAGCATTATTTCAAACATATTCAAGTTGGGAGTGGAGATCATTGCCTAGAAGTCAATATTCAATAAATCTTGTACATAACTATTTCGATGGCAAATGTTAAGCCTTCTAAAAGGAAAGTGTAGATTGGAAAATGATTTTTTTTCCAAATGATGTTTTTGCCTTCTAATATACTGTAAGGTAATGAGCTTCAGAACAGGCAACCTGACCCTGCAGAGGTCGCGTGCTGTGGGATGACAGCGGGACGGGAGCTCACAAGTGCTTTCACTGAAGATTTGTTCATATACTGTGTATTGATTGTTGTGTAATATATCATCATTGCTTTTGTAAATACGTAAAACTGTAATTTTTTAATGGTGTGCTTCCCTTATACTTTTTTGATCAGAGAATTTTGGAAAGTACCAAAGAAGCAGGGGAATCATTGGCCAGTGTTACGTTTTCACATTGTCTGTCTCCCACCCTCACTGATCACGCCTGCCCCAGAGCAGTGTGTGGCGGTGACACCGTCACCCAGCATGCGCCACGCCGTGGCTCCCACCAGCAGTGCCACCGCCACCACACCCCAGATCCCACCCACCTTGCAGTGGCCTTTCCTTGTCATCAGAGTAGAGAATGCACAGGTGTTGGTGAGGGCGTGTGGCTGAGCACTACATGTCAAGTCCAGAGTCAGTTTCTATCCCAATTCTCCCTGCAGCCTGAAGAACGGATCCTTGTCTCCAATGTCAGCACAAAGGAGGCTTTTTCTGTGCTTTGACATTCTAGCACTTCAGGGATGAGAGGGAGGGAGAATCCTGGATGCTGGATGGAGTATTTCTCTGAGGCCCACACAAAGCTGGACACCCCCAGGCTCTACTCCATCCCATTGGAGTCTCTTCTTTTTTTGATAGCGGGAGGGAGGAAGTACGACTAATGTTGGAGCCTGAAACTATGGAAATGCTGCTAAAATTTTTATATTGACAAACATTTTCTTGGTACTTCATTGTCATTTTTCATTAATCAACCATATTAAATTTATAATAAAAAATGCCCCTCAGAAGTTTGCCTCTGAAGCCTTTTTCTCAATATTGACAATTTTTCTTTCAGAGTGAGTTTCCACAAAAACCAAAGCTATATAATTTGGCCCTTGTATTTTTCACATACCTTTTTTTGGTTTCCCTTATTTGACTACTGTTACGGGCTTGTACAGAAAACACAGGTGAGCAGGAAAGGGAGGCACGGCGTCCCCGCCCCGCATTCAGAAACCCGCAGTCAGCAGCTCATGGAGCAGTCGGTTGCCATGTTCAGGGCTGAGGACCCAGCAGGGAAGTGCAGGTCTTATCCTTTGCTCAAGCAGCCAAAAACACCCTGGCTTGCATATTCTGGAGCCCCCAGAGGGAAACCCCTTAATCCTCTGTAGCGGTGGTGGCACAAGCTCCGACTCCCTTAGGAGCTGTGAAGGTGACAGATGAGGCAAAGTGGCAGGTGTGAAAAATGCATCTTGTGGCCGGGCACGGTGGCTCACGCCTGTAATCCCAACACTTTGTGAGGCTGAGGTGGGCGGATCATGAGGTCAGAAGATGGAAACCTTCCTGGCCAACATAGTGAAACCCCATCTCTACTAAAATACAAAAAAATTAGCCTGGCGTGGTGGCATGCGCCTGTAGTCCCAGCTACTTGGGAGGCTGAGGCAGGGGAATTGCTTGAACCCGGGAGGCGGAGGTTGCAGTGAGCCAAGATCACGCCACTGCACGCTAGCCTGCCGACAGAGAAAGACTCCATCTCAAAAAAAAAAAAAAAAAAAATGCATCTCCACTAAGAGCCCTGCCCTTTCTGGTGTTTAAAATGGCACCTTCAGCCCTTCATTTCCGCACTTCAAGTAACAGCACAACACAATGCAGGTGAACCTTGTGCAGCCTAAGCAGTCTGCGGGATTCAGGCAGAGACGCTAGCCACCCCTGTCCAGGGAGGAGGGCTGCCACCTGGGAGCCCCGGCCCGGCCCAGCAGGCAGGACAGCAGAGGCAGCATCTTGGGGTGAGAGGGAAACAGGCCACACTCACCACATTGAGCATTCTCGTGACTGAGCACAGGCGCCTCAGTGGCAGTTCTGGGAGAAGCCTCGCCTACCCACACCCCTGCCCGGCCTCACTGTGATCTGACACACAGGGCCACCTGGCCAGCCGATCGCCTGCGAGGGAGGGAAGTCACTTCACCTGGGACCCCTCCCTCTGCAAGGTGGCTCCTGTGGGTGGCTGGGGGTGCTGCAAGCCAAGGGCGGGAAAGCAGAGTGCCCAGGGAGCCAAGCGAGGTGGTTGGGAGGGTTTGGTCAGCTGAGTCCAAGCATGGACCATCTCCAAGCTGGAGGGGACGCTGGCAGAGGCTCCCTGTCTTGGGCCACCAGCCCACAGTTCTACCCAGAGAATCTTTCCTGAGTTCACCAGCTTCTTCCTCTAATAATGCAGAGTCTTCAGACAGAGGGAACCTCACACAGACGGTGTGGGCAGTGCTGCTCACTGCGATTCTTTTCATGGGATCCCTTTACTCCACCTGACAGAACCATGGGGAGGCCTAGAGACGCCTCTTTGCTGCTGTCTGGGCTCCTCTGAGGGGGGAAAATCTGGATGCTGTCAGAGGAGCTTGAGTTCTGAGACAATGGTCTTTTACTTTATTATTGCTTTTCCAAAGGGAATGAATTTTTTTTTTTTTTGAGACAGTCTCTGTAGCCCAAGCTGGAGTACAATGGCGTGATCTCAGCTCACTGCAACCTCTGCCTCCCGTGCTCAAGCGATTCTCGTGCATCAGCCTCCCGAGTAGCTGGGACTACAGGCACCCACCACCACACCCGGCTAATTTTTTTTTGTATTTTTTTGTTTTTGTTTTTGTTTTTTTGAGACGGAGACTCACTCTGTCACCCAGGCTGGAGTGCAATGGCACAATCTCGGCTCACTGCAACATCTCCCACCCAGGTTCAAGCAATTCTCCTGCCTCAGCCTCCTGAGTAGTGGGGACTACAGGTGCCTGCCACCGCACCCGGCTAATTTTTTGTGTGTTTTTAGTAGAGACGGGGGTTTCACCGTCTTGGTCAGGCTGGTCTTGAACTCCTGACCTCATGATCCACCCGCCTCGGCCTCCCAAAGTGCTGGGATTATAGGTGTGAGCCACCACTTCGGGCCAGGAATGAACTTTTGAGCAAATACCTAAACACAATGGATTCATTTTCAACAAGACAATTTTTTAAATAAGCCCTCTCCACCTCGCCTTCTTAAAAGAAGCTGAATTCTTAAGCAGTAGAGATCTCAAGCTGCAGAATAAACATTTAAAATCAGCAAACATTTAAAGTCAGTTCAGGATGACATGTAAAGATCTCTGGCCTCTGGGTTTATTTGATGACAAAGTGAGGTGGTGAAAAGGCCCTCTGTGTAGCTGGCACAGTGAGTTTTGAGGCATCCCAGGACAAGGCTGTTGCTGGACTGTGCTTGCCCGTGGGGGATCACACTTGCCGGTGCCTTGAAGGCTCCTGGAGTCTGGCAGAACCAGGCTCAGAGTTCAGCTCCTGCTTCACTAACCCTGGGCCACTTCCATCGCTCCTATTAGAGCCAGTTTTCTTGTGTACAAAATGGGCCAAGGGACCCTTTCCCGGGAGTGTGAGGAATCAGGGCATCGGCATGAAAAAGGGATCACCCCAGGGCCTGGTACCAAACGGGCTCCTCAGGCAAGCATTTGTCCCTCTCTTGTGGGTGAATCCTTTATTTTTATGGGTGAGTCCCCTCAGGAGGATGGCTCTCAGGAGAGCATTAATGGGATGATGAAGAAAAGGAATAGAAAAGAGACCACAGTTAAACAAAACCACTAGAGACAAGGACGCTAGCAAATCAGTTCCCTGCATGATGGGGGACTGGGGAAACCCATAGAATGTGGTTACATAAGCAGGCAGTGGAGCTCTGCTCTTGGATTAACTGTCACCCTCTTAAATATTTTTATCCTTCATTATATTGAAAAAACAATAGGCCAGCCGCAGTGGCTCACGACTGTAACCCCAGCACTTTGGGAGGCCGAGGCGGGTGGATCACTTGAGGGCAGAAGTTCAAGACCAGCCTGGACAAAATGGTGAAACCCCGTCTCTACTAAAAATACAAAAAAATTAGCCAGATATGGTGGTGCACACCTATAACCCCAGCTACTCCGGAGTCTGAGGCAGGAGAATCGCTTGAACCCAGGAGGCAGAGGTTGCAGTGAGCCGAGATCATGCCATTGCACTCCAGCCTGGGCAACAAGAGCGAAACTCTGTCTCAAAAAAAAAAAAAAAAAAAGCATGACTAATATTATGAAAAAAAAAAGTCACCTACATCCCATAATCCTGCCACCACCCTTCTGAAACATTTTCATTTCCCTTATTTTACTGGATCTTTGAAACACGTGGAGCTGGCCGGCCACTGCAGGCACCAAAGCCCAGAATGAGAAAAAGTTTCGGGGCCAACTCATCCGGGGCCAGGGCAGGCCTCAGGCTTCCTGACCTTATCTGGAGTCTTCCGGTTCAGCAGCGGCCAGGCCCGTCCACAGCTGTGATCTCCATAAAAGGGGACTGTGGGTAGGCCCGGGAGGAAGTTCCAGGAAGGAGCACTGCGAGAGGTGATTAGGAGCTTGGAAAGGAAGCCTAGGAAGAGAGGGTGAGGGCTCATTCCGCCTGTTTTTATAAAGGAAACACGAGAATTCAATATGATCTTAAGTGAAGGGTTTCAGACTCAGTGAGGATGACCATCTGCTCTCCGTGTGGCTAGAACAAAATCTGCTTACACAGCAAAAGGGATTTGGGCCAGAGTAAGATGGAGAATTTCCTTGCTTTTCCCAAGACTTGCCATTTAGAGGTTAAACCTGACCCTAATTAGAGACTGCAATGAGTGGTAGGGAGTGGGGCAAGGAGGTCAAAAGAGGGACTTAAAGGGCTCCAGGCAGAAAGCACGGACGAGGAAGCTGTGGGCATCTCTGTTTGGCAGCAACAACAGCGGCACCTGGTGGGGTCGAGTTTAATTGCAACTATCTCTGGCCTATCAGACTATCTCTGGCCCTTTCAATTGCCAGCAGTGAAGTCACCTCACTGAGTGTTAATTATACCATAATTCAGAGTTGCAAGAAATGCTCAGAAGTGCCAGGAATGGTCTGTGTTTCTTTGGTGGTCACAGGGAACTATGAGCGCCTGCTGAAGGAGAACCTCGGTCCCTAAGCAGAAATCCCCTTGCCTGGGAGGCCCGACCAGGCCCGCTTGTCTGAGGGCTCCTGTTCAGCAATCATCATCCACCAGTGCCTATCACCTGGCACACGACAGCCTGGCCGCTGCTGGAATGAAGACAGAGAGGCCTCCAGCACTCATGGGCAGAGGGGAGACAGGCACGCAGCTGCACCACAACGCTTGCCGCCGAGGCTGTGTTCACTGGAGCTGGGAGAGGTCGGGAGGAATTGTCAGAGCAGAGGCGGCAATGCGGCCGAGACTCCACGTGCGAAGGGCACCCAGCGCACAGTTTCCGCCTGGGGAACGGTGACTTCTGGATGCCTGCAGAATCTCCGAGAAGAGACGTTTGCCAGGCAGCTTGAAATAAAGGTTTGGAGTTCAAGAGGGAGTTCTGCGATGGAGAAATGCTTCGGGAAAGAGCTTCAGGAGGCAGCCGTCCGGGAGGCAGGTGGGAGTGGCAGTTTACGGAGCAGGGCGGGTTATGAGCCCGGTCGGAAGGCGGGCAGAACACGCTCCACTCTCCTAGCGCCAGGCCTGGACGCCCACCCCAGGTGGGCCGCCAGATCCCGGAGAGGGGCAGAGCTGACTGTGCCTACACTGCACGGGAATGCTGAGCCCCGTCCTTAACCTTCCTTCCACGTGACTGGACCCCATTTGGAATCCACTTTTGCTTCCTACCCCCTTTAATCCACTCCGCCAGAGGAAAGGAGTGTATTCGGTAACTACGTTGGGGAAGAAGGAACTGGGCGTATTGGAGTCAGCCCCCCTTGGGAGGCGCCCCCGTCTCCTCCGGGCCACCCAACCTCGGCAGGAGGGGAGGCCTGCCCAGCCCGACATTGCTGGTGACTCACCCTAAGCCACAGCCTCACTGGGCCTTTCTCAGTGGGAAAAGCGACATTCATGGAGGTCCATCCAATGGCACCCTGTCCTAATTTACAATTCGTTTTGTTTTTTAAGAGACGGGGTTCTCATTATGTTGCCCAGGCTGGTCTCGAATCCCTAGGCTTAAGGGCTCCTCTGGCTCCGAAAGTTTTAGGATTCCCGGCGTGAACCACCGCGCGGCCACGATTTGTTCGAAGCTGGGCAAGGCCGGTGGCGCTAGTATCCGACCACCCTTACCTGAGAGGCCGCTGGGGCGCAGAGGAGCCCACGATTAAGGGCGCGCGGGATGTGAAAACGCCCCTCGCGCTAACACACACGCCTGCACCCAGAACCGGGCTGTGGGTTACAGGGGAGGCAGCACCTGAGCGCCAGCACTGGCGTGGTGGGCAAGGGAAAAGGGGGCTTTGCTTCTCAAGGGTAGCCGAGGAAGCGGCATGCGGAAGGCCGGGCTTGGAGTGGGGACCCCGAGCGTTTACCGAGAACGCTCAGGGGGCCGCGCGGCTCCGGCCCCTTCTGAGCTCCCTTCCCAGCCCCTGCGCTAGAAGCTGAGGCTCAGAAAGGTAACAGCGAGCCTCCGAGGACAGGCACAGGAAGCCAGACGAAACCCCAGGACAGCACCGTCCTCCTCTGTCCCTTGAGCAGACCCTCGGCACAGGACGACGGTCAGCTATGCACAGTGACATCCTCCCGGTGACTTGTGGGAAAATCGGTATGTAAAATAGGATGCGTTCCCTTAACATTTGGCTCATGCCCGTAATCCCAGCACTTTGGGAGGCCGAGGCGGGCGGATCACCCGAGGTCAGGAGTTCGAGACCAGCCTGGCCAGCATGGTGAAACCCCCGACCTCTACTAAAAATACAAAAAATTAGCTGGGCGTGGTGGCAGGCACCTGTAATCCCAGCTACTCAGGAGGCTGAGGCAGGAGAATCGCTTGAACCCAGGAGGCTGAGGTTGCAGGGACCGAAATCGTGCAGCCTGGGCGACAGACTGAGACTGAGACTCCGTCTCAAAAAACAAAACAAAAAAAAAAAAAAGAAAGAAAAGAAAAGAAAAGAAAAACCCCATGCTTGTTAGTCTCTTACCACAAGAAACACTCGTCCTCCTGCGTCACCCTCCATCGGGGTAGCCTCGCTAAAGGCGGCGAGCGGAAGCCAGGGCGTCTCGCCTAGGCTGGAACCGTGCTCCACGTGGGATGCCCGCCCGCCCGTGCAGCCGCTGGGCCTCTGCCTCCTCCAAACTGTAACAGTCCTAAGAGCTTTTTCCTGATTACAGAAATAATGCGAAACTTGCTTTAGAAAACTGGAAAAGTATACAGTAAATAAGGATATTTATAATTCCACCTTCCTGAGATAATGAATATTAACATTTTGGAGCATTTTCTTCTATATTTGCATTCACATTTTTAAAAATAAAATATTAATACAAACCTAGAGGCATATATATCCCTTTCATCCACTTCAGGCCATCAATACAAATAACTTCTGCCCAAGGAACAAAGAGGCCTCAGGGTTCCCCTGCTGCCACTTCCTCTCTGTCCCTTATGTGCAGGTGGAACAGTCCTGCCTCTGACACAGAGCCAGGGTCCTGGGCAGCTCATTCATCCCCCACACCCCAGAGGGATGCCTGCAGCCACGGTCAGCCCATGGGACTCCCTCCACCCTCGCGCTACAGGGAAGGGCTTTCCAGTGAGACACAAGGTGAATTGGACTCATACTAAGTTACAGTTCACCCCTTCTCACCCCTTTTCCATTTGTTTTACTTTATCTCTGGTAATGGTGGTTCAACTCACAAAGATAACATCAGAGAAATAAAACTGTCATGTGGTTGGTATCATAGATGTTTTCTGACATACATGCCATCTAGTTCCTACCCAGTTACCCCTAATTTGGGTAAAGGATATTGTCTAGTTAAGATCATCTTTGGGGGGGATACCTTGCACTGACATTTTTCAAAAAGCAAATGTGTCTAGTTGTAAGACAACTCATCTGGAAATGCAGCAAGGAATCTGAACGGGCAAAGGAGAACTGTAAATAACCAGTCAACACAGTTCCATCTCACTGGCCATGGAGGGAAAGCAAAATAAAACAATCATTCTCACCCATAAAACATAAAAACTTCAAACTTAGGTAATAGTCAAAATATTACTGAGGATGGGCCGGGCGCTGTGGCTCACACCTATAATCCCAGCACTTTGGGAGACTGAGGCGGGAGGATCATGAGGTTGGGAGTTCGAGAGCAGCCTGGCCAACATGGTGAAACCCCATATCTACTAAAAATAGAAAAATTAGCCTGGCGTGGTGGCACGCGTCTATAATCCCAGTTACTCAGGAGGCTGAGGCAGAATTGCTTGAACCTGGGAGGCGGAGGTTGCAGTGAGCCAAGATCACCCCATTGCACTCCAGCCTGGGTGACTGGAGCAAGACCCCGTCTCAAAAAATAAATAAAAATTAAAATTAAAAAAAAAAAACCTGAGGATGTGGGGAAATGGACACTCAAACACCACTGGTATAAACAGAAATTGGTAAAAAATTTTTGGAGGGCAAGTCTGTACTACTTAGCAAATGCATATGCCCTACGGCTCAGCAATTTCAATTCTAGAAATCTATCTTACAGAACTACACTGTCCAATATCCAATATAGTAGCCACTGGCCACATGTTATTTAAATTTAATTAAAATTAAATTAAGCCTGGGCAACATGGTGAAACGCAACCTCTACAAAAAAAAATACAAAAATTAGCCAAGTGTGCTGGCATGAGACTGTAGTCCCAGCTACTCAGGAGGCTGAGATGGGAGGATCACCTGAGCCTGGGGAGGTTGAGGCTGCAGTGAGCCATGATCACACCACTGCATTCCAGCCTAGGCAACACAGCAAGACTGTCTCAAAAACTTAATTTAAATTAAAATCTTAGTTCTTCAGTTCCCCTAGTTGCATTTCAACTGCTCCATAGTCCTATGTGGCTAGTGCCTGCCACACAGGAGAGTGCAGAGACAGATCACCTTCATCACCCAGAAAGCTCTGCTGGGCAGTGCTGGCACAGGAACAGTCACAGAAATAGACAAGGGGCCGGGAACGGTGGCACACACCTGTAATCCCAGCACTTTGGGAGGCCAAGGTAGGCAGATTCCTTGAGGTCAGGAGTCCAAGACCAGCCTGGCCAACATGGTGAAACCCCATCTCTACTAAAAAAATTAGCCAGGCATCATGGCAGACGCCTGTAGTCCCAGCTACTCAGGAGGCTGAGGCAGGATAATTGCCTAAACCCAGGAGGCAGAGGTTGCAGAGAGCCAAGATTGTGCCACTGTACTCCAGCCTGGGAGACAGAGCGAGCCTCAATGTCGAAAAAGAGAAAGAAAAAAAAAAAGACAAGGACATTCAATGCAGCACTGTTTATAAAGCAAAAAACTGAATATAAGCAAAAAAGGGGAATAGTTAAATAATGTCACATTTATACTAAAGCATACAAATAACAAAAATATGAAGCAGATGTGAACAAATAGTATACTGCAAAATAAGATATCCTTTTTTTTTTTTTAGATGGAGTCTCACTCTTGTCACCCAGGCTGGAGTGCAATGGCGCAATCTCGGCTCCCTGCCACCTCCGCCTCCTGGGTTCAAGCGATTCTCATGCCTCAGCCTCCTGAGTAGCTGGGATTACAGGCACCCACCACCATGCCCAGCTAATTTTTGTATTTTTAGTAGAGATGGGGTTTCACCATGTGGCCAGGCTTGTCTCGAACTTCTGACCTCAGGTGATCCACCCGCCTCGGCCTCCCAAAGTGCTGGAATTACAGGAGTGAGCCGCTGCGTCCGGCCAAGGTATCCATTTTAACGTTTTGTATATATAAATAGATATTTACATAATACTGAAACATATCTTCAAGGACATATCAAACTGTCAGTGGCAGAAGAAACAGGAATTAGAAGAATGAGAATTTTCACTTTTATTTACTTCTAAATTGAACTTGTTTAGAAACAAATTCAAACAGCAAACTGCATTGCTGTAATTTTTAAAAAGAGATATGCAGGGAAGACCCACTCAGGAGCCCCTCTCTGCAGGAGAGAGCTTTTCTTTCCTTTCTCTTGCCTATTAAACCTTCACTCTTAAACTCACTTCTTGTGTGTCCATGTCCTTGATTTCCTTGGCATGGGACAACGAACCTCGGGTATTTACCCCAGACAACAACGCCACTTCATTTTGGGGTCCCGTCCAGGATTGGAAAGTACATTTATCGGAAAGAATGTTGAAGATAGAACATCCAGATGGTGCTACAGATGGAGCCACGCATGGACACACCTTTCTTCCAAGGACCCTTAAATCAACCCCAGGAGGAGCCTTAACTGCTGTTCCCCACATGACACCCCTCTTCAGCAGGAAGTAGCCAGAAAGAGTCATCATCCAACACCCCCTAACAGCAGTGAGTTACCACTCCTTATAGGGGAAATGATACCGGAGCTAGAAAGAAATTATTTAGGCAGATAGTGAGGGTAAGAGAGTCGTTGGTAAGGTTTCTTTTTAATAAAAAGCAGCCCCCAAATCATTTCTAACAAAAAGCAGCCTGAAGAAAATCAAGCTGCAAGCATAGATAAGCAAGCTGGAAGCTTGCACAGGTGCATGCCAGCAGCTGTGCCAATAGGAAAAGGCTATCTGGGGGCCAGGCATGTTCAACATGGAGGCTCCCTCTTCCTTTTTGTCACATGTGCAGTAAAAAGGCAGGCAACATGGCACCAGCCAGGTAGAGACCCCATCAGCATAATAAAAGATTAGGGTGGGATGGCCAGCTTCTTTGTGCAAACAGCACACCTGGTCCTATCAATCTCTCAGACCCAATGTAAATCAGACACCACCTCCTCAAGCTAGCCTATAAAACCCTGTGCGTTTCATCACAAAACTGAAGACCCACTCAGGAACCCCCTCTCTCTCTGCAAGAGACAGCTTTTCTCTTCTCTCTCACCTATTAAACCTCTGCTCTTAAACTCAAAAAAAAAAAAAAGATTTTCAAAAGGAGTTCTACTTTTAGGAAGATGATTTACCAGTGAGCCCTGAGGATTTTATAGTCTGCTCATTTCTTCTCTAAACTGGTACTTCATTCCTTGGTTATCATTTTTCTATACTAGTAATCAAAAATCATGTTTCTGAAGCCCAGGAGGAGTCCCAGAAGTGTCCACCCAGCTCTGGCCTCCTCCCACCGTCTCTCCTCCCCATGCTTCCCCAAATGCACTCGTCCCTCAACTGTCTTTTCACCCGCTCACATCCACACTTTCTCAGCAGCTGCACACAACTCCCGGGGTGAAGCAACCCTGTCACACCACAAGCACAACAGATGTGCCACTCCCCAGCACAACCATGTTCACTGCTTCCTTCCTCAGCCTGCCCTGTGAGAGCAAGAGAAGAGCAGGGGTCAGTGAAGTGAAAGGGACAGACGGCAGCCCTGATACTTTAGACACAAATCTCGCCTGTGAAAGTGCTTCTTAAAACAAATCACATCAAGGTAAGAAAACCATCACCAGCAAGTCACATGAGCAGTTATGTTCCAAATGTGATGGGTTTATTTTATTTTACTATGATGCAAAACCAAAGATTCCACTATAGCACAGAGACCAGTATATTACAAGGTCATGAAAAAATGGTGTGGGACATGCAGGACGTGATGTACAAACTGGTGGGTCAGATCGTCTCCTCTAACATGACGCTACACTGTCGCTGAGGAACACATTTAATAACACTTCAGAACTGAACTGAAACGTGGCACAAACATGACAACTTCCAGGCATGCCTTCAAGCATCTCCCTCAGGAGGGATTCGCAACCCCTAGACTTCAGTGTGGGGAGGATTACAATTCTTTGGAAGAATAAAAAGTTCACACTTTTGAAATTTCACAGAAGAATTTTAAGGCCAAAACATAGTGGGTTCATTTCTCTTCACTTCCAGGGACAAATCTGATGCTTTCCTCAAACCACATTAAGCTTCCAGTTCAAATCCCAAGCCAACCTTGTGACCTCCTGCACTGAAGTTCTTCCCATCGATTAAAGCTGATAAAGTCAATTTGACTCCTAGGAAGAAGAAAACACCACAATCACTTGAAACAAGTATTACAATTAGATCTGAACTTTCTAGAAACAACAGATGGAATCAATGGTGTGGATTGTAGCTGGGTATACGAGCTATAAGCAAACAGCTATTACTCAATCGGTTATTTATAACTATCTGATGTGTAATGAGGAAAGCATGATCATGGCAAACTTTCTCTGAAGTTCAGGGTTAAGGGCAATGAGTGATCAACCAAACTCAAAGGCCAAAGTGACCACATTATAGTCAGAAATACATACTTTTTTAATGCAAAAGTATTTGATCTGTATTGTTTTCTGTCTGAACAACCAAATGTTACAAAATGGTCCAAATCAACTTACAGTGACTACAGGTTGTTCTGCAGGTTATTTTCATTGTTTTCTCTATCACCTTCCACCTCAACCCCTCTGTTACTAATTCCTTTACTTACCTGGTCGAAGGGTCTGAGTATAACCCAGTCCAATCAGGCTGGCATTATTTACTTTAGCCTAAGATTAAGAGATAGAATAATAACAGAAAACAGTGAATTACAGATCAGTCCAATATAACCATCACTTTGTGCATTAGGTTTCCAATGCTAAAAGCACCCTAGGGCCAATCTAGAATTACTGATTTTTTTTTTTTTTTTTTTTGAGATGAAGTTTTGTTCTTGTCACCCAGGCTGCAGTGCGATGGCACGATCTCGGCTCACTGCAACCTCCGCTTCCCGGGTCCAAGCCATTCTCCTGCCTCAGCCTCCCAAGTAGCTGGGATTACAGGCATGCGCCCCCATGCCCGGCTAATTTTGTATTTTTAGTAGAGACGGGGTTTCACCATGTTGGCCAGGCTGGTCTCAAACTCCTGACCTCAGGTGATCCCCTGCCTCAGCCTCCCAAAGTGCTGGGATTACAGGCGTGACCCACCGTGCCCAGCCGGAATTACTGATTAAGAAGTCAGTAGGACTTGTAGGGGTAGGACGTACCCTGAGAATGCATGCTTCAAGGCCTCAAGCAAAATTTTTAAACACTACACAACCAAACACCCTGAATTCTCTGAGATACCAGCTGACAATCTCTCACAGTGGTTACGGCATGAACTTGGGTGACAGAAAAACAGACCTAGGTTCAATTGTGGCACTGCCAGTTACTATGTGACCTTAGGCAAGTTAGCTGACCTTTCTAAGGCTCAGTTTTCTCATCTGTAAAACAGGGATGAGGATAACACTAATCGCCACATGGAGTGGTTGTGAGCGTTAAATGACATAATATACATAAAGCCCTTAGCACAGTACATGAAATTTAACAGCTCAGTGTTATTTTTAGTAAGAGTTACTATAGCAACAGAAATAGTCATCTAATCCCATGAATTTCCAAATAAGAAAATTCTGAGGCCAAAGTGATAAAATGACAAGGTCAGACAACAGATATACAGGAAGAGCTAGGACTAGAAGAACCCCTATTTCCTGACGTCAAGCATAATTTTTTTTTTTTTTTTTTTTGAGATAGGCTCTCGCTCTGTCACCCAGGCTGGAGTGCAATGGTGTGATCTTGGCTCACTGCAACCTCTCCATCTGCAGGGTTCAAGCAATTCTCCTGCCTCAGCCTCCCTAGTAGCTGGGACTACAGGCGTCACCTACCACGCCCACCTAATTTTTGTATTTTTAGTAAAGACAGGGTTTCACCTTGTTGGCTAGGCTGGTCTTGAACTCCTGACCTCAGGTGATTCATGCACCTTGGCCTCCCAAAGTGCTGGGAATACAGGCGTGAGCCTGGCCACATTATATTCCTTTCACTACACAATGAGCTGGCTTATTAAAATTAATAAAGAACAAGCAAACTACACTCATATCACAACATTCTCTGAAAACTTAGACACAAACATAAGAGCAGATCCAATCTGGCAGCACATTCTTACAGAGAGAGAAGTTCTACAATCCAGCATGTACTTAGCAGCAATGCCAAAACGGGTGTTGTTACTCCCAGCTGTCCAAGCAAGGTTTATGGATGTTTCAATCTTCTCATTCACCTTCTGGTAGATAGAACCTCCAAATTCAGTGCCATCGTTCCTGTTTTCATAGATAAGAAAACGTCATAAATATCTAGTTTGTACCATTGTTATTATGGTATGAAAACAAATTCTAAGACTATCTAAACAAGGATCCCATTTTGTAACTATAGATTTCAGCAAATTTCTAGCATAAATGACTACTAAACAAAACACAGAACTAAATCCAGCTATGCCAGTAATGACTGCTTAATTAAAACGTTAACACTTGATCCATTTACTTGGCTCCTCCACATGATGTGAGTTTCTTAAGACAATTCAATTAAGCACAAAGGCAGACACCTCGGGTAAGTATAATCTATAGGTCTCTGAGAAGTTCATAGAACTTAGAAACTTCAAAGTAGAGTTCAATAAAGATTCTGCAAAAAAATAAAAAGGTAGAGGTATAGGAATAAAACCAATTCTGGATTTCCTTTAAAACACAATCCTACAGTTAGAAAGCACCCTCCTACGATACCTAGGGTGCACTGCTCCAGAAAACCACCTTAGTTATTGCTTCCAAGCATGCCAGAGGTGAGTCCTTGGGTTTTCACATGGTTTTCCTGATAATACTGTTTCATCAATTTCAGTAACTGTCTATACCACTGCTTGCCTTTGTTTTAGCCATCATAAGTAAATTAGAGCATCTAGCAGAGAGGAATCTGCAACAGTTTAAAAACACATAGTTTGCCCTTTGCTTTTTCTTCCTGGTATAGTAGCAGTGTCCAGTAGGCTCAACATAAAATACTACGTAAAAGTTCTGATTCATCCCACCAACATGGTGCAGCCTACATAACTGAATCCCAGGACTCTTTCAGAGCACCTGTTACTTCTGAATGCATTAGCGGTACCTGGGTTCCAACCGAGAATACCAGTACCTGAAACCTCCACAGAATTACCGGGATGTCCCAGGATGCTCAGATCAATTTGGTGGTGGTTGTTGGTGACCAAAACAGACCTGCTTCCAGATACTGTCAAGATGAGAGGGCAGCAGAGGAAGCAGTAACATCTCCAAAGGGTCATCTTACCATGAGGTAAGCCATGCTCTGGGCTCCCTCTATCCCAGTGGTTCTTCTACAGAGGCTGGAGCTTCCTCAAGTTTGGGGTGCAGGCTGAGGGGCCAGTGACCACCAGCAGCACAGCCTGCACACCACGTGCACCAGCCTCCTGGCAAGGTTTTGCTATGAGGATAGCACCGCAAGGATGGATATTCACCAAGGCATGCTAAATCTGAGTACCATCACTTCTCAGCATGCTAATGGCTACAATATTTTGGGCAACTGCACTGATACTAAGGAATAAATTATAAACACTCACACATGTGTGTGCAGCTGGAAGTCCGCAGCCTTGTAACCCAGGGCGAAATTATTCTGTGACAGTTTGGATTTGGCTGTGTCAAAACTCATCTGATAGCCAGCAAGCCACCCTTCGAAGGCCAACACAGCCCAGCCATAGATGGTTGGTCCAGAAAAATCTATATCAACATTACTGCCAACACTAAAACAATCCCGTTTATAGGAGGCCTTCAATTTCCCACTCTTCTTTCTGCAATAAACAAACAAACAAAAGCAAATGATGAAAACAACATGAGTTCTTACTACTGTCTAGGAATTTTTAGAGTAAGATCCTCTCTCTCATCTCCCAATGTAAATATTATTTTGGTACATGCCACATATATAGTAAAAACATTTCAAATGACCTAGTTCTACAAATATAATTTTGTTAGGATTAGACATGTATAGACTACTATCATCTATTACTCATTATAAGTTCAAATGATAGGATACTTCATGATTTATTTCATAAAAGCATGAACAAAAGTATAAGAATGAATAAGAGGCTGGGTGTGGTGGCTCACACCTGTAATCCCAGCACTTTGGGAGGCCAAGGTGGGCGGATGACGAGGCCAGGAGATTGAGACCATCCTGGCCAACATGGTGAAACCCCGTTTCTACTAAAAATACAAAAATTAGCTGGGCGTGGTGGCACACGCCTGTAGTCCCAGCTACTTGGGAGGCTGAGGCAGGAGAATCACTTGAACCTGGGAGGCAGAGGTTGCAGTGAGCCAAGATCATGCCACTGTACTCCAGCCTGGCGACAGAGCGAGACTCGTCTCAAAAGAAAAAAAAAGAATGAATAAGATATTTCAGTGCCAAATTAATAATCTGAAGGTGTATGTATACAGACGTACAAGAAGCCAAATCTCTTTAAATGTTTCCAAATGCCAAATGCCACAAAGAATTAATCCCCAATATACATTATTAACCTATCATGGAGAGAAGCATGCTTTTTTGAAGGACAATACTGAAAAAATGAAATTAGTTCTTAATAACCCTATTCCAATCAAGCCTCTTGTAGGAATATTTGTCCTGGCCGGGCACAGTGGCTCATGCCTGTAAGCCCAGCATTTTGGGAGGCCGAGCCAGGCGGAACACGAGGTCAAGACAGAGACCATCCTGCCCAACGTGGTAAAACTCCGTCTCTACTAAAAATACAAAAATTAGCTGGGCGTGGTGGTGCATGCCTGTAGTCCCAGCTATTTGGGAGGCTGAGGCAGGAGAATTGCTTGAACCCAGGAGGCAGAGTTTGCAGTGAGCTGAGATAGTGCCACTATACTCCAGCAAGACTCCATCTCAAAAAAAAAAAAAAAAAAAAAAAAGAAAAGAATATTTGTCCTAAAGATAACTGAAGTGTGTGGCAAAAAGAACACACCTGTTGTTACGGCTGAGACAAATGTCACTTTGCATTCATCTAGCAACCTCCGTCCTTCAGATAGCATGGACCCACATTAGGCAGATAGGAAATGACACAATCCCCCTTTTTTTCACGAGGAAATTGAGGTCAAGAAGTTGGGGGATTTACAGAGGCTAAGAAATCAAGTAGGCAGCAGAACTAATCATTATAGCATCTGAGAGCCAGATCACCTTCTTAAGAAATTAACTTTTCAGCACCATAAGAGAGGGTGAGGGGGAAAAAAAAGGAATTAACTTTTTTTTTTTTTTTTGAGACAGAGTCTCGCTCTGTTGCCCAGGCTGGAGTGCATCTCGGCTCACTGCAAGCTCCGCCTCCTGGGTTCATGCCATTCTCCTGCCTCAGCCTCCTGAGTAGCTGGGACTACAGGCGCCCACCACCATGCCTGGCTAATTTTTTGTATTTTTTAGTAGAGATGGGGTTTCACCGTGTTAGCCAGGATGGTTTCCATCTCCGGACCTCATGATCCGCCCATCTCGGCCTCCCAAAGTGCTAGGATTACAGGCGTGAGCCACCACGCCCAGCCAAAAGGAATTAACTTTCTCAGCAGAATACCATGTCCATCAATCTTCAGAATTGCTTAAGATTCATCTATGGTCTCAAGACTCTTCTAGCTCCTAAATTTTTTCTACCATGTGTCTCTCTCAAATACATTTATACATTTTTGCTCATCTATTCAGTTTTCAAATTGTTCATCCTGCCTTGGTGGGGAGGGATCTTCCTTTATCTGTATTACCTATACAAGGTCTCCAATATTCCTTATAGCAACCTTCTGAGTTCTTCCTGCCTCTGAACTTTGCACTATATCTCCTTATTCTAAAGCTCTCTACCCTTTCAGGCTCCAAAAACGTTTCAGGAAATGGGATTTGAATAATTACCCTGTGTTCGGTACAAATATGGTATCAAGAGTCAGTTTCAACCCTTCAGCCAACTGAAAAACAAAGATTTAAAATAAATAATTAGTAATTTTCAATCATTTATCCAACTCAAGAAACCAATTCTAAAGTTTCCTGAGTTCTTTAACAAAAAAAAGGAGTCATTCAAGAAAGCAAAATATTAAATTATGTAATAAGTAAGCTCTCCATCCTCCTGTCCCCTCACCCCAGCCTTCATCATGGTTCTCCCACTAAAAAATGGGGCAAATCCTATTTTAGCAAGTTACATAAAATACAGTTCAAAACCAAACAGAATTCCCATACAACAAAATCATCTTGATACTCTCTTGAAAGAGCAGTAATGAGATAACCTGACATTTAACAAGCAGGCTAAGTCATTTTACTCAGTTTTGCATGTACATTATCTATACATGGTATCTCTATCAAAAACAGTGCCCTGTACATAGTGGGCACTTGACTATATCTAATAGATTTTCTCCTTGAAAACATGAGAACATTTTAGAAAAATTTTTCTGTCAAGCCAATTTTTCAACAATTACAAAACTAAACCAAATTTCCGCAAATAGTTTGTTCTACCCAGGAGAAGCTTAGCTGTGTAACAGAGAACCAGTCAGAACAAAGATGTAATATAGTAATTAGAGTACTCACAAACAAAGCCTTATTTTCTAGAAACATAAGACATCAAAAAAGGCCACATGCAGAGAAAAAATATGGCTACTAGATAGGTTGTAAGATCTCTTTTGATTATATTTGGGGTATGTTCATCATTCAATCTACAAGATAAATTGAACCTATGAATAACTTCTAATGCGTTCTCTTACCTTATTCTCCCAAGAGATTTCTGTCCCTAGAGTATTGTCTGTGTTCCATTTCTGGGTGAAGGTAAGTCCATAGTTACAGACCTTATATTTGGTTTCTAGGTTGCCTGATGCTTTCCCTGTATCAGTGTAAGCATGACCAGAAGTAGAAAATTCCTGGTAAGCAAGAAAAAATAATTACTTTAAAATTAGCTCATCAAATAGAAAATATTCACTTTGGAAAGCAGTGTTCAATGTATCAAAAACAATACCATTTACTGCTTGCCACAGCCCTACTCTAGAGCAACTTCTTTCCTCCTTTCCCCTTGCTTTTCCAGTCCCTAAATATTTTAACCAGTTCTGCCAGGCGCAGTGGCTCATGCCTGTAATCCCAGCATGTTACGAGGCCAAGGCGGGTGGATCCCTTGAGTCCAGGAGCTCAAGACCAGCCTGCGCAACATGGCAAAACCCCATCTCTACAAAAAATACAAAAAATTAGCCAGGCATGATGGCACGTGACTGTAGTCCCAGCCTGAGCCCAGGAGGCAGAGGTTGCAGTGAGCCGAGATCATGCCACTTCACCCTAGCCTGGGCAACGGAGTGAGACAGCTCAATACCAGTTTCAGATCTTTCCATTACTCTACTTCTCTTATTAATATCTCTTGTTCCATATACTCTCTTACCAAATGGTAATCCTAAATTCTCTCCTTTAAAAAAGAAGTATCTTTACTGAAAACAAATGCCTTTACTAAAAAGACCAAAAATATTGTATCTTAAACATTTTACTTTCATGACCTAAAAAAAGATTATCAGTTCTCTGCTATATGTTTCAAACTATCAGTTAATTTCAAGGTCCTTAAAAATCCCAAAATACTGCCCTCCTCCTTTTTAATAGGGTCAACACTTTACTACTTCCTTTTAAAAATGTTTTTTTTTATTGTGGTAAATACATGTAACATACATTTTACCATTTTAATAATGTTTTAAGTGTACAGTGAAGTGGCATTAAGTACAGTCACACTGCTGTGAAAACTTTAATGCTTTTGTGTGCAAAACTGCAAAACTTCTGCTTAGACAATTTCAATATTTGAAAGTACTACCCATTTTTCAAAATAAAGTAGAATGCTATAATTTATCCTTCTTTCCCCCTTTCTATCCTGTCTACCTTTAAGAGTGCTTTCTATCAAACAGTTACTATGAATGAGACTCTGTCTCAAAAAAATAAAATAAAATAAAATACATCCTTTGCCCTAGTTCAGTGCCCTTTAAGTCATATGACAATAAGCAATTAGAAATGGACCTCCTTCTGGGGAAAGCAGACAGCACCTGTCACTGACAATCTATGAACTGTCAAGAAAAAACATTCTGATTGGTCCTGTTTTAGGGAGCATTTCTGAAATCCTGCCAACAGTAATGAGATGCTGCCAACCCTGACCAGTCTTTTTCACTGCCTGCAACATGAATCCTCTCCTTAACAAATGCCCTGTCCCCTAACTCTAGTTCTACAGGCAGATGAGACAACTGGGAAGTTATGTTCTGTTTATCAAACCACACAGAATGGTTTCAAAGAGAGTATCATGCTGCACATTTAGGGGAAGGCCTTAGTAAAAAAAAAATGATAACATGTTAATCATGTTTAACTGTTCACATAATTATTTTAACGTGACAATCATTTTTCTTTTAGTAGATCCAACTATCTAGTGTTTTATTTTTTACATTTACTTTTCACAAACTTGACAAGTATAACAAATGCAAATCTTAATTTTGGTGCTAGAAAAACCTTATGCACAAAATTAAGGTAGAGGGGTAGTCTACATTTCTCCCTTGTCAGCATCAATTCTTAGTTTGAAGGTCTGTCACGAATCTAAAATGCCACAGGTACAAATCTCAGAAAAAAAGGCTAGAATTGTTCTAAGTTGAGTTCCAGGCTCACGATTCACAGTTCAGTTTGTGTCTAATTTCATAATTTGGTCAAACAAGTGCAAAACACATTTATAACATGCATATAACATGCATATAGCTCTACATTAAATGCTTAGTAAGCAACAAAACAAACAAAAATGTTACTGTTAAGTAGATAGCATATGAGAAAAATATCAAGACACAATCTAAGAAATTTGGAACAATGATTGAAATTTATCCTAAATCAATACCAGAAACCAAAAGCAGCCATAAAAACAAGCATACGAATAAGCTTTTTTTTCTTACCATCTGAATGAATATTACCACACAACAGCAGCATGAAAGGGAGATAAAATTTTAGTTGATAATTTTTGCAACACAAACCTAATGAGCAAATTCTGGAACCTACACAAAATGAGAATGATTCTTCTATTTTAACAGAACTATATACACAGCGTGCCCATCTTAGTAAGGGAGGTGCATATATATTTATTTACTCCAGAGAAACCCAGGGAAAGAATGATGGTCACAAACCATGATTATACACAGTATCATTAGAATTCCACATGTCTTTGTCCTTCTAATTATACATTCAGAAATAAAATTTTCATGGGTTTGAATGGATAAATACCAAAAACGATGCAGCCAATGAGGAGAAATCAGAGTAAGGTAAATTAAAACTTAACCTACTTGCTGAGATTTATTAAATAAAAGCAATTTTTTCTGAGACGGAGTCTTGCACTGTTGCCCAGGCTGGATGGAGTACAGTGGCACGATCTCTGCTCACTGCAACCTCTGCCTCCTGGGTTCATGCCATTCTCCTGCCTCAGCCTCCCAAGTAGCCAGGACTACAGGCACCCGTCATCAGGTCTGGCTAATTTTTTTGTATTTTTAGTAGAGACGGGGTTTCACCATATTAGCCAGGATGGTCTCAATCTCCTGACCTCGTGATCCGCCCGCCTTGGCCTCCCAAAGTGCTGGGATCACAGGCGTGAGCCACCGCACCTGGCCTTTTTTTTTTTTTTTTTAAGACAAAGTCTCACTCTGTCACCCAGGCTGGAGTGCAATGGCTTGGTCTCGGCTCACTGAAACCTCCACCTCCCAGGTTCAAGAGATTCTCCCGCCTCAGCCTCCCGAGTAGCTGGGACTATGTGCGTGCCACCACACCCAGCTAATTTTTGGTATATTTTTAGTAGAGACGGGGTTTCAGAATGTTGACCAGGCTGGTCTCGAACTCCTGACCTCATGACCCGCCCACCTCGGCCTCCCAAAGTGCTGGGATTACAGGTGTGAGCCGCTGCACCCAGCCAAAAGCTATTGTTAATGATACTTTGAAAATATGCCAACATAGCCTTTACTGTAGTCTTTACTTCCAATAAAAAAAACTTTATAAACATCAGTTAAAAACTGTAGAATAATGTACATGCATACGTGCAGAAATACATTTTATTTACATATTTTGTTTCGACTAATCATGAAGGGGCAGAGTAAAGTTAATTTGTTTTTGTAAAAGGGTAATAAAATTTCCATGAACCCATTATCATGGAAGTGAGGTTTTTGGTGCCCATATACATATTCATGAAAGTATAAACATATGACATGGGTCAAAAAATATATATTCTACATCTTCTGAGTGAAAGCTGTAGTATACTCTGAGAAACACAAAAGGTCTCTTCAAAAATTCAACTTGGTTGTTTATTTTAATTGGCTAAGAATGCTGTTTAAAATCTGAGAGGACAAAGCTGTGGGGAAGACAGCATGGTGCTGGTTCAAGTAACTAGACTGTCATGATTTTAAACAGATTCCTTTAAGTTAATTATGTTACATTCATTAAAAATATATTAGATACTCACCACTCCACTACAAGACTTGGTTTTCAGGTCTATCTTGACCATGCCAAAGCCTATACACACACACACACAAAAACACAGTAATGTACAAAATGTGACATTCACTAGTTTTTGCAACTCAGAAATTATGAAATAGCCTATAGTACCTTCCATATGAAAAATGCATAGTATTTTCATTGGGTGAGAGTTCCTCAAGAAACTGAATTATAACCAAATAAATGCAGTATAATTTTCAAGCACTCAAAATGAATAAAGATATACTTTTAAAATGTAAGTTAAAGAAAAAAATAAATGAAAGGAATATGCACTATTCCAAGAATCAAAATTGCTGAAAATAGTGTGCTGCTATATATATCGTTTAAAATATAGTTAACATTACTAGTTAATAAGAAAAAATCAAATATGTACAGCACATAAATTTAAGTTAAATTTTAAAACCTAAAAAATATTTATTTAGGATCAGAATATACATTACTCCAAAGAAGTCAAAAGTTATGTTGTCACTTTCATAAAAACAATGCCACTGTTTGGAGGGAGGAAAAGTTCTACCCCCTAATTTAATTGTCCTCAGGGCCAGACAAAGAGACATAAATGTTATATATATTATTCTACATTCCAGATAACATTAAATATGGACATGTATATGCATCTGTATATGTATATAATTGCTTTTAATGCTTGTAAGGGGTTCTGCCTCTAAAGAATGAGGTCTAATAGCCTGTTAATAGTTATCCCCTTAAATCTTGTGAAGTGGAATAATGCTGACTTACCCTTATTTTACTAACACAGTATTTACACACAGTAGGCATTCAACACTAACCTTTACCCCAAACTGGAAAGTTACAATAGCATACTTACCATATCCTTTGTTGAAGACATCCTTAGCAGCCTTTCCTAGGTCACAGTACGTTGGTGTGTTACACATATCTTATAAAGAAAAACAGGGCAAAGGAATAAAAATAACCATTTAGTATTTATTCACCCACAGTTCTTCTGCTGTTTAATCCTGTGAGAAGGGGTATACAGTTTTCTCTTCCTGTGTATCATTAATGCTTTAATGCAATCAAAGGTATGAGACAGCAGTCTGCTCCTTAAAAAACAGACCTTTCCAGAATACTGAGAATAAAACAGTTTTCCCGTGAGATTCAGAGGTCATCTTTCTGATTGCATTTCAAAGAAAAGTAAGTTCTTACAGGATGAAAAAGATGCTATGTTAAACTGGACTTCTTTTAAAAATATATGCAAAATTTACCTTAGAAAAATCTCTCTCAGGCTCTTATGAAACCAAAGACCTGTATAAGACAACAATGGAAATTTTTAAAGAAACTGTTAAAAGATGCAATCAAAATCCTCAGGGTTAACATTTTTCTCCTCTGAAATTCAGTTCTTAAAATAAGAATTTACCATACGAATTGAAGTGTATTCATCTAGAATATATCTTCTCTCAAAGCTCTTCTTAAAGTGCTATAATTTTACCCATTAACCAGAAATATGACAGATTCTACCTGCAGCAACCTGCTTACCAAAAGTTAGTGTAAACTCTGAAGTTAAAGCCTTCAAAAACCTCAGGTGCCTTGATTTTTCATCTTGCCTACTAAAAATCTGCCCAGCTTTGCTACTGGTAATATGACCCTCATATCAAATTCTCAGAGCTATCAACACTGCTGATTATCTCATTCCTTTGCCCTCTTTGTATCATGGGAAATCTTTCTGCAGCAGGTTCTTCTGTATTCCTCTCGCAGACTCAAAAGCTATGTCTAACCAATTACAGAGCCACCTCTAGCAGTGCCATTAGCCCATATGTCAGAAAAATCCAGAGTACCAGCTAGCCCTTGCAATTGCTACGCCTGAATGATCTACACATTTAAGCTCATATTTATTTATATATAGCCCAGCTCTTAATCCAGACTTCTGCTAAGCTTCTGCCTACCCCATCATACCAAACATATACATATGATGCACTTAAATGGGAATGCATTTAAGTTTTGTTCCTTAACATAAACCTGTCAAATATGACAGACACTATGATATAAAGAGACTAGTATAAAAAACTAAAAAGAAAAAAAAATTAAAGAGGAAACGGTAGTATAAATGTACTGACTCATTCCATAGTAAAACTTTGCTCTAAGCTACCAGGTTTCATAATTCACTTACAGAACGATTATTTTACAATTCAATCCCTTGTACTAAAGTGATCAATTCTAGGCTTTTTATATTATCCCAATTGCAATTTGATATTACTCTTTATGATTACAACTGATGTTGATATTTGTTGAAATTTTGCCAGAAGTCTGTAATTTGGGAAGTAAGTATAGAAATGCAGGCAGTATATATTGAAATAGAAATGTTAAAGCTTTACAGTCTGGTTTTTCATACTGCCGAGAAAAGATACACTTAAATGTTTAGAAGCACTATATATACGTCTAGGGACTATTTACAATATTTCAGCATTTTGTTTTGTTATTTTTCAAAACCAGTACGAGATACTATGCAAAAGTCACGTAGCTGGTTTAGTATACTAACTGACCTCAATTCTGCCTAGTTCAAGCTGACTTTTTCAGGCCTATGACTCTGATGGGAAATGCACTGCTAGTATGATCAAGCAAAAATCGAGAACAACAGAAACTTCATGTTCCTCGAGAGTAAAGCTACAACCACACGTCTCCACCAGCTCTACAGAATGCACCTGCCCATAGATGTGCACACTGCACAGAGGCTGCAGGAGACGCAGACGGGGAAAGGCGTTAAGCCGGTTGCTACTGCTTTACAAAGCCACTAACTTGACAGCCAGTACAGAGCCCTTTTCGTTCCTCGCTTCTCCGTTTTGAATTGCACGCAGGGCACCCTCCCTCGGCCGTAAGGAGGGGGCAGGGGCGGGCGGGAGATGGGTGTGGGGTTCGAGGATCCAACTTCCCTAGAACCGATCTCCTTTCTAGCTGACCCCTGGGAGGAAAGTGCGGTCCACACGCCGGCGGGATAGGTCGCTGCCCGCGCCCGGAGGCCACTTGCCCCGCCGTGCTGCGGCTCCATCGCCTGAGGTGGCCCGGGCGGGTCCCGGCGGGAGCGAGCGGCCCCGGCCCCCCGCGCCCCGGTAGCCTGCTCCCTGCCCACAGAGCCTCCGTTAGGCCCGCCTCCCGCCTGGCGCTCTGCTCGGCCGCGGCCCACCGCTCTCCGGGACTGGAGCCCGCGCGGCCTCAGCTCTCCTCACCTCCACCCCGAGGGCCTGTCTCTGCTCCGCCAGGGCAACGCTGAAGGTCTTCAAACCAACGCCGTCCGCGCCTGCGCAGCCTCGCACCCCCAGCCGCGCCTGCGCGCCGCCCCTCCCCGAGAGCGCCTGTGCGCCGGCGTGTCGCGCCACGGTCGCGCGCTTCGGAGCAAGGCGCGGAGACGAACAGCCGGGCCAAGCCAGCACCACCAACTGTCCGGCTCCGCAGCGCGCGTGCGCAGGAGGGCTCGGTGTGGACAGTGAGGTTGACTGGGGGCCCAAGAGGCTGGGGACCGCACCTGTGCCCTTGAGGGGACTCATTCTCGCGAGAATGCGCGAGGTTGCTAGTTAACTGTTGCCATGGGTGCGGCCGCGAAAAGGCCGCAGGGTGCCGGACCCCAGGTTTGAGGCATGCCGCAGGCCGGAGTGTAGTGGCGCGATCTTGGCTCACTGGAGCCTCGACCTCCTGGGCTCAAGCCGTCCTCCTGCCTAAGCCTCCTGAGTAGGAGGGTCCACAGAAGCGCGCCACCACGCCCGGCTAATTTAATTTTTTTTTTTTTTTTTTTTTGGTAAAGACGGGAATCTCCCTATGTTTCCAGGCTGGTCTCGAACTCCACGGCATAAGTGATCCGCCCGCCTGCGCCTACCAGAGTGCTGGGATCACAGGCCTGAGCCCACGCCCAGCCTCTTATGGGAATTTCATTTCAGACTGACCAGACTTCAAGAGTGTCACTCTTAGGTCATCTCGTCTTAAGGATGAGAATACACAGGTCCCCAGGGAGTAAGTGATTGATTCAAGATCCCACAAGTAGTGAGAGATGATAATTCAAAGGGGCAGAGGATGTGGAGGAGAAAAAGCTCTTCTGTAGAGGAGAAGACCAACTAATAAAGGTAGAATAGATGACAGAAATAGAAAATCATCGTCTTGGAACCACCATGATAATAATTGATTCAGGCTGAAATGATCAGTGGACCGTTGAGGATGTTCATATGGTTTCAAAGTATCACCCCCATAGATTACTCACTAAAGAGAAAAGGGTACCTTCACATCAAAGAGACTGATCAAACGGGGGATGGTAGGGACTGACATATGCCCCTGGTGTGAGGCACAGAGAGGGACACAGAGATAATATTCTTGTAAAAGTGTGTAATTTGCCTCTCTTCAGGACGAAACAATCAGGCAAATCCAAACTGAGAGACCTGCAAGACAACTGCCCAGTCTTCAAAAATGTCAGTTTCATGAAAGATTAGGAAAAAGGCTAGTGAACTGCTCTAGGTTAAAGGAAGCAGCCTGTAATCCCAGCACTTTGGGAGGCAGAGGCGGGCGGATCATGAGGTCAGGAGATCGAGACCATCCTGGCTAACACAGTGAAACCCCGCCTCTACTAAAAATACAAAAAATTAGCCGGGCGTGGTGGCGGGCGCCTGTAGTCCCAGCTACTCGGGAGGCTGAGGCAGGAGAATGGCGTGAACCCGGGAGGCGGAGCTTGCAGTGAGCCGAGATCGCGCCACTGCACTCCAGCCTGGGCGACAGAGCGAGACTCCGTCTCAAAAAAAAAAAAAAAAAAAAAAAGGAAGCAAAAGATATGGCACTAAAAGCAATGTGTGATCCTAAATTAGACCCTGAATAAAAACCAAACAAACAAAACCAGCTACTGAGGAACGTTATTGGGACAATCGGGGAAATTTGAATGGAGAGTAGATTAGTGTGGCAACAATGTAAAATTTTCTGAGGGGGCCCCGGGCGCGGTGGCTCACGCCTGTAATCCTAGCACTTTGGGAGGCCGAGGGGGGCGGATCACTTGAGGTCAGGAGTTCGAGACCAGCCTGGCCAACATGGTGAAACTCCGACTCTAGTAAAAATACAGAAAATTAGCTGGGCATGGTGGCGGGTGCCTGTAATCCCAGCTACTGGGGAGGCTGAAGCAGGAGAATCAACTTGAACCCCGGAGGTGGACGTTGCAGTGAGCCAAGATCGTGCCATTGCACTCCAGCCTGGGTGACAGGGCAAGACTCCGTCTAAAAAAAAAAAAAAAATTCTAAGGATAGTGTACGTTGGTTATGCAGAAATGGCCTTGATTTTAGGAGATGCATGCTGAAGTATTTAGAAGTGAAATATCATGTAGCTGCAACTAACCCTCAAATGATCCAGAAAAAAAGAAAAAGCAAATATGATAAAATGTTAACAATTGGTTAATCGAGGTGGAACGTATATGTGTGTTCATTGCACTATTCTTGAAATTTTCCACTGAGTTTAAAATTTTTTTTGAAATAAAAAGAGACAAAAAGTCCCCCACAAAGTCTGTGATACTCCACAGTACACAATACCAAGTTGCTGCTTGAATCAAAAGGCAAATATCAGATTTGACCGCTGTGTGAAAGGTATTTGAAGTTAATAAGAGATAAGTAAGATACATGTCCCCAAGAGACTCATAATGTAAGACTTGGACAAATATCTGCTGAATGAGGCCAAATATGGTCAATGTCATAAGCAAGGTAGTATAACCTAGTAGGCGAAATAAAGTGAGCTTAGGAGTCCAAAGAGCTGAATTTGTGTCTCAGCTTTGCCAACTCTGTGGTCTTAGGCAAGCATTAACCTCTCTCTGCCTCAGTTTCCACATCTGTGAAACAGAACTAACTTAATATCTACTCAGGATTGTAGTGGATATTAAATCAAATAATGTATCCAGGCCGGGTGCCATGGCTCACTCCTGTAATCCTAGCAGTTTGGAAGACTGAGGCAGTGGATTGCTTGAGCCCAGGAGTTTGAGACAAGCCTAGGCAATATGTTGAACCCCATCTCTACAAAAAATACAAAAATTAGCCAGGCATGGGTGGCATGTGCCTGTAGTCCCAGCTACTTGAGAGGCTGAGGTGGGAAGATCACTTGAGCCCAGGGAGGTCAAGGCTGCTGTGAGCTGTGATTGCGCCACTGCGCTACAGCCTGGACGACAGAGGGAGACACCATCTCCAAAAACAAACAAATAATGTAACCATAGTGCATAATTTACCTGGCTTATAGAAAATGTTCATCAGTAAATAACACATGAAAATAAAGGAGTTGGCTGGGCGCAGTGGCTCACGCCTGTAATCCCAGCACTTTGGGAGGCCAAGGCAGGCAGATCACAAGGCCAAGAGATCGAGACCATCCTGGCCAACATGGTGAAACCCCGTCTCTACTAAAAATACAAAAATTAGCTGGGCGTGGTGGTGTGCGCCTGTAGTCCCAGCTACTCGGGAGGCTGAGGGAGGAGAATCACTTGAACCTGGGAGGCGGAGTTCGCACTGAGCCAAGATCATGCCACTGCACTCCAGCCTGGCGACAGAGTGAGACTCCGTCTCAAAAATTAATTAATTAATTAATTAATTAAATAAAAGAAGAAAAGAAAAGAAAGGAGTTTAGACCAGGTGCGGTGCCTTGCACCTATAATCCTAGCACTTTGGGAGGCTCGGGCGGGTGGATCACCCGAGATAAGGAGTTCGAGACCAGCCTGGCCAACATGGTGAAACCCCGTCTCTACTAAAAATACAAAAATTAGCCGAGCATGGTGGCACATGCCTGTAGTACCAGCTACTCAGGAGACTGAGGCAGGAGAATTGCTTGAACCTGGGAGGTAGAGGTTGCAGTGAGCTGAGATTGCCCCACTTCACTCTAGCCTGGGCGACAGAGTGAAACTCCCTCTCAAATAAAACAAAACAAAAAGAAAGAAAAGAAAGGAGTTTAAAAGCTATACAGGCAAAACTCACGTTTATTCATATACATATGAATATTAGAGCCACAACTTCAGACTATCCTGTGAGGCGAGGAGTACAAGTGTAGGCTGAGCAACATAGTGAGACCCTGTCTCTAAAAAAAACATTTTTAATTAGCTGAGGGTGATGGTGGCCTCCTGTAGTCCTGACTACTGAGCAGGCAGAGGTGGAAGGATGGATGGCTTGAGCCTGGGATGGGAGGTCAAGGCTACAATGAGCTATGATCATACACTGTACCACAGCCTGAGTGACAGACCAAGATCCTTATCTGTTAAAAAAAATTTTTTTAATGGAAATTTCACAACATTCTGTTATCTGAAGGTCTTTCTTCTGAAAGGACCTGACAACACCAGTCCCAGGTAATCCAGAAAGACCTGAAGCAAGAAGGTGATGAGAAAACCGTGGAGGAAGTCAGCTGCTGCAGGAAGGATCCATCCTTTGCTTCCTGTCCCTCTAGTCCTGTCCAGTTAGCTCGCTCTAGATTCACACTTAATGTCCTTATCAAGACTGGCTTTCATTGGCTGAGCGCAGTGGCTCACACCTGTAATCCCAACACTTTGGGAGGCTGAAGCAGGTGGATCACCTGAGGTCAGGAGTTTGAGACCAGCTTGGCCAACATGGTGAAACCCTGTCTCTACTAAAAATACAAAAACATTAGCTGGGCATGGTGGAGGGCACCTGTAATCCCAGCTACTCAGGAGGCTGAGGCAGGAGAATAACTTGAACCCGGGAGGTGGTGATTGCATTGAGCAGAGATCGTGCCATTGCACTCCAGCCTGGGCAACAAGAGTGAAACTCCATCTCAAAAAAAAAAAAAAAAAAAAAAAAAAAAAAGACTGGCCTTCACCACCTCAGAACTACAGCCAAATAATGCACTCGTTCTCACATTCTCATTTCCCACCCACACTGCTATCTAAACTCTTGGGAAGTGTGGAAAGGGCTTTCTCAGTCCAAATCCTGATACCAATACCCATGGCATTCTCCTGTCAAATCAATAGAATCAGAATTTTAGAGCTGGGAAGGGACTCTCAATGCCTTCCTTTGAGGGATGTTTGCTAAGCGTCTTTCGTGTCCAGGGCACAATGACAGTGCTCAGAGCTGCCATCCAGGGAAACACCCAGAGCATCTGAGTGCAGAGGCCCAGGGAGATGCTGTCCCCAAGGGAGCAGGCTCCCAGCCCAGGTCACCCGCTGAGCCAAGGTAACCCCCTGTGGCCTCGTTCAGAGAAAAATCTTGGAAGTTTAGTATAGTTTTACTCTCAGAGATTGAAAAAACAGCTGAGAACAGCAGCTCTTCTGTAAAGACTTCATAGCTCAATTACCCTGAGTGTAGGATATGATTCTGAAGCCAGCTGTGTAGTTCAATTCCGTTTCTTTAAAGAAAAAGGGCTGGCCTGGCATGGTGGCTCACGCCTGTAATCCCAGCACCTCAGGAAGTTGAGGCAGGAAGATCGCTTAAGGCCAAGAGTTCAAGATCAGCCTGAAAAATATAGCGAGACCCCCATCTCTATAAAAAATAAAAAATTAGCTGAGGTTGGTGGCGCACGTCTGTGTTCCCAGCTACTCAGGAGGGGCTGGGAGGATCGCTTGAGACCAGGAGGTTGAGGCTACAGTGAGCCGAGATGGCGCCACTGCACTCCAGCCTGGGTGACACAGTGAGACACCATCTCAAAACAAAAGCAAAGCAAAGCCAAAAGAACCCAAATGGCCAACATCTAGCGGACATTAAATAAATTATAATACATCCATATTCTGGGTTGTGGTATAGCCATGGGTTCTGATAATATTTGATGATCTTGAAGAAAGGCTCATTGAAAAAAGATAAAGGAGGGAACAAAAGTATATGTACAGTGTAATCCCAATTGTGTGTGTGTGTGTGTGTATTGTAATTTTAAGAAGCAAGGGAGCAATAAACATAAACATCAAGTTGGGTGCAGTGGTGCACACCTATATCCCCAGCTACTTGGGAGGCTGAGGCGGGAGGATCACTTGAGCCCAGAAGTTTCAGGCTGTAGTGCACTCTGATCCTGCCTGTGAATGGCCACTGCACTCCAGCCCGGGCAACACAGTGAGACTTCGTCTCTGAAAACAGCAACCTCAGTGTATACCTCCAATCCGGGGAGGCAGACAGAGGGATTGGGAAGAAGAGGCGCACATGAGCAGATGTAGGCATTAGTAATGGCTAATTTTGGAACTGATAGTAGATTAATTATATTGCATATTAAATAAATAAATGCTGCATGTACATATGTATACATGACTGCATAGAAAAAAATTGGGAAAATTTTACCAAAATTTCTAGATATCTGACTTCAATTTTCTTCCTCATACTTTTCTGTATTTTCCAACATTTCTAAGATTTGGGAATGTATTTCTTTTATAATTGAAAAAGTGAGGCTCACTTGCATAAGTTGGGGAAGAACCTAGATGTATGAGAAGGACAGTGCTATTCCATGGGAAATTTCCACCAGAAATTGGGAAATGCTCCTGGAATCAGGAGCCTGGACTTTGTGCTGGGCCTTCTGAATGTGCACCTCACTCTTTGCCACAAGGGGGAGCAAGGAGACAAGGTAAAAGAGAAGCCAGACCTGTGGGGGCAGTGGCGGTATGGGGGGGCCAAGGTGACAAACTCCCCTCCCACTCCCCATGTGTCCCCAGAGCCTCACCCAAGATCTTCATGAGGTTATGAACACAGCTATGAATTAGGATCTGAGCTGTGTCTGAGGACTTTCTACCAAAGTCAGAATCTAATTTGTGTATCGTTTTTAGATTTTTTTTCTCTTTTTTTGAGACGGGGTGTCACTCTGTTGCCCAGGCTGGAGTGCAGCAGCGCCATCTCAGCTCAGTGCAGCCTCAACCTCCTAGGCTCAAGCGATCCTCCCGCCTCAGCCTCCCGAGTAGCTGGGACTACAGGTGTGAACCACCACACCAGGCTAATTTTTCTATTTTTTGTAGAAATGGGGTCTCACTATGTTGCCCAGACTGGTCTTAAACTACTGGGCTCAAGCAATCCTCCTGCCTTGTCCTCCCAAAGTGCTGGAATTAGAGTGCCTGGCCACAGGTCTAATTTGAATGTCAGAAGGGCAGCAAGTAATTACTAAGTTGTTTTATGGAGAAACCAATGTTGTCACCATACCACACACAGCTATGTTACAGCCCTGATGACACCACCTACAAGTCATTTAGTCTCAGTCACTTCCTAGTGAAGCTCTAGCTTCCATTTAATCAGAGACAGTTTGGGAAAGAAGGAGGTGACATACAACCAGAGTCGTAATTGGAAAATAGCCCAGGCAGTGTTCCTTGTGATTTTATGTTGTTTTCATCAACTTGGTGTTTGGAAATAGACGTCAGTTAGTGACATGTGTAGCAGGCATAGAGGAAAGAATGAACTTTGAAACCAGAATTCTTGTGTTCAGATCCCAGGTCTGCAGCCCCCTCGTTGTGGGCCTGTGGCAGATTAGTGGTCCCTCCGAGTCTCGGTGTCTTCATTTTTAACATGGAGACGACCAGAGGGAAACTCCTGGCTGGGTAAGGCCCCCCAAGAGAGAGGCTTCAGCTGCAGGTGGCTTTCTTTGGCCAAAGTCCTGGGAAGGCCTGGACGACACTCAAGGTAGGAGCCTGGGACAGAGGGGCCAAGATCACACCCGCTGAGCCAGATACACCTCAACACCTAGAAAGACTGGGTTTCCTAATGCAACAGGATTCACCACTTAAATCTAAAGAAAAGAATCAGATGTAGCTGGGCACTGTGGCTCATGACTGTAATCCTAGCACTTTGGGAGGCCAAGGTGGGAGGATCGCTTGAGCCCAAGAGTTCAAGACCAGCCTGGGCAACATAGCAAGACCCCATCTCCACAAAAAATACAAAAATTAGCTGTTGCGGTGGCATGCACCTATAATCCCAGCTACTCGGGGAGCTGAGCTCAGGAGTTTGAGGCTACAGTGAGCTGTGCTTGCACCACTGCACTCCAGCCCAGGTGACAAAATGAGACCCTGTCCCTAAAAATAAAGAATTGAAGAATGAGACCCAGTTTGGTCTGCATCTTAGGACTCAGATCCAAAGATGGCAGACCTCCCCCCACCATGTTTTGTGTCCCATGAACATGTCAGCCGCAGCGTGGCACACAGGAAGGAAAGCGGGATAGTGCCCAGGAACAGGGTAGGGGGGTGCGGGGGGTGTGGCCCTTAGGACCTAGGAAGGCACAAATGGACACAACTTGATTGTTTTTTCTTTTTTGAGACAGAGTCTTGCTCTGTTCCCCAGGCTGGAGTGCAGTGGCATGATCTTGGCTCACGGCAACCTCTGCCTCCCAGGTTCAAGTGATTCTTCTGCCTCACCCTCCTGAGTAGCGGGGATTACAGGCGCGCACCACCATGCCTGGCAAATTTTTGTATTTTTAGTAGAGACGGGGTTTCGCCATGTTGGCCAGTCTGGTCTCGAGCTCCTGACCTCCAGTGATCTGCCTGCCTCGGACTTGCAAAGTGCTGGGATTACAGGTGTGAGCCACCGTGCCCGGCCAACCTGATTTTATTTTAAAACAAAACAATGGCAGAGCCTATCTTTGAGGAAGGAGGGTCCAGGGACCCTGGTGCTATTCCCAGCCAGATGCCTGTTGTGGAGTCAGGACAACTCCAAGGCTGTTGCTGCTGGAAAGGGAGGTTCCCTGCACCAGCACATTGCACAGCTCCAAAGGCGTGGGCCACGTGCATGGAACATGGTCCAAAGGTGCCTCCTGGAGCTGAGCAACTTGGAGGCCATGGCAGATGCCAGCCCAATCTCCCAGAACACTGGTGTGTAAAAGGCCCTCAAGACCAGAAGGAACTGAGGCTGAGTGTGACATGACCTGCCAGAGGCTATACCGTCTGCAAAAGTGGCTGGCACCAGCCACCCTGGCATCCCCCCTGTGCTGTCCCTGGGTGCTGCCCTTCACTCCCCAGCCTTGTGGAGGGCTGGCCTTACCTTCTGACCTCAGGGAACCAAATGGCAACATTTCTGTCATCTCTGTGATCACATCCTGCGGTTTGTCTGCCCGCCCCATCAACATGCCCCTTCTCATCTTTTATTTGATGGAATATTTCCTGTGAGATTCTGCCAAAGACCTGCTTGCTTCCGTTACTTTGATTTTGTTTTAAGGAAAGCAAAACTTATGGAAATCAAACTGGTTTTGACACAGGAGGCATAACAAATAAAAATTTCCATTCCCGAGTGAGTATAAATAATCGGTTCTGACACCCAGCCTTTGACGTGAACCACAGCAGCTGTCACGCGGGAGGACACAGGTGGCAGGTCTCAAACACGAGTCTGCAATTTTTACCCAAAGAGTGGAATCAGTGCAGAAACTGGGACCTCTGGAAATTTTTTTTTGAGAAATTTCATTTCCTCTAAGCTTAGTCAGTATTACTCGATTTTAGTGTTCCCATGAGCTAGGCGCTCACTGCAAAACTTGAAGCATCAGCCTGAAATTTTCCAGTTAACCCATAATCCTTGCCAGGGGGCATCAGTATGGCAGCACCTTGGCCAGAACTTCGCACGACGGCTTCCTTTGTTCTGTGGCTAAAGGAGTGTCTTGTGGTGCCACTTTTCAAAAGACAGCCACGGCTCCAGGTGCCGCTCAGGAGGCCTTGTGGAGTGAATTCTGTGAGGTCATTGCTGCTGTGGCCTGTGTCGTGAAACTTGTGGTCTGACCTAAGAGCAAAGAGGATGCCCTTTAAGCAGAAACATTTTTTAAGTTTTCCTCTCCACACCTGCTTCACCGTGCATCCTCTCCCCACTGCCCCATCATCTCTAGTCCCCAAATCATGGAGATGCGGGCTCCTGGCAGTAGACGCTGCCACAGGGGGGCATCTCATTTCAGTTGTTGGCATTCTCGCTGAGGGACACTGTGCAGGCAAGCAGCCTTGGGAAATCTGAAAATATACCAAATGTCATGTTCCCAAAACTACTTCACATACCTACTTTCCTCCAAAATTGCTCTGGCTTTTTAGAGACCGTAACCCTAGTCTTATTGCAAAATGAGGCCTCAGATTAAGGGAGGTTTTTCTTTGATGAGTTGTATCGAACACATGTCCATTGACAGCCTGCTAAGGCACTAAAGTCTATGGAAGATGGAAAGTTCTGGCCTGGAAAATGGATGAGAGGCATTTGTTTAGAGGTTTTTTTGTCGTGTTTTTGTTTTTGTTTTTTAGATGGAGTCTTGCTCTGTCGCCCAGGCTGGAGTGCAGTAGTGTAGTCTTGGCTCACTGCAACCTCTGCCTCCTGGGCTCAAGCAATTCTCCTGCCTCAGCCTCCCAAGTAACTGGGATTACAGGTGTGTGCCATCATGCCCAGCTAATTTTTGTATTTTAGTAGAGATGGAGTTTCACCATGTTGGCCAGGTTGGTCTTGAACTCCTGATCTCAAGTGATCCACCCTCCTCAGCCTCCCAAAGTGCTTGGATTACAGGCGTGAGCCACCGCGCCTGGCTCGAGCTCATGGTCTAGTTGTAGAGACAAAGAAGTAGGCAATTGCAGTGGGGTTTTAGAAGCGCTGTGACAGGCTGGCGTATGCACAGATCAGGGCAGACAGGGGAGAGGAGGCCCAGCTGGTAATAGAGTCAGGCCCGGCCCCAAAGCCCACATTCTGTCAGTGCTGAGACAGAGACAGAGATGGACAGACACAGACAGGCACAGGGTCGCTCTTCAGTGTTGTTCACCCCCTGTTGGTGATCCTCTGGCATCTGGTGCTTGCACCCACTCCTCTCTGTCTCTCAGAGGCAAAACGGAGAGCCTGGTTCGTGGAAGACACAATGGCTACTCTTATATCTCCACAGTAGATATCCTGCAAACAGTTGATTGTGCGGACAGCTTTTCTCAAGGCACCCTCTTATCCTGCTCCCCCAACCTGATTTTCATCCTGAATTCTCTGTCTCTAGGCCCACCTCTACCCACCCAGTGCACCAAATCAGAGAAGGCAGGATCATCCCAGCTCCTCCTCCCCTCCCTCCCCACTCCCACATCCAGTGATGCAGCTCGAACTTCAGACTCCCATCCTTTGCTTGGTTCCCATTGTCACTGTGTCACTGCCTCAAATTGGACCTCTTCATTGTCATCGGGGCAATGACAACTGAGTCCTAAGTGGCCCCCAACCTCCCCTCTCTCCCAGTGCAACCTAAGCACCATACTGCCACCAGCATTGTGCCCTGAAAGCAAATTAGATCACACCAGTGTCTTTCTTTTTCTTTCTCTTTCTTTCGTTTGTTCGTTCTTTCCTTCTTTCTTTTTCTTTCTTTCTCTCATTTTCTTTCTCTTTCTCTCTCTTTCTTTCTCCTTCCTTTCTCTCTCCTTCCTTTTTTCATTTATTTTTTCCTCCCTTCCTTCCTTCCTTCCTTCCTTCCTTTTCTTTTTCTTTCTTCCTTTCTCTCACATTCTTCCTCTTTCTCTCTCTCTCTCTCTCTTTCCACTCTCTCCTTCCTTCCTTTTTTCCTCCCTTCCTCCCTCCCTTTTTTCTTTTCTTTTCTTTTCTTTCTCTTTCTTCCTTTCTTCCTTCCTTTCTCTCACTTTCTTTCCTCTTTCTTTCTTTCTCTTTTTCTTTCTCCTTCCCTTCTCTCTCCTTCCTTCCTTTCGTTTGTCTTCCTTTCATTTTTTCTTCCTTCCTTCCTTTCACCCTTCCTTCCTCTCTTTTTTCTTTTCTTTTCTTCCTTCCTTTCTCTCTCTCTCTCCCCCTCCCTCCCTCTCTCCTTCCCTCCCTTCCTTCCTTCCTCTCTCTCTTCTTCTTTCCCTTCTTTCTTTTCTTTCTTTTTTCCTTCCTTCCTTTCTTTCTTTCTCTGTCTCTCTTTCTCTCTTTCCCTCCCTCCCTCCCTTCCTTCTTGTTGGTGGGAGGACAGGGTCTCGCTCTGTCACCCAGGCTTGAGTGCAGGGATAGGATCATGCAGCCTTGACCTCCTAGGCTCAAGCAATCCTCTTGCCTCAGCCTCCTGAATAGCTAGGACTGCAGACACGTGCCACCACACCAGGGTAATTTTTGTATTTTTCGTAGAGATGGGTTCTTGTTATGTTGCCCAGGCTGCTCTTGAACTCCTGGCTTCAAGTGATCCTCCCATCTCACCTTCCCAAGTAACAGAGACTACAGGCAAGTGCTGGCATGCCCAGGTTTTTTATTTTTTGTGGAGACAGGGTCTTGCTATGTTGTTCAGGCTGCTCCCTGGCCTCAAGTGGTCCTCTTGCTTTATCCTCCTCACGAAGTGCTGGGTACAAGCATGAGCCACTGCACCCAGCGGATCATGGCATTCTCAGTCTGATATATCTCCAATGACTTTACATTGTGCAGAGAATAGAATCTGATTTTCTTAGCATGGCATATCAGGGTCTGCATCTTGCTTCATCTCATCCTTCCATCATCTGCCGCAGCCACACAATCTCTCACTAGCACCTGAGTGCACCTCCTCCCTCTTGCACACACCTCACCCTCTGAGCCCAGGTGAGGATATCTCCGACTTCCCAACTTAGGAAGCCCCTATGCAACCAACAAAATTCAGCTCAAATATTACCTCATCTGTAAACACATTCCTTTATTTCTCTAGAAAGTCTAAATCATGCCTTCGTCTGTATTTATATCTTCATAAGTCCTCCACCCTTATATTTATACCTTTATTTTAGTGCTTGTCATAATACATTGAAATCATCCATATGTACATGTCTTCTATCTGGATCTCTCTCTCTCTCTGTGTCACCCAGGCTCTGTCATCCATACATACAAGTTTTCTGTCTGAATCTTTCTCTCTCTCTCTCTCTCTCTCTCTCTCTCTCTCTCTCTCTCTCTCTCTATATATATATATATATATATATATATAGGCTTAATCTCCTGGGCTTAAATGATTCTCCCACCTCAGCTTCCTGAGTTGCTGAAACTACAGGTGAACACCACTATGACTGGCTAATTTTTTTTTTTTTTGAGATGGAGTCTCACTCTGTTGCCGAGGCTGGAGTGCAGTGGCACCGTGTTGGCTCACTGCAACCTCGGTCTCCTAGGTTCAAACAATTCTCCTGCCTCAGCCTCCCGAGTAGCTGGGATTACAGGTGACCACCACCACGCCCGACTAGTTTTTATATTTTTAGTAGAGACAGGGTTTCACCATATTGGCCAGGCTGGTCTCGAACTCCTGACCTCAGGTGATCCATCCACCTCAGCCTCCCAAAGTGGTGAGATTACAGGCGTCAGCCACCGCACGCGGCCTACTTTTTTTTTTTTTTTTTTTTTTGTGGAGACAGGATCTCAATATGTTGCCCAGGCTCGTCTTGAACTCCTGAGCTCAGGAGATCTTCCCACCTTGGCCTCCCAAAGTGCTGGGATTACAGGTGTGAGCCACTGTGCCCGGCCATTGGAGTTTCAAATTTTATTCCTAACATGTAATCCGAGGCTCTGTTCCATGCCAAGTGCTCTAAGTGCTCAGTGGCTGTTTGTGCCGTGTTACAGGAGTTCCCGTCAGTTCTTTCGCCTGTGTATATTGCCAGGGGCCTTTGGTAACCTGAAATTCCCTTACAGTGAGGCAGCAGGAAGCAGAGAAACCCGGCAGAGACAGAACCCTGGGGGCTCTTTCCTTTATCCTTGGTCATAATTGTACAACTTGAAAATAAATTCTGTAACACCCCTAGTCACCAGGGTTATCATGCTATCAAAGGGTGTTGTTTGATGTCAGTTTAAGGGATTAAAACAAGTAACTTCCATACGAGAGGTAGACAAGCAATACCAACCCAAGGACAAGGGCCAAGTAGTAGGAAGGCTCGAATCACCTGCATCACCCTCGGAATGGCACTGCATTACTCAAAATTGAGAATGTTCCCATGCACAGAATGCTGAGATTCATGTCAATGAATTGATGTTAGGTTGTTCTGCAGGAAAATGTAGTAAATAATAAGATTATCATTTATGGCATAGAAAAAATGCATTTTAGATGACTCTATGCTAAGAGCAATGAAACAATGAAGAGAAAAAATGATTTTTTGATCCAGATCTAGATTGTTCTACCCTTAAAGTATTTAAGACAGTGATAAGCACATGTCTAAATTACCTGACTAATAGTCCAAATGGAAAAAAATCAGACAGGAAAGGGATGAAGCAGAAGTTTTAAAAAATTCGTATTAGGAAAATTGGAAATACATGAAATTTCATCTGAAATCAGCCAGAGACTTGGATCCTTGTTCTGCTTAAGTGAGTTTTACATAATGCAACACAAATTAAATATGTTGCTGATAAAATGGACCCAAAGCTTCGTACTGAATTGTGTAAAATGCGCTATCATTGTTCCCACCATTGAAAAATGGGATTTTCATAAATTACATTATTTTCCTAATAACCCTAACTTCAAACAGTTCAATTTTCATTTAAAGGAAAGTAATTTCCCAAATGGCATTTAGTCAGAACAGGTGCTGTTACGTTCACAACTTTTAAGCGGTTGGGATTTTGACATCTGGATGCCAGAGCTAATCAGGGGGCGTTTTCTCTTTTTCTATCTGTCCTCACTATCTGAAGCCCAGTTTACAGCTTCTCAGTGTATTTTGTACCTCATTAGTTTTTGGCATCCTCTATAGCATATTGGCCAGTATGATTCATCCTTTCTTTGAGCACAATTAGCTGTGAAAACAGATCTTAGGGCAGACTCCCTCCCTACCCCCAAAGGATTACTGAAGGTAGGAAATGCAGGTGATTATCAGAGTTTGCCTTTGATACAGACATCCTGCTCTGCCGTGGCCCTTTGAACTAACTTTGATATGCAATAATTAAGAGGGATTGAACCCCTGGAGGAGAAGCCGCATGGCCCTGCCTCTTCTCTCCTTCTATTGAGTCCTTGTTTTGAACTATTGATCAAACAGATTTGAAGGGATTTGTTGAAGCCTGTGTGGGGCAGGAGGAAGGAACGGAGCGGGGAGGAGGCACATCTGGTTATAAATAGTTTCAGGAGGAACCTGCTGGTCAGACTTTGCTCAGCCGATTTCACGCACCTTACTCAGACTAAGGTTTACTTCTTTCAGAAAAAGCAGTGACAAACAGACGACGTGCTGAGCTGCCAGCTTAGTGGAAGCTCTGCTCTGGGTGGAGAGCAGCCTCGCTTTGGTGACGCACAGTGCTGGGACCCTCCAGGAGCCCCGGGATTGAAGGATGGTGGCGGCCGTCCTGCTGGGGCTGAGCTGGCTCTGCTCTCCCCTGGGAGCTCTGGTCCTGGACTTCAACAACATCAGGAGCTCTGCTGACCTGCATGGGGCCCGGAAGGTAAGGCTGCTAGGGAGGGGGGCGAGGTACGGGACTGCTGACAGCTGGGGTGTTTTGTTTAGGCTTTAGTAAGTCATTCTGATTCATGTATGAAATGTCTTACCTAGCAGGTAAATTGAATTGGTTTCGGATTTGGGAGGGCATCCTGGTAGGATCAGTGGCCTTAGTGTGAATGTATGAAATAAACACAGTGGCTTTTCACATCATTCGGCCATACGTTTGTCTATAAATCACGAAATAAACGAACACTTTGGAAGCTCTACTATGTGCCAGCTCTTTTACATGTAATACGTCATGTACTCTTCCTCACAATTTGAGATAGGTGAAACATTCCCTAATTCCAGATGAGGAAATAAGACTCAGAGATGTTGAAGAGCTTACCCAAGCTCACACAGCCAGCAAGCAAACATGGGAATGAGAATTTAAACAGAGGGCCATGATGCATTGCCTTGTCACCATCTAACTTCACAGAGAGAGTTGTTTTAGGAATCGCTTTATGTATGTGTATATGTTATTATATATCGTATAGATTATTACATATATCATATATGCTACACCTACGTTGTATGTCTATGTAGAAGCATCAACTGTGTATGAGAACAATTGATCTTCGGTATCTCTTTCTCTATGTCAATGAGGCATCATTGAAAATCAAAGGACAGTTCACTTAGGGAAGGGTCTCTAAGCTAAATGTGATTCACTAGAGTAAAAAATCAAATAGGAATGCCACAAACATCAATAGTATGTTTAATGAAACTGTAGCCAGCTTCTAGAGTTAAGATATATTGAAAATCTCATACTCACCTGTTAAGACACACATAGGAAAACATTTTTTCCCATTTTCACAAAGAGCACAGGAAAACTAAATTCTGAGTTAAGTCAATTTTTCAAACTCAAATAGCCTTTGCAGCGCCTAGGTCTCCCCGGGTGACATGAGCTTCCCTTTGTGGGAGAAAACCATTTCCACTGGAGAGTAAGATGCTGCCCAGGGTTTGTCACAGCGCCACTGTCCTTTGGCTCCCTCCGCCTCCTGCCTTCAATAATAAGTCATCTTCCATCGTGTTGGGGGTTTCCTAGCCTTGTGATAACAGATTCCCTCCACAGGGCTCACAGTGCCTGTCTGACACGGACTGCAATACCAGAAAGTTCTGCCTCCAGCCCCGCGATGAGAAGCCGTTCTGTGCTACATGTCGTGGGTTGCGGAGGAGGTGCCAGCGAGATGCCATGTGCTGCCCTGGGACACTCTGTGTGAACGGTGAGCGACATAACGCCAACAGTGGTTTTTAAACCGAAGGTAGTGTCTAAGCCCCATAGACTAGAATATTCCAGGGTAGGCACTCTCTAATGGTGCTTCCTAGATTCATGCTTGAAGTAAATGTATGCAGCTGCCTTTTCTTTTCCTTTTTTTTTTTTTTCTGAGGCGGAGTTTCGCCCTTGTTGTCCACAGCTCACTGCAGCCTCGGCCTCCGGGTTCAGGTGGTTCTCCTGCCTCAGCCTCTGGAGTAACTAGGACTACAGGCATGTACCACCATGCCCGGCTAATTTTTGTTATTTTTAGTAGAGATAGGGTTTCACCATGTTGGTCAGGCTAGTCTCGAACTTCTGACCTCAGGTGATCCACCTACCTCGGCCTCCCAAAGTGCTGGGATTACAAGCGTAAGCCACCGGACCCGGCTTGCCTTTTCTTAATGAAACAAAATAATTTATTTCCTGGCAACAGCTCTTGCCAATGACTTGGAGATAATGATTTTAAAGGAAAGACTCAAGTTGTAATCATTCAAATACTTCCATTTCCACTTGGATACCATTAACTACCTTTAATGGAATGCAATTTCCACTTAGCTACTTTCTCTGCCACATGCGAGCATGTAAATATTTAGCACATGTTCCAGAAATCTAGAAAGTTATATATAAACTGAAGGCAGAGGTGCTGCCAAACTATGCAACAGTAGGATAATTAGTGTGTCTGTGGTTCTCCCCCTTGAAGTTAATAATTCTAGTTACACCTGGTTGTCCCTCAGATGTTTGTACTACGATGGAAGATGCAACCCCAATATTAGAAAGGCAGCTTGATGAGCAAGATGGCACACATGCAGAAGGAACAACTGGGCACCCAGTCCAGGAAAACCAACCCAAAAGGAAGCCAAGTATTAAGAAATCACAAGGCAGGAAGGGTAAGAACAGCATTCGCAGCATATTTTATTTCAGAAATGCATTTTCTCCTCCCAGCCTCTTAAGGATAGGGTGAGACTGATTTTATTCTTCTCCATCCCAGAAACACTTAGGAAGCATGTGCTGTTTGTTATCTCTTTCTGTAAGAAGCTGTGGGGGTCACGTAGAGAGTAGCCTAAGGTAGTCTGCAGCCAGTAACAACGATCAATTCTGATGGGTAGGGGTGGAGTCGCCATGGCATTACTGCTTTTAGCGTAACACCTAGCTCTGTGAGACCTGCGTGCTGTGTCTGTTTTTACTTTGTGGCTGTCAGTCATAGGTCCCATTCCCTTATCCCAGTAGCAAACCCCCAGCAGGCCACTTTCCTTATTTATCACTAAAGCCCACATTAACCTTGTTACAGGACAAGAGGGAGAAAGTTGTCTGAGAACTTTTGACTGTGGCCCTGGACTTTGCTGTGCTCGTCATTTTTGGACGAAAATTTGTAAGCCAGTCCTTTTGGAGGGACAGGTCTGCTCCAGAAGAGGGCATAAAGACACTGCTCAAGCTCCAGAAATCTTCCAGCGTTGCGACTGTGGCCCTGGACTACTGTGTCGAAGCCAATTGACCAGCAATCGGCAGCATGCTCGATTAAGAGTATGCCAAAAAATAGAAAAGCTATAAATATTTCAAAATAAAGAAGAATCCACATTGCATTTGAGCTCAATCTTGGACATTAACTTTAAAATGCTTCCATACAGATCTCTCTTAAAATCAAATCTTGTAGCAAGTGAAATAGCCTGAAACTAGAGAACTAAGAGATGGCGACCTTGTGATGAATGAAACTAGCTTTAGCCTTTTGTCCGTTTTTCCAGAAAACTGATGGGACTCTGTAACCAAAAAAATTATTTCTAATCTAGGGACTCAATTAATTCAAATCTTTAAGAATTGAAGCCAGGCATGGTGGCTCACGCCTGTAATCCCAGCACTTTGGGAGGCAGAGGTGGGTGGATCACGAGGTCAAGAGTTTGAGACCAGACTGGCCAACACTGTAAAACCCTGTCTCTACTAAAAAATACAAAAAATTAGCTGGGCATGGTGGCAGATGTCTGTAATCCCAGCTACTCGGGAGGCTGAGGCAGAAGAATTGCTTGAACCCGGGAGGCGGAGGTTGCAATGAGCCAAGATCGCACCATTGCACTCCAGCCCGGGTGACAGTACGAGACTCGGTCTCAAAACAACAACAACAACAACAACAACAACAACAACAAAGAATTGAAATTGTATATATTTAAAGTGTACTGTGTGAGTTTTGAAATACATATACTATAACCGAGCCACATCTCTCTCTCCAAATAAATCTTTAAACAATTTCTGGTGAAGGGTTGGTGCCTGACAGTATCCTAGGGGGTAAAAAATGATAGCATCTGAAGTTAAAAGTAAATTAATTCTTACATCTTACCAGGAAAATTATCACAGCAAATACTATATTTTTCCTTAATAACTCTATTGTTTATTTCCATTCATTTCTTAGAAGGGAAATGGCATTTCACTACAAAATAATTTGGTTAATAAAGAAGTTTCAAGATATCTTATGTTTGTATAGTCCTTTGCAAGTTATAAAGCATTTTCACGTTTTCAGTAGCTTTACTTACCATTTGATAACTTTGTATATTTTATATTTATATAATTTTAATATTTGAAAGGCAGGGCTTTCAAGGAGTGTTTTTACTTACACATTTTGACCACTTGTGCTTAAAAGCCCAGAGGAGAACTCGGGCAAAAAAGTGAAATTTTTGTTTGTTTGAAGTTTAAAAGGGCTGTATTTTGTGCATAGAAGTGGTTGTGCTTAGGGGAGCTCTTTCTAGTGGATTTCAAGCAAGTGCTACAGATTTAAGAGATAAATCATACACCTGTTTTTCTATTCAGGTTATAAGTTTATATTACAAGATTCAATGATATGGTTTGGACGTTTATCCCCTCCGTATCTCATGCTTGAAATGTGACCTCCAGTATTGGAGGTGGGGCCTGGTGGGAGGTGACTGGACCATGGGGGCGGATTCCTCCTGAATGGCTCAGCACCATCCCCTTGGTGATGAGTGAGTTCTGTTAGTTGACACAAGATCTGGTTGTTTAAAAGTGTGGCACCTCCTCTCTCTCTCTCGCTCCTGCTTTCACCATGTGAAGTGCCTGCTCCCACTTCATCTCCCAGCATGAGTAAAACCTTCCTGAGGCCTCCCAAGAAGCTTAGCAGATGCCAGTGCCATGCTTCCTATACAGTCAGCAGAACCATGAGCCAATTAAACCTTTTTCCTTCATAAACTACCCAGTCTCCAGTATTCTTTTAGAGCAATGCAAGAATGGACTGACACAATCAAATATGGGCCCAACAAAAAACTAAATTTATGAAGGTCCCTAGTTTATTTTTTTGAGATGGAGTCTCACTCTGTCGCCCAGACTAGAGTACACTGGTGTGATCTTGCCTCACTGCAACCTCCGCCTCCCGGGTTCAAGCAATTTTCCCACCTCAGCCTCCTAAGTAGCTGGGATTACAGGCATATGCCACCACCCTCAGCTAATTTTTGTATTTTTGGTAGAGACAGGGTTTCACCATGTTGGCCAGGCTGGTCTCCAACCGCTGACCTCAGGCGACCCACCTGCCCCAGCCTCCCAAAGTACTGGGATTACAGACATGAACCACCGTGCCCCGCCCCCCCCCAGTTTCTAGAAAATATTGAACAGTCTTCCAGAGGCTAGTCTCTGGGTGTACCTTAATTAACAATTTTTGATCAGTAAGTAGGGGTAATGTGGTTTATAGCATAGAGCAGAATATGAGAAAATAAAAATTCCCATTAAAGATCTGCTATCATCTCATATTTCTCTCTACAAAACCCATAGTAAAGTATGATCATGAACACAATATGAAAATTTAAACTAAACATACTTGCTAAGAAAATAAGATCATCATCATCCAATAATAGTACATGAGGTTTTATTGACTACATTGCAAGCAAAAGCATGAAGAAGAAACAATCATTTAAAAACACCAAAGACCCTTACATAGCAAAGGTTAAGAAATAAATTAAGACTCCTATTGGGTTGTGTCTGCCAGGGAGGATACAGGCCTCATTCGCTCCGGTCCTTGGGTTCCCGGTATTTCCACTGGATGTAATCAAAGATGTCTTTTTCACTATCCACTGGCAGGGGTTCTCCTGCAACTCCTGCAAGTACAGAGAGAAAAACTTATTGTAAGAACCAGTTTTATAGTTTAGTTATAGAGGGTTCAAGATTAAGAGCTGTGTGGGACTTGCTTTCAGAAGAAAAAAGAAAATGGTAACCAAGTCACTAAAAAAAAAAAGACCGGCGGATGTGGTAGCTCACGCCTGTAATCCCAGCAATTTGGGAGGCCGAGGCAGGTAGATCACCTGAGGTCAGGAGTTTGAGACCAGCCTGACCAACATGGAGAAACCCCATCTCTACTAAAAATACAAAATTAGCCAGGCGTGGTAGCTCATGCCTGTAATCCCAGCTACTCGGGAGGTTGAGGCAGGAGAATCGCTTGAACCTGGGAGGCAGAGGTTGCAGTGAGCCGAGAATGTGCCATTGCACTCCAGCCTGGGCAACAAGAGCGAAACTCCATTTCAAAAAAAAAGACACTGACTACCTCTATCCTCTCCCAGGAGGCTGTGCTGGAGCTTCATCTCGTGAGTCATCAGTGCCACAAAGGGAACCTGGGGATCCCAGCTAGGGCCACTCAAGTCATCCTCACTCATGATTGTCCTTTCTGCTGGAGCCACTATGTATTATATACTCTAGTGAGTTCCTTTGCAACTCGGTTCTTGGACTAGCAGCACTGGCATTATCTAGAACAAGCTTATCCAACCATGGCCCGCCAGCTGCATGCGGCCCAGCTCCACTTTGAATGTGGCCCAACACAAATTCGTAAACTGTCTTAAAACACGATGAGATGTTTTTATGATTTTTTTCTTTAAAGCTCATCAGCTATCGTGAGTGTTAGTGTATTTTATGTGTAGCCCAAGACAATTATTCTTCTTCCAATGTGACCCAGGGAAGCTAAAAGATTGGTAACCTCTGATCTAGAAGCTTACTAGAAATGCAGAATCCTGAGCCCCACTGCAAGCCAAAGGAATTAGAATCTGAATTTAGTGAGGCCCCCATGTTGCTGGTATGCACACTGAATTGTGAGAAGCACTGCCCTAGTCTACCAGGGATGAGGTATTTTATACTTTGAGGACAAAGTATTTTATACTTTGAGGACAAAATGACAAAAATTCATTCTCCTAGTAGAGAACAGTAAACCACATAGTATACTGTGAAATGTTAACAGAACCCATTAAGCATAGATTCAGCAATCCTTATTCTTTAAACTTTAAAAGCATGGGGCCAAAGATACCATGGCACTAAAAGCAAAGTATGTGGCACTGAAAACAATGATACTTGAGTTTTTCAGGGGTCCTAGAGGTACATTAAACAACAGCAAAAAAAAAAAAAAAAAAAAAAAAACCCTTTTAGATGAATAAGATATTTTACTGAGCATGCAAGGATTTAATCCATTTTAACAAAGCTGGAACTAACGCTTGCCTTGATGGCCTTCAACTGAGGGCCTAGGAGCATGTTATGCATTAAATCCTCTCTCGTTGCCTGAAGGACTAAAAATACAAAGAAACTACACTAACTGGCATAGTTATTAGAAGGTTTGCTAAACCAAAGTATCTTTGAAAATAACCTTCTCTCCAGATGAGAGATGATCTCTAATACACACATGGACACTCACCAGTGACTCCCAAGGGACGGATGGTGTACTCATTGATTGTGAAACCCTTTTCTAGGGCATGAGCCCTCATATTCTTATTGAAAATATCACTCCCAGTGAAATAGAGAACACCACAGTAATACTGATCTTTGGGTATCAACCTAAAAAAAATGGACAGTAGATACATTTTTTTACCATGCATTTCAAGTTTAGCAAATATAGGACTCCTAAAATCAATAAGGAACAAAATACCAAAGATAAGCCTAAGTGGTCTAATAATTTGAAGAGAAGACTATCATGAGGTAGACTGCTCAAATCACCCCAACCTTGTAATTTGTTTAGGTTTCTGTGAACTTTGTTCTGAAAGAGATGTGGAGAAATGAAATTGCATTATCACCTATTACAACTAACTTAGCCCAGGCAGGAAATGACTTTTGAGCTGTGGAAGGCATCATGGTGAGGTGCAAATCTAGAGAAAATAAATTGGAGTCTGTAGACAGTCATTATTCTTTACATACTTTGGAGCTAAACATTGCATTTGGCAAGAACATATGGCTCTTGGGAGTAAAAAAAGGCTCTAGATATGAATGTGAACTCCAAGATACAAACAGGGAGGGAGAAAACGAGACAAGTTTGGAAAAGTTAACAGGTCAGCAACAAAGTCTGAACAATACCTGATATCAATTCTTCTGTGTGGATATTCTTTTTCATCATTTTTACTGGGAAGCTGGCAAACACCCTAAAATGAACATTTTAAACCAAGTTTAAAGATGTTCTAAACTTAAGGCTTAATTTTAATCAAGTAAAACACAAGGCCATTTTTGTTTTTAATGTTAGCAGCTCTAGAATTCTGAGCACTTTTAACTTAGCAGCTTCTGTGAGCAATACACTATCCCTACCTTTCTATTACACTTCACGATAATTAGAGAACTACACAAAACTGCAAATAAGGATTCTCATTATGAGGATTTGGTCTTTGTGTGATTCTAAGCAAGAAACTAATCAAAGAAAACCCTGAACACGAAACACAGACATCAAAATAAACAGAAGAGAGCAACGTGGAAGAAACGATGATTATGCAGGAAGAAGAAAACAAACAAAAAAGCTACCAGTATAGTCTCAAACAAAAAAGCTTCCAGTAATAACAGAAGATACTCTATCCATGAAGTAAGAACAGAATACTATAGAAAACCCTCAGGGAAAGGTTTAAATCAAAATTTAAAATGATAGGTAGCAGAAGTAAAAGAGTTTGAAATTGAAGAAATCTCTCAGACACTAGAAGGGAGAAAGACACGGAAAATAAGAAAAATATGAGATCAGAAAATGAGGGGATCACTTTCTTCCTTCACAGGTAATTTTTCATTATACTTCTACAATTTCCAAACAAAAGTTATCCAAGTCTGTTTTATCTTTTCCCTTTCCTGAAAAATGGACAAAAAATCTGGACTGGTCAGCAACCCATACATATGTAAAACAAGATATAAGCACCACCAAATTTCCAATTAAAAGTATCAAATGCTACATTCTAAGAAAAATACACAAGTGACAAGCTTCTGGTCCTCAAGAGTGGTCAAGTTAACACATGCCACTAAAAGCCATACTTTTTCACTCAGCAAAATAGAAAAATTAAAATCTAAACTAATTCTTTAGCTGTTCCTATGGAAGAAAGATTAATGAAATATGTTTACCTTCAAAATATGAAACCTACCTTCTTAGGCACTAACAAGTTCCAACTCAACTTCCACCTTCAAGTGGATCAGAAGTCATTTCCACCTGGAATTACCAGGAGGTATTACCTTGCGGATGCGGATGTCTAGATACCACAGGGAATGATGTTCCTGTTTGTCACATCAGTAATAGGATTTTATCTCATGGCTTTGTTCCTTTCCTCAAGGCTAATTTTATTTCCTGCACTTTTTCTGAAGTGCTAATATTAAAGAATTTCTCTGTTTTACTGTAAATTCTGTATTAGATTGAGTGGATTAGCTTTGTTTGGCATTTCATTTGGGTAGCTTCATACTGAGTGTCGGAAATAAAACCTCTTTCATTTCCTCGGGGTAGCCATGGTATCTCCTATTGTCCCTTGAATTCTTACTGCAGATATTTCACAGAAAATCACCCAAGGCCAAACTTGCACAAAATACTGAAATCTGAATGGCACTCACCGTATATAAAACCAATAGTTGAATGCAGAGGAAACTTTTTTTCTTCTGAGTGTTACTATATTCACAGGAATATAGTATAGCTCAATTATCTAAAGACTATGATTGCACAAGATGATCTGGAATAACCATGGCTTTCCTAAGGTTTGATTACTATTAGCTTAAAGGAATTTGTGTCTTGAATATAACTTGAAAAACACATGAAGAGGCATACCTTTAAGACTAGTAAGTGGTGATAGCAAGAAGAGGTTTTGCAAAAAAAGGGGATATGGAATGAGAATGGTTTATTTCACTACCTAAGTTGAATTCATTTTGCAGCCAATTTCCTTTTAGAAGCCTAGAGCTCTCATCTTCATTAGATATCTTGCTCATGCTCATTCCCATAGGCTTGGTGCTCGGACTCCTGCCTGGCTATCTCTTCCCTCAGATACCGGCTTAGCTAACTCCCTATGTCATTCCCTAAGTCTCATGTTCTCAATGAGGCTGCCTCCAACCACACTATTTAATACTGCCTCCTGCACTCTCCTCTCCCCTAGACCCTGTTCTTCCTTTTTAAAAAATAACACTTACTACCCAACCTATTATATAATTCACATATTTATTATGTTCATTGTTAACTATCAGTCCCTTCCCACAGTCCTCAAATATGAGTTTTACTTAAATTCATGGATACATCCCAAGCTTCGAGAACAGTGCCTGGAATGGAGGACATGCTTGTATGTATTTGCTGAACTGACTGAATACAACTGCTGCCCTGGGGGTGCTCACTCTCCTCATTCTGTTCTCCTTTCATGGCACCATCCTCTCTCTTTCTATCCCTTCTTTTGTTCCCCAATCTAACCCTTACCAGGTCACCTGCCTCTACTGACCCATTTCCACACAGATGACATCTTATATTTGTGCAGCTCTCTTTGTACAACTCTTGGAAGATCCATTATCTTTGAAGTTGTGCAAATTCTTATTTGTACATCAAATATTTGTACAAACTCTTCAAAGTTTCCACATATACTATTTAATTTTGATCTGCATAACGGTCTTCTGACGTAGGGCAAATATCAATTTTAAAGATAAAACTCAGGCCTTTTAGAAGTAAATCCACCTTCCCAATGCCATACAGAGTATTAGTAATGGAGCCAGAATAAGACCCTCTATCTTCTGTATCCAAATTTATTCTTCTATAATGAAAGATACAAACCACCTCTTACCTGTCTCTAAAATTGATTTGAAAGTTGACCTCGAGTGCTTCTCTTCCTAACAATGATTACAAATGTCAAAACAGCATGCTCAACTACGGTATTTTTTTAAGTTCCAGGGACTATGAACCACAGGTATAACATCCAAACTTTGTCAAAAACCACCCACTGAGATGGATTCCTATGTCGCAACATAAAGGCCTTAGTTTCTTGTTCTTATTGTCACCTGAATCTTCTATACTTTAAAAACAAATAAACAGACCCAGTCTTCTTGTTTTTTAGCCTGTTTTCTTCTGGAAATATGTCTGGGGGATGCCTTTCCTGGCAATACCAGTAGATGTGCTGCCAGATGTATGATTGAAAGACAGGGAAGTCAAGATAGGGTCTATCCTAGGATGGGTGAGTGGCCTTAGTATTCTTTCCTGTGGCACATGTACTGGGATAACCCAAGTCCAACACTATCAACAAGATCACAAAGACTTGGCTACCCACCTTTCCTTTTCAGGTTACATCCAGCCCACTAGATTATACTTTTTCCTTTTTTTTTTTTCCTTTGGGAGGGAGTCTTGCTCTGTCGCCAGGGCTGGAATGCACTGGCACAATCTCAGCTCACTGCAACCACTGCCTTCCTGGTTCAAGCGATCCTTCCACCTCAGCCTCCCCAGTAGCTGGGACTACAGGCGCCCGCCACCACGCCCAGCTAATTTTTGTATTTTTAGTAGAGATGGGGTTTCACCATGTTGGCCAGGCTGGTCTTGAACTCCTGACCTCAGGTGATTCACCTGCCTCAGCCTCCCAAAGTGCTGGGATTACAGGCGTGAGCCACCATGCCTGGCCCTTTTACCTTGTATTCTTGCTAGCTGGATTCCTATAGCTTCTGTTGGTTTTTCCTCTGGATCTCTCTTCGAGCACAGCAGAACACCATTAAGATTATAAAAAAACAGCTTCTGCCATGGTAGTGTGGAACTACCTTCCTGGTCATTAACTCTGAAAACAGTTGGCACACTTCCCAGTAAGGATTTCTAGTGACTTTCACAGGGATGATACTTGAGGAAGATTTAGGCCAGAGAGGTCCCCAAAATATGCCCAGACGTAGCAAGATACTTTTCTACTGTGCACAACATCCAACTTGTCTAGCAGATACTGTTTTTAGGATTTTATCTGACTGAATATTCTTAAATGTAAGATTCATGCACATTCATTTTGAGTGAATTAAAATCCACCTAAATTTGAAAAGGCTGTTCATGGGGCATACACAAGCCCTATTTTTAATACCATCTCATGTATGTATATACTTTTGGGAACAGAGTAAGACTTCAAAACTTGACAGAGTCAAGAGAACAAATCAGAGATTTAATTTCCAAGACTGACTAGAACCTTTACTTTTATCTTTCCAAAGTTCGTTTGGAAGCATTGTTAAAGTGTGACCACCTTAGAAAATACACTTTCACAGCCCACTAATATCACCATGCTGAACTTAATGACATGATTTTTTGTATGTGTGTGGGTTAAATATACACAACATACAATTTACCATCTATTGGCCATCTATTTTTTTTTTCTTTTTTGAGATGGGGTCTTGCTCTGTCACCCAGGCTGGAGTGCAGTAGTGCGATCATGGCTCACTATACCCTCGAACTCCTGGGCTCAAGCCATTCTCCCACCTTAGCCTCCCAAGTCACTGGGATTATAGACATGAGCCACTGTGCCTACTATTTTAACCATTTTTAAGTGTACCATTCTGTGGCATTAAGTACATTCACACTGTTGTGCAACCATCACCGCCATCCATCTCCAGAATGTTTTCATCTTCCCCAACTGAAACTCTGTGCCATTTAAACAGGAACTCCCTATTACCCCCTCCTTCCAGGCCCTGGCAAACACCACTCTACTTTCTGAATGACATGACAATTTAATTATCTTTCTCAACTATCTTCTAGTTTTGGCTAAAACTCTTGTCAAATCTATGCACTGAGACTCTTACTAATTTTAGCACATCCACTCTCCAAAAGCACAGTCTCTTTCCTTTCAGTCATATCACCCGGGAAAAGTGGGGTGTTGAGAAAATGGACTCGAATGATGTATATAAGTGACAGAACACTAAATGTCACCTTAAGAAAGAAGAGGCCCGGGCACAGTGGCTCATACATGTAATCCCAGTACTTTGGGAGGCCAAGGAGGGTGGATCACTTGAGCTGAGGAGTTCGAGACCAGTCTGAGCAACATGGTGAAACCCCACCTCTACAAAAAATACAAAAATTAGCCAGGTATGGTGGTGCGCACCTGCAGTCCCAGCTACTAGGTGGGAGGATTGCTTGAACCCTGGAAGGTGAGGCTGCAGTGAGCCATGTTTCGCCACTGCACTACAGCCTGGGTGACAGAGCAAGACCCTGTTTCAAAAAAAAAGGAACTAAGAATCTTAATTCTAGGCTGGGCACGGTGGTTCATGCCTGCAATCCCAGTACTTTGGGAGGCTGAGGCAGGCGGATCACCTGAGGTCAGGAGTTTGAGACCAGCCCAGCCAACATGGTGAAACCTGGTCTCTACTAAAAATACAAAAATTAGCTGGGCGTGGTGGCAGGCACCTGAAATTCCAGCTACTCGGGAGGGTGAGGCAGGAGAACTGCTTGAACCCGGGAGGTGGAGGTTACAGTGAGCCGAGATCGCCCTCCTGCACTCCAGCCCGGGTGACAAGAGTGAAACTCCTTTTCAAAAAAAAAAAAAAAAAGAATCGTAATTCTAGATTTCTATCTGCCTTCCTGTTGGTGTTTATACAGAATCATTTATTAATCTGCTTTTAATCCACTAGCCATTCATCTTGAATTATTAAGTCTTAATTCCCCCCCAATCAACTTTCCTCATTATCATTCCATGTAACGTTTCTTCCCCTGAGTGTTCTATCACAGACCCTGATGACTTTTCTTTCTTTGGTGTTGAAATAGATTAATATTTTTCAATCAATTCTAACTACGTTACTTATTGAAGAATTCTGAATCAGAGAAGATGAGAACCATTTGCTATTTTAGGGAAAAACTTACTGTGTGTCAAAGTCATTACTGGTATTTTCAAAAAGCAGATTATGCCTAATTAACCCATTCTTTTTTTTTTTTTTTTTTTTTTTTTTTTTGAGACAGAGTCTCGGTCTGTCACCCAGGCTGGAGTGCAGTGGTGCGATCTCGGCTCAGTGCAACCTCTGCCTCCCGGGTTCAAGTGATTCTCCCGCCTCAGCCTCCCGAAAAGCTGGGACTACAGGCGCACACCACCACGCCCAGCTAATTTTTTGTATTTTTAGTAGAGACGGAGTTTCACCGTGTTGGCCAGGATGGTCTTGATCACCTGACCTTGTAATCCGCTGACCTCGGCCTCCCAAAGAGCTGGGACTACACCACCATGCCCAGGCCTAATTAACTATTCTGATGACACGTGTTATTTACAAGTGGAGAATTAAAAGAAAATTCTTTCCTAAAATATTCTGAGAGTAGCTATGAGAATCAGGCATCCTGCTGATTATTTTTCTTTCTTTTTTTTTTTTTGGCGGAGTTTCTCTCTTGTGGCCCAGGCTGAAGTGCAGTGGCACGATCTATGCTCACCGCACCTCCGTCTCCTGGGTTCAAGTGATTTTCCCGCCTCATCCTCCTGAGTAGCTAGGATTACAGGCATGCGCCACCACGCCCGGCCAATTTTGTGTTTTTAGCAGAGACGGGGTTTCTCCATGTTGGTCAGCATGGTCTTGAGCTCCCGACCTCAGGCGATCCACCCGCCTCGGCCTCCCAAAGGGCTGGGATCACAGGCGTGAGCCACCGCGCCCGGCCCCTGCTATTATTTTTCTTTAAAGTCTCATGGATACTCTATTTGGTGACTGTAATTCAAAGCTACCATGAAGTCACACACTCAGAATGGCTACTGAACAGTCTCCAAGTTTTTTTTTAGATGTGCTAACTCTAACAAGTACTTACCATGAACTTTGTCTCACCCTTTGACAGGGTATCTGTGATAAAATGAACCTTTTGTAACTGCTCCACAACCTGATGTAACAGTTTTGGCTGTAGAATCATAATTAGGGAATAAGAAAAAGAGTAATTACTTTGTAATGGCAAGAAAATATTTAACAATATTTTTAGAGACACAGTCTTGCTATATTGCACAGGCTGGAGACTGTGCTATTCACAGGTACAATCATGGCAAACTATAGCCTTGAACTCCTGGACTCAAGTGATCCTCCCACCTCAGCATCCAGAGTACCAGGAACAACATCATGCCTGAATAAGAAAACTTTTTTTTTTTTTGGCAGGGAATCGAGCCCGGGAAGAAAACATTTTTAACATGAGTTTTCTAATTATTTATGGAGAAATCTCTATTTTATTTTATTTTATTTTATTTTATTTTATTTTATTTTTAGATGGAGTCTCGTTCTGTTGCCAGGCTGGAGTGCAGTGGCACGATCTCGGCTCACTGCAACCTTTGCCTCCTGGGTTCAAGCGATTCTCCTGCCTCAGCCTCCCGAGTAGCTGGGACTACAGGCGCGCACCACCACGCCTGGTTAATTTTGTATTTTTAGTGGAGACGGGGTTTCACCATGTTGGGCAGGATGGTCTTGATCTCCTGACCTCGTGATCCACCTGCCTTGGCCTCCCAAAGTGTTGTGATTACAGGCATGAGCCACCGTGCCCGGCCATCTCTATGTTTTCTAATGTTCTGAGCAAGTACTTTTTCCCTCTAATAGAAAATTCATCTTATCAAATGAAACATATTTTTAGAAACCACTGTTTAAGGTATTACGATTGTAAAAACAATGATCAGTTGTATTTATCTGTTTCCTTAAATCAAAGAGTTTTCCTGTTCTTGAAATGGCTCATGGGAAAAAAAAGCAATCAAAGAGTCAGCTGTTTCACCTTCCAAAGGCATATATTCTAAAATAAAAAATGTTTTGCCTTCACAGGTTTTCTAATAGAAGGTTTCTCAATATTTCATTTTTTAAGATAAAATTTAATGAAAATCTGATTATAGTATTTCTAAAGTATTTATCACAGACAGTAAATCGTTCTAAAACTATTGTATTCAATGTTTTCTCTTTCAAATGTTAGACTGTCCTCCCAGCAACTCATGGAAGAATAATAGGTATCCTTTTCGAGAAATTTGCCTTTCGCAGAATTCAATCAGTACAAAGCTCTTCAGACTTTTCAGGAAGGCGAAAACAAAACTTATTCTGAAAATACCCAACTATCACTTAAAAAGTGAAATTCACTGTTGTGTAAGACTGATCACCATTGATTATAAACTCTGAGGCACCTGTTTGGTTGATTCTGAAGTGAAGCTGGGATGGGTCAGGAGAACATCCATGTCACCACTGGACTCTGCACCTGTGATGACAGAAGACACATATGAGATTGTCCATGTAAATGTATCAATTGGGCAAATGGAACCAAGCTGATGACACACAGAAGAGCCTTACTTCTTACAGCCTAACTTTCTATTTCACTGTGCTTCATAGTTAGAATTAGTTAAAAGATTTCAATTTTCTGTCCAACTATTCAGGTGTATTGATGTAGACAGCAGAATCTGTGATGACAACAGTAATTGGCATTAGATATACATTGCATACAACGAGTTAATTTAATGTATTAAAAATGCACCTAAGTAACTACTCAATAATGAATAAAAACAATATTTTAAAATAGCTTTAAAATACACCTATGAACAACTCTATATGTAAAAATCTCAAATTAAACAATATACTCTAACTCTATAAAGGTTAATCAGAAAACTCATTTCAGCCGGGCACGGTGGCTCATGCCTGTAATCCCAGCACTTTGAGAGGCTGAGGCCAGAGGATCGCTGAGCCCAGGAGTTTGAGACCAACCCAGTCAACACAGAGAGATCCAGGCACTCTCTTTTTTTTTTTTTTAAAAAGAAAACTCATTTCAATTCTTATGGTTGAACTCAATTAATAGGTCTATACTCTACAACCACATAGCTTCAGGCAAGTTATATACAGCTATTTAAACCTTTCTTTTCCTATATTCTATGAAATTCTGTCTCCACTGAGATGGAATTTTTTCATTTTACTTTTTTTTCAGTGTTGCAAGTGAGGACTCTTCATTCCTCTAGACCTCAGTTTTCTTATATGTAAACTACTAAAAACTACTTCATATGCTATTGTGTAAGTAAATAAGAACATATGTAAAAGCATCCACTATAGTGCCTGGTATACAGCATAAAAGAATCCAATCTATCTCCTCCCTTTCATTTTGATAAGTACAACAGAGGCCAAACACCCTTTTGGTAACTAAAGAGCTTGCAGTGTCTTTGCGATCCTCCCACTTCAGCCTCCCAAAGTGCTGGGATTACAAGCATGAGCCACAGTGCCTTAACCAAATATTTAAATATAAAGAAGGCCAGGCCGGGCAAGGTGGCTCACACGTGTAATCCTAGCACTTTGGGAGGCCAAGGTGGGCGGATCACTTGAGGTCAGGAGGTCAAGACCAGCCTGGCCAACATGGTGAAACCCCTTTTCTACTAAAAAAAAAAAAAATACAAAAATTAGCCGGGCATGGTGGTGTTTGCCTGTAACCTCAGCTACTCAGGAGGTTGAGGCAGGAGAATTGCTTGAACCTGGGAAGTGGAAGTTGCAGTGAGCTGAGATCACACCACTGCACTCCAGCCTGGGCGACAAAGCGAGACTCTGCCTCAAAAAAAAAAGAAAAAAAGAAGACTAGACTGAATGTGTACTGGACATCCATGGAAACTATTTTAATCAAGAAAATTCTATTGCCTTCTCTTGTTCTCATTTCCTCCTCCTAAAAGCTGGATGTCTTTCACTGTCCGCCTACCAACAAAAATGTTTCACTTTATTAAAAAAAAAACAAAAACAAAGTGTATGAGCAAAGAAAGAGAAACAACCCAAGGGTCCATTAATAGCGGACTGGATAAACAAATGAAGTATGATACATGCATGCAACTGAATGTTACACAGCTACAAAAAAGAATAAGGGGCCGGGCATGGTGGTTCATGCCTGTAATATCAGCACTGTGGGAGGCTAAGGTGGGTGGATCACTTGAGCCAAGAGTTTGAGACCAGCCCAGGCAACATAGTAAAACCATGTCCCTACCAAAAAAAAAAAAAAAAAAAAAAATTAGCCGGGTGTGGTGGCACGTGCCTGTGGTCCCAGCTACTCTGGAGGCTGAAGTGGGAGGATCACTTCAGCCCGGGAGGCGGAGGTTGCAGTGAGCCGAGATCACGCCACTACACTCCAGCCTGGGTGACAGAGAGGGACCCTATCTCAAAAAATAAATAAATAAGGAAGTTTTCTATATATTGATATGGAAAAATCTCTAGGATGTTATTTGTAAGTGAAAAAAGCAAGGTATAGTATTGTATATATATTATGTAACTTTATGAAAGAAAGGGAGAGAAGAAAGAAATAAAGATGGTATACTAGTATTTAGTTGTATTTTCATGAAGAAACGTTACAAGAATCCATAGGGAAGTGGTTCTTAATGGGACTTAGAAGGAGTAGGAAAGAGTGCATAGGGACTGTGGAAGTGAGATGTCTTAGAGTATACCTTTTTATGTGAAAGCATATAACCATACAACATACCCCAAAAAAGTAAAATTAAAATAGAAATAAATAAATCCAGGAAGGCTGTCATAGCCAACATAGCATGCATTTGGCTTGCTGTGCTTCCAAATCTACATTTTGAAAATACAGAATCCCAGTTCCCACCTAAGGAGATTCTTATTTGCAGAAGGGTACAACAATATGTATTTTTTTTTAAGTCCTAGGTATTTCTGATGCAGACATACTTGAAAATCTGGTTAACTTCAGTTCTCTCATTTTGCGAGTATGGAATCTAAGATCAGGAGAGACATAATAGTGGTAGATTTGGCCTCAGACCCCAGGTCTTTTGACCCCAGTCCAATGTTCTTTCTACTGATCAGTGAGTATGGATTTAGTTTTCTCTCTCCAACTCTAGATTCTTACAGCAGCTACCCAGAGTATTCCTGATAGGCCATCACCTACTTCCTAGACAAAACTCCACAGGTGGCCAGAGATTCAGTTCAGGTATCTACTCTATCTACTCTAACATACTCTAAAATGTTTTAAATAAGGTTTTTCTATTCCAATTTTAAAAGTTAATTTCTTTTTTTTTTGGAGATGGAGTCTCGCTCTGTCGCCCAGGCTGGAGTGCAGCGGCTTGATCTCGGCTCACTGCAAGCTCCGCCTCCCAGGTTCATGCCATTCTCCTGCCTCAGCCGCCCGAGGAGCTGGGACTACAGGTGCCCACCACTACGCTTGGCTAATTTTTTGTATTTTTAGTAGAGATGGGGTTTCACCGTGTTAGCCAGGATAGTCTCGATCTCCTGACCTTGTGATCCGCCCGGCTCGGCCTCCCAAAGTGCTGGGATTATAGGCGTGAGCCACCGCGCCTGGCCAAAAGTTAATATTTTTAAGCATGTATGAGCTTTTCAATATTTTAAACCAGTAAGACACCAGGATTATATGGTTCTTACTTTGCTCACATTCACACACTAAGCAGAACTCTTCTGATGAACCCGGTTGTTGTAAGAATTGGTTTTGAACTGGTACTTCTAAGACATTATTCTTAGCTCTCTTATAGAAAACTTGGGCAGTTGGGCACAGTGGCTCACGCCTGTAATCCCAGCACTTTGGGAGGTCGAGGTGGGTGGATCACGAGGCCAAGAGATTGAGACCATCCTGGCAAACATGGTGAAACCCCGTTTCTACTAAAAATACAAAAATTAGCTGGGCATGGTGGCACACGCCTGTAGTCCCAGCTACTCAGGAGGCTGAGGCAGGAGAATCACTTGAACCCGGGAGGCGGAGGTTGCAGTGAGCCGAGATGGTGCCACTGCACTCCAGCGTGGCGAGAGAGTGAGACTCTGTCTCAAAAAAAAAAAAAAAAAGGAAAAAGAAAGGTAAATTAACAAAACTACCCACAACTTCACTATCATCCAGCCAAAAGGCCAAAGACAACCATTACTAGCATTTCAATATACTTAAAGTCATTTAATAAACGTCGTTAAAACTAGTCATTAAAATATCATCCTATAATAAAATCAGGATGAATTTCCCCTAGTTACATATTCCCATCTATAAACAAATACCCTTAACTAATACTACTAGGTCTTAGTGAGTCTATGAAGTACCACAAATTACATCTTTTTAATCCAAATTCTTCCCATATATTAGGCAATTTTAACATCAGGGCAAAAATAACCCAAGATTAGGAAGTATGTTACCTCTTCTGAAACTGCCACAGACTGTAGCAATGTATTCAGAATCCACTTTTTTAACTTCATTTAGTACAATATCCTAATAGAAGAAAAATTAAGTCAGTATTCCCAAAATGGCTTTTCACCAAGTGACACTCTCAATTCTAATCAAAGAATATAATTTGACACATCTTACTTGCATTTGTAACATCTCTTCACGAGGAATTCTTTTTTCAAAGTCCCCAAAATATCTATAAAGACAGAATAAGTAGACAAAAGATTTTCGTAAAATTTAAATCTCCTTAAAAATTAAATTGCCTTTTATAACAATTGTCCGTGCCATACCAGCAGATCATTCTCACAAATCAAGGCTAGAATGAATTCACTGAGATGACAACAGCAAAATTGGGGGTGGAGTGAATGGGGGGAGGTTTATTCCTAAACTGGATAAAAATCCTTAAGTGTCATTCTTTGTAATATTTCAAAGGCTCCATCTAAACTTATTTGTAAATAAACTATGTGTTCATGTAACAAGAGTAAATAAATATATTTAAGTTAGGGCATTATTTTCAAAGTAAACTGCTGTCTACTGACAAGGCAAGGGGTTACAGTTTACCGCTCTTATATCCTGCAAAATTATATTTTCAAATACTATCCTGCAACATAAACTCAGACAACAATATGCTAAGTGGAAGAAGTCAGTCACAAAAGACCACATACTGTATGACTTCATTTACATTAAGTGTCCAGAATAGGCAAATCCGTAGAGACAGAAAGTAGATGAGCAGCTGCCTAGGTCTGAGGTGGGGGTAAGGGGAGGCAATGGGGGAATGACTAGTAATAGGTACAGGGTTCTTTCTGAGATAACAAAAATGTCCTAAAACTGACTGTAGTGATGGTTCCTACACTGTGCACAACTCTGTGAATATACTAAAAGTCACTGAATTGTATATTTTAAATGGATGAATTACAGGACATATGAATTACATCTCAATAAGGCTGTTAGGAAATTCAGTGTGAAACAGCAACTAAGCATATGCTTCAGCATGATGAAGCACCTATTCACAGCCAATTCTCAGCAAACCAGTTCTTCAGAACACCTCCATTTACTACAGAAATGCCAGGAGAGCAAGAACCATACCATCCAGGTCTCTCACTGGCTCAAGATTTTGGAATGGGAGTATAAGTTTAAAATATTATGGTAAAGCATCAACAGGAAAATTCAAAAGGTAATTAGGACTGAATCACTCACAACACTATATAATGCCAGAAGAGATACATATAGTGCTTATGCACTATAACTGTAAATAATTAGAAAAGGGGTTCCCAGACTATATCTGGCACACAAAATAATTATTGATGCTGATATAGAAACATGCCTAGTAGTTATTCCTATATGGTTATTTAGGTATGAGGTTTGTCCTTTTTTTAAATTTAGTTTTTCATATTCATGTCCTACCTTCTCGGGTAGACTATAAACTTCTTAAAAGCTACACTCAACCTCTCTGTATCTTTACCCTAGACCTAGTGTAGTGCTTTGTACAATGTGAGCATGAAATAAACACCCGCTGACTGCCTGATACACTCAGTCCTAGGTATTTTAAGAGGAAGTTCCCTGCTAAAGTCAAAAGAATAAGGGAAATCCTCAAAACAAGTAAACTAGAAAGCAAAAGTGAAAGCACTGTGTGAACACAGGCAGATACTCTGTAAGAGTCCACAAATCTTAGCACTTCTGAATAGGAAAATGGTTGTGGTTTAGCTAAGTTTGAAGAGTCCTTCTGGTGTATAAAAGAATGTCTATAAAAAATTTACTTTTATATCTCAAGTGTCAAAAGAAAATCTGCCATCTTACTTCAGCCCAATTCGCTGATGATGGTTCAATTTATCTTCATTTTTTCTGAGATCTGTATAGAAGATAAATAAAGTTGACATGTTAATTTAAATGCTTTTTGGGGGGAAAATGCTAAACTCAATGACCCTTTTTATAAAGAACCACCTGGGGAACAAATACATTGAAATGACTGAAAACACAATGAGACAAAAATTTCAGATATGAAGAGCTAGATAAAAGTGACTCTTCAGGGCCAGGCGTGGTGGCTCACACCTGTAATCCCAGCACTTTGGGAGGCCGAGGCGGGCGGATCACAAGGTCAGGAGTTCGAGACCAGCCTGGCCAACATGGTGAAACCCCATCTCTACTAAAAATGCAAAAAATTAGCGAGGCATGGTGGTGTGCCCCTGTAATCCCAGCTACTTGGGAGGCTGAGGCAAGAGAATCGCTTGAACCTGGGAGGTGGAAGCTGCAGTGAGCCGAGATTGCGCCACTGCAATCCAGCCTGGGCAACAGAGCAAGACCCCGTCTCGAAAAACAACAACGACAACAAAAAAAAACAGAATCACACCAAATTTTACTGACTATAGTGGTTTAATTTATTGTTAAGAGCAACAGTAGTAACCATAACTTCTGAATGTTTTCTGATTAACTAGGTTTATTCATAGTTTATTTGTTCTTTCACTCTTTCATTCCATTAGCACTGAGTAGTAGATTTGTGCAGTCATTGTGCTCAAAATCCTGTTGAGCCGGGCACAGTGGCTCATGACTGTAATCCCAGCATTTTGGGAGGCTGAGGTGGGAGGATCATGAGGTCAGGAGTTCGAGACCAGCCTGACCAACATGGTGAAACTCTGTCTCCACTAAAACTTCAAAAATTAGCCAGGCATGGTGGTGCGCGCCTGTAATCCCAGCTACTCAGGAGGCTGAGGCAGGAGAATCACTTGAACCCAGGTGGCGGAGGTTGCAGTGAACCAAGATTGCGCCACTGTACTTCTGGGCAGACAGAGCAAGACTGTGTCTCAAAACAAAAAAAAATTCCATTGAAAGGAAAATTATTACTGTACCTGCATTTTTTAACTTAAGAATTGTCATAACATCCCATATTAAGTCTAAAAGTGACTCAGTTCCATTCAGGTGTCCCTTTACTGGGCATGAATCCAGCTGTGAGCCTTGTTAAAGAAACAGCAAGATAAGCATGCTTCAAAAGCAATTCCTACAAGCCCCCTTATAGCCACAAATATACACATTCCCTCTGGAGATATAAAATCGAGAAAAATAAGCATCTTTATGAAATATAGAGCACTTAATATTTCCTATGGTTATGTGCACACAGAAAACGCTAAAGTATACGACTAAAACTGAAGAAGTGGAAATACTGAGTATGTTAGACAGATATAGTTATAGATATCAACAGTTGTATTCCTTATGTGTGAATTGTGAAATATAAAAACCACAACAGTAGATCCTTGACACTCCCAAGAGATGCAACTCAATACCTCCAAGAAACCCACAGATTCTTGACCCCTTTAGCCAATCAATTCTCTCATATAAGCTGTCTATACCACAGGCATCAAAGCATAAACCCTGTATGAGATGCACATGTAGAGTTCATTCTCTAGCAATGTGGCTCACACAAATTCTTAACTTAGTAATACTACTAATCATGCCTCATAAGAGTTGGTTACCATTTTTAAGTAGTACTAGGTACCAAGCACTCTGCTAAGTGCTTTACATATATTATTGCATTTAATTGTACGAAGCAGAAATACCCATTTTGTAGGTGTGAAACTGACGCAATAAGGTCATCCCACTCTAATAAAGTAGTGGAGGTGGGATTCAAAGCCAGGTCAGTCTCCAAAACCTGCCTACCTAACCACTGGGCTGCTTGCAAATACTCACAAATACTAAATCCCAAATGCCATGGATATGCTGTAATGAATCCATATGTATACATACACCCATGAAAAGTATAAAGAGATAAATTACATGTAAAGGATTACTATATTTAAGGAAAACGTTTTATAATTACTTGTTAGGTTCTATTTTTATCTTTTCTTTGAAAGCAAAAATTCCTTTAATAACCATTACAAATCTCTTACAGAATCTTTTTCAGTAATATATAACTTAGCTTTTAATCTAAGATTTTATTGCCTAAAATTTTATTAAAGAAATAAAGGGGGCCAGGCGCGGTGGCTCACGCCTGTAATCCCAGCACTTTGGGAGGCCGAGGTGGGCAGATCACAAGGTCAGACCGAGACCATCCTGGCTAACACAGTGAAACCCCGTCTCTATTAAAAATACAAAAAAAAATTAGCCGGGTGTGGTGGTGGGAGCCTGTAGTCCCAGATACTTGGGAGGCTGAGGCAGGAGAATGGCATGAACCTGGGAGGCAGAGCAAAAAAAAAAAAAAAGAAATAAAGGCAATTTAGATATTTGAAAAATTTGCAAACGATAACTATTTCATTGCTTTTAAGTCAAGAGGTTGGTTCTTGGTCTTCTTCTTTTTTTTTTTGAGACAGAGTCTTACTCTGTCACCCAGGCTGGAGTGCAGTGGCACCACCTCGGCTCAATGCAACCTCTGCCTCCCGGGTTCAAGCAATTCTCCTGCCTCAGCCTCCTGAGTAGCTGGGATTACAGGTGCCTGCCACCACACCCGGCTAATTTTGTATTTTTAGTAGAGATGGGGTTTCACCATGTTGGCCAGACTGGTCTCGAACCCCTGACCTCAAGTGATCCACCCGCCTCCCAAAGTGCTGGGACTACAGGCATGAGGCACCGCGCCTGGCCCTGGTTCTTGGTCTTCTTAGTTTTCTCTGAGTTAGTTACAAACCTAAAAATGTTTATGATGGTAATATAAACTATACCCTATATCTACTGTACTACAGAGTTAAAAAGAAAATCTTATCTTTTGTATCTACTGATTGAGAATGGGTTTTTCAAGTTGAAGTTTGTTAGAGCACTAATGGTCCTTCAGGACCATATTTAATCTGGAATTAGTGACCTACAGTCATACTCACCTTCTAGTGTTTTAATTCCTTCATCTACAAACTTCCTTGCAGCAGATGGACTACAAAAACAAAAGCATTATCTCAACATTGGGTGAAACTTGGGATCCTTGTAACAACCATGTCTTAATAGTAAGAAGAGCTGCTATTAAGCTAAACAAGACCTGCTAAAATGTTGCATGGCTACTTTGGTAATGTTCAACTGTATCCGAAGTACGAATTATTGAAGCTTCAATCATTAGGAAGACAACTATGAATTCAGACATAAAAAGGATGTCTAAGCAGCTGCTGTCATAGTGCCCATGTACAGATGGCACTTGAAAACTGTTCATTCATTGAACTAAGATTTACTGAGGGCCATTATGTGTCAGATACTTTCCTGGGTGCTGAAAATGTAGCAGGAATAAGAATGTAAGTGGGTAGATAGAGACAATAGTTAGTTACATAAACAAGAAAAAATCAGATGGATAAATTAAAATAGAATATGACAGAATGGCTGGGTCCTACTTTAGACTGAGTGGTAGAAGGTCTCTGAGATGGTATCTAAGCTGAGGTTTGAATGACTAAAGAACCAGCTATCTAGGGGATCAAAGAGAAAAACGTTTCGGGAAAAGGAAACAATTAGTGCAAGGGCCCTAAGGCTGGCATGAGCTTGGCCTGTTCAAGAGAAGAGAAAAACTAGGATGCATAGAGTGATGTAAGTGACGGTATGAGGTGCTATGGAACAGTACGCAGGTGTTACACTCTACTGTGCTTTTAGAGCCATGGTGATAGGTTTGGATTTTATTCTGAGTGCAATGGAAAGCTATTAGAGGACACTGCACAAAGCAATGATAAAATCTGATTTAGGTTTCTAAAATATCACTTTATTCATATAAATAAATCAGAATGTCAGAAATGACTGAAGATGCTCTTATAGGATGGGGACAGAAGGAAGCTTACTGATTAACCAAATTTCTCTCTTATTTCATAAGGAAGGACACTGAAACCTAGAAAGATGAAGCGATTTGCTAAGGTCACAAATCTAGCTGGTGCTAGCTCTAGACCATTATCCAGATTTCCTGACTCTCTTCTCACCATACCAGTTTACAGCATAATAAAGCAGGAGCGGTGAACAGAAAGAAATGCATACACACACATATAAACATACAAGCACAATAGTCTGGGGCCACAGTGTTTCGGGACAAATAAACCTGTATCATTCAGTAAGCTATGCAAATATCATCACATTATATTGTGATATAGAAACTGATACTGATGTTAGGAAGGCAATGCAGCATAGAAGAAACAGAACTGAACTCGGAGTCAGAAGATATGGGTTCAAATCTGGCTCTGCCATGGTTACTCATGTTCTATATTCAACTTTCAGTTCTCTTGCCTAGAAAAAAAGGATAATAGATGCTCTCTAAAACACCTTGTGGTTCACACCTATAATCCTAGCACTCTGGGAGGCTTAAGTGGGAGGAAGGCTTGAGGCCAGGAGTTCAAGACCAGCCTAGGCAACATAGGGAGACCTCTTCTCTACAAAAGATACAAAAATTGGCCACACATGGTTGCGCAAGCCTGTAGTCTCAGCTACTCAAAAGGAGTACTAAGGCAGGAGAGTCACTTTACCCCAAGAGTTCAAGGTTACAGTGAGCTATAATAGCACCACTGCACTCTAGCCTAGATAGCAGAATAAGACACTATCTCTAAAAAAAAAAAAAAATTTTTGTAATTCTTCCAATGAAAATTTTATAATGGCCTTGAGTCCCCAAGCAGTCATTTTCATTTTCAACATACTAGGTTTAAGAATTTAATATGTTTTAGAATAACTTTCACCGAAAATGCTGCCATTTAAAGAACAAATCATTATATTTAAAGGAATGCCCCATGCCATAAAGATGAGAGCACTAAAGCCTTAATATTTCAATGTTAATCTTTACTTCAGCCAGTGTCAAAAAAGCCCACCTTGGTACCAGCTCAAATTTTAAGATAATAATCCCTTCATTTAAAAATGCTTGAAGCTGGGCAAGGGGGCGTGCACCTATAATCCAAGCTACTCGGGATGCTGAGGAGGAAGAATCACTTAAGCCCAGGAGTTCAAGACCAGCATGGGCAACATAGCAACCCTGTCTCAAAAAATAATTTAAAAAAAGCTTGAGGGCTTGTTCCAAATTCATGAGGTGCTATGATAAATATCATGCTCAGAGAAACAAAAGAGGCCAAGCTGGAGCAGGAAATAGATGCACACGGAGGAAATGGTAGTGGAGTTCAGAGGAGGGAGAGGTTCTTTCTGCCTGGGTAACCAAACTGGTTTCATGAAGGAGGTAACATCTGCCTTGGATGGGGACCTTACAGTAGAGACACTATCTGAAGAATCGGCCTCAGATCATAAGCTATGGAAGGGTGAACTGTATGGCTAAGGTACAGAGGTGGTGAAGTACAGGTTTTGAGAAACAGCATGTAATTTACTTTGGCTAACAGGAAAAATAAACTAACTGACGATTGTGTCTGCTTAAAAAATAGTTCTTACCCAATGCCACTAACTCGAGTCAGGAAATTGATGGATGAACTCGTATCATCCTGCCGAATCTTTAAGAAAAAAAAAAGTCTAACAATGATTTAGGAATGCTTTGAGGACTTAAATGATCTTATTGGAAACATACCAGTCTGCTAAAAGACATGAAGAGCTATTTACATTTGCCTGGGTGACCCACACAAAATTATTCACAAGTAACCTAAGGAGTAATAGGTGAATAACAGAGTAACTGAAGATGTCTCATCTCTAAGTTATCCAATACTTTTAAAAGGTCTATTCTTAACAGATCAGAAGTGATATAATTACTATCATGGGGTGAAATAAAACCATAAAAATGCTTGGGAGAGTGTAAACATAGAAATTCTAAAAGATGGCCGGGTATGGTGGCTCATGCCTGTAATCCCAGCACTTTGGGAGGCCGAGGCGGGCAGATCACGAGGTCAGGAGATCGAGACCATACTGGCTAACATGGTGAAACCCCGTCTCTACTAAAAATGCAAAAAATTAGCTGGGTGTGGTGGCGGGCGCCTGTAGTCCCAGCTACTCAGGAGGCTGAGGCAGGAGAATGGCATGAACCCAGGAGGCGGAGCTTGCAGTGAGCCGAGATCGCGCCACTGCACTCCAGCCTGGGCGACAGAGCAAGACTCCATCTCAAAAACATAAATAAAGAAATAAAGAAATTCTAAAAGATAACGATCTTTCAGTCAAAGTTTATAATCTCTTTTCTGAATAGTACTGAAAACGATGAGCCAACTCTATTACGGGTGTTAATAGTCTCTTAAATGCCACATAAAACAAGTGAACATTTTATGGAAATAACATTCAAAAAGTTAAAGCCATCAACTTCACTCACCTCATTTCCTGTGAGTCTCACTACAGTGAATGACATTGGTCACCCTGCAATGACGCTACATAGTGGCCATAAAGGCAGATACTATAATTAATGAAGTAAACAAGTTAAAATTTTACCTTTTCCAGTTTACGTAATTTTCCAGTTGCTAAAAACTCATCAATCTTTTCAGCAATTTTTGTTCCTACTCCAGGCTACATGGAAAATTAGAAATATAAAAGTCATATGAATATAATGCTTACCAAATCACTAAAAGATAAAGTAAAAAGCAGAAAATGAAAAACAAATGAATACCATGTGATAAGGTTTGAAATAAAGGACACAGAAAATTGAACCCCAGTGAAAATAAATTCTCCCGAAGACAGAATGCTTACATGAATGACAAAAGGGAAACTCTGAGAAAATAATTATATCTTATTTAAAATTAACTTTTGTTTTATGGCTACACAGTATATCATTGTATAAATGCATAATAATTTAATTAGCAAATACCCTACAGGTAAACATGTAGATTGTTTCCAATTATTTGACAGTATAATAATATTCATAAACTTCCTTTAGAACAGAGGTTGTCAAGCTCCTGCATACATCAGCATCACATGGGGGCACTTCTTAAAACACAGAATGTAAGTCCCACCCTAGAGTTTCTCATTCACCATGTCTGGAGTAGGGCCAAGAATATGCCTAAGTTCTCAGGGGACGCTGATGCTGCTGGCCTAGACACCTTGTTCTAAGAAGCGCTGCTCTGGAACTGCACATTCCAACATGGTACACTAGCCACATATGACAATTTAAGTTTAGATTAATTACAATTTAAAATTCCATTCTTCAGTCACAACATCCACGTTTCAAGAACTCAATGGCCAAATGTGGCTTGTGGTTGCTGTATTGGGCAGCACTTCTCTAGAATCTAAGTTTTGGGAGAGCAGAGATCCTGTCTTTTCATTTTTTTATCCCTAGTGACTGGCATACAGGTGATCAAAAATTATGAATTAATGAATCCTAGTAGATACATATCTCTATTACCTTCCTTAGGAAACATACGTCAAAGTGGAATTGCTAGGTCAAACGATATATACATTCTGACAAAGCAGCCTTCAGAAAGGCTGTAACAACCAACACTTTCATGGGTAGTAAATGAGGGTCCTTTTTTTCACATCTTTCTCCACACTGCATGTATTTGATGGGCACTATATAGTGTCTTGTTTAATTTGCAACTTTGGTATCAGTAAAATTGAACTTTTTTTCATGTGTATTGAAAAATGTCCTGTCCTTTTTAGTTAAACATTCAGCATGCTTAATAACAGGTGTGCCAGTTATCTCTACTGCCTCTCAGGCCTAGGTTCACTCATCAATATTCTTAATTTATTTAATGTTTAATAAATGTCCCCAAATTACTGAAAGCATATTCAAGTTTGGAAAACAGCAATTACCAGATAGAAATGAACAAAAGATTTAGGAAGCAGAATAGATTAGAAAAAGGAAACTGCTCAGGCTCATTTCCTGTATCACAATATTTTTTTAAAGGGTAATTATTTTTCCCTTTACACATAGTGCTACAATAATTTTACTCAATAACATACTGACCTCAAGCAATTCAGACCCAAGCTACTTTCTATACCAAACATTAAGGAATAAAAGACAAACTACTCATTCTGGAAATTTCAGATTTCTAGAATTACTGAGAAGTAACAGATTAGATAATCTAAGAAGAATCTATTACTTCCGTTACTAAGAAGGAATAGATTAGATAATCTAGAATAATTTCTAGAATTACTGAGGAGTAATTCTAGAATAATTTCTAGAATTACTGAGGAGTAATTCTAGAATAATTTCTAGAATTACTGAGGAGTAATTCTAGAATAATTTCTAGAATTACTGAGGAGTAATTCTAGAATAATTTCTAGAATTACTGAGGAGTAATTCTAGAATAATTTCTAGAATTACTGAGGAGTAATTCCAGAAATGGGCTAGATAGCAACTCTGTGATTCTTCAATAATTGTGAAAAGGAATAATGATGAGATTTTTACAACCAGTCTTATGCAAAAGGAATTTTGGATACCTTTGTATTCTTTTTAGGAATATACCATAAGCGCAGATTTGAGATGAAGTGTATCAGAGCTTTTCAGTTTTTCTCTAAGAAATGAGCAGGCTATTTGCAATAAACATAAAAAAGGAAGTACTGTAGGGATAAAAGAGGAAGTGAATGGAAGCAGGAGTAGTTCCTGAGACTATCAATGGGTCAGTTCACCAAGACAGAAACTCAGAATTAAAGTCTAATGTATTTATAACTTACTTGGCTAGTCTATTTAAGGAGGATATACTGATGCTGAGAACTGTCTATGCCACAAGGATTTAAAGCCTATATATCAGAGCATGATTTGTACTGAGTAGCGAAGTCAAGGTTAAGATGTGGCACATGTTGAATGTGGACAATCTGTCACTAAATCACACAATGTCCAAGATTTATGGTAATGTTATGACTCTGAAGGGCAAAAATATAACGGCAGTTATGGTCCAGTCATGGTGGCTCACACTTGTAATCCCAGCACTTTGGGAGGCTGAGGCAGGAGGATCACTTGAGCCCAAGAGTTCAAGACTAGCCTGGGCAACATAACAAGATCCAATCTCTACAAAAGAAATAAATTAAAAAAAAAATATCTGAGTGTGATGGAGCATGCCTGTAGTCCCAGCTACTCAGGAGGCTGAGGTGGGAGGATTGCTTGGCTGGGAGGGTCAAGGCTGCAGCAGTAAGCTGTGATTATGCCACCACTGCACTCCAGCCTGAGTGACAGAGCAAAATCCTGTCTCAAAAAAAAAAAAAGAAAAAAGAAAAAAAAGGGCAATTATGGCTCATCTCCTGAGAAGGTTAAAAGATAATCAAATATTAATTCTTAAATTCCAGAGGACATTTGTGAAACATTAATAGGTAAAGAACAAAAGGAGGTGATAACTATCAGGACCTGGACTACTCAAAAGGCATCTCAGGCTGGGTGCAGTGGCTCACGACTATAATCCCAGCACTTTGGGAGGCTCAAGGCAGTGGATCACCTGAAGTCAGGAGTTTGAGACCAGCCTGGCCAACACAGTGAAACCCTGTCTCTATCAAAAATACAAAAATCAGCTGGGCATGGTGGCGCATGCCTGTAGTCCCAGCTACTCGGGAGGCTGAGGCAGGAGAATCACCTGAACCCTGGAGGCGGAGGCTGCAGTGACCCAAGATCGTGCCACTGCACTCCAGCCTGAGCAACAGGGTGAGACTCCGTCTCAAAACCAACAAACAAAAAAGCCATGATAATTTGACATCTTTCACAAAAGATGAATAAGATATGGTCCTTAAATTTAAGGAACTTTGAATCATTTAGTAAGATTTAGATGAGACAACAATCTGATTGTCAATAGATAGACCATCTCAGGATATTCTCAGTGATATTACAGGTTGAGTATCACTAATCCAAAAATCCACATTCCAGAATGTCCAAAATCTGAAGCATTTTGAGTGCTGACATGACACTCAAAAGGAAATGCTCATTGGAGCATTTTGGATTTCGGATTTTTGGGTTAGGAATATTCAACCAAATACAAATATTCAAAAAAAAAATCCAAAATCCAAAATAATCTGTTCCCAAGCATTTCAGATAAGGGGTATTATATTACAAATTAACGAGGCATGTGACCCTCTAGAAACTGTGACACAGTACACAAGGCTTCGTGGAAATTACAGAGAACAGGGCTAAATGCCATAAAACAAAAGGGTCTTAATCATGTGCTTATTAGTAAGATCTCTCTGGGGAACACGCACTCCCACTAACTCACATAGGTTCCTACACCTGGGGATCAGAGAAAAATAGGTGGGACCAGATATGCTAGTGCCACTTGGTCACTCTTCTTAAAAACCAACACTCAAGTTGAAATTCAACGTGAGTACATGTATATATTGTAACAGAGAGAAAGAAAACTGTAATTACATATATTTTTAAAAATTTTAACCCATCTTCTCCCAAATGAAAACATTTTGAGCTTGAAAAAGTGTGTATGAAACAGCATGAATGTTATTCCAAGAAATCAGGAGTAGTGAAATCAGCCTGTGTGGGTCAAGGCTGCTTCAGACAGGCAAGTTTGGTTTGGTGGGAACCCACCAAATTTGGACACGTGTGAACTCTTCGATCAACATGCTAACTAAACTTACCAATTTCTTAGCTTCAGCTCCACTCTTTATTTTGTGTGGGTATTTTGCTATAACAGATGCTGCTTTTCTATAAGGAAAGAAGAAAAGGAAAACCAATTAGAAATCCATCAAGGCCTTAATTTTTCTTAAACTGGAATACATATACAAGCAAATATCTATGCTTATGCTTTCACCAAGATAACTAATTTTCTTTTTTTTTGTTTTTTTTGAGACAGTCTCCCTCTGTTGCCAGGCTGGAGTGCAGCAGCGCGATCTCAGCTCACTGGAACCTCCGCCTCCCGGGTTCAAGTGATTCCCTTGCCTCAGCCTCCCGAGTAGCTGGGACTACAGGCGCGCCTTCTTGTATTTTAGTGGAGATGATGTTTCACCATGTTGGCCAGGATGGTCTCGATCTCCTGACCTCGTGATCCACCTGCCTTGGCCTCCCAAAGTGCGGGGATTACAGGAGTGAGCCACTGCGCCTGGCCTAATTTTCTACCTCCATATGGAACTTAAAAATCAGATGAGCTGACAGACCACCTAATATATGTCTAACTTTTTTTTTTTTTTTGAGATGGAGTTTTGCTCTTGTTGCCCAGGCTGGAGTGCAATGGCGCAATCTCGGCTCACCACAACCTCCGCCTCTGGGGTTCAAGCGATTCTCCTGCCTTAGCTTCCCAAGTTGCTGGGATTATAGGTACCCGCCACCATGCCTGGCTAATTTTTTGCATTTTTAGTAGAGACAGGGTTTCTCCATGTTGGCCAGGCTGGTCTCAAACTCTGACCTCAGGTGATCCACCCGCCTCAGCCTCCCAAAGAAAGCTAGGATTACAGGTGTGAACCAGCTAGGATTACAGGCGTGAACCACCACTCCCGGCCACTTTTTTTTTTTTTTTTTTTTTTTTTGAGACGGAGTCTCGCCCAGTCTGTCGCCCAGTCTGGAGTGCAGTGGCGTGATCTCAGCTCACTGTCACCTCCGCTTCCCAGGTTTAAGCAATCCTCCTACCTCAGCCTCCTGAGTAGCTGGGATTACAGGCATGCGCCACCACATCTGGCTAATTTTTTTGTATTTTTAGTACAGACAGGGTTTCACCATGTTGGCCAGGCTCATCCCGAACTCCTGACCTTGTGATCTGCCCACCTTGGCCTCCAAAAGTTCTGGGTTACAGGCGTGAGCCACCACGCCTGGCCTACGTCTAACTTTTAAAGTATCTTGAAAAGCTCCACATTTGAGAATAACTGAATTTAAACTCTATACGTCAAAGAGTATGATTTGTACTGAGTAACAAAGTGATTTGTTTTGATTTGTGCTGAGTAACAAAGTGATTTAAACTGTATACATAATACTCAAGGGATGGGGAGACCAGCTGTCTTTCTTTGGGAGTAAGTAGAAATCATCATTGGGCCCCCTTTTTTAAAATAGCTAGTTTTTAGAAATTGTTCATAACTTCCTCATAAAAATGTGCCACATGTGAATTATTAGACACCAGATCTGCTTATGGATACCTATGTTACTTTTTTTTTGAGATGGAGTCACCCAGGCTGGAGTGCAGTGGCGCCATCTTGACTCACTGTAGCCTCTGCCTCCCAGGTTCAAGCAATTATCCTGCCTTAGCCTCCTGAGTAGCTGGGATAACAGGTGTATGCTACCACACCTGGCTAATTTTGTGTATATATATATATATATATATATATTTTTTTTTTTTTTTTTTTTTTTTTGAGACGCAGTCTTGCTCTGTCTCCCAGACTGGAGTGCAGTGGCGCAATCTCGGCTCACTGCAAGCTCCGCCTCCCGGGTTCATGCCATTCTCCTGCCTCAGCCTCCTGAGTAGCTGGGACTACAGGCACCCGCCACCACGCCTGGCTAATTTTTTGCATTTTTAGTAAAGACGGGGTTTCACCATGTTAGCCAGGATGGTCTCGATCTCCTGACCTCGTGATCTGCCTGCCTTGGCCTCCCAAAGTGCTGGGATTACAGGCGTTAGCCACTGCGCCCAGCCAATTTTATATTTTTAGTAGAGACAGGTCTTCACCATGTTGGCCAGGCTGGTTTCCAACTCCTGACCTCAAATGATCCACCTGCCTCGGTCTCCCAAAGTGCTAGGATTACAGGCATGAGCCACCACACGCAGCCCTTGGATAGCTATTTTAAAATTCATAGTTTCAAACTGCATTCCCTTATGTCCCTATATCAATTTATTTTTTTTTAATGCAGATGGGATGTTGCTATGTTGCCCAGGTTGGTCTTGAACTCCTGGGTTCATGCCATCCACCCGCCTTGGCATCCCAAAGTGGTGGGATTACAGACGTGAGCCACTGTGCCTGGCCCCTACATCAGTTTTTAAAAATTGCTCCCGCCTTTCCACCCCCTAGTGCTGCTGGGCCTGCAGGTCTCTGTTCCACAGGATGGACTTTGTTAAAGTTGTTAAGAATAAGGCCTACTTTAAGAGATACCAAATGAAACTTAAAGATGACAAGATGGTAAAACTGATTACTATGCTCAGAAACGCTTGGTAATACAGGATAAAAATAAATACAACACACCCAAATAGAGGATGATAGTTCATATAACAAACAGAGATATCAATTGTCAGATTGCTTATGCCCGTATAGAGGGGGATATGATAGTCTGCGCAGCATATGCACACGAACTGCCAAAATATGGTGTGAAGGTTGGCCTGACAAATTATGCTGCAACATATTGTACTGGCCTGCTGCTGGCCCACAGGCTTCTCAATAGGTTTGGCATGGACAAGATCTATGAAGGCCAAGTGGAGGTGACTGGCGATAATACAATGTAGAAAGCATTGATGGTCAGCCAGGTGCTTTCACCTGCTATTTGGATGCAGGCCTTGCCAGAACTACCACTGGCAATAAAGTTTTTGGTGACCTGGATGGAGGCTTGTCTATCCCTCAAAGTACCAAATGATTCCCTGGTTATGATTCTGAAAGCAAGGAATTCAATGCAGAATTACACCAGAAGCACAACATAGGCCAGAATGTTGCAGATTACATGCACTACTTAATGGAAGATAAAGATGCTTACAAGAAACAGTTCTCTCAATACATAAAGAATAGCATAACTTCAGACATGATGAAGGAGATGAAAGCTCATGCTGCTATAGGAGAGAATCCAGTCTATGAAAAGAAGCTCAAGAAAGAAGTTAAAAAGAGGTGGAACCATCCCAAAATGTCCCTTGCTCAGAAGAAAGATCGCATAGCTCAAAAGAAGGCAAGCTTCCCCACGGCTCAGGAGGGGGCTGCAGAGAGCTAAACCAAACAATTTTCTACGAGGATTTTTCAGATAAAGACAATAAACTTATGGACAGAAAAAAAAAATTGTTCCCACTGCAGTTCAGCATAAAGCGGTGACCTGTAATTCTTGCCCACCTCCACACATATCCAGTTTGTTAATCTGGTGACAGATTGGATACACCCTGGGAGCTCGCTGACGGTATTCTGTCTATAATTTCAATGCAAAATGTAATTCAGAGTTGATGCTGATGAGAAGTGACAGTACAGCTAAGTCAAAAGCATAAACACTGGATAGTCTTTGGAACCTTGGATTTGCATTCTGTTATAGCACAAATAACCCTTTATATTTGGATTTGAACTTCTCTCTAAGCACATGACTGATGATGAATCTGAAAAGACATATTTATAAGTAAAGGAGCAGGCAAACACAGTTTATGGAGGGGATCATTTCAGGAAAGGCAAGTAGTTCCAGGTCATTGGCACTGTGAGGCAAAGCCTAAAAGGGAAGAAGAATCAGATGAAAGGCCTTTTGTATGCTATGATGTATTTGGGTTTTATCAAGGTAAAGAGAAAATATTATTTAATTATTTGACTGACAAGATCAGATAACTATTTTCAAAAGAATACTTTGGCCACAATCAACAGAAATGTCTACTGGGGTAGGGAGGAGCATGCAGGAGTGGTAGGGAATCACCTGCTTTTCCAGACTTATTTCCCACTCATACCATACCCGTTAAGCAAACTGAACATCTGACTTCCAGAAAACGTTATACCCTTCATGTCTCAATGCTTTGGCACATTTTATTTGTCTAGACTGCTGGCCCTCTCACTTATCCCGATGAGCTTCTTCAAACTAAACACCTCCTTTCTGAGACCTGCTGTGATCCAAATAGAATACAAAGTTGAATATCTCTGTAATTTTGAATCATCAAATGTATGGATGATAATACAATTATTTTACTTTACAGAGGAAGTCACAGAAGTAAGGAAAGGAGGGAGCACAATCAGCTCTGAACTGTGTGGAGTGGGAATGGAAGAAGGGAGCTGACTTGGGATAAAGACAGTATAGGGCTAAAAATGTGGAAAAAAGTCCAGTGATACACAGATTTGGAGTCACTGACATAAGTGGCATTTCAAAGTCAAGAATGGCAAGATTGCCAGGGAAACTACAGAAGTAAGAAAAGAGGGCTAAGGGCAGGCAGACTCCCCGGAACCACAGGTTAACTATCCCTTATCTGAAATGCCTGGGACCAGCATTGTTTCAGATTTTGAATTTTTTTCAGGGTTTGGAATATTTGCGTATACATAATAAGATATCTTAGGGATATGGGAGATACAAGTCTAAATACAAAATTCAGTCATATTTCTCACACACCTTACGCACATACCCTGAAGGTAATCTTATATAGTCGTTTTAATAATTTTGTGCATGAAACAAAGTTTTGACCATTTTGACTGCCACCTACTACATGAGATCGGATGTGGAATTTTCCACTTGTGTCATCATGTCGGCAATCATCCAGATTTTAGAGCATTTCAAATTTTCAGATTAGGGATGCTCAACCTATACCAACATTAAAAGGTAAGACAGAAGAAGAGATGAAAGACCAGAAAGAGTGCCATTACAGAAGTCAAGAGATATTCACAGCATGAGCCAGGGGTGAATGCCACAGAGAGTCCAATAAGATGAGACGTAGGTGAGCGGATTTTCAGAGCACTGGTAGGTCCAGGCAAGGACTGGGACTTCTTGAGTAAATGATTAGGTATTAAGAAGTCCAGGCAAGGAATGAAGATTTTTCAAGAAGATTCACCATAAAGTGAGAAAAGAGGGAAGGTGCTAGCTAGAGGGAAGTTAAGATTGTTTTGGTTTTGCTTTTAAGAGCTGAGGGACTTGCACATATTTATAGGCTAAGGAGAGCTGACACCGAGGCTGATGCCTGGAATCCCAGCACTCTGGGAGACCAAGGTGTGTGGACCATTTGAGTTTAGGAGTTGGAGATCAGCCTGGGCAACATAGCAAAACCCGGTCTCTACAAAAAAAAAAAGAAAAAAAAAGAAAGAAAAAAAAATTAGCTGGGTGTGGTGGCGTGCGCCTGTAGTAGTCCCAGCCACTCAGGAGGCTGAGATGGGAAGATCACTTGAGGCTGGAAGGTTGAAGCTGCAATGAGCCATGATCATACCACAGCGAGACCCCGTCTCAAATAAAAATAAATAAATAAATAAATATAGGCTAAGGAGTAGAAGCAGGTGGATGTGGAAAGAATGAATAGGATAAGGCCCCTGGTGAGATGAACAAGGACAGGATCCCATGAACAAGGAACAAGGATCAGGATCAGGATCCCACAGGATCAACTTTAGACCAACCAAAAGAAAAAATGTGATTCCTTGAACCACATATATTTCACAGTATGGACTTCATCCGCTGTCTTTCATTACGGTTAAAATTACACCGCATTTCTAGTAATTCATGTTTGATGATGACAAAATACGTATCAGGCTACAGCTATCTGCAATCAGAATTGGGAACTTATCTGAACTGATCCTATAACGCACTGCCCACATTCTTCAAGAAATAGTAAGGTACCAGCCTCGATTCTTGCTTTTTCCCGCTCTTGCAGATGGACCAAATATCCACTGGGCCCTCAGTCCTGTTAATTGCCACACTAAACAGGGTATCCCAGAACGTATGCTACCCGAGAATGCTGCACTGTCCCACCTGTAAGCATTGTACTTGTGGATAGCTTGGCTCACGTTCTTCTCAAAGTTTGCGAGTTCTGAAAGGCAACAGAAGGCTCGGGTGAACAAGAACCACGAGTAAACAAACGAGAACTGTTTTCTGGAAGGGGATATGGCAGCCTCTAAGAGACAGTGACCACCCGTTTCCTCCAAGGGCCAGACCAAAAGCAGCCCAAGCGATGGCCCAGGTGTAGCCGGCAGGACTGACAACCAGCCAGGGGCGCCGGAGGGAGATCCCCACGGAAGACGACCCGCTGCAAGGAACCTACCCTACCCACTGGACTGTCGGTGTGGGAGAGAAGGAAGGCAGGGGAAGAGGCTGGAAGGAAAGAAGAAAGCCAGCGGGGCCCGGCCCGGTGCTAACCTGTGAGCATGTCGGTGATTCCCCCGTTGAGAGTCTCCTGCGGCGCCTTCCGTTTGCTCATGGCGGCCTGCACCCGAGAACCCCAGAGTGTTCAGAACCAGGGACTAGAGCCCTCTCCCAGCTTGAAGGAGGTACCAGGACTTGGAGACGGGAGCAGGAGCAACCCAGCTCCGGCGCGACCGGCGGAACAATGGTTGCCCCCGATGGGGGGCGGGGCGCACGGCGCTTGTTGTGACGTCACGCGTCCTGGGCGGGGCGGGGCGGGGCTAGAGGGGCGAGCCCTCGGCAGGTGAGGAGAGAGAACTCGGAGGGTTCGTGGACTCGTGGACGTGGACACGGCGCGGGGGAAATAGGCACCTCAGAATGACAGCCCAGGGGCCTTCCTATGGGAAGACCTGGAGTTTTGACCTAAGATATTAAATCTGTTTTCTCAGTGTTTATCTGGAATCCTTTCCCTAGAAGGGGAAACGGGAGTGCGATCTTGATTCTGAAATACTTGCGCTGGTGGGGTAGCTTCCTGCACAAAAATGTGCACTGTAATAGCTACCCAATGCATGGCGCGTTTTGTACGTGGTTAGAGGCGACACTGGCGTCACACTGTCAAAACTTTCTCTAAGGATACCGGGCAGTCCACACTCCAGTGCAGCCCCTTACGTACTAGGGCGCTGCCGGAGCCCGGCGTGAACCATGCCGAGAACAGGAATCCTCCCGCACACGTGTTAGTACACCTGCCAACCAGTGTCAAAAGATATTTTATTTTTAATCCCCCTGCCTTTGCGGTAGGGACCAAATTAATGAAGAGACCACAAGAAAGGGAGAAGTGTTTCATCTAGATCATGAGCAATGGAACCCTAATTATAACATGATGACCTACATCTGAGAAATTTACAGTCTGCTTGAGAAATGGAAATGTCACATCAGCAATAGTTTATTTTACAAGCGTAACTCCTGGGTTCATATCGAACTGCAATTCCAGGCAATTGCTTTGTGCATCGAAAAATTAAAATTTATTACAAAATGATACGTAGTTGCTGTAGAGAAATCTGGAAAAATGTATAAAAGGAGAAAATTAAAATCAGTGATCTCACCCTACAGCTGAACTATTAATATTTTGGGACGTACACTTCTAGTCTTCTAACCCAGTCTATTAAAAATTCCCATTATTTTCCAATAAATATCATTAGTTTCTTTGATTAGCAAGGTTGTGGTGATTGTGTTTCCTTACAATATCAGTGTATATCTTAAGTTATGCTTATTGGAAATCTGTAATTCTTCTTTTTTTGAATTTCCTATTCATATCATTTACCATTTTCCTAATGGGGGTAGTTTGTTACTAATCTGGTAGATCTTTTCTATATATTACTACTTGCCCTTTTATGGATAGCTTTTGTAAAAATTTTGTACATATTTGTATTTTCCTCAATTTATTACTTGAGGAATAAAAGTTAAAAAAACTTTATGCCTGCAACTTAACTATCTGATTAGTTAAGCTGCAGTGAGCAGTGACCACTCTCATTTACTCTTTATACTCTCATTTACATATATGACTTGTCCTAGTTTTCCCTGTTCACACTTTTTTCTGTCCAATCTCTATTCCAGGTGATATTCAGATTATTTTGCTCTGAAGAATTATTCCTCCTTAAATAAAAATGTATTTACCTCTGAATTTTAAAAGTTACAAATGTAGGGAATTGTGGGATCAGTTTTACAAATTTTTTTGTTTTGAGACAGAGTTTCACTCTTGTCCCGCAGGCCAGAGTGCAATGGCACGATCTCGGCTCACTGCAACCTCTGCCTCCCGGGTTCAAGTGATTCTCCTGCCTCAGCCTCCCGAGTAGCTGGGATTACAGGATCCTGCCACCATGCCCAGCTAATTTTTGTATTTTTAGTAGAGATGGGGTTTCACCATGTTGGCCAGGCTGGTCTCAAACCCCTGACCTCAAGTGATCCACCCGCCTTGGCCTATTAAAGTGCTAGATTACAGGCGTGAGCCACTGCACCTAGCCCATTTTTACAAATACTATATTTTTAAAATTAGTGCCAGAGAAACCAAGGAAAATAATCCATTATCTGTCCTTATCGTCTTAGAACAACCGACATTTGATCTGCTTCACAAAGTTCTTCTTGAAATAACTTGCTTCAATTGGCTTCTAAGATTCCACATGCTCTGGGCTTCCTTTTTCCTCACTGGCCAGTCCTCAGCAGGGTGTGTGTGTGCGCACATGTGCGCCTGAGCACTGGTTCCCAGCTCCTCCTCCACTCTCCAGCCTTTATGGGAAATGGCTTCACACTTCAGTCTTCTAACCAGCTTTTCCAACTTGTCCAGTTTTACCTGTTTAAATGGCATGTCTAGCTTGAAAGTCTCCTAAACTCATAGTTCAAGTCTTGACCTCTCCCTTGAGTTCCAGTCTCATACATCAGGCTGTCTACTGGATAGCTCTAGTCCATAATAGGCATCTCAAAGATAAAATGTCCTAAAGAACTCCTGACTCTTGCCCCACCAGCTTCTCCTTAACTTTCCCCCATCTCAGTTAATAGCATTTTAATCCACCCTGCTATCAGGCCAAACCCATAAGAGTCATTTTTAATTGCTCTTTTCACACCCCACATCCCGTCTGCCAGCAGACCTTGTCTGTTCTGTCTCAGGAATATGTGCTGAACTGGATGACCTCTCATCCCGAGCTGCCACTGCCCTAGATCAAACTCCCATGACCTCCTGAACTGTTACCAAAGCCTCCTCAGTGGGCTTCCTGCTTCTGCTCTTGTCCTCTTATAGAATATTCCCCAAACAGAGGGTGATCTTTTTAGGATGTAGTATCAAAATATGTCCCTATTTATACACCCTCCCACTGCACTTAGGATAAAATCCAAGCTCCTGGCGGGGCGCAGTGGCTCACACCTGTAATTCCAGCACTTTGGGAGGCTGAGGCAGGCGGATCACCTGAGGTCAGGAGTTCAAGGTCAGCCTGGCCAACATGGTGAAACCCCATTTCTACTAAAAATACAAAAATTAGCCAGGCGTGGTGGTGGGCGCCTGTAATCCCAGCTACTTGGGAAGTTGAGGCAGGGAGGTTGAACCCTGGAGGTGGAGGTTGCAGTGAGCCAAGATCGGGCCACTGCACTCCAGCCTGGGCAACAAGAGTGAGTCTCCAAAAAAAAAAAAAAAAAAAAAAAAAAATCCAAGCTCCTTTTCATGGCCCACAAGGCCTTATGTGATCCACCTCCTGCCTGCTCTCCTACTGCATTTCTTGCCACTTTTCTCATTGTTTAGGACACACACACGCCCATATTTCATACATACATGTGCCTGCTCAGCATTGTCCCCTCATTGTATGGTTCTTTCCCTGGCTGCCTTCTTCTCATCATTCAGGTCCCAGCCTGGCAGTCACACCCTTGTCACGTTCCTGGACCAGGCCCAGGTTTTTACTTGTGTGTTTCCTTCACAGTACTAAGAAGGACTGGAAATATTCACACGTGGTTGCACATTATGCACTCCCTGCTCACTCCTCCTCCCACCAATGTGCAATGCCAGCTCCACGGGAGAAGGGACTTAATTTTTGTTTCCACGTAAGTACTCAATAAAGTTAATAACTTAAATTGCAGTTTTGCTGAAGTGTCAAACACGGCCACCTGTAATCCCAGCACTCTGGGAGGTGGAGGCAGGAGGATCGAGCCCAGGAGTTCAAGACCAGACTGGGCAACATGGCGAGACCCCATCTCTTTTACAAAAATAAGAAAAATGTACTGGGTGTGGTGGCACGAAGAGATGAAGCATGGGACTCTTGGACTCATTCAACCATCTCAGTAGAAGTCAGGAATAGAGATGGGATTATCCCAGAAAATTTGTGGAGGACCCTCTTGTCTAATGGCATTGAACTCCATGACATTACACAGGGGACCCACAAGATTTTTGAGAATGTTACATCAGCAGAGACAGCTTAGCCTGGAAGTGACAGAGACAGTGTGAAATGAGAAAAGGCTGTTGAAATCCAAACTGCTACGGGCAAGAAATGGGCTGATAGAGCTACTGGGCTGCAAACATGCGATCCTTCAAGAAAAAGCAAGAATGACTCCAAGGGCAGAGCCAGGGGCACAGAGGCAGAGGCCAGAGGAGCAGACAGAAGTGATGGATGCAGAGACACAGGCCTATGAGGTCACTGTGAGCACAGACTCAGAGGCCTATGGAGCCACCATGGGTACAGAGAGGCCCATGGTTCTGCTGTGAGCAGACACAAAGGTCTGCACAACTGTTGTGGGCCCAGTGGGCGGCACTTCAAGCTAGGGAATTATTTGCAGGCCTTGAATCCTAATGGAATTTTCTCTGCTAGATCAAAATTGGTTGGGAATGGTGACTTCTTTATCCCTTCCAATTTTCCCTTTCAGAATGAGAACATCTATCATATGCCTATTACATCATTTTAAATAAATTTATTTATCCAAATTCCAAAGTTATTTGGAAGCTGATAACCTGTAGTATCACAGGTCCACAGCCAGAGAAATTTAATCCTAAAATGAATCATGCACGGGGTCTCACCCACATCTGACTTAGATGATGAGATGCAGGACTTCTGAGCTAATATATAGATGCAAATTTGGTCTTAGTTCATGCTGTATGAGTTGAGACTTTGGGAGATGTTGGGAGGAATAAATGTCTTTTTCATGTAGGACAAATATGGATTTTGGGGTGCCAGAGGGTGGACTGTAGTGGGCTGAATGGTGGCCCCCAAGAAGATGTCCACATCATAATCTCCAGAGCCTGTGAACATTACCTCATATGGCAAACTGTGATTACATGAAACATCTTGAGACAAAGTGCTTACCCTGGATTTTTCAAATTGGCTCTAAATCCAATGGCAAGTATTCTTGTAAGAGATACACAGCAGAGATGTGACAGAGAAAGCGGCAGCAATATGACCCAGGGGCAGAGATGCAGTCACAAGCCAAGGATTGCCTAAAGCCAACAGAAGCTGGACGCCACCAGGGATAGAACCTCCCTAGAGCCTTCAGAAGAGGTGTGATCCTGTTCACACCTTTATTTCAGACTTCTGGCCTCCGGAACTGGGAGAGAATAAGTTTCTGTCATTTAAGCCACCAAAGTTGTGGTAACTAGCTAGGGCAGGTCTAGGAAACTAACGCAGGTAGAGAGAGCAGGCTTTCTTGTCTGTGCCCATTGGTTGGCTTCTCCAGCACTCATATCTTTTTTTTTTTTTTTTTTTGAGACAGAGTCTTGCTCTGTCACCCATGCAGTGGCATGATCTTGGCTCACTGCAACCTCCGCCTCCCGGGTTCAAGCGATTCTCCTGCCTCAGCCTCCTGAGTAGCTGGGATTACAGCCGCATGCCACCACACCCGGCTAATTTTTGTATTTTTAGTAGAGGCGGGGTTTCACCATGTTGGTCGGGCTGGTCTCAAACTCCTGACCTCCTGATCCGCCCGCCTTGGCCTTCCGAAGCCAGCACTCAACCTTGAGACAAAAAGAAAAGCCACGGAATAACTACCAGAGTCCTTCCTCAGATCCCAAGGTCCAGGGATAGTCTTCCGTCTTATCTCTACCTTTCAGAGTCTTGTGTTTGTTTATGTGACCAAGGAGTTTAGCTGTACTTACTGAGAGGAAAAAATGTATCTATCTAATCTTTTTGGAAGCAGACATACTAACTCCTGGATTTTCACTTTTTTTTTTTTTTTTTGAGACAAAGTTTCGCTCTTTTTGCCCAGGCTGGAGTGCAATGGCACAATCTCTGCTCACTGCAACCTCTGCCTCCTAGGTTCAAGCGATTCTCCTGCCTCAGCCTCCCGAGTAGCTGGGATTACAGGCATGTCCCACCACGCCTGGCTTTTGTATTTTTAGTAGAGACGGGGTTTCTCCATATTGGTCAGGCTGGTCTCGAACTCCCGACCTCAGGTGATCTGCCTGCCTCAGCCTCCCAAAGTGTTGGAATTACAGGCGTGAGCCACCGCGCCCGGCCTGGATTTTCACTTTTTAATCAATTACACTGTTTCAGCCATAAACTTTTTTTTTTTCCATTTTTTTTCTTTCTTTTCACAACTTGTCCTGTAACTGAACAGCCATAAACTTTTAAAATGACTGCTTTGGTTGGCATTTTCTTCGTCAAAATTCTTCAGTGGCTCAGTTGCCTGTAACATAAGCTCACAGCCCTTAGCCCAACATCCTTTCCCTCCCCAATCTGCCCGTCCTTGCCTTTCGGGTGTTATTTCCCACTGTCATTTACCAGGGTTTCCAAAATTGTGCTTTATTAAATGCTAGTTCATTGGAATGTTAATACATGTTTCACACACACAATCAGCAGGAGAAAATGTTTCTATAGCCAAATGACATTGATAAACAGTGTTCTTACACAAAGTTAAGCCTGTTTCTTTATTATAAGACTTTTCAGATACTTTCCCAGTGCATAGTGTGAATCTCCACAAAGCAAGTGAAACATGAATAGCTCCCTAAACTTACTTGACCACAGAATGCTTCATTCTATCTCCATGGAAACCACTTGTGAAAGTCTCCTACTCCAACTTTCTTCTCCAACAAAACTCACCTGTTTGTGATCATCTGAACTCATTTTGTGCTCTTGCCTTTATATAAAAGAGAAGTTCTGTGAAATGTTGAAGAAGCAGGGTTATGGCACTAGTAATGATCCAGGCACTATACAAATTGTTAAAATTTTCCATTATTTTAGTTCAGAAGCCCTAACCATAGGTATTCTAACAGTGGATTGTGGAACCCAGTATGAGTGTTTGAGACATGTTACAAAATATAGGAGCTATTTTTAAAATGAATCCATTTAATAATACTGCTAGATGCTGTGAGAGACAGGGACTCCCCGGCCCAGCACACACGCTTGAGCAGGAATGGAGACATGGGCATGGGTAGGCAGGCTGGTGGTCAGCAGATACCCTTTCTGTCCCTCCTCTGTGACAATCACCCCCAAGTAATTTTTGGGATTCAGAATAAGGCAGCTGCTCTCCCATCCTGGTTACTATGAGTCGCTCTTGGCAGAAAGGACCACAGATGGAGAGCTTGGCACTCGCTCCAACTTTGCCGAAAAGAGGACAACCACCAAAGTAGTAGGTAAAAACACAATTTTAGCAGCAGTGAAATAAAAAGAGGAAGTGAGGATGGGGCCAGGCCGCAACTATAATTAAACTGTCTGTTTAGGAGAAGCTGAATCCAGAAGAAACACAAGCTGTAAAGTGAGAGAGGACAGGGAGCAGGGCCTTTGGAGAGCAGGAGAGGACAGGCTGTCACCAAGCGCTGCTCGGACTCTGCCCTGAAAGATTTGAATTGGACACTGTCCAGTCACGTGTGTGGCAAACCGTACTCCAAGCACTTTTCTCACGGCAGAGGAAGGAGCTGCCATGGCTGTACCCCTGAACGTTTGTGGGGCCAGCGATGTGCGCTGGGCCTCTGTAATGGAGGACCTCCAGTGTGCAGACAAGGCGCCGGCAGTGCCCACGGAGGGCTGCGTCCTGGGTCCTGGGTGAAAGTCACAGCTGCTGAGGAAGCGAGAGCTCCATCTGGATACCAGAGACCCCTGGGCCATCAGTGCAGCAGGAACCACCATGTGAGAGCCGCGGCCAGGCAGCCCCACGTCACGCGGCCTGCTCCAGGCAGCCCCATGTCAGGGGGTCGAGTCCCCCCACTGCACAAGGCCTGCTATGGGCTGCCCCATGTCAGGGGGTCGAGTCCCCCCACATCATGAGGCCTGCTCCAGGCAGCTGTGCTCTTCTTCTTCCGTCTGTAACCAGCTCCAGTCTAGGGCCTGAAAGTCAACAGACATGTTAAAAAAACAACAGCCACCAACACATTTCAGGTTATTTTTCCTCTTCAGGAGGAAATCAGGACAATTGAGAAATATACTAAAACCCAGCCAGGCACAGTGGCTCATGCCTATAATCCCAACACTTTGGGAGGCCAAGGTGGGCAGATCATGAGGTCAGGAGTTCGAGACCAGCCTGGCCAAAATGGTGAAACCCCATTTCTACTAAAAATACAAAATTAGCCAGGCGTGGTGGCAAGCTCCTATAGTCCCAGCTACTCAGGAGGCTGAGGCAGGAGAATCACTTGAACCTGGGAGGTAGGGGTTGCAGTGAGCTGAGATCGTGCCATTGCACTCCACCCTGGGCAAAAGAGCAAGACTCCATCTCAAAAAATAAAAAATAAAAAGAAATATATTGAAACCCCTTTATTGGCTGGGTATGGTGGCTCATGCCTATAGTTCCAGCACTTTGGGAGGCAGAGGCGAGCGGATCGCTTGAGGCCAGGAGTTCAAGACCAGCCTGGGCAACATAGCAAGACCCAGGCTGCATAAAACAAATAAATTAAACAAATACAAATTAAAAAGCCAAACCCTTTTATTAATAAATCTTGTGACTGCAGGGTACTCTTAAGCTAAGTTACATATTCAAACTGTACAGGATCTTTTCTTTGAATTGGCTCAGAGTCCTTGAGATTCTGTGACTGTGGGAATTAGAAAGTCGACGTCAGTACCACTGTGGCTCACAGCACTCACTCCCATGCTCACTGTGGGTAGCTAATCTCAGTTATGGATTTCCAGCCTCACCACATGACTTGGCCTGATGAGACTTCCTCTTCCTCCCACAGACATGCAAGTAAGCAATGAACTGATCAAAACATTATCATGCCAGGAGGAGGAGAGCAGCAAGAGATATAGAATGTCCACAGACTGGAGGAGGACATGCGACTACATCAGCAAAGGCTGCAATTCACAGTGGTATCCCTTGTAATTCTTCCAAAAGCTTAAAGTTAGGGGAGGTTAGCAAGTGATTAGCAGGTAAAGGCCATGTAAAGATCTAAGCAAATGATGCAGGATTCTCTCAACAATGGAAGCTTTGTCTTAATGTACCTGTAACTTGGCTAGTTTTCTCATAACTAGTACTACCTACCACTAAGCTCCAAGGCCCTGAGGACAAGGCCATGGCTGGTTCCTGCTCCCAGCCCAGCACTCAACACACAAATACTCAGCAGTAGTACCAATGGTGCAGGTGGGGACAGGCTTCTGGGAACAATGCTACCTTCTTCCTCATCATCGGAATTAAGTGTTCCAAGGATTAAATAAGATAATGCATACATGTAGTTGTAAGCCTTCAATAATTGTTAGACATCACTATTATTATGAATAATAAAAAATGTGTACTAGAAAATTATAAATATACACTGAAAAAATCAGCTGAATGTGGTGACGCACGCCTGTAGTCCCAGCTACTCAGGAGGCTGAGGCATGAGAATCACTTGAACCCGGGAAGCGGAGGTTGCAGTGAGCCAAGATCATGCCACTGCACTCCAGCCTGGGTGAGAGAGAGAGACCCTGTCACAAATAAACAAGCAAACAAACAAACACTGAGGTTGAGGATAATGCCAGATTGCATTTCCATTTTCTCTTCTATTTTGCCATAGAAAGAAAGGACATGGAATCGCAGGAGTCTCACACAAGCTGTTACCGTGAAACTCTGGTCTTGTTCCCTCACAGTGTCCTGTATGGCATTTTCTAGCAGGGTGCAGAGGTTATGTGCTTCAGCCACCAGTTCTTCACTAAAGAAAATGATCAAATTATTAGAAAGTGGTCATTATTAGTTATCAGAGCTAACACTGCTATTTTAAAATATGCTAGAGAGTTTTGATAATACTTTTTAAATGAAGTAACAATTATTTTGATCCTGAGTGTCTTAAAACACCAACCCACTGACTAATACTTTCATTCATCTTGTTATGCACTTTCCACATATGAGCGTTACTGTCCAAAATGCAAAAAAGCAAACAGATCTCAATAAAAGTCAGAAGCAAAAAAACCTCTTTCTGCTTTCTGACTTACTAGATAGCTGAATTTAATTTTCAAACTGCCAAAATCTAAAGATATTCTCCAAATCACCTGTTTTCCAATTTTTGAAGTAGACAAAAAAAAGGCCAAGGAATTTATCAGGATTCACAGTTCCTTGGAATCTGTTGAAAATCAAGTTCTGGGATTTGGTTTCATCTAATCTGATCTCTCTCTTTTCTATAATAAGAAACCCATGTTTCCTCTGAGGACTGGGCCACAGTGAAAAAGAGCAGCATGTAGTAAAACATCCGTCTTTTTCTAACCTCAGCTCTATGCTGTGGGGAGACGAGAGACATCCTATATACCCAGGTCCACCTTTCTAGACCTTTGAGGACATCACTGAAGGGAATAAGCCACATAAAGGAAGACTGCCCTGGAACTCCTCTCACTCTGCAAAATGTGACAATCTGATGGCAGGAGCTCAGAGCACATTTCTGCCAAGCCTCATCTATGGGGCCTCTAGCTAGCCTAAAGGCTCAGTGCCTGCCCCAGAAGGGAATGGAACAGGCTCCCGGTCTAGCTACTATACTCCAGGAGCTCATGAGAGGTTGGGGAAATAATTTTTATTTAAAAAAAAAAAAAAAAAAAAAGGGCCGGGTGCGGTGGCTCACGCCTGTAATCCCAGCACTTTGGGAGACCAAGGCGGGCGGATCACCCAAGGTCGGGAGTTCGAGATCAGCCTGACCAACAGGCTGGAGAAACCCTGTCTCTAATAAAAATACAAAATTGGCCGGGCGCGGTGGCTCACGCCTGTAATCCCAGCACTTTGGGAGGCCGAGGCGGGTGGATCATGAGGTCAGGAGATCGAGACCATCCTGGCTAACAAGGTGAAACCCCGTCTCTACTAAAAATACAAAAAATTAGCCGGGCGCGGTGGCGGGCGCCTGTAGTCCCAGCTACTCGGGAGGCTGAGGCAGGAGAATGGCGTGAACCCGGGAAGCGGAGCTTGCAGTGAGCCGAGATTGCGCCACTGCAGTCCGCAGTCCGGCCTGGGCAACAGAGCGAGACTCCGTCTCAAAAAAAAAAAAAAATACAAAATTAGCCAGGCCTGGTGGCTCATGCCTGTAATCCCAGCTACTCGGAAGGCTGAGGCAGGAGAATCGCTTGAACCCAGGAGGCTGAGTTTGAGGTGAGCTGAGATCGTGCCATAGCACTCCAGCCTAGGCAACAAGAGCGAAACTCCATTTCAAAAAAAAAAAAAAAAAGGCTGGGTGCAGTGGCTCATGCCTGTAATCCCAGCACTTTGGGAGGCTGAGGCAGGTGGATCACAAGGTCAGGAGATTGAGACCATCCTGGCTAATACGGTGAAACCCCATCTCTACTAAAACTACAAAAAATCAGCCGGTTGTGGTGGCATGCACCTGTAGTCCCAGCTACTCGGGAGGCTGAGGCAGAAGAATCACTTGAACCTGAGAGGTGGAGGTTGCAGTGAGCCAAGATCGCGCCACTGCACTCCAGCCTGGGCAACAGAGCAAGAGTCTGTCTCAAAAAAAAAAAAAAAAAAAAAGAGAGAGAGAGAGACAGTCTCACCATGTTGCCCAGGAGACTTGCCTCGAACTCCTGCGAACCTCCTGCCTTGGCCTCCCAAAGTGCTAGGATTACAAGCGCGTGCCATACAGCCAAGAGAAAATTAAGTATCCAAGGTCACATAAACACCAAAAGAGGCTACAAACTCCCAAGGACAAGAACAAGATTCTTCAAAGCAGACTGTATTGAGATATAATTTATATACCATAAAGCTCACCCATTTAAAGTGTACAATTCAAGGGTTTTCGCGTATTTACAGAGCTGTGCAACCATCACCATATCTAGTTTCAGAATGTTTTCGTCATCCTCAGAAGAAACCTTGAATTATCAGTCACTCCCAACCTCCTCCCCTGCCCCAGGTAATCATCGGTGTTTCCCATGCCTAGAGATTAGCCTGCAGGAACCCATAGAGCCCTGCACACAGAAGGTGTCAAACAAAACAAAACACAGGAAGAGATGGGCGTGGGAGCAGAAGTGGCCTGCAGTGTGCTGGAGAACGGGCGGAGGGCTGCTAGACACAGACTGCTGGGCCCCAACCCTGAGCTCTCAAGTGAGGTCTCCAGCAGGACCTGAGAATTTGATGATGCACTGCTGGCCCAGATGAGACTTGACGAAAGCTCAGACCTGAGCATCTATAATGGAGGGAGAAGCTGTTATTTATGACTGACTAAGGAACACCTTGGTCAGAGTGGTATTTCGTGAAGATTAATTCAACCACACAGGGCCTGGCAGCAGAAAGGCAGGAGGCAGGAGGCAGAAAGCCCTGCCCCCACCTCTGCTGCGATGGTTCAGGCAAGAGGAGGGAGAGGACGGGAAGAATGGGAAGGTCAGTGGCACCGGGAGGAGGGTGGTGACTCGGTAACTCAAGGTACTGGTAGGGTGAGTGGGGGCAGAGGGCTTCAGGGCCTCCCTGAAGGGAATGTGGCTTCCTATGGATAAAGGGTAACAGCATGTGCCTGACCAGCATTTCCAATGTTCTCATTAAGCAGTTAGTCATCCAAGCCTTGGACAAAGAAACTAGTTAGTAAGTTTCAAGGGACTATGAGAGCCAAACATGTATCACTTTTGTCCCCACAGGACCCAGCAGATGCAACAAACATCCAGAGAGGTGGTAATACCATCAGACAGACATTTACCAGTGACAAACGCCTCCATCCCCGATCTCCTGACGTGCCCTTGATGGTCACACTTGGCACTGCTAAGGAGGACCTACCTCTTCTTGGCTGGCTCAGGTAAGCTGTTGGAGGCCGTGGAGGGCTGAGACATCAGCTGCCCAGGCTGGCTAAGTCGAGAGGCATTCATGCTATCCGGGCTTCCACTGACAGGACCACGGACCTTGCTCTAGGGGACAAAATCAAAAGAAATTAGGAGCCAAGTGATGAATCACATTTTGCATTCACGCCACAGTATTTTCTTAGGAGACAACTGGCTGGCTGCCAGAGGCCAGAGCTAACCCTACAGCCTACCAGTTGGCACCCCCACCTGCGGGTCAACTGGTGCTTCACATCTGGCTTCAAAAGTGTTTCTGTATCAACGGAGACTTTTGAGGAAAGGATTCTAAATTTAAGGAGACCTGGGTGCCTACATTAATTTGCAGGCTTTTTTATTTTCATCAGCTTTACTGATTGATTATGATTGAGAGTCTTGCTCTGTCGCCTGGGCTGAAGTGCGATGTGCGATCTTGGCTCACTGCAACCTCCACCTCCGGGGTTTAAGCGATTCTCCTGCCTCAGCTTCCCAAGTAGCTGGGATTACAGGTGTGTGCCACTACACCCAGCTAATTTTTGTATTTTTAGTAGAGACGGTGTTTCACCATATTGGCCAGGCTGGTCTCGAACTCCTGACCTCAGGTGATCTGCCTCAGCCTCCCAAAGTTCTGGGATTCATGATCCACTGCATCCAGCCCCTTAATGAACTTTTACAAGAAAAGAACAGGAAAGTATTCTTACTGTTTTCCAGGTAGAAGACAGACACACACACAAAGGCTATGGGAATTCCTGTGGCTTGCATCCTCTATGACCTGGCTGAGAAGAAACAAGGACACCCTGACTCCCAAGGGGCTGCAGCCACTGCCCCTCCCAGCCCGAAGGGTCAAGCAGGGGTTCCCATTCCAGCTACCTGAGCCTCCTCAGCTCACAGCCCACGACCGCCGGCCAATCTTCAGGTCACCCCTCTGCTGATCTCTGCCCTGCATGGTCCCCAACCCACCCATGTAGCCCCCCAGGCCCCACACCTGACACTCACTTCGGCCTGCAGTCCTTCATCCCCTCACGTGTCCCTCAGGCCGTGGAACCATCCTGGCTCCACATCCTCCCCTCCAGCGAAACCTCAAGGCCCACACATCAAGAAGCCATGTTAAGCACCCAAGCCTCCCGTTCCTGGTCCTCCTGCTGCACCTTCCCTGCTGACCATGCCTGGGGAGAGGCCCGGCATTGGCCTCCTGTGCTTCTGCCCTGGACCGAAAGTATGGCAGGGGATGGCTCCTGCACTGCCTGGCTCCCTCCCAGCCAGGCCCTGCCCCAGCTCCTGCCCCACCCTGTTCTGTGCTGCACAGCGGCGGCTCAACTCCAGCCTTGCTGAGCGGCCCTTCTCAGTGCTGAGGTTGGCCAGGGACTCAGATCCTCCAGCTGCCTGGAGAGGGACTTCCCCAAATCCCAGATGTGATCATATCCCTACACTCAAGTTCCTTTAATATCAAGGGAAAAGACAGATACTGCCATGTGTCCTGTGTGCTTTGAAAATGGACATAGGCCAGGCGCGGTGGCTCATGCCTGTAATCCCAGCACTTTGGGAGGCCAAGGGGGGTAGATCTCTTGAGGCCAGTTCGAGACCAGCCTGGCCAACATGGTGAAACCCCATCTCCACTAAAAATACAAAAATTAGCCAGGTGTGGGGGCATGAGCCTATAGTCCCAGCTACTTGGGAGGCTGAGGCAGGAGAATCACTTGAACCCGGGAGGTGGAGGTTGCAGTGAACTGAGATTGAGCAGCTGCACTTCAGCCTAAGGGACAGAGCGAGACTTTGTCTCGAAAAAAAAAGAAAATGAAGCGTGGCCCACGTAAGCTCACCCTTGCCTACCTCAGCAGCTTCATCCTCCATTGTGGCCTTCCCCACACACACCAGCCTGTCCCCACTCAGAACACACTGACTCCCCAGGCTCTCTGCCTTTGATAAAGCAGTGTCTCTGTCCTGGAACATCCTCACTCTTCAGCTGGAACAGCTCCTTGTGAACCTTCTTGTTGCTCCCTCTCCTCTAAGACAAGCTGGAGCTCCCCCTGTGCACAGAAACTGCAGCTCATGCCTCCTGGAGCTGCTTCCTAGCCCTTCCTGCCCTGAACGGCTCTCACTCATGCCTCTGTCTGTGCCCCTTGAAGGATCAGGCCCTCCTGGGAACAGGTGCCATGCCTTCTCACCTGTGTGTCTTGCTGGGCATATAGTTAGCATTCAGTAAATGCTCAATGGATGTAGATGGCACATCAGGCTATCACCTGCGCATACCTGCACCTCCCTCTCCTCTTCAGATCCTCTCTACCTCGTCATCCTGTTTTCTCCCGTTCCTCTCTTCTTACAGGAGGATGTGTCAATCACGCTCCCAAGGCATGCTCAGTGCTCTGGCATGCGACCCCAGCCCCTCTGTTCTCTGCACTGTGTGTGGATTGTCCCCTCTGCCTTTGACAATGAGAATCTCCTAATGCACCATCTCCTGCTTCCACCATGAGCAACCATCTCCCTCTCTCCTTCCCTTTGCTCTTAAGGGAAACTGACACCTAAATCACTCTTTCATCCATGTCACCTTCTCTGCAGCCTTTCACAATGGGGCTTGCAGTCCCAACAGCTCTGGCTCCCACAACACGGCCAGGCCTGCCCGTCTCAGTTCTTGGCTGTTTTGTTTCCCATTTCCCCACCATGTGGCATCCCATGGACTCACAGCTACGTTAAGACGGTGTGCACAGAAAGCGTGGCTTACTGCACTGAGGGCAGTGCAGACGCAGACGATGGTCAACCAAGTTGCACTGCCGTGCATGACGGTGGGCTGAATTGGTGGCCCTAAGAAGGATATGCCCACATCCCAACTCCTGGAGCCTGTGAGTGTGACCGTACTTGGAGAAAGCGTCTTTAGAGAACCTGAGATGACATCACCCTGGACTACTTGGGTGGGACTCAAATCCAATGACAAGTGTTCTTGTAAGAGTCACCCAGATAAGGGACACAGGGGTCCCATGAAGACAGAGACAGAGACTGGAGTCACACACCAAAGAACGCCTGGAACCACCAGGAGCTGGAAGAAGCAAGGACAGTCCCTCCCCAAGAGCCCTCAGAGGGAGCTCAGCCCTGCTGACACGGGACTTTCAACTCCTGGGCTCTAGAGCTCAGATAACACGTTTGTTTTTGTTTTTAGTAGAGACAGCTCTGCTGCCCAGGTTGGAGTGCAGTGGCATGATCACAGCTCACTGCAGTCTTGAACTCCTGGGCTCAAGCAATCCTCCCACCTCAGCCTCCCCAAATTGCTGGCGTTACAGGCATGAGTCACCATGCCTAGCCCAAATTTCTGTTGTTTTAGCCCCTCAGTTTGTGCTAATCTTTACAGTAGCCACACGAAAGTAATACACAGATGAATGAAAACAATTAGCACAGGCCCTTCCTCTGACCTCCCCGCTTACACCAAGTCAAAGAACAGCGACGTGAAGCCCGAGCAGCAGCTGAGTGGGCTGCTGGTGGCTCTGTGGTGTCCCGTGTGGGATGGCGGCAGTGCACAGAGGTGGAAAGGCACAGGAGGCTGCTAGGCCAAGGGCCCGGGACCACAGCACTCACTCACACAAGCAATCTTCAGGAGATTCCAGAGCTCCTTCTGCCGCTTCTCCTGCAGCCGGACAACAGTCTTCTCATCCTCATTCATTAAGCTCACCACCTCTTCCACCTTGGGCAACAGTTCCAGCGCCTTCTGCTTGCAAACCACAGTTTTACTGCAAAGAATAAACATGGCAAACTAATGGCATTTGGGCTGGAGAAAGCAGAACCTGTGGCAGCTGTGCATCCAGTCAGCAGCTGCAGAAACTCTCTTCATGAGGTCCAGCGAATCAGAGAGGAGGGAGGAAGGTGACCTCATACCTGCATCTCCCAGTCCTTCCTCCAGAGCAGGAAGGTCGGGGCTCATACCTGAGCTGCGTATAGATCACTCGCACTTTCTTCTCGAAGCTCTGAATTGCCTGAAGCAGCAGCCGTACCATTTCCTGACTGTCACCCTCAGTTCGCTGGTCTGGAGAGAGGGAGGGTAGCATAGTTCCTCAAGGAAGCCAGCAGAGAGTAGTGATGCCCCATAAATGAGATAAGGAGAAGCCCAAGGCAGACACAGAACCCCACTTACCTCGAGGTTTTTCCCTTAGTCTCCTGTACAGCTCCCTTGCTTGCTCCTCTCTAAAATATACAAAGAAGTTCTGTCTAGACTTGAGGTCAAATATGGCTAATTTTTACATTTTTTTGGTAGAGGTAGAGTTTCACCATGTTGCCCAGGCTGGTCTCGAACTTCTGGGCTCACAAGCAATCTTCTTGCCTTGGCATCCCAAGGTGCTGGGATTACAGATGTGATCCACTGTGCCCAGCCAAAAACATTTTTTTTTTAAATTAGCTGAGCATGGTGGCATGCGCCTGTAGTCCCGGTTACTTGGGAGGCTGAGATGGGAGGACTGCATAAGCCTGGGAGGTCGAGGCTGCAGTGAGCTATGATTGTGCCACTGCACTCCAGCATTGGCAACAGGGCAAGACCCTGTCTCTTAAAAAAATAATACAAATACAAATAAAAGAACTAGAGGAGAATAAAGGGTTAATTAGAGAAAATACAGAATCAAAGTTCTGACATTTGGAGCTCCTGTCCTAAGAATCCTAGTGAGAGAATCAGGGAACACTGCTGAGCTCACGGTGACACAGCCCTCAAGCGGCCTGCCTGGTTCCCTCCATCTGTACGCCAGGAGCACATGTGATCTCCTTCAGGTAGGAGTGATCTGCCTAGACCCCTCCGCCCCTCATGGAGCCAATGCCAAATACCTGACAAAGACTCAAACGAATAGTTTCCAGGTCCAAACTCCTAAGCCTCATCAGGTTCTTCCTTCTCTGTTTTACTTTCTGCTCTGAGCTATGCCTGAGTCAGGGTGGGTGGAACAAATCAGGGGAGTCTGCTACAGGGGTAGAGGCTGCTTGCATTTTACAGCCTTTACAGATTATGGCCTGCGTCTCAAATGCATTATCTGAATTCATCCTTACAACTTCGTGACTTAAGACTGTTTTTCTTGTCACTGAACAGATTTGGAAACTGAAGCTCAGTGATGATTTGCTGGAAGTGACCCCACAGGGAAGCATGCTCTAGAGAATGGTCCCGCACAGCCACTGAGGGTGCCCTTGACACACACACCGAAGCTCCAGGGCTGTCTGTGTGTGCTGGGCACAGAGGGGCCCCCCAGCCAGTACTCACAGGTCGTCCAGCGTTCCCCCCTGCTTCCGGCCCATGGGGCTCCTCTGTAAGTCCACAATGTCGGTCTGCAGAGCCATCATCCGTTCTACCAGGAGTTTCACTTCGTTCTCCTAATGGAAAAGCTGTGCTAATGTCAACTGATGTGGTAGGCGCATGCTGAGATGCAAGATCTGCGGGGGAGCGAGACCAGGGGACCCGCCACATTCCCTGAGGACCCTCAATGGACTGGCTCAAAGGAATGTGGACTGTGGGGTCTGAATGGCTGCGCCTGCATCTAGGGTCCACCGCTTTCTAGCTGTGTGACCCCTTGGCAAGTTACTTACCCCCAGCTACAGTTTCCTTTTGCATAAAATAGGCTTCTAACAGGGCCATCTGAGGAGTCAAGTAAGATGAAGTACTTAAAGCCTCTGGCATGGTGCCTGGCATACAGAAGATGCCCAAGACACATTACTTTCTCTTCTCTTCATCTGTCTATCCTGATGCTACCCGGGCAGGGAGGCCCAGACTGTTTTATTTCACAGATTATGAGTCCCAAGATGGGGAGGAGCACTCAGCCCTTCTATGGTTAATATTCACCATTAAACACACATATACTCCATCAGTACTGATTCATAAAAATCGATACTAAGACACAGGTGAAGATCCTTGCCCAAGTACACAGGGGAAAACAGAGGATAAGTCCAGGAAAAAGCCCCGGAGCCTGACTTCAACCTTCAGTTTGTGTGAGGTTCATTAAGTCACATGTATTTCCTTTGCCTTCATAATTAACTTTTTTTGGTGACATCTGATTTACGCTGCCCTGAGACTTTCTGCCTAGACCTTTTATTTCCTATGGATTTAGCATCCCAACAAAATTAGTCAAAAACCTTCGACAAGAGGGAGTGTTGATCATCCATCCAATGCCCTTCCTAACAGGAAATGGTCTTGGCTTTTCCCCAAGGGAACCTAACCCTTGCTTCTTATTTAAACCTGGACCATCTCTGTCCATTCATGCAGCTCTTGCATCTGGCCACAGAGGGGCTCCCTTCACTGGCTACTCTCTTGGCCTCTTTTCAGCTGGTCCAGTTAAGCTCAAAGCATGGTGAGGAACACCTGATTTTTGACAGAGATCGACCCAGTGTTTGATGAGAAAGTGAAAAGTGGGAGCACAAAATCTCACCCCCTTGGTAAGTTCCGAAACCCAAAATGAGTCTCCTACCCGCCCACAGAGCTCCACAGCCTGCTCCATTTCCCTCCAGGCCAGCAGCAGTTTATCTGATGCTGAAAAAAAATTGAGAAGGAAAAACAAAACAAAACAAAATAAAAACACCACAAAACTGAAACAGAAATAAGCAACTCAATTATAATAGGACAAAAGAAACCTTAGAAAGAGAAAAAGAAAAAAAAATGGTGTCTTTAAACTCATTGCAAAGTGCACACTCACTGATCCCAAACTCGGTTTGCTCGCTGTACTTCTCCAGGTCAATCTGGATGCTGGTTTTGAAGAAATCCAACTTGGCCTTGAGCTGCTGAGACATGGAAGCCATGGAATTCTTCATTTTGGAGAGGCAGCTGTTGTTTCGGAGGAGATTCATCCTGCAGGGACCACAAGGAACAGTCTTGGAGCATCTCTGGGATCCAAATTCCATTTCCTGTACAATAACAAAACCCCCTCAAATGTCAAGGGAGGTCCCTGCTATAATTATTATCATCATCACTATTATTATAGCAGCCACTTATAACCCAAGGACAATTTCCTAGCCCTCAGCAATGCCTGAGGTTCTGCACTAAACTTGACATCAGGCAAAGGAAGACACAAAAGGCCAATAATGTTGGCAAACGAGTCACAATGAGGAAAGAGTCCGTAAGTCCCCAGCAGCACGGTCAGGGGAGTTTTGCTAATCCACATGGTAGTGAGCTCCTCTGGGTTCCCAAACCAGCCACAGCTTGGCCAGCCCAGCTTCAGTTCCACACTCCTCACCCTGTGCCAACCACACTCACCTCGCCAGGTCTAAAGGGGCCTCCGTCAGTCCAGCCCACCCAACCGCTTCCCGTCCATCCAAACCAGTGTCTTCCTTTTGTTGCTCATAACGGTTGCTTCTGGGTCCCTGCCTCAACCACCTCCCTGTGGCCAAAGCCACCAAGGAATTTTAAATAAATTAAGTTTAAAAAAAAAGCCTGGCACGCTACATGGCGGCTCGCTGTCCCTGCTGCAGCCGGTTGCAATCTTCCTTCAGGGTCTGGATGCTGTGCCAGACCTGGCCCCACACCTTCCTCAGCTGGAAGAAGGCGAGATTCCTCTTGGGCTCTTGAACTGGAGACAGAGACACAAGCAATTGTCAAAGAATAACCACAATAACTCTCCTACAATTAACCATATCCTGCCTTCGACACTACTGGCACTTTCACGTTTTGTACCTACTATAGGATCATGTAACTTTGGAGGGTGTTATGCCTGGTTACTGTCACATACATGTATTTGTACCAACAGCATGTACCAGTGGTCAATAAGTAGCTGTTGATTTGAAGGAACACTTTACGAACCATTGGACACATATGTATATAGGGCCATATATTTTCAACAGAATTTTTTTTTTTTTTTTGAGACAAGGTCTCGCTCTTGTCACCCAGGCTGGCATGCAGTGGGGGTGATCATGACTCACTGCAGCCTTGAACTCTCAGGCTCAAGTGATCCTTCTGCCTCAGCCTCCTGAATAGCTGGACTACAGGCATGCACCACCACATCTGGCTAATTTCTAAATTTTTAGTAGACTTGCGAGCTTACTATATTACCCAGGCTGGTCTTGAACTCCTGGGCTCAAGTGATCCTCCTGCCTCAGCCTCCCAAAGTGCTGGGATTACAGGTGTGAGCCACCACGCCCGTCCTAGGAGGTTGAAATTAACTAATGGTTTCCTGTACTCTCTCTTGCCTGGCTACTCCTTGCATGTCCTAAATAAGGAAGGCTGCCCTGAGGACTGGCGATATTAATTTCCTTTACGTGGCTCCCCCTTCCTTAGTCCAGTCTCCCTTCCCTGCCTTGTCCCACATATTATAACGGATTATTTAGAAAAACAAAACATAACAAATTCTTACGGATACAGCTGACACTTTCAGGTTGGGGCCGTGGGGAGATCTGAGTCTCATAGGTGATTTTACTGTTGTCAAAGAGAAAAACAAGATCCATGTCCAATGTGTGGCCCTCATTTAACTGCAAAGGGACAAGGACAAAATGAATCTTGTGGATCCAACCCTCTCTTTTCTAACTGATAATGAAGAAGTTCCACAGCTTTCCCCACTGTTCAGCAAGAGCATCATCTTCAGCCAGCAAGTAGGAAGCATCCATGAAGTGTTTAACGTTTCCAGCCACACTTACTGTCTGAACACACTCTTTATTTACAAACGTATTACATTCTATTTTACTCTCTGTCTTCCCTGGGAAGTTCAGAAATTCACTATATACTTCCCTATGCAATGATTATTTCTCATATGATAACTTTAGCTCCACAAGTCAGCTGAGAAGGTCTTTTTGAGCAGAGGTCATGTCTTACACAGCTATAGTTAACACAGGTGCCTAACCCAGTTCTGTACACAGAGGCCATCATAAATACTTTCAGTTGACTCAAGAAAGTGCAGCATCCTTTTTTTTTTTTTTTTTAGTACACTTGGAAGAGGGCCAAGCAGGCAACTTGAGAGATTCGAGTGTTATAGCATCATTTTTTGCAATAAAGGCAAGAGACCGGTCTTGGAGGGTTTGGAAGTAACAAGTCCAGCAAGGAGATTTGTGTTTCCTATCAGGCCACACAGAGGACACCATACTCCAACTTAAAAACCAGCCAGGTATCCGCACTGTGTGATTAACAGACTACATGACAAAGCAGAATTGAAATCTGAAAGTGTGTTGAGTTTCCCAGGAGGCACAGCCAAGGTAAACAGGATGGTGTGTACGAAGCCAGGGCTCACCTTGCCGTCTGAAATACACTGAGTGGCAGGCTTATCGGGGATCAACGCCAGGCCCGCTTCCTGCAGCAGCTCCTGGTCCTCCTCTGGGATGCCCGTGTCCTGTTGGATTCTGGCCTTCAAGCTCTGCAGACTCTCATCCTCTGTCACAGGGTAGGTGTGGATGGTGCCCGTGACCATGTTCAAGATATGAACCAGCTGCAACACAACCCAGATGTTACTGGAAAACCGATTTCTTCAAGGAAATGCCCATCTATTTGCCTAGGTCCTCTCTCTGCTACTCCCAACATTTCCCAACCACACAAAGCAAGGGCCTAGCTTGAGGGAGGGAGGTCATGTGCCATGTTTCGCATATTTGCATCTTTCATAATCCTGTCTGTGGCTATGACCTCATAGCCAATGTCAATTAGCACAACTGTCCTTTCTTTACTTATGCAGAAAGACTGATGCAGGAGCCTAAATTTCCTCACTAGGTCAGCTGGCCCCATCCCCTGCTCTGTCCTAAGAACTGCATGTTCCACTGGGGACCCCAGCTTTTGCCTCAGGGCTAACTTGGCTCCACACTCACCTTTAAGTTTAAGATGTCATCCAGGGCCTTGAAGCAGCCATTGGGCCCATACGTGGGATCCGTGCCCCTCTGTCGGGGGTGCCACATCAGCATCAGTTGCAGCCACTTCTCCAGTCGCTCAGCCAGGACACTGTGGAGAGGAGCATAGTGTGTGAGGAGACACTTCCAGCCAATGTTGGGCTACAGTGTGCGTCTCCCAGTATACACACAGACGGCAGCCAGTAGACGGTGATTGAAAATGAAAATGGGTTTATCAGAAACAGTATAAACATTTCCAATCAATTATTCAGGTGTTCACACCTCTCTCCTGAATTCTAAAATACCCCCAAATCAGAGATTGCTGACCTCCAAATGGCTGCATAAGAATGACCCATGAGAGCCGGGCACAGTGGCTCATGCCTGTAATCCCACACTTTGGGGAGGCCAAAGCAGGTGGATCACTTGAGGTCAGGAGTTTGAGACCAGCCTGGCCAACATGGTGAAACCCCATCTCTACTAAAAACACAAAAATTAGCCAGGCGTGGTGATGCACACCTGTAATCCCAGCTACTCGGGAGGCTGAGACGGGAGAATCCCTTGAACTTGGGAGGCAGAGATTGCAGTGAGCCAAGACTGTGCCACACTGCACTCTAGCCTGGGTGACAAGAGGGAGACTCTGTCTTAAAAAGAAAGGAAGAAAGAAGGGGAAAAAGAATAACCCATGAGGTTTTAAAAATACACTTTATAGGCACATCCTAGCTTAGGTGACCCCTACAGAATCTAGATCCCATGCTGCCAGATATAGCGGTTCACATGACAAACTCCAAACTCCTTCCCCTGGCCCTGCAGAGCCTGCCTCCTGTGAGCACTCAAACCCTTCCCTGAGGCCAACACAGCTACTCACCACCTCCCAAACGTGCCTTGCTCACCTCAATCTTTCCCCTTAGAATTTCCTTCCTCCTTTCTCTTCATCTATCCATGTCCTGTACATCTGTCTAGACCCTTCCAAAAAGTTCTAGCTTATCCCACGTCATTCCATATAGCACTAATCCATCCAATCATCTCTTCCACCCTCTAAATATGGTAATCATTATCCATGTCACTCAATTATGTGTGACTGCCTTGTAGCTTTCTTTTGCACTGTTACCCAATTCTGTACAATTATACAATATTATTAATTGTTTAGATTCTGGCTCTGAGACTGGATTGTAATGCCATTCAAATGACAAAGATTTATTTGTTGACTGTGACACAGAATTGGGCCACATGAGGGGTGGAAAGAGAAATAAGGTATAATTCCCTACCCTTAAAAGGACTGCTGTTGAATCAGAGATAAACCCTATGCAAAACCGAATGTGATACAAGGTAGAGGCTATTAAGGGTAATAAGAGGTATAGATAAATTGTTATGTGAACTTAGAAAAGAGATGATTTCTAGGGAGATAAGGGAGGAAAACCCATTCCAGATTTAAGATTAAGAAGGACTATGTTAATTTCTTAGTCACAGGACGATATCCTGATAGCCTGTTTAAAAGTTATCAGATGTCACTTCAGACTTGAATTTCTTTTTTCTTTTTTTTTTTTTTTGAGATGGAGTCTCACTCTGTCTCCCAGGCTGCAGTACAGTGGCACGATCTCAGCTCACTGCAACCTTTGCCTCCCGGGTTCAAGTGATTCTCCTGCCTTAGCCTCCTGAGTAGCTGGGATTACAGGTGCGTGCTACCACTCCTGGCTAATTTTTGCATTTTTAGTAGAGACGGGGTTTCACCATGTTGGCCAGGCTGGTCTTGAACTCCTGACCTCAGGTGATCCACCTGCCTCAGCCTCCCAAACTGTTAGGATTACAGGTGTGAGCCACCACGGCCAGCCAAGACTTGTATTTCTAAAAAAAGCAAGAAAGATATGTATTCGTGTAATGCCGCTGTGCCTTACCTGTTAAGATTATTGGGGTAGGGTAAAGAGCTTGAAAACTTCACCGTTCCATTCAAGTCTTCGCTAACAACAATGTCCACCTCACTCTTCTGCCGCACTTTTGAATGCCTGCAAATATGAATCTTGTTAGGTGCAGTCACACGTTGCTATGACGGGGACACATTCTAAGAAATTCGTCATTAGGTGATTTTAGTCCTTGTGTGAACATAACACAAACCTAGATGGTTTAGCCTACTACAGACCTAGGCTGTATCGTACACCCTATTGCTCCTAGGCTACAAACCTGTACAGCATGCTCCGGTACTGAATACTGTAGGCCAGGGTAACACAATGGTAAGTATTGGTGTATCTAAACATATCTAAACCCAGAAAAGGTACAGTAAAAATACAGTATTATAATCTCATGAGACCACTGTCATCTATGCAGTCAATTGTTGACTGGGATGTCAATGAAATATACAGTCATACATATCCCTACGACACTTAGCACTCAAGAGCCATTTTACATTTGTAATATAAGTTTACAACTATACAGGAGACTTATAGCCCCAGTCTTTTGGAATAGCAGTCAGTTCATTCACATCGAGTCAGGCAGATTCTTTGAGAGTTTAAGACTGGTCAGGACTGCCTGGATGAGTTTTTGAAGAGCAACCTTTAGCAGAGTCACTGACCATCTTGTGCCCAGAGTTCTGCAGATAGTACCACTGCCTCCTTATCTCATCCTTGGCTTTTCCTTCTCCCTTGCTCTACCTTCTATTTCATCTATTACACACTCTTGTGTTTTGACAGAGGTTAAAATTAGGACTTCCAAACCTAGATTACAGCATGCATACGACATTTACATAAAATATGCAAAACCTACGCACACACATAGATACTTCCCTCTAAATGTACACAGCTAAATACTAAGGATAAATGAACTTATACATTTCCCAACTTAGGGAACTTCTTGGGGTATGTGAAGTAGTATCTGAAGGTAAAAAAATTTTTTTTTTCTGTCGCCCAGGCTGGAATGCAGTGGCACAATCATAACTTACTGCAGCCTCGACCTTGTAGGCTCAAGCAATCCTCCCTCCTCAGCCTCCTGAGTAGCTGGGACTACTGGTGTGCGCCACCACACCCAGCAAATTTTTGTATTTTTTGTAGAGACGGGGTTTTACCATGTTGCCTAGGCTAGTCTGAAACTCCTGGACTCAAGCAATTCGCTCACTTTGGCCTCACAGAGTGCTAGGATTATAGGGGTAAGCCACAGTGCCCGGCCAGTAAAAATAATCTACATACAAATGGCTTCAAATCTTGGTAATAAGAAGAGTAAATTTGAATAATACTTCATAGATAACCAAGTACTCTGACACAGATCATTTATTCACTTATTGCCGTGACAGGCCCATGTGGCAGACATTATTTTTAGTCCCCCAATTTGGACTAAAGGAAATGATGATCAAATGATTTGTCCAAGGTCACACAACAGAGTAGCAGAATCAGGGGCTCAAACCCAATGTCTGGTGTTCTTTCTATTCTGTCTGAATGTCCAACTACGGTTTTTCCTCAAAACATCTAGGAAATTCAAATAAAAAATGCTTTGCTCCAAACAATTCTCATTGGCAAGTGGTGAACCGGCCTATCGGGAGCACACTGGCACTGGAAAGCTAGAAGAGCCGGTGCGTGGCAGAGGCTGGTGCTTTATAGCTTGGGCTGAAACTCTGACAGCTCTAAGTCGGGGGCTCCAAGACTTTCTAATTATGTAAGTGTGGAATAAGCCTCTGCTAGAAAACTTAGGCTGTTGATGGGAAATTAGAAAAGGACCCAAAATAAGATGCTTATTGCTTGGGCTTGTCCTAAAATATATTTCAAAGTGGCTTTATAATAGAATTGTAAAGCCCAAATTGCATTTGTCTGGAAATTACTATTTACCTGCCATCTGAGATAAGATAGTGAAATTTTTTAAAAGTTTCCCAAAGCATTAAAAACTAGATAGTCCACAAAACAGCTCCTTATTGGGTTTCAGAGAAATCTACTTGAAACTGGCCACCTGGTCCTCCAGCACTGATGAGGGAAGCTCTAGGAAGATGGCTCTGCAGACAACAGATTTCCTATGAAGACGCTGGGCCATTAGGAATGTATTTTCAAAAAGCACCTGTTCTTCTAGTTCTAATGGATTTTAACTCATCTTGTCATAAATAAGAGACATGCTCAACAAGTGACCTGAAGAAATGCAATAATTCCTTTAGTTAAAACCACTACAGCCGGGCGCGGTGGCTCACGCCTGTAATCCCAGCACTTTGGGAGGCCGAGGCGGGCAGTTCACGAGGTCAGGAGATCGAGACCATCCTGGCTAACACGGTGAAACCCCATCTCTACTAAAAATACAAAAAATTAGCCAGGCGTGGTGGCGGGCGCCTGTAGTCCCAGCTACTCGGGAGGCTGAGGCAGGAGAATGGCATGAACCCGGGAGGCGGAGCTTGCAGTGAGCCGCGATCGCGCCACTACACTCCAGCCTGGGCAAAAAAGCGAGATTCTGTCTCAAAAAACAAAAACAAAAACAAAAAAACCCACTATAGATGTACATGCAATTTAAAGCTATTTTTATAATGCGTATACTATAAAGTGTGACTATAAATTAATGAACAAATTCCTCAATATTCCAGAACCTATGTAGCTAAAGGAGCAATGCCTGTTTTAAAATAAGTCACCATAGTGGGGCATACTTTGCCACTTCTCAAAACTCAGGGCAGACACCTCCCTCACTGGGAGGTAAACGTGGAATTGAACAGACTGCCATCACCTAAGACCACTTTTCTGGAATTGATTTCAAAGGATACACTTTATTCTTTTTTTCTTTTCTTTTTTCTTTTTTTTTTTTTTTGGTAAGATGGAGTCTTGCTCTGTTGCCCAGACTGAAGTGCAACAGCGCAATCTTGGCTCACCACAACCTCTGCCTCCTGGGTTCCAGCGATTCTCCTGTTTCAGCCTCCCAAGTAGCTGGGATTACAGGCGTGTGCCACCATGCCCAGCTAATTTTTGTATTTTTAGCAGAGATGGGGTTTCATCATGTTGGCCAGGCTGGCCTCAAACTCGACCTCAGGTGATCCGCCCATCTTGGCCTCCCAAACTGCTGGGATTACAGGCATGAGCCACCACGCCTGGCCCACTTTATTCTTATAAACAAATACTCTCAAGATGTAGACACTTGTCCTCTGAAAACATTCATGTTTTGTTTTCATTACTTCCAGAAGGTGACAATAGCCAGTGTTGGCAAGGATGTGGTGAAAGGGGCAGTGTCCACACTCCAGGTGGAGACGTGTATTTATATGACCTTCCTGGTGAGCAGTTTGCTAACTAATATGCATCAAAAACCTTTACAACGTGCAAACTCTTTAATCTGTTATTTCCCTTTCTAGGTATTATCCTAGGGAAACAACTGTGTGCAAGAATTTCCCTACAAGGATGTTATTCTTGGTGTTATTTTAAGAAGTAAAAATTATCAACGTCCTTCCAACCACGGGGGATAAGTTAAATGAACCACAGCACAGCCATTCAGTGAAATAACAGACATTACAAATAATAAGGAAAAACATACAGCATTTTTGATATCTAGTTTGAAAGGCACGTTGTATGAAGATTATAGTAACCTATTTTTGTTTAAAAAGTACAAAAATATAACGCTGAAGAGCCTGGAGACACACAACTGTTCATAGTGATTGTTTTCCAATTATGGGATGACAGTTGATTCCTGCTTTTTTACTGTTTCCATATTTTCCAAAACACAAAAATGAAACAAAGTTAATCTGGCAAAAATGAGGGGGTAATTAAACTATGCAGTACTATTTAAGTTCAAAATAATAATTTTTTGTGTTGCAGATAAATTGGCTCAAAAAGAAATTCTCATGGTGTGAAAAGCTTGAAAGCATGTGCAGGACCGTGTTCAGATAATGCTACCATTGGGATAAAAAAGAGGGGAAACATCAATGTACAAATAAACAAATATATGCCAATTTACTGGAACACGTAGCAAACACCCCTGGAAGATACGAACACCTTGGAAGATATGAAAACATTCTTGGAAGACAGCAGGTGCCTGTGGGGAGGTAAATGAGGGCCTGGGAGGCTGGTATGACTTCACTGCATACTCCCTTATTCTTCTGGAAATTTGAGCCACATGAACTTATTACGGTTCCAAAAAAAATAAAACTTGAAGTAAGTAAATTTTGAGCAGAGTAGCATCATTTAAACTAGTGTGTGGCCTCTCAAGGAACAATCCTAAATGAAATCTAACTGATTTGGGGGAATATTCATTTTTAAATTATGGCTTTCAGTAATAATTAACTTTTATTTCTTTTCTGCCCCCAGTTCTTGATTTAAACTGACAAATAAAAATGGTCTATATTTATCCTGTACAACATGATGTACACATTGTGGGATGGCTACATTGAGCTAATTACCATATACATTACCTCACATACCATTTTTGGTGGTGATAATTAACTTTTATATAAACATATCCTGCACAATGCATTATTTCTTTAATCAGTAAAACAAAAGCTAAAGAATACAGGGTAATTCTACAAATCTTCATCATATCCTTTAATTTTTACTGGAAAAATTTTTGTGTAATTTATTAGGTTCACAATTTCAGCTACATTCTTATGCTTTATGCTCAGCTGTTGTTTTTTTTTTTTTTAAACTTTTTTTGTTTTGAGACAGAGTCTCACTCTGTCGCCCAGGCTGGATTGCAGTGATGCGACCTCTGCCTCCTGGGTTTAAGCAATTCTCCCACCTCAGCCTTCCGAGTAGCTGGGATTACAGGCGCCCGCCACCACACCTGGCTAGGGTTTTTAGTAGAGACAGGGTTTTGCCATGTTGGCCAGGCTGGTCTGGAACTGCTGGCCTCAACTGATCCACCTGCCTCGGCCTCCCAAAGTGCTGGGATTACAGGAGTGAGCCACTGTACCCGGCCACATTCTTACGCTTTAAAAACAAAAATTTATATTCAGGTTGTAGTAACATTTGTCAACAACAAATTTTCACATATTTCCTCCTGACTTGTCATGTGTACACGTGTTTTATTTGTTTACTAACACACAGCATTCTCAGTGTAAGTGCGTATATTCATACAATAGTCTTACTTCTGAACACAGAGCAGATGACACTGACACAGCATTGTATTTAAAGATGTGAAGGCTCAGAATCCACATGAAGACTTAACAGCTACTCTATCTATTAACAGGTCCTTGGAGCACAGACCACTCCCCTACTCGTGCTAGGTCCTGACAGGCCTTCCTCTCGGAAGAGAAACAACACAGATCTCCCAGGCCCGGTGATGGGGCGCCAGGGAAACAGGGTACGTGAAGAGAAAGGAACAGACAGGCTCCCTCCTCCATCCAGGTGCCCCGGGCCCACTCACCACTGCACGGGCTGCCAGTTGGGGAGGAAGGGCCGGAAGCCCGTGATGCACTCAAAGGCCAGGGTGCCGAAGCTCCAGTAGTCGACGGTCACTGTGTACTTCTGCTGCTCCAGTAGCTCTGGGGCCTGCAGCAACAGGAGGGGGTACACCTGAGCTGCTCCTCTCTGGGGGGACCACGGCAGGAGGGGGCGGCCAGCCCATCTGCTTTCACCCCTGGCTTCATCCTAGAGGGCACTGGCACATGCATGCAGGGCGAGGAGGGCACCCCAGGCATGTTTAGCGGGTATATCATGCTACCATTTCTAAGACCTTTCTATGTCCCACTCACTCCAGTAGGTACTGATGGAGGGGCTAAAGATTCAGGGCCAGAGTACATCACACACCCATCGCTAGGCTTTAACTTCTCTCCTTTAAAACTGAGGGTTGCAGGCTGGACGCAGTGGCTCACACGTGTAATCCCAGCACTTTGGGAGGCCGAGGTAGGCGCATTACTTGAGGTCAGGAGTTTGAGACCAGCCTGGCCAACATGGTGAAACCCCGTCTCTACTAAAAATACAAAAATTAGCTGGGCATGGTGGTGTGCACCTTTAGTCCCAGCTATTCAGGAGGCTGAGGCACAAGAATCGCTTGAACCTGGGAAGTGGAGGTTGCAGTGAGCCAAGATCATGCCACTGCACTCCAGCCTGGGCAACAGAGTGAGACTCTGTCTAAAAAAAAAAAAGAAAGAAAGAAAGAAAAAAAAGGAAAAAAAAAAAAAGGGTTGCAGCATTTCAGGCGCTTATTGAAAACTAGCTTAAGGCAGGACACAGTCGTGGGCACTGTGTAGAAATGGGAAGAGAGGCTACAAATGTTAAAGGAAAATGATGCCAGGCTGTCCACACCAAATACACGCATTAAGTGCTGGTTGAACCCCTGAACCAGGTACCATGTGGTTGCAGAAAGGGCCAGGATATTTAGAAACAGGCAGGGAAAGTGTGATGCATGGCTGCTGCTGAGGCAGAGAGCGCTGGGGTGACCGAAGAAGGGGCGGCAGCACGGGGTGCTGGGGGTGCAGACTGGGCTTAGCAGGTGGGTGGAGACAGAAATGACTGGGGCAAGCAAAAGCACAGAGACAGGGTGGTGCATGGTCTGGTTGGAAATGTGAAGCTTAAGGAAGGGCCCGGGAGACCAAACCAAGAGAAGACATTCCGGGATGGGTAGGTCAACCTCTATGTCTGGTTATGGGCAGACGTTTTAGCTCATGTGAGTACATGACTTGACTCAGCTCCTGGTTAGAGCATGGGGTCCCCCTTGCTCGACTGCTGCTGAGCTGAGGAGGACTCCAGAAGGATCTACCAAATCACATGCCATATGGACACAGGCGCCTGAATCACAGCCCTCTGTGAGACCCACTCTGAAAGCCGCAGACTCCTTGAGTCACTCCCAATTGTGGTGGCTACTGCCATCATCAAGCAACCTATGACAAGTCTTGCTGGGCATTTGTGCTAAGCCCTCCTGGAATCTAATTGCCCTCTACATCTTCACTGCCCCTACCTCACCCACTCTTCCCTCCTGTTCAGTGTGATTCCTTCTCCACACAGTGTCAGGAGTGGGCTTTCCAAAGAGTTGCTCCTTCTCCCACTTAAAACCCATCAATCTCTGCAGAGGTTTTAAGATAAAGTCTAGAACTTTAGCCCAGCCCTGAAGGCCCTTCATAATCTGTGCTCTACCTTGTTCTCAGCTTCAACTCAAGACTCTCTTTCCCTTTTGTGCTCGGTTCCAGCCACACCTGCAGGTCTTCCTGTGTGTGATCCCTTTGCACGGAATTCCCCCTGCCGTCCCCCACCTCCAGCCCTTTTCACCTCCTTACCCTTCAAGTCCCAGACCAGGCTGAGGCCACCCAATATATATTCTTGCAACACCCTGCACTCTTGCTTTGTAACACTCACCACAACTGTAATTTCTTAGTTATCTGTGTAAGCATCACAGTAATGCTTGCTTTCCTGCTAAACCCTAAGCTCTGAAGGCCGAAAAGGGCTTGTCTTTTTTCCCCACTGCATCACCAGCCCTGAGCACAGTGCCTGACACAGACTACACTCCATCAATATGCTTGAATGAATGAGTGACTCAAACAGAAACCTAATATTCAGACCAAATAACGTAAACAAAGGGTGGGGAGCTCAGAGCTCTGACCCCTACTCAGTGGCCCCTGAAATACCTCATGGAAAGTGTGGCCTCGGCCAGGCTCAGTGGCTCCTGCCTGTAGTCCTAGCTGCTCAGGAGGCTGAGGTGGGAGGACCGCTCAAGACCAGCATGGATCTGTTTAAAACCCTTTCCTTTCAGAGAAGACACTGAAGCACAGAGAGGCTAGGGGATGGTGCAAGGCGCATGAGCAGAGCCCTCCGGACATCAGAGAAGACGACCACATCCCTCCACAGGGCATCTGGTGGCAAAAAATGCTGACTCGACCAGGTTATGGGTGTGACCTCATGCATCTCCAAAACATTCAGAGAGCCGGTGGGACTCAGGTGCTGGGAGCAAGGCAGGACAGGAGCCCCACAAATGCAGCAGCAGGGAGGAGCTGACAGGCAAACAGGCAAGGCCCACTTCTTACCAGGTACTGCAGGGTCCCCACGAATGATGTGCAAAGACTGCCCTGATCCAGCTCCTTGGCATATCCTAGGTCAATAATTTTGTGTATTAACTAAAACAAAAGGAAGGAGAAAGCTGAGGGTTATAAGAACACAATGTCCTTCTACGAGGATTCTGACTGCCTGGTGTTAGAGCAGAGGTATTTCTGAATTCCCAGGTACTATTAGATCCCAAACTCCTAAGAGCCACCAGATACACAAAAGAATGCCCTCGACACGGTAGATTCAGGGCTAAAAGAAAAGGCATATTGTAAAAATGCTAGGCACGTGTCCTCCCACACTCTGCCACGCATCATCAGAGGGAAGCTGAATGAACAGAACAGGCACCAGCCCTCAAGACAGCTAAACCCAGACTTGAAACAGGAAGGACCGGGCCAGCCTCTTCTCAGTAAATGCCCTCAGTTCTCAAATCTGAGCACCACTGACAGGAGTGAGGGTGAACTGGAACAAGGGCGAGCCCTGTGGTAGTCACAGGCCAGGCCTAGGTGCTAAGGGCAGCTGTATGGGAAGGGATTAGGTGATCTAAGAACTCATTCACTGTATTCCACTCAGCTGAGCCTGTGCTCACCACCCCAGCTGAACACATAGAGTGGGTGGGTAAAGACCACAATGTCAAGCTTGTGGGGCAGTCAACACCACGTCTGAGCCGGGTGGCCACTGAGGAGGCCACAAAGAGCTCTGGGGAAACTATAGGCTGGACCAGGCTTGGCAGCAGAGGCCAGCTCCCAGTGCCTCTTCCCAGCCACATCCACAACCAACTGACCACTGGTTTCCATTTAGAGTCGAGAGGCGAGGCTCTTAAAGCAAATGGAAAACAAAAAGTCGACTTCCAAGAAGCGCTAGTCCCAGAGGCTAGGGGTGGAGGTAGGAAGGCAAACATTATTTTCCTTATCAGATTCCTGCAACTTGAGCAACTAACAATGTAATCCATTTAAACTTGCCTCAATCTGCAACAACTTTTTTGCTCAATTTTGTTTCAAATCAAACAGCATTCCCAGAGAATCAAAGCACAGGCAAGGAAATGCAAATACACACAAATATGCAGAGTGTGCTCCTTTCCTCCCAGGCCACTTCCCGGCACGCCCACCTGAGGCTTTCCCAGTCCCAGGAGGTCACTTACCCTCTGTTCTCCTTGCTGCAGGACGATGTTTTCTGGCTTTAGATCCCGATGGATGATTCTGTTTTCATGAAGGTATCTAAGCGCAGAGGCTGAGGAAGAGGGGGGTGAGTTTTTCTTAGGCCTAAAAAATGCTTTTCATGACAGAATCTCCTATCCTGCAAAAGATAAATGCCGCATGCCCCTGAAACATACTCTGACTTGTAGCGCAATACCTCAGGGTGGAGGGCAGGGGCCCTGCTACGTGAGGCTTAAACTTCCACAGGAATCTGGCTTACTTGCGCAAAGCACTCTTTGCCTTGCATCCATGAGGTCACCAACTGCAGCCTAGAGCAGTGCTTCTCAAACTATACTACCTGGACCAGCAGCAAACAAGCTTGTTCAAAATGTGAAATTCTCGGGCTCCACCTGAGACCTCTGGATTCAAGTCTCTGGGGATGACCCCACGATCTGTGTTAACAAACTCTCCAGGTGATGCTGACGCCAATAAAGTTTTGAGAAGGGAAGTTTCTTTGGTCTAGAGGCTCAAAAATCTAAATTCTATAGGGTGGGCAAGGAGGAAGGGCCCTTGGGGACAGAGTCCTATGGTCATATGATCGACAGTCCCAAGAGGTCAGAACTGGCTTCCAGGAAGCAGCGGGGAGGCAGAAGAGGAGAACAGGGACACCTCCCACACATACAGACAGCCCTACACAGACTTACTACATGCCCAGTTCTCTGGGAGGTTCTGTGAGGGACATAAAATAAGGGGCATGATCCCCAACTTTAAAGAGCTCAGAATCTAGTTGGAAGAAAGCAGACTGCACAACACTGGCTACGGAAGCATTTGATACCAAGAGCTTCTGCTGTGAGGAGGCAACGTGATGATGTCACATGAGGAGGCACCCGCCTGCAGCTCAGATGGCAAGAAGGACATGATTTTACCCTCAAGAGAGGGTGAATAACTTTGACAGACATCTAGTTCACTGCACTATAAAAGAAAGAAATGAAATAAATAGTACTGAAATGAGATAAAATTATTTTTATTTGGAGATGCTATGACTAGAGATGGAGATAGATTTGGAGATGTAGCCTAGAGAGCTCAACAGACTAAACACTGGATAAAATTTAGCCAGTTGTCTGGAAACGAACAAGAATACACAAGTCAATAGCTTTTCTCTATGTTAGCTATATCCAGTTGCAGTGGAAAGGAAAAAAAATCCCATTCACATTAGCAACAAAAACTCCAAAACACCATGGGATACATGTAGCAAAAAGAGCAGTGTATGCAGGAAAGTCACATGGTATAAATAGAACAGTGCAAATAACATTAAAAGGTTTTCAAAGTTTATGGCAAAAGATACTATAAACAAAGCCAAAAGATAAGAGAGGTGGGGAAACAATATCTACAACACATACACCAAAGAGTAAAGATACCTAATAGATAAAAAGCTCTTATAAATCAATAAGAAAGCAATGCAGAAGAAAAATGGGGCTGGGCGCGGTGGCTCACGCCTGTAATCCCAACACTTTGGGAGGCCAACGTGGGCGAATCACCTGAGGTCAGGAGTTCAAGACCAGCTTGGCCAACATGGTGAGACCCTGTATCTACTAAAAATACAAAAAAATTAGCTGGGTGTGGTGGCATGCCCCTGTAATCCCAGCTACTCGGGAGGCTGAGGCAGGAGAATTGCTTGAACCCAGGAGGCAGAGGTTGCAGTGAGCCGAGATCATGGCCACTGCACTCCAACCTGGGTGACAGAGTAAGACTCTACCTAAAAAAAAAAAGAAAAAGAAAAAGAAAAATGGGCAAAGAATGTCAAGTGGTGAGAAAGCACAGAAGAAGAGATACAAATGGTATCACTTCACTGGTAGCCCAAGGATACTTACTGCATATCTTGAATGAAATAATTAGAAACAGACAGTCATTAGGAAATGTTAGAACAAATTATGGTAGTGCCACATTAGAACAGGCAACTCTTGGGTCTATATTTTCTGACTCAGAGGGATAGTTAATGGTATGACCTGTTTCTTGTTTAAAACTTAAAAAGTCAAAAGCAGTAACATTCAGAGGTTTAACAATGAACCCTCTGTATGCCGTCGCCGCCACCACCATTCTCATTCTCTCTGTTTCTCTCTCATTCTCTCTCTCATTCTCTCTCCTCTCTCTCTCTCTCTCATTCTCTCTCTCTCTCTCTCTCTCTCTCATTCTCTCTCTCTCTCTCTCTCTCTCTCTCTCCCTCTCGGCAAGCCGGGGAGGGGAAGACCCCTGAGGCCCAGGCAGCGATCCTATCTGCTGTCATGGGTACGGCCCTCTGTGCAGGGTAACGGAAAAGCCTTCCACAGAAACTGAGTAAGCAAACATTCTCTGCAAAGACTCTAAGCTGAACATTTGCTGAAAACATATTTAAGAGTCAAACTGAGAGCTGAACAACTGACTTCCACCTTATTAAAGGAGTTCCAGCTCAGAACATTAAGCTATACATGATGAGTATCTCTTATCCAAAATGCTTGGGATCAGTTTTTTTTTTTTTGGATTTTGGAATACTGGCATATTCCTAATGAACCCAAGCTTAAACACAAAATTCATTTGTTTCATATATACCTTATATGAAACAACTGAATTTTTATAAATGATTTTATAGTCTGATGGTAATTTTATACAATAGTCTTAATAATTTTGTGCATGGAACAATGTGTTAAGTACTTAAGTGTGGAATTTTCCACTTCTGGCATCATGTCAGTGTACAAAAACCTTCAGATTTTACAGCCCTTTAGATTTTGGACTTTGGGATTAGGGATGCTCTATCTGTGGTGCCAGATCTCTCCTTGCATCTGCTCTTTTAAGTCCAGCCTTCGACCATGTGGTTCCAACATATCATACTGTTCCTTACTTTTCATTTCCTTCCTAAGTGACAGAGTAGATCAGCTTAGGTCCAATTAATGTCCAGATGAGGTGAAAGACTCGCTGCTTTCCATGTGCCTAAAAAATTATATTTCATCTTGTTCTCAATTGTGTTAATGTTTCAAGACCAATGCTTCTCATCAGCACTTTTATTTTTGTTTTACTTTTATTAAAAATCAAAGCAAATGAAAAAGCATAATAAATTAAATGAAGTATAAAAAATAGCTGCACTAACACAGCCTTGCAGACAGGGATGGCACTGCTGTTGAATATGAACTACTGGCTGGCAGAGAGCAAGGCCATGCAATAACTCAAAGTGTCTGTTAACTGATAGGTTCACAAAAGACCTGTTTTGGTATATGACAGACTGCTGGAGAGTATCAGGATGTAATACATAAAAGTGTAGGTTAGTTTTTTCCAAAGCAGAATATATGGAAGTTGAGATACTGTAATTTGAGCAAGTACACATGCCCAGACTGAGACAAGGCCCCCAGAGCTGGAGGCTAACATCTCAGGGCAAAACCCAGGGCACAACCAGGTGAGATGTCCCCAGAACCCCCCAGTGAAGAGGAGGAGCATTCGGATTAGACCAAAGGCACCGCTCTCTACGCCACGTGGATTAGAGTTGTCACCAGATCTTCAGTGAGGAGGGACAAGAGGTTGGTAACTGAATACTCTGACTACTATTAATATCTGTCTATTTTTATGCTTAAACAACTGTACAAAACAAACTTTATTCCTCATTTCGGGGTGGTCATCTATTCTTCAATACCTCTGTCAACTTAATAAAGTCCAGATTTAAAGAATCCAACAGGTATTGTTACACATAGTTTCTGGGACTGAAATGTAAAAATTCTGATAGGCAAGTCCTCTTAAATGTACCCTGCAGAGAATAAGCTTTCAAAAAGCTTGGTTCAGTATCACTGTGCTACATTTTACAAAACAGTACTTCAGAGCTAAAGTGAAATGAATCAAAATTGTTTCAAGCCCAGAGAATCTAACTTTGTTTAAATTTGATGAAAAATGAGACATTGAGATGAAGAAAAATACTGTTGAATCTGGAAGTTTATTAAAAATCTAAATCCCTGGCAATAGCAGTAAGACATGTTTATAAAAATTAAAAGCCACACCACAAAGCATAAAACTGTACCAGGTAATTTTTCATGTTCCCATTACAGAGAAGAGCTGTGAGAAGCACCACATTGCAAACTATTAAGCTATTCACAACTACACAGTGAGGCCAGGCATGGTGGCTCACACCTGTAATCCCAGCACTTTCGGAGGCCGAGGGAGGAGGATCCCTTGAGGCCAAGAGTTTGAGACCAGCCTGGGCAATATAGCAAGACCCTGTCTCTACAAAAAAAAAAATTTTAATTAGCCAGGCATGGTGGCGCATGCCTTCATCCCAGCTACGTGGGAGACTGAGGTGAGAGGATCACTTGAGCCCAGGAATTCAAGGCTGCGGTGAAACATGATCGTGCCACTGCACTCTAGCCCGGACAACAGAGCAAGACCCTGCCTCTAGAAAAATGCAAAAACTAAAATAAACGACACAGTGCAGTGTATGCAGGAAAAACACAAAAACTAAGATAAATGACACAGTACATTTCCACAGAATGGGTCCACATGGCAGACTTGCCATAGGAAGATAACAGCCTCCTTCTCTCACCCTCCTCAGAAGCCGTGCCCCGGTGGTAACCCCAGCCTTTCCCTGGCTCATGAGGAAGGCACAAACACATAACTGAAGAACGCTGACAATCCTGTGGGTCTTATTGATGAATCACAGCTCCGAATCACAGCCCCACAGCCCTATGTATTTTTTTCAGATGACAAACCACAAACTGGGGAACAGATAAGAGCAGCAAGACTTCCGAGAAGAAAGCAGTTTTATAAGGGTGGGTCCATGAATCTCTATCTATCACAAGTTTAGAGGGATGACTAAGTTCCCTTCAGAACATTTTTGTTTGAGCTACATTCCATAGAGAACAGGTGGAAAGAGAAATGGTCCAAAAGGCTGAGATAGAGGTTAGAAGGGTACAAAGATGGTTGGTTGTCAACTGGCTGGTAATCCAAGTCATCACTGAGTGAGAAAGGCAACAGGATGTCCGTTCCCTCAGTAAAACCTACTGCCTGGGTCCTACTGTGCCAGCCACTTCAATGTCACTGGGCTTCCCAAAAAAAACAGACTTGAAGGCCAGCTGTGGACATGGGGAGAGAGACTGAGTCTGGCTAAAGGTTACTTGGCTAAAATAGCCTTCAATTAATCAGTGAGGCAGCAAGGCAGTAACGTTGGGTGCCAAGGCGAAAGTGCGACAACTTCACTAATTCACTCAGCGAGGCTCTATTGAGTGTCCACTATCTGCACACAATGGGAAACATGCCACTGAATCAAAGCCTTTTCCTAACTTCCTGCACAGTCTGGTCAACTGGCCCCAAACCCGGAAGTCAGCCCTCACTGCCAAGGCACAGACAGAAATCACAGAGCAGTAATGGCAATGCCAAGCGTCAAAGGAGCAAATGAGGTGACATCAGCAGAAAGACCCACAGGAAAATCCCCGTGACCCCAGGCCAGGCAATCCCCACAGAGGGGCAGGTCTGCAGCTGTGCCCAAAGGACGGGCAGGCTCAGGGTCTCTGGGAGGTGCAAGAACAGCTTCCACAAGGGGCAACGCGTGCAAGGCCAGCAAGGGACAGGTGGGTTTGGAATCACGCACGGAGGCTGGCGGGTAGGTTCTGTGGGTCACGTGCAGAGGTTGGCAGGTGGGTTCCGAGGATCATGCCCAGAAGCTGGCAGGTGGGTTCTGCGGGTCACACACAGAGGCTGGCAGGTGGGTTCTGTGGGTCATACACAGAGATTGGCGGGTGGGTTCTGAGGGTCACGCCTGGAGGCTGGCGGGTGGGTTCCAAGGGTCACACACAGAGGTTGGCGGGTGGGTCCTGTGGGTCATGCCCAGGGCTGAGTGGGAGAAAGGTACGGCGAAGGGGCTGGGCCTTTATCTAAGAGTGGACTGTGATGGAAGTGCCCTTCCAAGACAGAAGGGTAGGTTAGCACACAGGGTTAAGGAGGCCAGGGAGGAGGTCGCTGCAGGGATTTGCTCTGACATTGAATCAGCAGAAGCAGCGGTCTGCAGCCTCCGTAATGCAAGGCTATGAGCAGGAGCGGGGGCTGACTCTGTGAGACCAGGTTCGACACGGACACTTGGTCCTGGGCAGCGGGCAGAAAGTGGCACCATGACACAAGAAAGGGGATGGCAGGAGGGACCTGGCTGAAGAAGACAACCAGAGCTTCTACTGGAATTGACTTTGGAAGAAAGACCTGGCAGACATGGATATGACTTTAGGATGAGTTCAGGGTTGAATTCCAGATTCTGGGAACAATATGGTGAGAAACAGGCCACAAGAACGGCCAGGGAAACAGAACGTCGAGGAGCAGCGGGCAGCCAGCGCAGGGGCAGGGAGGGAAGGACGGACAGGCGAATGCAGGGGCAGGCAGTGGAGATGAGACACAGAGCCTGTGGGAAGCAGTTAGGCCACCAGCTGGCGGATGTCAGAGATGTCCCGGGGCCACCATCCTGAAAACCAGATTTCTGGACAGTGAAATGGAGTTGTTAGAGGGAGACGGGGCCCTAGAGAGCACTCGGAGGTCCAAACCCCTCATCCTAAAGAAGGGGACGCTGCGGCCATGACATTCCATGCCTCGCCCAAGGCTCTAGAGCTATAAAATGGTGGAGCCATGACTGAGGGCCTGCTGTCTTCTCTCTCATTGTTACTGTATTTATTAACCTGGTTACTTATGCTTTCCAAAAAGCTTTATGTGCAAATGATCTTTTGCTATAATCCACACTTCAGTCAGATGGATGCATGCAATGGAACCAGTCAGAAGATCCACAATGCTAGACAGTGCACCTGATGTGCAGTTCCTGGAATGGAGCTCTCTTCCCCAAAGCCAAATGTTTTCTCTGAAACCCTCTGTTCTTTAACGCTGAAGTCCTGGATGCCTGCTAGGAGCAGCTCGAGAAGGAAGCAGGGACAGCAACAGAGGGGTGGGTTCCCGAAAGGCCTGGAGCACAGGATGGTGTCACCACAGCAGACTGGCCACCTGCAGAATCCAGGAAAGGCTGATTCCAATCTAAGATCTGATAAGACCCAGGCCCGCCCAGCAGAGCCACACCCCATCAGGCAGGAGAGAGCACCACAGCCTGCCCTGCAATCTTGAGTGCCCAGAATTTTGAGCCTCCCTTGACAAAAGAAAACACATGCCAATGTTTTCCAAAGGATAATGAGCAAGACTGTTTAAATAGAGTCCACTCACATATAACTTCCTTGAGCTATTTTAGGGTCACATTACGTGGCAGTCCATATCATTTCCAGCTGCTCCACATGGGTCCCAGGTCTCCTATCAGCATGGAGTGATGGTCTGGCAGAAGAGTCCTGGCCAGGATGCAGGGGGCTCACCTCTGTGCCCGCCAGGCAGCTGCTCATTCTTTTTTCTTTTTTTTTTGAGACAGAGTCTCGCTCTTGTTGCCAGGCTGGAGTGCAATGGCGCGATCTCGGCTCACTGCAACCTCTGCCTCCCGGGTTCAAGTGATTCTCCTGCCTCAGTCTCCTGAGTAGCTGGGACTACAGGCACACGCCACCACGCCCAGATAATTTTTGTATTTTTAGTAGAGATGGGGTTTCACCATGTTGGCCAGGCTGGTCTCAAACTTTTGACCTCAGGTGATCCATCTGCCTCAGCCTCCCACAGTGCTGAGATTCTAGGCATGAGCCACCGCGCCTGGCCATCTGCTCATTTCTCACAGGCACTCTGCAGCCTCTTCTTGGGCAATTTGAAATTCAGTGGAAAAATCCTATCCATGTCTGTTATCTTGACACTGTTCTGAGCGGGTGTCTCTGGGAGGTTAGCGGCACAGAAGAGAGTAGGGGCCAACAGTTTAATCCAGAAGAAAAGGCAATGAATCCGGACCCAGCGGTCAAGGGTGTGGCTCTGCCACTTATCTGAAGTCAACCTGGCAGAGAACAGCAGTGGCAACTCCAACAAAGGAAATGTGAGGCCAGCACTTGGAACAAACTGGAACAAAATATGCTCAGGAAATGTTCCAAAATACAAAAGAGCTATGTTAGATGAACTCCGGCTCAGTCACCAGATCCTTGCAAAAAGAAATTTAATGGATTTAGAATACAAATCAGAAACAGGGATAAAAGTAAAATACGAGCTCATCAGCAGCCTCAAAAACAAAACCGGGGCTGCACTGCACCCAAAAGGTGGCGGAGATGTGAACAGGTCTGAGGAAGGCTGGCCTCTTCCAGGATGGGAGTCTCAGAAGGCACCCACCCGTGTGGTTCCCTGGATCCAGCCTCAGGTCATGCCCTAAAGAAGGCACTGAAGGTTTCCAAAAGGAGAGGCCAAAAATCAAAATCCAGAGCGGGAAGGAAATGAGCAAGGAACTAACACTTGCTGACTGCACATTCTGCAGGAACAGAGCATTGTGCTAGGAGCTTTATTTATATCACCTCATTTTATTCCATAATTCTAACAAGGTGAGTAACGCTCCCATTTTACCGCTAATAAAAGGGTGTAAGTAACGTGCCCACGGTCACACTGCTAATAAGCAAAGGAGCCAGTATTGGACCTGGAGCTGTTCATGATGTGTGGACATTTGATTTTAAAAAAAAACTAGGTCCTTACTTATTTTAATTTCCTTTAGGATTTATTTGATTCATTTGACAATTTTTTTTTTTTTTTGAGATGGAGTTTCACTCTTGTTGCCCAGGCTGGAGTGCAATGGTGCGATCTTGGCTCACTGCAACCTCTGCCTCCTGGGTTCAAGTGATTCTCCTGCCTCAGCCCCCCGAGTAGCTGGGATTACAGGCATGCCCCACACCTGGCTAATTTAGTTTTTAGTTTTTTGGGTTTTTTGTACGTTTAGTAGAGACGGGGTTTCACCATGTTGGCCAGGCTGGCCTCGAACTCCGGACCTCGTGATCTGCCCACCTCGGCCTCCCAAAGTGCTGGGATTATAGGCGTGAGCCACCGCGTCTGGCCTAATTTAGTATTTTTAGTACAGATGGGGTTTCTCCATGTTAGTCAGGCTAGTCTCAAACTCCTGACCTCAGGTGATCCGTCCGCTTCCGCCTCCCAAAGTGCTGGGATTACAGGCGTGAGCCACCGCATCCAGCTCTCATTTGACAAATATTTATAGAGAAGATTATATACTGCTATTCTAGATGCTGAAGATAAGCAGTGACTGAAGTTTGTGCCCTCAAGAAGTTTAACTGTAGTGTACTAGTTAGTACTTCAAAGTCAAATTATTTCCAACTCAGGGTCACAGAGAAGACAGACAGAGAATCAGCAACCTACAGAATTTAATATTCACCTACCTATCTATCTATAGGAGACCTATAGCACACAAGCACTTAAGAAGAAGCACCTGTTTTCATTATTCTAATTTATGTGTAACTTAAATACATACATGCACACAATTTGAATAAAATAATATAAAAGCTACCACACAAGTCAATAGTAACTGAATTCAAAGTGGACCCAGACCAAAAGAATACGTAACCAGAGAGGTTCTGTGAATATCAGCAGCAAAACACCTGCAGAATAAACAACCATATGAGGAAGCTGAGAGTTATGTGCACTTGTGCCAATAATTTTTTTTTTTTTCAAGATGGAGTCTCACTCTGTCACCAGGCGGGAGTGCAATGGTGCAATCTCGGCTTACTGCAACCTCTCCGCCTCCTGGGTTCAAGCAGTTTTCTGCCTCAGCCTCCCGAGTAGCTGGGATTACAGGCGCCCGTCACCATGCCCAGCTAATTTTTGTGTTTTTGGTAGAGATGGGGTTTCAGCATCTCGGTCAGGCTGGTCTTGAACTCCTGACCTTGTGATCCACCCGCATCAGCCCCCCAAAGTGCTGGGATTGCAGGCGTGAGCCACTGCGCCCGGCACTTGTGCCAATAATTTAAAGACTTTTGGCCAGGTGCTGTGGCTCATGCCTGTAATCTCGGCACTTTGGGAAGCTGAGATGGGCAGATCACTTGAGGTCAAGAGTTCGAGACCATCCTGGCCAACATGATGAAACCCTGTCTCTACTAAAAATACAACAATTAGCCAGGTGTGGTGGTGTGCTCCTGTAATCCCAGCTACTCAGGAGGCTCATGGAGGAGAATCGCTTGGACCCAGGAGGCAGAGGTTGCAGTGAGCTGAGGTCGCCTACTGCAACACCAGCCTGGGCAACAGAGTAAGCCATCATCTCAAAAAAAAAAAAAAAAAAAAGACTTTCGTAATAACTACTTGCTAAAGTCATCAACAGCCTAAGGAGTGAAAGAAAAATATCTGAGAGAAAAACATCCAAAAAAAAAATAATAACTTGACAAAGCTTTAACCAAAGAGAAACAAAATAAAAATCACCCAAGAAAAGCAAGAGAATACTCCCCAACCTGCTAACCTGCCTTCAACCCAATTCAACAGAGAACAAATGAAGAATCTGGCCACTGAGGTAAAAAATACAATCAAGTAAGCCTCCAAGCAAAACATGGATGGGTGAGCCTTGGGTCAGGGTGTCAAGAAAACAAGTGGAATTTCTAACTGATGGATTATGCTCTAGGTAGACAGAGAAGAGACTCATGCGGGCCATGTGCAGGGGATCCCTTGGGCCAGCACTGGGTGCTCATTCGAGTCAAATAAAACTGATGTAATGTCAACGTATCCTCCATGTGAACTCCACCCAAAGGGACGAAGACACAGCACAGAGCAAGATGGGAATTTTCTGTGTCAGACTATTTGGATCTTAACCTTAAATATGTCATTGCTTGACTTTTCCCCTTCCTTTCCTTCTTGCTTCTCCTCTGTCAAAAGCAGCAGTCAGGAAGAGACCAGACCCACACTAGCAAGACAGTGTTGGACCATCAACCCTTCCAGGCCCTGGCTTAGAGAAGACAGCTTTACAAATGAGGGAGAATGTTAACATCTGGTGAACCGAGGGGAACGGTATGTGAGTTTTGCTGTACTACTCTTTTAACTTTTCTATATATTTGACAATTTTCCAAAAAAACTTGAGCAAACAAAAAGAAAAAATGTATACAGCTTTGAAAGGTTGAGGTAGTGGAGGGATGAAAATGGCATCATTCTCCAAATCTGGAGGCAAAGAGTCAAAGATAAATTCTGATAACTCTAAACCTTAGACCCCAACTATCAACTTGCACCAACAACCCTGGAGATTATTTTTTAAAAAAAACAAAAAGCTCTGAGCAAGTCCCTCTCCCTGTCTCCCCAGGCTGGGGCCAGGTGCTGACCTTTAGCGCCCAGCCCTCAGACCCCTCCTGAGTGAGCGCCAGGGTCTAGGAGGCTCCACTGACCTCTGCAGGCTGAGGTCACTCTTCTCCATGAATGGCCAGCTTGGCCTTCTCAGAGGGTGCCGCAGATGCCCTCATTTGGGGAAGCCAACAGTACCCAAGGGATTAAAAAGGACAGTTTTTCCTACGCCTCTCATTGGCAAAGAACTGCCTACGTGGGAGCGGAAAAATTCACTGCCAAGGGACAAAACTCATTCGAATGACAACTTATTCCAGCGCCGGCCATTCCAGGAAAGGAGGGAGGGGAGCTTTATAATGGGAAAGGAAATCTGTTATTCCCTATACATCATAATTCACCTGATGAGTTAATCAGGAAGGAAGGGAAACCTATTTGAGTTCAGCATCTGTCTGGCTGACTCCTTGTTGACCTCCCTACTCCACCAGGGTCCCCCGTCCCTGGGCTCCCATTCCCCTTCCACAGAGACCAAAGGATTGAAGTGTCTGCCTGCAGGGCTCCGCAGGGACTCACAGGGGCACCACACTCTCCCTGAAGGACACGGCCTGAATTCCGGGACTGGGATTTACCAATGTCACTCAGCAAGGTGAGGATGGCACCTTCCCGCAGACCACAGCAGTTCTCAAACTGGTTCAGGTACTGTCAAGAAAGTGAAAAGCAGCATCAGAGCTGGTGGTCACAAACCACCGGAAATCCACACATGTCTCTTACCAGCCCATGTGACCAGAGTGCTGACCCTGGGCCCTGGTCTTTAGGGGACCTGCTTTTGAGGAAGCCAGGGCTGCAGAACTAGCAGGGATTGGCCGGAGGAGGAGGAGGAGGAGAAAGAGGAAGCAGTCCTGACCACCCCAGGGCTCTCACATCCTCACAGCAAGGGGCCTCTGAGGTGAGTAAAGTTTGATTCTCACCAGCTGCTGCAGTTCTGAGCAAGGCAGGCTGAAGTCTAAGCACAGGAAATAGGAATTCTCTGTGCATGAGAGTCCTAGAGACGGGCCAGGCTGGGAGGGCATGACTGGATACCACCCTCCGACCACCGCCCTGCCATCTCCTAGCCATGTGGGTGATGGTAACAGTAGAGAACAGTTACTGAGCACTTACTACGTGCCAGGGGCCGGAAGAGCTCTGCACAGATTAGCTCAGCAAAGCCTTCCCTGCGTGACCTCATTTAATACTAACCACCACCACTGAGTAAGTACGGGTGGAATCCCCGTGTTGGAGGAGGAAACTGAGGTTACACGGTCGGATACCTGTCAGCTCACACAGCTGTGAGAGGGCAGTGCTGGAATGCGGCGCCAGGTCAATCTGAAACTCAAGCCCAAGCCCTTAATCCCCTGCCTTCCTGGCCCCCTCGACTGTCAAGAGGCTCTGTGTGCTGCTGGGAGCTGGCCTCCGAGGAGGGCGGAGAGAGGAGCTTCCCATCTGAGCCTCACCATTGGAATTCACGTCATATTCATAAACACTCATCTGTTTACGTACCCAGCATGTAGACTTTTAACATCGACTCTTACATGTCCCCATGTGCTGGCCAAGCCTGCCTCTCCATGCCCACGGGTGTATTATAGATTTGAACTTTTTAGAGGGAACAAAGGAAACAACACATAACAAGACACTGGGCAACAGTGTCCTCCCCCAACCCCGCTGGGTGACAGCAAGGACAGGGGTCCCTTAGGATGCGAGCCCTTCCTGCCTCCCCCTCAATCATCCTGCAACCCACGCCAGGCCAGTCATGTTAAACTTTCGATCTCTTCTTCCCTGGCTCGTTGGCTCTTTGCCACCTAAAAGACCAAGTCTAAAAGCCTCTGCCTCACTTCAGAGCCCTCTGTAATCTGGCCACATCCCACCTACTTCCAGACTGCCCTCTGAGAAGTCTCCACTTGACTACAACATGGCTTTATCTCTACACAGCTGCAGTTAGTAATGGGTGACTGTCAAAGGTTAGAAAAATAAGGAGAAAATCGAAGTGCTGTTGAGTTCCCCCATCTCTCATTGTGGGTGATGCCAAGGGCTGTGTTCATATCCTGCTGTGAGTGCCACTCCCAGGACATGCCTATCTCCAGGGAGAGCCACTCCAGCACGCCAAGCCCCATGGAAAGTTTCTTTTATTTTATTTATCTGTCTCTTTGTTCTGAGACAGGATTATCTTTTTTCTTGAGACTGAGTCTTGCTCTGTCACCCAGGCTGGCATGCAGTGGCACAATCATAGCTCACCGTAGCCTCAACCTCCCAGGCTTAAGCCATCCTCCCACCCCAGCCTCCAAAGTAGTAGGGACCACAAGCGCACACCACCACATCTGGCTAATTTTTCATTTTTTATTTTTTGAGGAGACAGGGCCTTGGTATGTTGCCCAGGCTGGTCTCAAACTCCTGGCCTCAAGCTATTCTCCTGTCTCAGCTTTCCAAAGTGGAAAAAAAAATTTTTTTTTAAGAGGCACAAGGGCCTGGAGGAACAGTGAGAACAGCACCTGAAGTGTGTCTGGGAATGGCCACTGAACAGGAATAAACGCCTGGGCTCCCGCCCCCACTATTGTGACCCTTCTGGAGTGAAGAGGTGCACTCGCAGAGCAACCGACCTCTTTTTCAATTAAAATAAAAATTGTTGTTGGCTGGGCGCAGTGGCTCACACCTGTAATCCCAGCACTTTGGGAGCCTGAGGTGGGTGATCATTTGAAGTCAGGAGTTGGAGACCAGCCTGGCTGATGTGGCGAAACCCTGCCTCTACTAAAAATACAAAAATTAGCCAGGCGTGGGGGCGGGCGCCTATAATCCCAGCTACTCGGGAGGGTGAGGCAGGAGAATCACGTGGACCCAGGAGATGGAGGTTACAGTGAGCCGAGATCACGCCACTGCACTCCAGCCTGGGCAATACAGCGAGACTCTTGTCTCAAAAAAAAAAATTATTTTGTTCAGAGCTTCCAGTTTTCATAATGTTATATGGCCTTATTCAGCCTCAGAGATGGAGAGGTGGCCTGCAGCTGGGTCTGTGTGGGCTGGGACCCAGGCTCTGCTGCTACAGCTGTGTGAGGCCCAACCTCTCTGGGCCATGACATCCACCCATCATGTGGGAACCATACCTGTGCACCCATGTGTGAGCTTTTGGAAATCGAATGAGGTAACATGTACTAGCAGGCTGTGTGGTACTGTCATAGGGAACAATGGGGAGGAGGGCACCCAACTGCCCCTGAGACCAGGAGGGGCTGCCATCCACCCACCAGAAGTGAACATTCTAGGGAAGAGGAGGTGGTGTGGTGAGAAGGTGGAGAATAGAGCCCCACAGATGAGTCCAGGTGGGTCAGGTGGATCGGATGGATTGGGGCGGGTCTGCAGCCCTGGCCCGGCTCTCTGATCATGAATCCTGCTCCCTCTCTGCTATGCTCCCTGCCCCCGTGTGTGGTGCTGTCCCATCTCTAGAATAAAATCCCTCCTAATAAGGAGAGCAGTGGCACTGGCACCAAAGGCCTAACGTGGCCCTAACATGCCCAGGGAGGAAGCATTTGTTTTGGAACTTGCCCAGTCCTTCCCCACGCCCAGACCTGTGATGAGTTTTCCTTGTCATTGGAGTAATCCCAGCAGAGTGTGCAGCACGCCCTTACCCCTTCCCTGGTGTTCTCGGAAGCGCCTCTGACTCACACACACACCAGCCCCAGGTGGGCAGGGAACAGAGGATCTGAGAGGCAAAGCAGCCCTGCTGGAGTCACTGGGGCTCCCCAAGCTTCCTGATGATGACAGAAGTGAAAGGTCTCCCCATCCCTCTTCCTGGTGTCCCACCTGCCCAGACAGGCTGTGCACCTGGCAGCCGTGGGAGCCTCACCTTCCGGAGATCTCCTCCTTGGCAGTACTCCATGGCCAGCAGGGGCAGGTCATTGGGCGCCAAGTTCTGCATCCCCTCAGGGACATCTCGGGCAGCCACCACATTGGGGTGGGTCAGCCTAGGAGGAGGAAAACCGATGAGAGCAGACCCAGGCTCCTGCCCAGACCCATCCCCACCACCCCCACCAGGTCTCAGCAACAAAGGCCCAGGATAACCCAGGGCTTTGAAACAGAGGAAGACAGAGCCCAGGACGGGTGGCCAACCGCAATGCCTGGGTCAGTGGCGCTCACCCAGCCCCACTCACAGCACCAGAACTCAGACCCTGAGGGCACAACTGCGTGTAACTTCAGTTTTTTGTGCGTGCCACATCCCAAGTCCTCATCGTGCTGCCAAACTGCTCCTACAAGGACCTTTCAATCTCATGCCCTCCACATGGGGAGGATGTGTCACACACGCAAGCAGGCAAACAAGGTGGTGCCTGCTCTTTTTGTTTTCATATTTTTTTTCTTTTGTCTGTTTAATTTTCGGCAGGTTGGTTCACGCACACACATCACCCCAAGGTGGACACACAGAGAAGGGTCTGAGAAGGAACTCATGTAACCAAATGGAACCATGACATAACCAAATAGCACCTCCTCTTTTTAAGAGGCTGGCAGAGGAGCCCCTGCTTGGTGTCCTCCTCACTGGCTCTTTCGGAGCCCACCTCACGCCTCACTAGCTAGGGGGTCAGCAGCCACCAGGCAGATGGACAGCCCCGTCTCCACACTAGAGGAATAAATGTCAGCGACAGCATGACAGCAGAGAACGGTCACATACCACCTTGGAACTGGAAATATAGGAGGAAAGAAGGCTTTTTTTGCTGACAAAAGAAAAGTCACTGTGATAACTGTGTTAACTTATTTAATACAATGAAATTGATGAACAGCCCTTGACAAGGCCCAGTGTGGACTTTAGCTGCTCTTCCTCTGGTGTCTTTAGAAGCAGCAGAGTCACCGTGGAGACTGCCAGGCTGGCGCCCTGATGGAGGGGCAGATATTTAAGACTCTCTTCTCTTTTTTTTAGACGGAGTCTCGCTCTGTTGCCCAGGCTGGAGTGCAGTGGCTTGATCTCGGCTCACTGCAAGCTCCGCCTCCTGGGTTCACGCCATTCTCCTGCCTCAGCCACCCGAGCGGCTGAGACTACAGCGCCCGCCACCATGCCCGGCTAATTTTTTGTATTTTTAGTAGAGACGGGGTTTCCTTGTCATTGGAGTAATCCCAGCAGAGTGTGCAGCATGCCCTTCCCCCTTCCCTGGTGTTCTCTGTAGCTGGGACTACAGGCGCCCACCCATGCCCGGCTAATTTTTTGTATTTTTAGTAGAGACGGGGTTTCACCATGTTAGCCAGGATGGTCTCAGTCTCCTGACCTCGTGATCTGCCCGCCTTGGCCTTCCAAAGTGCTAGGATTACAGGCGTGAGCCACGCACCCAGCAAGACTCTCCTTTCTAGACACACCGGGGGCTGCTGCTCCAGCTTTCCCTTGGGTCCCTATGCGCGAGGCCCTCACCTTCTCATGATCTGGATCTCCAGGCACCACCGCTCTCGGTTCCGGGGGCTGAGCTCCTGCCGGCACTGCTTGATGGCAATCTGCTCACCTGTTTCCTACAGAAACAGCACAGTGGGGACCAGCAGAGCGAGCTGCAGGCCAAATCCCACCCTGTCTGCTGCATGGGAGGGGTCTCCAGGCCCCAAGCGTTACCTGCAATCACCTCCTGGTGCTCCAAGGTCACATGTACACCCTGATCGACAGCCACGTAGCACCTGCCCTTTGGGCTGTCTCCTTACCACTCCACCTCTCACCCAACCTCTCCAGCCTCATTTCTTTCTCTCTCTTTTTTTTTTTTTGTTTGAGATGGAGTCTTGCTCTGTCGCCCAAGCTGAAGTGCACTGGCACAATCTCAGCTCACTGCAAACTCCACCTCCCGTGTTCAAGTGATTCTTGTGCCTCAGCCTCCTGAGTAGCTGGGATTACAGGCATGCGCAACCACACCTGGCAAATTTTTGTATTTTTAGTAGAGACGGGGTTTCACCATGTTGGTGAGGCTAGTCTTGAATTCCTGACCTCAAGTGATCTGCCCGCCTCGCACTCTCAATGTGCTGGGATTACAGACGTGAGCCACCGCACCCAGCCTCTCCCACCTCATTTCTATCCATCCAGAGTCTACAGAGCCTTCAAGGCCCTGCTCCATTCCCAGCTCCGCCATGAAACCTCTACTGACCATTCCTGCGCAGAGAGGTTTCCCTGTCCGAACCCCGGCTGCTGCTGTATTAGGCTGACCCATGGGACACTGCTGATAATTGACCACATTGACCTACAAAAATGGCACCTGCATGTGGTTCAACCTAATAGTGAACACCACATTGAGTGTCTTCATTGTTTCATGTGAGAGTTTTGTCCTTTCAGAGAGAACGCAAGCATAATATGGCATAATATAGCAGATGAAACACTGGCTGGTTCAAATTCCAACTGTGCCATTTACTAGCTGTGTGACCTTGGGTAAACCACTTGGTCTGACTCAGTTTCTTCTGTAAAATGGGAATACTGACACCCATCTTTCAGGGCTTGAAAACAAGCCTCTAGCAGGTATTAGTAACCCTGCAGAGCAGGGAACCCAGGTCATCCGAGTACTCCTGTTTAACATCCTACAGAGATTGGCTCCTATCTGCATTTCCAGCCACTCTTCCCACGACACTACAGCCAGACGGCCCCACCCACCCTGGCGCTTGGCCCTGCTCTGCTACACTTGCCAGCACAGGTGCATGGGCACCACGGTCTGCCGAGCTCAAGAGGGTCTCACCCTCTGCTATACTCCTGTAACAGGTAATTCCTTCAGTGCACATGCCAAAGAGTTACTTTCTGCAGAGTAACAGGCTGTTTTCTCTTCTCTTTGTTAAATTATAGACTTGTCCATCTTCATGGGCTTTAACCTCTATCGAGGTAACCAGCAGCATCCTCAGCGGTGGCTCCTCCACCTGGTGAATCATGAGCTGAGCCACTGGCTCCTGGCGGCCTCCCCTCTTCTCCCTGGTGCATGAGTGGGGACACTGGAGACGGGCAGGCCCTGAGGCTGTGGCACGGGCAGCAGGGAAAGCGGCTCTGGCCTCGGGCACTCCAGCTGCCACAAGGGAGTCACCACTGCACCACTGTCACCTCTTTTGGCTATGGGGGGGTCTCCAAGACAACTGCGGGGCAGCAGCTGCCCAAGGCAGCAGCTCCCGGAGCCCCAGCCTGAGAGCCGATCCTGCCACTGCTAAACAAGCTGACCTGCACCAACATCCTGCACCTCCTGTGTACCTACAGCACGAAACTCCCTACCCGCACACACACCTGGGCAAGAGCCACACCTGCAGGGTGGCACAGGGCACCCAGCAGTAGGAGAAGATTTCAGCATTGTACCAGACTCTACTGTGGCTCACTTGAAGGATGTCCTAGAGGCCCTGTTAGGCCAATTTCTGTTTTCTCAGTTTATGAAGATGCAAACTGAAAAGAATCATAAATCTTGTAAGTGAGCAACAGACATGGTACTGAATGGGACTTAAAAAGACACACAGATCAGCCTGGGCAACGTGGCAAAACCCCATCTCTACAAAAAAATGCATAAATTAGCCAGGTGTGGTGCCATGCACCTGTAGTCTTAGCCACTCAGGAGGCTGAGGTGGGAGGATTGCTTAAGCCCAAGAGGCAGAGGTTGCAGGAGATCTGGGCAACAGAGTAAGACCCTGTTTCAAAACAAAAACAAAAACAAAAACAAAAAAAGACACACAGAGGACTGTGGCAAGGCCTCCCAGTGTGGCTGTTCCCATGGCACTCAAGCCACCTCAGTCTCACAGTTACCAAACTGGCCAGGATCCCTGCAGGAACAAGGACCTTCACAGCAAGAAAAGGAAAAATGGAAACCTCCACATACACCAGAAGCTGTCTAATAAGACCACTGAGTCACTGACCAATAAACCAATCCTTAACACCGACACCAAGAACCAAAAGCTTCAGAAAAAAAGGTGGAAATGGAACAGCAGACTCCATGCCAGAAAGGAGGTACTGTCAACACTTCTAAAATACTCTCAGAAGCTGCTTTCATCAAAGCCCAATACCACTTTGGCTAAGCTTTCCATCAGATGGTGACCTTGCATGCCTACTTTTTTTTAACAGCTCTATTGAGAATAATTCATGCACCATACAATTCATCCAATTAAATTACACAGTTCAATAGTTTCTGGCATACTCAAGAGTTGTGAGACCAAAACCACGGCACACTTTAGAACATGTCTGCCATCCCACAACAAAACTCCACACCCATCAGCAGCCACTCCCTACTCCCCGAGCCCCTCTAGTCCTAGGCAACCACCCACCTCTTTCTGTCTCTACGGATTAGCCTGTCCTGGACATTTCATATAAATGGAATCATATATCATGTGGCCTTTTGTGACAGGCTTCTTTCCCTGAGCACTGTTTCCAAGGCTCACCCATGGTGCAGCCACAGGCTTACGTCTGTGACTATGGGAGACCCCCTCAGTCCAGTCTGCGGCAGTAGGCATGGGCATCCAGGTTCTGCCCTAAGTATCCTTCTCATTCTCTTTGTCTAGTAGAACCCTGATCTTTGGCCTAGATTCTGAGGCGCTCTCTGAACAAGAGCTGACCTCTCTCAACAATTGTAAAACCTGTTGCTATTTTTTCTTTTTAGAGACAGGGTCTCACTCTGTTGCCCAGGCTGCAGTGCAGTGGAGTGATCATAGCTCACTGCTGCCTAAAACTCCTGGGCTCAAGCGATCCTCCCACCTCAGCTTCAAGTAGCTGGGATTACAAGCATGTGTCATTGTGTCCAGCTAATTTTTTTTATTTTTATTTTATTTTTGTAGAGACGGAGTCTCACTATGTTGCCCAGGCTGGTCTCAAACTCCTGGCCTCAAGTGGTCCTCCTACCTCAGCCTCTCTAAGCACTGGGATTACAGGCCTAAGCCCCTGCACCCGGCCACCTTGTTGCTATTAAACTGATTAGTACAGTGGTACAAACCATGGTGGACACAAGTCCATCTCAAGCTTTTCAAGAATTAGGGAATGTGTCAAAAGAATAACATTTCTGGCCAGCCACGGTGGCTCATGCCTGTAATCCCAGCACTTTGGGAGGCCCAGGCAGGTGGATCACCTGAGGTCAGGAGTTCGAGACCAGCCTGGCCAACATGGTGAAACCCCATCTCTACTAAAAATAAAAAATTAGCTGGGTGCAATGGTGGGTGCCTGTAATCCTAGCTACTCGGGAGACTGAGGCAGGAGAATCGCTTGAACCCTGGTGTCAGAGGTTGCAGTGAACCGAGATCGTGCCACTGCACTCCAGCCTGGGTGACAGAGTGAGACTCTGTCTCAAAAAAAAAAAAAAAAAAAAAAGAATAACGTTTCTTTAATTGATGTGCAGACCATGTTACACCTCCCTGTACCTCCCGATTCCTGGTCTGTTCTCAGGCTGACGTGAATTTGCTTTCAGGTTTCACTTCCCCACAGTGCTCAGACACATTTTTGCCCAGTTCTGTGGTAGCTTCATCCACAGCAGCTCTGCCTGACGATATCTGCTATGGCTTAAGTTCCACAGTTTTCCATAATTCAATGAAAGCCAATTCCTGTTGTAGCAGTATCACCTCGGTATTTTTTTTTTTTTTTTGAGACGGAGTCTCGCTTTGTTGCCCAGGCTGGAGTGCAGTGGCACGACCTCGGCTCACTGCAAGCTCCGCCTCCCGGGTTCACGCCATTCTCCTGCCTCAGCCTCCCTAGTAGCTGGGACTACAGGCACCCATCACCACGCCCGGCTAATTTTTTGTATTTTTAGTAGAGATGGGGTTTCACCATGTTAGCCACGATGGTCTCCATCTCCTGACCTCGTGATCCACCCGTCTCGGC